>NC_000018.10:44546429-45758170 GCF_000001405.40 Homo sapiens
CAGGACAGTGAGTGAATTCTTGCAAGATATGGTTGTTTAAAAGTGTGTGGCACCTCCTGCTCTCTTTCTTGCTCCTGCTTTGGCCATGTGATGTGTCTGCTTCTGCTTCACCTTCTGCTATGAGTAAAAGCTTTCTGAGGCCTCCCCAATGACAAGCTGATGCCAGCACTGTTTCCTGTACAGCCTGTAGAACCACGAACCTATTAAACTTCTTTTCTTTGTAAATTACCCAGTCTCCAGTATTTCTTTACAGTAGTGCAAGAATGGCCTAATCCATCACCCTAGTAGACCTGTAATCCCCTCTAAGGATAGAACTTGTCCTTTTTCTTTTTTTTTTCCTTTTTGTTGTAGCAGGGGGTTCTTTACAGGACTAGGTATATTGCTTGACATATATATATTTTACATTTTGAATTTTTTTAAGTAATTCATAATGAAAAAGTAGCACTGATGTGTCCACTATTCAATTTGGCAAATATGGATTGACTATTATAGACTCCTCCACAAGCAAAAGGCTAAGTATGATGTGTTAAATTTGTTTTAAATGTGGCAGAATAGCAGTGTACTTTGCAGAAGCAGAAAATTCAGACTTTCTAAAGGTACAGTTTTTCTGAAGAATTTAATGATAAGCTTGGCTAAATATGCCGAGGCTATGTTATGAAGGTCTTCAAAAAATATTGGCCTTCATCCTGCAGGCAATGCAGAGAGCTTTTCTGAATAGGCAAATCACCTGAGCAAAGTGTTAACTTGGAGGAAGCGTTCAGGGTTCACTGACTATGGAAGACTTTGAAACCAGATAGGGCGGAAAGAAACTATTTCAAAATAATCATCTGCATATAAGGAAGAATTAAAGGTAACTGATATTTTTAATGCCTACATATGCTTATGAAAGTGTCAGGTATTGCTGAAGACTTTATAGACATAATCTCATGTTAATTCTTGAAAAAAATAGAAAGCAAATCATTATTTCAATGGTATGGCTGAGAACTTGAATCTCAGAGCTTATGTCGTATCTAAAATCATAGAAGTCAGATCAAAATGGTACTAATTAATATTAGTAATAATTCAAAGTCATGTGTAGGAATTGATGTTTAAATATGAGGGTACAAGAGAAGCAGCTCAACATCATTGCAAGCTTTTAATCCTGTGGCACTAGAAAATGGGAGTTGCCATTTATGGGTGAGAGATGAAGCTAATAAAAGAGAGTCTATTCTCCATTTATTTACTTTGTACCTTAGGTTAATTTTCTGGATAACTACCATTCTAATAATATGCCTTCTCAGCAAACTCAATTTTACCATATTTGTCTCTAAATTATCTTTGTAAATATCCTGTGCATCTTCCCAAAACAATTTTCCACCACTGAGTGTAAAAGATCATTGTATTTTTCTTTTCTAGTTGAATATTTGTGGAGAGTTTGGCTAGCAAACCTAAATTACAACATTTTAGTATATATAATTTAGTACAGGGAACAAAAAGAATTAGAGGCATTGCACAGAGTTTGTAAGATTATTGTTGCTGTTTCCATTGTTTGGTAGAGTGTTTGCAAGTTTAGAGACTAAATTGTAGTTCATTTTTGTTCCTTATCATTTTTTAAAACTTTTTGTGTACATTTAAGTTCATAGCATATAAAGGCTTAATTCTCACATTGTTGGTTTTGGAAAATCATCAATTTATAAATGCAATATCCCTTTCTTCTCAATAAGGGTCATTTTACAAATGGAAAATGTCAAAATTCTTATGGTACAGTTGAAAACAGAAGCACTCCTCATGGTATCTCAGATATGCAGTTAAGAATGGGAACACATTCTTGATATTTTATTCCCATCCACCCACCCCCTAATGTACCTTTCTTTCTTGAGCTCATGGCCAAGGAAGAAAACGAATGTTTCTAGTTTTTCCCTGTTATGTCCAACTGTGGTTAAATGTCCCTGAAGCACGTACAGTGGTTTCTTTGTGTCTATGTTTTCTTATCTATGACCACATTTTGCCCTTACAATAGCCCCAGCAGATAAGTAGGCAAGTATTACTATCCCCATTGTGCACACAGATGTTCCAAGTTCAAGAATGTTGCCTAAAATCACAAAACTGGATATTGGCAAATCAGGTCTCTAGACATCCTGCCCATCCATCTTCTTTCTCCTAAACAGCAGCCTATGAGGCTGGACTAACATTTTTCTAGATTAAAGTGATACACATTAACTACAGCTGTTTTTCCAAATATGTGGGTGGGTTAGTCAACAGCTGTTCTTAACCCTAAAGAGAAGCAAAAGCACAACCGCAGAGAATGACAACAGGAAGCATCTTTCAGGCAATTTACAACTTTAGGCCAGGCCTCCATCTGTTGTAATAAATAGAAGAGAAGATTGGGTAATTACCTATTATGTTGATCCCTGTAGATAGCCACTTTTCCTAAACCCCTCAAATCACTTTGTCTTTAGAAGCATTTCCTTCCTTCTCTTACCCTCGTATTTTCTGACTGATTGTATGGTAAATACTTTGAGGGCAGGGACAGGATCTTCTACGTCCCATATAACTAGACTGCTTGGCTTAGTTGGTGCTAACAAGCACCAGGGTGTCACATGGGGTTTCAGAGGTGGGGCGGGGCACGGGGATCCCATCTCAGTGCTGTACTGGAATCTGCCCAGGATTCTTGTTTATAAGCACAACTGGCCAAGTGCAGACTTTCTGTGATATCTTTCCCTGACTTCTTAACAGTCAAAATTCAGCCTGTTCTTCAAGATTCAATTAATTCCACCTTCTCCATGAAGATTTACCCAAATATGCAAGTTGATTCCCCCCAATAGAATCCCTCAAGCTATTGATGACTCCTTTATAGCCCCAAGTCATACCCTACCTTTCACCGTTAATTATGTCTCCTCAATTAAAATAGAAGTTCAGGGACTGTGCATTTTATTTCTTGTAGTTCTGCCCCACTCACTTCCCTTCTCACCCACTTCTACCCTCAACTAGTATGAGTATGTGGCACAGAATTGAGGTCATATGAAAAATGACAATGTGAATGATTTTTATAAATATGTTGGGACTTACCCATCCAAGCAAAACCTGTTCCCTTCAAAGCAGTTTTCTTAGAAAGCTCAGCATATTACAGCCTTTGATGTTCTCTCCTCTCTCAAGTAGGTTCATCTTTTAGAGGGTAGGTAGCTGATGCTTACTTTATTCTATATTAAATAATCTGACCTCTCCTGTGCTTTCTCTTCACCAACAGACTGGGCACATTTCTCCAGTTGAAAATTGTTTCCAACTTGAAGCACTCTAGTTGAGATTAAAAAGATAAGGCAAATGAAATATCAGAGAATGGCTCAAATATGTATTTAACCAATTGTTGCGTGTCTTTACATTCTTCATGCTCTATGCAGAACAGATCTTTCCTCTTTAGAGCCCCCATAGCATTGGGAACTCCAACAGAGCACACCCCTGATACACGCAGTGGTGGGCTGCTGCCCTGACTCTTGCTGCCCCACCAGACCATGAGATCTGGTGGAGCAGTAAACAGGCATTGCTCTTCTGTCTTTGCCTCAAGCCCTCACATAGTATCTTAATTAACACATCCAAGAATCGACCCATTAACTGTTTTAAAAAAAATCTTTTTCTCTTCGCATTGCTAAAGAAATTCAGGGAAGACACTAAACAGTGTGGATTTGAGAAGCCAAGTAAGATTTCATGGCTTACCACAGACCAGATGTACACTTTAATATAGTAAAATATAGGTAGGTAGAGGAAGAAGGAGGAGAGAAACATGAAGCAAAAATATTGATGCTTTGTCTATTATATATCAACAAGAAAATTGAGGCATATTTCATCATCACTACCCTACATAGGTTCAGTGATTCTATGAATATTGTTCAATCAAGAAATTGCCTCCATTTGGTAAGAGTTTCAAGTTACGGATTACCATGGCTTTGAAAGAAAGCAGAGTGGCTTTGGGAAATCAGTTAAATTTTCTAGGCCTTGGTTTCCTCATCTTTAAAATGAAAATAGTGGTGCTTGTCCTGTCTCCCTAGGATGAAGATAAAGATTATATGAGATAGTATATGTAAAATACTGTGAAAAGTACTAGGGCAAGTATAAGGAATTATCATCTAATTTAGTTGCTGACAGGGGAAGAGAACATAATTATCTGAAGATGGATATGGTATCCATGCTGAGTCACTTGCTTTCAACTCTCTTTTACCCAGGGCCAAAGCTTCTTTATGAGAAAGCACCAGGCAGGTGTAATCAGGCTTCACAAAAGATGGTTCTCCTCCCCTTCCTTTCTCTTTCACCTTCCAGGATTTTGGATCCAAGGAATGCTTGACAAAATGAACTTGAAATTATTTCCTTGCAACTACATTGTCTCTCTTTAATGTTGTAAGAAATATATTTTAATCGCTATTGTTTTTCAATGTCTCATACAGAAAGAGGAGATGTTTCATAAAATTTGATGAATGAGTAAAGTTGCTAACCAACAAAGACTTGAGATTTATTCATTAATTAATTTAGTAATTTATACCAAGGATATATCCAGGTCATTTAGAAAATGGCTCCTCTTTCTTGTGTTTTAGATCCACTAGTTAATTGGTTTCTCTGCCTGGCTGATTGTCAGTCGAGACGCCTACGTTGCTTATAACTAGCATGTCCATAAACAGAGCAAAGTTATTAATTTAATCTGCTTCAGTTGGTAGGCAATGTGGGGGAACCAGCCTGTGTGTACATAGTTCTCTTGGGTTTGTTTACTGGATTACCACTTCAGAAACAGCCAGACTGTGTCTGTCTATACAACACCTACACCACTGAGCTGTTAGCTTGTGTACCCAAACAATTCATTGACTCAGTGGCAAGTGTCAATTGCTTGGCTGAATTTCTGGTTGTTTAATGAAATTGAATAGTTGATTAATTTCAATTGGTTAATCCAATAATGCTCTGGAGACCAACTGTTTTTTAAAGAAAAAATATGTATTTCTTTACTTGAAAACACTAATATTAGTTTTAATCACCTTCACACAATTACATTTTTTTTTTTTTTTTGAGACAGAGTCTCATTCTGTCACCAGGCCATAGTGCAGTAGCATGATTTTGGCTCACTGCAACCACTGCCTCCCAGGTTCAAGCAACTCTCCTGCCTCAGCCTCCTGAGCTGGGGCTACAGGCACATGCCACCATGCCCAGCTAATTTTAGTATTTTTAGTAGTGACGGGGTTTCACCATGTTGGCCAGGATGGTCTCGATCTCTTGACCTTGTGATCCACACCCGCCTCGGCCTCTCAAAGTGCTGGGATTACAGGCATGAGCCACCGTGCCCAGCCACACAATTAAATTCTTTATTCCAGCCTAGGCAAATATAAAGAACATTGGTTTAGGAGCCAAGAGATCTGTATTCTTTCTAGTCCTGCCTCTCCTATTGCCTAATTGCTTGACCTTGGGAAATAAACCTTACACTTCACCTTCTCTCCCCACCACTATGCCCTACATTACTTCTCACTCCCAGCCTCAATGGTATCACTTGTAAATGAAAAGCTTAAACCAGTAGCTCTCAAGTTTGTGTTTTATGAACTTCTGATGCCATGACTATACTGGACTTCCTCATTACAGAATCCTTGTTTATGTAGGCTTCAAATATCTAAGTGCTTGTGACTCCTTCTTATTATGTATATATTATATCTCAGAGAAATTGCAAGGCTTCTAAATAGGGTTGACACTTGGGTCTCATTTTGGGCTATGGGTAGAAGTTAAACTGGTGAAGAAGTAGACAACAAAGGGGAAAGTTTAAACACAACCACATTTACAAGATAGGAGAGTCATAGTCATAATGCTTCCAAAGAAGTAGATGTTTCTCAGTTTACCCTGAGAAGAGATGTGGCAATAGTTAGAACGGGATAATAGGTGGTGGCTATGGTGTGGTGGCTCTCACAGTTATTTAATCAGTGATAGTTCTATTATTTCCCAACACTTGTTTTAAATGATGACAAAGGCTCCAGAAATGGAGCTTATATTCCTAAGCCTAAACCTTCCTGGTGGCTCTAGGACATGGAATTGGTGCCAATGTGCCATGTGGTTGAATGGGAAAAGAGGCTTGTGTTACAGCAGGAGTACCAGTTGTGGTACTGGACTTGTGGTACCTGGAGTACAAGGAAGCTGTCACAGTAACCCAGGAGAGAAGTGACGAGGGCCTAAACTGAAGGCAATGAGGTGAGTATGGAAAAGAAATTATTTTACTTGGCATGGACATTACCTGAGAAACCATGCATACGAGCCTCCACCCCTGTTTTCACAGAGCAGACCTGTCCTCCTGGGCTAATTTGGGAGTGTGGTAAGTTAGGGTATATTTTACTGTATTTGTTTTTTAAACTAACAGTTACAAAACATGTCAGAAGTACACATGAATTAACAAACTCCTGCAGGCTGGGCTGAAGTTTTACTGGAGACTATAGGAGGTCTGTTGGCATGACAACCAAAGGGAAGCTTCTTCGGGGCCCCACAGTGGATTCTGCAGTGGCCTAGGTCCATGATAAAGCTGCCTTCCTTCCCTGCAGGAGCCCATCTCACAGCTGTGTGTTCCAACAGCAGGCTTATACCCCTGGCGTTTTCAACAACATGGCCTAAGGCACAGCCTTATAGGCTTTCTAGAAGAAAAACTTCTTTGGGAGCCCTTTCCTGCTCACTTACCAGCCCTGTGATTGTAAGTGAACCCTGGAAACTTTCAACATCTCAGCTTCTTCATTTGTAATATAGGTGAATAAAACATTCATTTTATATAATAAAGATTAAATCCCCAAACAAAACAGAAATCCCCCACAGCTACTCTACAGAGTTGGAAAGCAAGGTTATCCTGTGGATCCAGGGAAATAAAATTGCATGTGAAAAACCCTTGTAAGCTATAAAACACTATACATGCACTCACATATGTCATTGTTAAGTGAGTACCTTATGCTATCTAAGTACCTATTGTTGTACAACAAACTACTCCAACATTTAGATGTTTAAACTAACAAAGGTTTAGCCTTTCTCTCAATTCTGTGGGTGAACAATCTGAGTGGTGTTATTTTTGTCCTGTCTCCCTAGCATGAAGATAAAGATTATATGAGATAATATATGCAAAATACTGTGAAAACTACTAGGGCAAGTATAAGGAATTATCATCTAATTTAGCTGGCTACAGATACCCAATGGTTCATCCAGAAGTTTGTTCCAGCTAACAGCAGTTGTGCCTCTTTCATGAGACTTATCATCCTTTGGTGGACTAGACTAGACTTATTTGGAACATGGAGACCTAAGAGTTTCAAGACTGAAAGCAAATGATTAGGACATTTCCCTAAGGTCTAACCCCAGAAGTCATATAGCTTTGCTGTGCTGTATTCTTTGGGTCAAAGAAAATCACAAGGTCAGGCCAGGTTCAAGGGAAAGGGAAAATATGCTCCACCTTGTGATGGCAGATTTGGAAATAATCACATACAAATAAAATAAAAATTAAAACATGGTCAAGAATTTCCTCTCTGGCCAAGACCAGACATACAACTCAGGAGGAATCAAGGTCTAGGCCTCGCATTTTATTTTAAGATCTTATTTCAGCTTGGTGCAGTGGCTCACACCTGTAATCCAAGCACTTTGGGAGGCCGAGGTGGGTGGATCACCTGAGGTCAGGAGTTCGAGACCAGCCTGGCCAACATGGTGAAACCCTGTCTCTATTAAAAATACAAAAAAATAGCTAGGCATGGTGGTGGGCACCTGTAATCCCAGCTACTCAGGAAGCTGAGGCAGAAGAATTGCTTGAACCCAGGAGGTGGAGGTTGCAGTGAGTCTAGATAGTGCCACTGCAGTCCAGCCTGGGCAACAGAGTGAGACTCTGCCTCAAAAACGCAACAAAACAAAAACTTATTTTGTCTTCTGATTCTCGCATCTACAAACACCTGGACTACAAGCCCTCTCCACCACTCCTTCCAGAAATCCCAAAGTCCTAGATTAGCATTTTTTATGCCTTACCCAGGAATATTTTTTAATGTAAGTTAAATAAAAAAGAACACATAATACAATGGTCTTGTTTCCATTTTTGACACTACTAAAAACTAATATGAGAACTAGTCAAAGGCATCAAACTTCCCCAAGACTGAAGTTTCACACCGAAAATTAAGACGATAATGCCTACAGAGGAATTTTTACATAAAGTGGTGAAAATAAACTTCTCCTTCTGCTTGCCATTCCCAGAAGGATCCTTGATATGCCCATATGACAAGTGCCAAACTGATTTTCCACACTCTGCCTAGGGTATTAGCATGGCATCTGCCCCTAAACCTACCCCCTCCATCCATTGAAAACTTCCATTACTCTTTGCCGCCCCACCACCTTCCCCTGAATGCACATAGTTGATCAAGTGCTCTAGACTAAATTTAAACATCTTTTCAAGCCCTTTCAGCCCTAACCTCCCACACTTCAAAATATCAGAAAAATGATACCTGTGTGAATTTTCTGGTTCTTTTTCTTCTAGCCTCCTAGCTTTCTTGCCTGTGTTTCCTATCCCTGGCTAATCTAATACACTAATCTAAATGAGGAAGTCCCAAGGAGAAAATAGCTTTAGGAAGCTAACCTCCTTCAATGGCATTTGTCTGTTTATTAGCAGCCTTTGAAGCTTTCCATTAAAGAGTGATAGGTACAGAGATGGGAGCATCATTGCAAGTAGGATGGAATATAGTATAGAGGACAACATTTTGACTTATATTCTTCGAGCACAGAGATAAATATTTATGCAAGAAAAGCATCTTGTATAAGCAGAATAATTTTTTTTGTAAAAGCTGAAAAATTTTACTCTTAATATTGATGCCAGTCAACCCCCATTATAATGATAACTCAGCTAACCAAAGATTTCCACGCATCAGGTAAAGGGCCACTCAGTTCACTCGGTGCTACACAATTTAAGCCTGATCCCAGGATCCCTTGCCATGGACTTGGTCCCTAGTAGCTCTCCAGATAAGAAGCTGAATATTCTAAGAGCCAGCCAGCCTTATCTGCAGAGAGATTTTAGGCTGGGATTTAGGGGGTATCAAACAGGCCCCTTCACCTAAGATTTCTTCCCCCAGCTACATGCCTCAAAGCCTGCAACCCTACCAGTTAAGATTCATTCCCTTGAATTTTAAAATCTTCAGTTTTTCTACTGACATGCTAAACTTCAGAGGGTACAGATGAAACCTGAGGTTATTTCTGGTCTACACCATTAACAGGCCATGTTCTAGCCAAATCCTCAGCTAAGAGCAGGGCTCTATAGCAAAAATTTGTAACTCAGGAACTTTTGGACATTTAATAAGCTGATGATAAATTTCCAGGGACATAGGAACCCTGAAAATACATGTGAAGTTTCAGTTTTAACACCAGACTCCTCCTTCCTATCTCTGTGGGGAGTGATAGGAGATTAAACTCACACATGCATTTTTCTGCAGACAAGATGTCAGGTTTTATCCCAGTCAGATCCTTGATATAAAAAGATTTATAATGCTAAAAAATAAAACACAGGAGAGGATGCGGGATATGAAGTAGTTCAGAAGTGGCTGGTGGAATAGAGGTGAAGAGAAAATCTGAACAGCAAGGCAGAGAGCCTTGAGACCAACTGTCCTGTGATCACAACCTGGCCACAGATTCAGGCTGGCTTGTAAACAGACTCCTGCTCATCAGGGGTCCAGACCCTGTTCAGACCACTGTGAAAGCTCCTCTAACTTACTCCCCAAACCTTCACCCTGGAAATACTCCTGATCTTGGAATACATTACCACAGCACTTTACAGTAACTGGTTCCCCACAGTTTGGAATCCCTCAAGAAAGAGATGGACTTGGCAGGAAACAGATCCACTTAGGCAGGAAAACAACTCATTTCTCACCTCTCCCTTTCTCCCTCTATCTTGAGGATCTGGATTAGAGCAGACCTTTTCTTGCTGCTGCAGAAATAAGGAGGAGTAGGGGGCTGGTTCAGGCCTGCGGGAATTCATAAACACAGGTCTGACAGCTCAGGTCTCTTGCAAGGCTGCATTCAAGGTACTGGCTAGAGTTACAGTCATCTCAAGACTCCACTGGAGAAATATCTGCTTCTAGGTTCACTGCCATGAGCATGAGCAGATTCGATTCCTTTTGGAAAGTTGAACTGAAAGCCTCAGTGTCTCACCAGCTCGTGGTTGAAAGCTGCCCTCAGTTCTTCTCCATGTGGGCCTCTGCAGCTTGGTCCATCATAGCAAGCACATTAGAAGAGCCAGAGAGATGCAGCAAACCATCATGGCACATGTATACCTATGTAACAAACCTGCACGTTCTACACATGTATCCCAGAACTTAAAGTAAAATTAAAACACAAAAAAGAAGAGCCAGAGAGACAGCAAACAAGGGGCAAATCAGAGTAGCTATAACCTCATCTCAGAAACGGCTTCCCATCCCACTTGCTACATTCATGAGAGGAGAGGACTAGAAAGGCATGAACATCTGGAGGCGGGAATCACAATCACTATAAGCCAGTAGCAGCTGCTTATCACAAGGATTAATAAAGATCATAGGATCTTAAAACAAAAATTTTAAAAAGTTCATAGAATCTTCAGTCTAAGACAATTTTTGGAGATTATCTGATTTCCATACTGAAAGATAGGAGAACTGAGGTCGTGTAAAGTTGAATGTGTTTTCCCAGATTACAGAGCATCAGGTGGTGACAATTAGTAGGGACTCACACTTCTGAGTCTTAGTCTAGTGTTCTCTGCAACAGTTGCCTCAGTGTCCTCATCTGTAAAATGGGATTAATAATTTCTGGGCTACCTTCATTCTCTCACAGAGATCTGTGAGAAACTAAAGCAATCAAAGAAGAATGCTGTAAAAAATAAAATACTAGCTAAAGTTGCCAAAGTTATATTTTTGTTATTATTCTAATAAATGATAATGATGCAAATTTGTGACAAGAGATTTCTTTTTACTCATCTTTTTCCTTCTCTTGGTGGTCTTCTTACTAGCTTTTGAGACACATGCACCTCATGTTGAGGGAGCCTACAGAAACAGGCATCCTGTCTCTTTCCCACTCACTTGATTTCAGTGCCACTAATGAAGCATTTCCGTTCTCAGTACATATGTATCAGAGCCTACCAATCTTGAGTTCCACCTCAAGAAGTTCTTTTCCCCCTTTAATGAAAATGCCTGTTCAACATTAAAAAATTAGGCTTCCTTCCTAAATAGCCCCCATGTTTTCACAAGAACCTGAACCCTTTCATCACTTAGAACTACCATTTGTTAAGAATCCTCTTTGTGCTAGACACTTTTTAAAGCACTTTATAGGGATCATCTTTGGTTTTCAAACAAGCACACTCAAGTGTACAGATGAGATAAATGAGACTAGAAGAGGTTAAGTTCTTTGTCCAACTTCATAATCAAGAGCAGAACTGGGAATCAGCCCAAGCCGTGTCTAACTCCAAAACCCAAGCTTGTGTATTTTCCCATATCATCATGAATTTCCAGATTCTTGATTATATTCTTCAGCAGATCCTATGTCTCTTGGAAGGAAAATTATGTTTTCCTTGTCTGTAATCTAAGTGCCTGTCATAGTGTCGGAGTCAGTGTCAGTTAAATAATATTAGCATGCACTGCACTTTCAGACTTATTTGACATTTTACCATCCTTTCTAACATCCTTAAGGGCAACATCTTGCCTTCTATTCCCCTCAACAGCAAGGACAAATTCTCCAATGGATTTCAGAGATGTTGTTTATTTCTCCTAACCTTATCTGTCATGTCCTGAGTAGCTGGCAGTGACCTTATAGGGCAAAATCATGAGTTCAGTGACGGGATGTAGAAAAGATTATTTTGCCAGAGATTTAAACACCTGATCTCAGCCCACAAATGCCTTCCAGTGGATGGCTCCATATTACCTTATTACAGAAGAAAGGAAGAATGGTTATTCTTTGCATGAAAAAGATAGTAACTCATACCAAGGGCTTTCCTTTAATTTGTCCTAAATAATCTCCTTTACACTTCAGAGAAGTCAACCTGTTACTTTATATTTCTTGCTAGAAACCAGTTTATCCACGCATGTAAAGATAAGGGGAAAAAAGGCAGAAATTTCTGTATTGCATTCACATTTCTTCTTGTCATATTTTAATCCAAAATATTTATTTTTCCGGTAGTCTGACTGAATACCTTCTTAGCATCCTCAGGCTATCCACATTTTAATCTTATCTCTGCCTAAAACATTGGCCTAGTTCAAGTGTATATACAATTAAAGTGTTTATAACGCTTTCTATCACAAGCACAAAATAATAATCAGGTATCATTCTGTCCATTCACGTTGCCAGCAAAAGTCTTCTTGATGGTTTTATGAATTTCTCTCACATTCATTCACCTTTTCTCTCCTTCTTGGCTTCTTGTGCTAGTTCCCTTCCTTCCTGAAGTAATTGAGAACAGGAATCTCCCATCATGTTAGTTCCTCATTCTTTTTGTCAAATGTTCTTTATTTCACTTATTTATTGGATTCATGCAAGTCCCCAGAGTTTACAATAATCTAGAGAGTTGGTGAATTCCAATTTAGTATTTCCTTTATCACTAAATTCATTTCTGTATTACTCTTCAAGCCTTAACAGTACACACCAGTGCCAGAAAATACAACATGTATCTCAGCAGAGGTGCAAATAGGATATTCGTCAAAATATCTTACTCTTTATCCAGGAGCTATAAAAGACAAAAAAAAATTCTGGTTAATTTAATGTCAGCTGCCTAGCTCCAGCTGTGCTGTCTACAGTTACAATAACAACCATCATCTGTACAGTATAAGCCTAGTCAAAGATTTACCGAATGTACACAAAGTTGTGATAGAACCTCAATTCTCTTTGTGTAAACTTTTAAGAGTATTTAGTGATTTAGGGTTAACATGAAAAGTGGTTTTATATTAATCAATATTTAAAAATCCTCACTCATTGAAAATGACCCAAATAGATGGAAAATAGAAGTCAGAGCACACAAACTGTAAGACCAGAGACAATCCGAAATCAAGGTCAGAATCTGACACAATACAGGTAGTAGCCTCTGGGTCCCTCCAGCATGCCTTGAGCTTTTGCTTTGAAGCAGCTCAGTCCTTCCTTAGCAGCCCAATCTCCGATCTCATTTCACAAATGAGGATCTTTCCCACCCCATCACCCAAACAAGGCACCTTCATGTCTGTGTCCAACAGCAGCAGACTCTTAAGGTGGTGAAGCAGGATTTGAGGCTTGACCCAGTGCTGAACTAGTGTGTCCTGATAACACATATCATAATGTTTCTCCCCTGAGCCAGATTCTCCCAGCTGGACTTTTGATCAAAGAGCATGTTCAAGCAGTTGCTGAGCATCTTACACACAAAGCATGCCTAAATATATAAAGCTTTTGAAAATTGCAAGAATGTGAAGGAAATAAAATTGTAAAAACTTGAAATCTGGGGAAAAAATGACAAAGAGCAAATTTTTTAATTTTCATATGTCTGTTAGATATAAAGACACTTGGTTCATTTTGGAATGTAAAATTGATAATGTACTATTTAAAATACATATAAAATTCTCAATTTTGGTTTATTGAACAACAGAATGGCCCCTCAGATAGCTTTAGGAAAATGAAATTATTTTTAAAAGGGAATGGAGAATACTGACTCTAGGAAATAAAGAAGGCCAAAAATTCTTTGGGTAATTTTATAATTTCATGTTTTATTTCTAGACCTTCATGTCTCCACAAACAACATTATGTCGGATCCCAGATAATCCAATTTAACTAGACATAAAACAACTTCCTCAAAGAGTCTTTCTTTGTACTTAGTGTCTAAATTTTATATTTTAGGATGGGTGCAGGGGGGAAATTGGTACTGATTCATACCTCAAATAAGTGAAGATTTCAGAAAAAAAAAGCGCTTGACAAATGATACTGAATTCTGATCTCAGTTTTACCCCTTATCAACCGTATGATTTTTTAAGTCTTTCAAGCTCTCTAAGTGGCAGATTCTTGTCTGGAAAGTGGACTAGTAGTATCTTTCATATATACTTTACAAAGTTTCCATGAGACTCAACTAAGTTGATATATGGGAATCTTTTTTATTAAATACACAATCTACTATTTAAATTATTTGTCTTCAGGTACCATCATTAAAATTGTGATTATTTCTTCATGCTGTTCATAGTAATCAGTGAAGACAAATTATCTTAAATTCAATGAGCTTTGAGCATCCTATGTGGCCAGTCAATACTAGCTGACATGATTTCATTTTAAGCCAAAATCGGGGAGGAGGCTTTTAATCAGGACCCCCAATAACTATCAGGGCTACAGTACTAGCAGAGTTTCAGCACAGCAGATAACAGATTTTTTAAAGAAACAATATCATAGTACTTGCCAAGAAGGACAGTTTTATGTCTTCTTTTCAGTTTTTACATCTTTTATTTCTTTTTTTTTTTTTTTTGCCTTATTGCACTGGCTAGAACTATCAGCAAAGCTCTATACTTGCTATGTGTTCCATGCATTGAATCAAAACACGTATAGAAAATATCCTTATGTCTTCACTAGCATTTCTTTGCTTTTCCATGATATTTTTATAACTACAGAAAAAAAAAACCCTGAATTTGAGTTGGCTAAGGTTTCTATTTTATTAAGTTTGGGTTATGCTTTTTGGGAGGAATACTACAGAAATGACATTGTGATCTTTTTAATGCTTCATACTAGGAGGTACAAAAATGCAACTAGTGATGTCAATTTAAACCAAGATGGTGTCTGCCAGGTTTTTGTACTGAAAAGTTACTATATTTATATTTGTGATTAATAAATATCTTAAATTTTAAGATTATGGAAAAATCTTGTTAATCCTCAAAGTTTAACCCATTAGCTTTATTATCCATTGGCCTCAATATATTATTATAATAATTGTTGTCAAACAGAAATTTCCTGTTTTTTTCTACATTTAATCATTGGTGTTCTACTGTAAGGAAAGGTTTTATAATTTTATTTATCATTTGCTTATTTGTATGACAATATGACACATCGATTTTTATTTTATTCAATTGACAATAATTATGTATTATCATTATTAATTTTGGGCTTAAATTGTCCCAGATTCGACCAGTGAGAGCTCCTTTAAACTGGAACCTATGGTCCTTTCTTGTGTTTTGTTTGATATGTCACCATCATTCTTTGAACATTTATTTATTTTCCTGCATGGCAAGATGTTTCAGGCTTATTTTACACTTTTCTTTTCCAGTCTTGGAATCTATCATTTTTCAAGGAATCCTGGTTCCCTTTAGTTAAGAATAATATTAGATACTAAAATCTGGTCTTAAGTATGGTTATTGTTAATTTTTGTTTCATTATTCATTTTTACCTAGTCCAAATATCTTAGTCTTTTGTTAAACTATTTGTTATACTTGCATTAAATATTATTACTGACATCTCAATTTGTTCCCTTTTTTCTTTCTACTTCTTTCTTGCTTCCTTTGAACTCATCATATTTAAATTATTCCATATACCCTACTATTACCTGGTTATTAATTATTTTATTTTTATTATGTTAGTGGTTATTCTAGAGATTGCCATACGCACCATTCCCTGATTAGTGTGTAAGATAAAAAGACCTTGAAAAACTATAATGTACTCCTTCCCCCTCCTGTATTATGGTTTTCATGAATTTTCACTCCACAGATGTTTCACACCTCATGAGATATTATTATAATAGTAACTATTTAGTTAGATTTTTCTACTTACTCTTTTCAGTGCTCGTTAAAAGCATTTTTTTTTTCTGCCTGAAAATCTCCCTTTAGTTTTTCCTTTAGTAAAGGTCTGCTGGCCATAAATTGTGTAAGGTTTTGTTTGACTAAAAAATTTTTTATTTCACACTTATTTTCGAAGAATTTTTTGGTGGGTATAGAATTCTAGGTTTAGAGTTAGTTTTTTTTAAGATACAATTCAACAGGTTTTTAGAAAGCTGTTTTCTGTTTTATCATTACTACTTTGATGGTCATCTGTGTTCAATCTTTGCCTATTCTGAGTATCTTTTACTTATCGTTAGTTTTCTGCAGTTTTATTGTGATAAACCGACATTAATTGTACCCCCATAAAATATATGGCAAAGACCTAACCCCCAGCACATCAGAATGTGATCTCATTTGTAAATATGATCTTTCCTGAATTAATAAAGTCAAAATGAGGCCATTATTTCCTATTCAATACATGGTGCTGGGATAACTGGCTAGCCATATGCAGGTGATGGATACTATGTTGTTCCTTATGCCATATAAAAAAACAACTTAAATTGGATTAAAGAGTTAAATATATAACCCAAAATTATTAAAATCCTAGAAAATAACCTAGGAAATATCATTCTGGACATAGAAACTGACAAAGATTTCATGATGAAAATGCCAAAAGCAATTGCAACAAAAGCAAAAATTGACAAATGGGTTCTAATTAAACTAAAGAGCTTCTGCATAGCAAAAGAATCAACAGAGTAAACAGACAGCCTACAGAATGTACTTGCAAACTATACATCTAATATCCAGAATCTATAAGGAACTTAAATTTACAACCAAAAAACAAGTCCATTTAAAAGTGGCCAAAGCACATGAACAGATTTCAAAAGACATACATGCAGCCAACAAGCATATGAAAAAATTACTCAATATTACTAATCATTAGAGAAATGCTAATGAAAACTATAATGAAATATCATCTCACATCAGTTAGAATGGCTATTTTTAGAAAGTTAAGAAATAACAGATGCTGGCGTGGTTGCAGAGAAAAGGAAATGCTTCACAATGTTGGTGGGAGTGTAAATCAGTTTAACCATTAAAGAAAGCAGTGTGATGATCCCTCAAACAGTTAACAGAACTACCATTCAACCCAGCAATCCCATTACTGGGTATATATATATACCCAAAGGAATATAAATTGTTCTACTGTAAAGACACACCCACACATATGTTAATCACAATGCTCTTCACAGTAGCAAAGACATGGAATCAACATAAATGCCCACCAATGGTAGACTGGAAAAAGAAAATGTCGTACATATATACCATGCAATACTATGTAGCCATAAAAAGAATGAGATTGTGTCCTTTGAGGAACCTGGTTGGAGCTAGAGGCCATTACCCTTAGCAAACTAACACAGGAACAGAAAGCCAGATACCACACGTTCTCATTTATAAGTAGGAGCTAAATAATGAGAACAAATGGACACAAAGGAGGGAACATAGACACCGGGGCCTGCTTGAGGGAGGAGGGTAAGAGGAGGGAGAAGATCAGAAAAAAATAACTATCAGATACTAGGCTTAGTACCTGGGTGATGAAATAATCTGTACACCAAACCCCCATGACACAAATTTACCTATATAACAAACCTGCACATATAACCCTGAATCTAAAATTAAGTTTTTTTAAAAAGTCAGGTGATTAGGACAAGGGTGATTAGGACAACCTGTGTCCTCATAAGGGGAAATTTGAACACAGAGACAGACACACACAAAGAAGATGATATAAAGACACACAGGGAGAATGCCATGTGAAGATGAAAGATTGGAGTGATGTATTACAAGTGAAGAAGCAGTTGAGACTACTGGAAGCTAGGAAGGACGTATGGAAAAATTCTTTCCCCGGTGCCTACAGAGGGAGCATGACTCTGCCATCATCTTAATTTCACGTTGTTGGCCTTCAGAACTTTAAGACAAGAAATTTATAATGGTTAAAGCCACCCAGTTTGTGGTACTCTGTTACAGCAGCCCTAGGAAATTAACACACAAAGGTATAGATTTCTTTACATCTTTCTTGCCTCTTACAAGGGCCAGGATCGCCAGTGTACCATCAATGCTAGGTAGTTATCTTACTTGGGGACTATAGCATTTTGGGATTTAGAACTTGATGTCTGGCAAATCTGGGGAAATTTTCAGACATTATCTCTTCACATATTCCCTCTATTCTATTCTCTCTTTTCTCTCATTCTAAGAAGCTGGTGTGATTTAGGCCTCTTCACCATGACCTGTATATCTCTCTTACTTTCTTCTGTGTTTTCCATTCTTTTTGGCTCTCTGTGTGCTTCAATCTGGGTATTTTCTAATACTCTATTTCTAATTAATTATCTAATCTGTTATGTCTGTTAAAATATATCCATCTATTAAATTCTTAATTTTAGTTACTATAATTTTTAGTTCCAGATTTCCATACTATTCTACTTTATAGATTCCAGTTACCTGGCTAAACTAGAATTTTATTTTGAATATATTAATTATTATTATATTCAAGTCCCTATCTTATCTATATCTTAAAATTCCAACTCCTGATTCACTTTCTGTTGTCTATTTTTCCTCTTGGTTTTCAGTCATTCAGTCTTGTTTCCCACCTTCCTGGAAACTTTTGATTGAATGCTGGATATTCTTACAAAAAAATTATAGTGACATGATATAATGTTCTCTTTCTTCAGGTAGACAGGTAGAGTATTGGCATATAAGCTTGATGAAGTTGGGACTGGTCTATTTCAGGTTATCTTCTACTTCTTGAGTACAGCCCTTTCAGGTTTCCAATTACAAAGCCTGGGGTATTCATATGGGCTCCTCTCTCTTGATTGGCTCTGCATGCTAATCCTTGACTCTCTAGTACCAGGAGACTGCCCAAGTCTCTGAGAAATTTTTGGCCTCTGAGCAGCAGCTTTTTTGCATTCTTTCTGAGAGTACTGCCTGCCACATGCATTGCTTTGGAGTAAACAATGTCTCTAGGAGAAATTGTGCAACAACCATTCAGGTTCACCTCTCTGTGGTTTCCTTTTCTTTGGGATCTTTCTTCCTCAAATGATGTCTGTCTTGATAGCTCTGAACTCCAAGTTTTGTCTCCCTACCCCTGGTGAGTCTGCCAAAGGCTCTAGGCTGCCACTTTCTGTTTGGCTTTGCTGCCATGATATGTGAATCAGTCAAGGACCTGAGGGGAAAAAGCAGCCATAAATGCCAAGCTCAGTTCAATGCAATTCACTTGTCTTCAGGATCTTGGACCTTAATGTCTGGTTGCTTTAGTTTCTTTCTAATGCTTTCAAATAACCACTTTGCTTCTCTCCCCCAAGCCCTACACCTAATTCATAAATTTCCTGGTGGAAGGTTTTAGCTAATACCAGCAATAATATCATAGCCAGAAACAGAAATGTTTCTTGTTTTTACTGAATTCTATAAAAATAGAGATGGTAATTTCTGCCTGGCTTACCCCACGGGAAGATCTAAAGTTAATTTAACCTGGAGAAAGGAAAATTAGTAAAAGAAGAAAATTAATAACTGATTTAGCAAGTTACTTGTCAAATCTTCATTGAGTAATCAATTTGTAACAGGCATTGTTTAGTAAAAGAGAAAAAAATAAAAGGAAGGAAGCAAGGGAGGCAGGGAAAGAAGGAAGAGAGGGAAAGAGGAGGGAGAAAGGAACACATCTCTGCTCCCATGAATCTTTTATTCTAGTACATTCAAATAGATTGTAGGTAAGTAAAAATTTACAAGATAATGATAACTGCTATTGAGATAATTAAAATAAGGTAGAGACTGTAAAATGACTACTTTAGATTAAGAGGATAGGGAGTAGGAAAAGGCTTTCTGAGGGGATGATATTAAAGCTGAGATCCTAATGACAAGAAGACAGCAGCCATCTGAAGTTTAAGGGGAATAACATTTTAAATAAGAAGAATAGCTAATGCAAAGGTAAGCCCCAAGCCAAAAACGAGCAAGGTAAATCTAACTATCAATGTCAACAATTGCTGTGTGACACTTCTTATTTCTCTACTGCCTGATCCTCTCACCAGTCCCTGCTACTCAAGAAACCAACAAGGAGCTGACTGGCTAGGGAGACTGGAAAATGGAGTTTGTAGACTTTTAACGACAATAGTACAGAACAGAGTACAGATGGGTAAATATGGACCGAGAAACAATGAATTAAAAACCAGCACAGTCTACCCTTTTGTCTACTCATGCCTTTCTACACTTATTTAGGCTTCTAAACAGTGACAATAACAACGACGTGTTTACCCCATATGAGATTCAACCATCTTTTATGCAAATGATACTCTCAACTTCTTTTCCCAAAGATGACACAATGTCTCGGAAATTGTTTCTATCTTCAGATGATATTATTTTATTGGTAGTTAAGTCACAATCCCAAATTATTCTGTCACCTAAAGACTAAATTTTAAAAATAAGCATAATCTGTGCCTCTTACATAAAACAGTGAGAAGGGAGAAGAAAAAACATTTAATATATACTTAACAAACAAGAGAAATTTGTATGTAACTGTAACTAGATATGCAGCCATTACAACTTACATCTCTCACTCCCTATTCCATGTTTTTCTTACCCTGAACCATTACCATAATTTGTTAGAATTCCTTATTTGGGAGTAAACCAAGCTGTCATTTATGAAGGGGATAAATCTTATCTATATTTGGTTGTTGATGTATCCATTAAATTGGGGCATGGAAACATAAGAGTATAGATGGGTGAATATGGACTGAGATACCCTCAGAAACCCGTGAGTTTCAGATGTATTTTCCTCTGTTATACTACGGCGAAACAATTATTTTTCCTTTTGATAGTCAGGATCAATCAACTTAACCAGAAAGTGGATTGATTCTTTCTCTACCTGTTGGTTTTGTGGCATAAGTACCAGTTGTCAGCCTTAACTTTCAGTTTCATTAAATTATTGTTGTTTATCTGGTGAAGGCATGCCTCTAGTGAGAACCAAGACCTTCTAATCAGTAGAGCCAAAAGGTAAGGGGCCAGACAGTAAAAGTTTTGCATCATATGCTACCTAAATATCAATCCCTCACTAATGATGTGCTGAGAAGGGTTCAGAGGAGGCATAGAGGAATGTATCAGGGAGAGAGACGCTGACTGTTGAAAGCTATGTGATCTTTGTCCTTTGTAGGCCAGGTGTGATGGTAGAAGGTGTTGCCTTTGATATGTGCTCCCCAATTTCAGTTGGAATGATGGGATCCCAGAGAGGCAAGCTCCACATAGCAGCAGACAAGGTAGGCACAATCATAACAGGCAAGAAAAATAGAGTGGCATCCAGAGTATGGCACACAGAATTCAGATGGATCACTGGAGATTACTAATTGATCATGCTTTCCTTAGAAATAGACACCATATTGTAGCAGTGCTTACCTACAGATGGTCCCTGACATACAATGGTTTGATTTAAACTTTTTACACATTGCGATGATACAAATGCTATACACATTCAGTAGAAACCATACTTCAAGTACCTACACAACCATTTGTTTTTCACTTTCAGTACAATATTCAATAAATTACATAACATATTCAACATTTTATTATAAAATAGGCCTTGTGTTAGGTGATTGTGCCAAACTGTAAGCTAATGTAAGTGTTCTGAGCACATTTGAGGTAGGCTATGCTAAGCTATTATGTTTGGTAGGTAAGGTGTATAAATGCTTTTTCAACTTATGATGGGTTTATTGGGACATAACCTCATCATAAGTTGAAGAGCATTTGTATATCTTTCAGTGTTTATAAGCATTTCTTGAATTTCAGTTATGAAGTCATTATTCTTAAAAAAAAAAAAAGTGAAAGGAAACCTGAGTGGAAAGAAATTAGGAAGGACAACTAAGTTTTAGTCATGACTACACTATGGATTTTTTCATGACCATGGGCAAGAGACTTCTTTTGGGACCTCATCTTTTGTAATTATGAAGTGAGAATAACAAAATAATTTAAAAGATAGTAATAGCTGGTATTTACTGAACACCTACAATGCAGCAAGTACTGTTTTAAACACATCAGTCGTCTCATCCAATCCTCTTATGACATGTGTCCTATTATTAAAACTCATCTTGCAGATGAGACGATTGAAACACAGAGACGTTAATAATCCATCCAAGCTTCAACAGTTTGTAAGTGTCAGTCCAAGGTCTTAAATCTACACACTTAATACCACTAAGTCATGGATGAAGCCCCTTTAATCTCAGTTTCAATGTCTGCGGTTTTCTTTTAAGTCTCAAAATGGCCCAACCTGATCCCCAGAAATGACCAATTTTAGGGAAACAGAAACCAGCTTTCTGCAAGTGGGCTGATTGTGTAACTTAACTCAGGTGGACTAAATTGGCTGTAAATTCTTTTACCAGGCATCTATGCCCTACAGGCTTCTGGGCGCTAGAACAAAAATAACAAAGTGCATAATGATCACAACAGGGACAACTTGCCCAAACAAATCTATGTGTGCCAAAGCACAGGAGAGAGGAAAAGAAATAGTTTCCTATCTACACCACTGATCATTCTAGGAGACTACTTCATAAATGGTTGCCAAAGCAGAAAAGAGGGTGATGGTGGGTGGGAAAGCGGGGTTACAGGGCATCGCAGAATGGCATGGAATCATGGGAAGGCACTGGCCTAGATGTGGGACACTCACACTCCAGTCCTGCCTCTGACTCTAAACTACTGCACAACATTGAACATGTTATAATCTCCACTGGATATTAGTACTAAAGGAATCATCAGTTTGAAATTCCAGATTTTACAGATGAGAAAATGGAGGTCCAACAAAGTGCAGCCAAACCTCAGTTGAACTATTCAGAATCCCCAGGCCTTCTTTCTGTCCACACTAAGCCATTTTACAAGCCTAAGGCTATTCATTATTCTGACCATCGATTTTCTCATCTGTATAATGGGAATAACCTGACACACTCTAACCATCTGCTATAGGTGATTACACAAGATTAAATGAGGTAATATATGAGGTTGTTTTTAAAAGTGCATACCATTCAAATGCCACTGGCCTGAGGGGTTTGGAATGTAACATTTTTCTTCTCACTGGATAACCCATTTCTACAGACTGTAGCAAGAATGCCCTAAGGGTCTCCAGAAACAGACTTGGAGTTCAAAAGAAGATAAACATCATTTAAGGTCAACCCATGAGTTAGAACTAAGAGGAATAGAATGGAGGAATGGGAAATTTTAAGGAGATGGTGAAAAAGAAACTCATAAAATATAATTTGGCAAACCACAAAATTTTCTCTGCAGAGACAAATTGATCACTGTACTGCTTGCATCATTCAAGCTCACACCAGACACAGCACTTCAGTATGCACCAGGTGGGTGATCTGCCATAAGCATAGAAGCAAGCAAAGGTATCCTAAGTTGGGCTTTCTGTTTTTCAGCCCACAGGCTTTCTGCTAATGTGTCCTGTCTCCTCCTCAGCCTGGACACAATTGTCCCGCATGGCCTGGTCATCCCTGATGGCTTTAGTCAGCCAACTTTTAAATAATGGTGCATCTAGGCCCATGTGTTCTCATTTACTGTGCAACTACTTTTTGCTTAGCTATCATCCAATGCTTATTATGAGCCCAAGCCCACACTGAGTGCTTTGTGTGTATTGTCTTATTTAACTCCCCCAACACCACAATGAAGTAAGTCATTGAATGCTTTTGAGATGCTAATGTAATCCTCATTTACCAAGCAAATATCCTGAGGGCCAGAGAGGAACCAGCAAGTGGAGGAGCCAAGTCTGAAACCAAGACAGTCTGAACCTAGGGTTTGTACTTTTAACACCCTGCAATTTTGTCATCTTGGTTGTTTCATTGTCTTGAGCTATAATTTCAACCCAGTTGCACCAGGGAATGAATCTCTTGAGTTACTTTCCAAGGAATTTTTGTTTTTACAGATATTTAAGAAGCTCTCACATTGATGAAAAATTAACCTTATTCTATATAGCTTTAGAAGTTAAAAATGAGACTCAATGGCTGAAAAAACCTAGCCCAACTTCAGCTTACTGTAAAAAAGACTTGTGTTTTCATGGAAGTGGTCCAATGAATGGAAACAGCTATTTTGTGAGTGTGGCAAGCAGAAATTATTGTTTAAGAAGAGATTGTCAGAGACCACCTGTTAAGGATTGCTGCCATGCTGAGGGGGGATTTCTGTTTGGAAGCTCCTAAAGTCATGGCTACTCTGAAATCTTACAAGTCTATGACCAGCAGGTCTCAATAAAGAATAAGTAACATCTTGTTAAGCATGGCCTTCTGTGGTGATTTTACACCAAGGATAATCTGAACAATCTCCTAAAATGAGAGTCGAGAAACTAATTCTGTGTATTGAGAAAGGGAATACTTCTCCTGAGTTTGATCTATTTTAAAGCCATCATGCTATTCTCTGTCTGAAAACTTTTCTCTATTTCAGTTACCGAATTTAACTATTCCTTCTTCATGGCCATTTCAAGTCTCACCACGTCCACAAAGAGTTTCCCTGGGCCATCCCAGGCCTTGACACTACTCTCTTCTCAAACTCTTGCAACACTTTCTCTTCTCTGAAAATCAATACAGTACCATCCTACTTGCAAAAAAAGCACTGTTGGAGCTGTCAGGTTGCAGAAGAGTCAATGACCATTCAGAAGGAGGATACTCAAGAAAAGACTTTGAAAGAAAAATGTGACCTGGAGCTAAATCCTAAAACATTGACAGTCAGCCCAGGAGGGTAAAAAATATGTCTGATCTTCTGATGGAAGCTTAGCAGTTAGCACAGTAGCTAGCACATTATAGAGGCTAAAAGCATGTATCAAAGGAAAAAGAGAGGAAGGAAAGGAAGAACATGTGGAGGAGGGGAGAGAGGAAGGGGAGAAAGGAAGCCAAAGTGGTCCAGGCATGTTTGTGTAATACTGAGGAGAGCAAACTAGTGAGAACAATGTGTATCTGTGTTGAGCAGTGGCTATTGGGGAAAATGAGCAGTGTAGGCTCCAATTAAGAAGAGCCCAGAGAGTTGGGATGAGAACTTGAGGCTGGCTGTAGAGAGATTTATAACATTCTGAATAGCATCGATGATTTTTTTGGCTTCTTTATTAGACCGCAAGTCATGTGAGAACATGGTTCTCAGCCTATTCTTCTTGATATCTTCAGCCGATTTAGCTATGTATAATATTTGATTGAAAAATAAATAAGCAAATGAATAAACCAGTCTCTGCCTAGTCATCCCAGAGATGAATTGATTTTTCACACCTTGCCAACATTCTGGTACTCGCCACAATGTTGGACACTCTCACACATAGAAGAGCCAAAGAAATGTGACCATTTCTTCAACTCGGACACTACGAAGTGACATTTAATGAACTTTCTTCTAAAGAGGGTATTTATCATTAAATCAATCTCACTTTTCCAGTGCTATTCAGAAACTCCCAGTCTACACTGGCAGCCAATTTCCAATTCCCAGTCATGCTCTTGAAACAGAACTGAACAGAAAGTTTACTGAGAGACTTTTAAATTGCCCCCAATCCCTGGAAAACACTTTATTGAAAGTGTTTCAGCCCCTTTTTTCCTGACTAGAATATCTTTAAATCAATTATAATTCATCCTTCAGAAGATGGTCATATTAAAATTGAGTTTTGTAGAAGAGTAGAAAGGAAGAGGACTTGGTCAGAGAGTTCTGACCTCAAATATTGTCTTTGCTACTTACTAATCCTGAAAAAGTTACCTTCTCTAGGTCTCAGTTTCTTAATCCGTAAAATTATACCAATGCCTACTACATTTTTGTACATTATAGTAACATTTTTGCACATCAGTTTTATACATATATACACATATAAATATATACGTATATAATATACATATAATGTATATAAAATATATACATGTATGTGTATTTTTATGTAAATATTAACAAAATTCAATCTGATCATTTTTTTTTCCTAGGGAAACAGACCTGCTTTTCTCAGCAAAGACTCTTGTCCTAAAACTGTCTTATTCCATTCTTCCATTAAAACATAACTTTCTCTTTGACATCCTCTTAGGGTCCAGCATTTGACTAGTAAGGTACCTTTTCAGACTAAGGTGTTAGTAGAACATTTCTTTGTGATGGAGTATTCCCATTTTTAACTAGAAAATTCTGGATATCTTACCCTGATAGATTTTAATCTTAATATTATTAAACATTATTAAATTGATAAATCTATGCTGATAGAAAGCCATTAAGAAATAAAGTTGGGGTTTAATTGCTTGGGGATAACTTTACATTTTTAAAAACTTCTTCTGCATAGGTGACTATGTCGTAGGTTAATCATGAGCTTGTAACTGAACCAAAGCCAACAAAATGCATTTCAGTAGAATAAACATAAGGCCCTATGTTTAGATTCAAAACATCCACTTGACAAATAGAAGATGGAGCTTATTTTAGAAATACATGCAAAAATGTGACAGTATTATTTGACTACAAGTTGGGGGTGTTTAAAAGGCTTACACAAAATTAGGTCAGTCACATTTATACATCTGTCAAATCGGTATCATGAGACAATATAGCTGGTTCCACTGTGATGGCTGGACTATAGGTGGAACTCAAGATAACCTATTTTAAGATACCCTGCCAAAAGAAGACAATGAAAGGTCTAAATATCATGTCAAATGAGATTCACCTGAGGCAAATGGGCATCTCTACCCAGAAGACTAGAAGATTAAAAGAAAATACAAATAATTAAGAGACTGTTATAAGAAAGAGAAAAAAGCTGGGCATAGTGGCTCACACCTGTAATCCCAGCACTTTGGGAGGCCGGGTGGGTGGATCACAAAATCAGGAGTTCAAGACCAGCCTGGCCAAGATGGTGAAACCCCGTCTCTACTAAAAATACAAAAATTAGCCGGGCGTGGTGGCAGGCACCTGTAATCCCAGCTACTCGGGAGACTGACGCAGAGAATTGCTTGAACCTGGGAGGCAGAGGTTGCAGTGAGCTGAGATCGAGCCAATGCACTCCAACCTGGGCAACAGAGTGAGATTCTGCCTCAAGAAAAGAAAGAGAAAAAAGAGAGGTGACTCTAAAGGACAGAATTAAGACGACTTGTTAGGAACGGTGAACACATCTATTTTGCTGCATATAAGAAACGGCTTTCGAGTAAGTAGAGCTACACAAAAATGGAAGGGTCTATTTCACAAAGAAATAACTTACTGTTTTCTGCAACTTCAAAGCCTAGTGTAGTTCTTGACTCATGGTAGAAGAAGGGAGGGAGGGGAAGAAGGGAGGAAGGGGAAGAAGGAAGACGGGAAGGAAGGAGGGAAGGGAGAATGGAGGGTAGAAGGAGGGAAGAAAGTGGGAGGGGAGAAGGGAGGAAGTTGCCCTCTCAACTCACAGCTAGAGCCAGCCCCTTTTCCCTAAATAGATCAGGATTTCTTATTAAAACCACATCACCTGCCCTTTCCCAGAAAGTTTCCTCAATCACCACCTGGTCCAAATTTGCTTTAAACGGACTCTTTCACAGTGAAATTCCACTTCGAACTTAACCTAACTCTGAAAGGCAGGGCATGACAAAAGTGTTCATTTTCCTAACTGGAAAAAAAAAAAAATCTTGAAATTTCTCACATATATTTTTATTCTTTTCTATTATAAATGTTAGACATAGTGCAGTTTCAGCATCTGCCAGCAAAATATATACAGATATATATATATATATATATATATATATATATATAAACCATTGTGGAATAAAATTTCGTCAAAATAAGGGAAGATGGGTGAAGGACACATAACAATTTTTAATAGAACCATATTTTCTTAAACCTTAAATTCCAGTATTCAATATATCTTTGTTGAGTAAAATTTGTTTGTTCATGCTTAGAGATTTCATATAGTCCAGTCCTGAGTCTAATCAGAAATTCCTGTTACATTTAAAAGAGTTTCATAGCATCGACTTGTTTTTTAAAATTTTAACGACAAAAAAAAAAAAAAAAAGCACGAAATGGCCATTCTGTAACAGTCACTTAATTCACCTTGGTAATATGCCTTAACTATGCATCATCCCTTTTGGTTGACTCTGATGGACCTGATTTCTGACATATCCTTTAGGATGATCTAAAGAACAACCTGAGAGTTGTAATCAGGAAATCTGGGTATTAGTCCCAGATCCACTACTTCGTAAACGTGTGGCCTTGGGCAATTCCCATAGCTCTTCTGGGCCCCAATTTTCTCAGATGTAAAAGGAGATAAAATTATTACTCCATTTTACCTGTCTGCCTTATTGCAAAATTATCTGACATATCCTATATGACAGGCTTTAGTAATCTGTGAAGAGTTTTTTTTTTTTTTTTTGAGATGGAGTTTCACTCTTGTAATCCAGGCTGGAGTGCAGTGGCACAATCTCAGCTCACTGTAACCTCTGCCTGCCTCCTGGGTTCACGCCATTCTCCTGCCTCAGCCTTCCATGTAGTTGGGATTACAGGTGCCCACCACCACACCTGGCTAATTTTTTGTATTTTTAGTAGAGATGGGGTTTTGCCACGTTGGCCAGGTTGGTCTTGAACTCCTGGCCTCAGGTGATCTGCCTGCCTCAGCCTCCCAAAGTGCTGGGATTACAGGCATGAGCCACCGCACCCTGCCTGCAAAGACTTTTAAATAGCATAGACATCCTTGTCCTTCACAAGTTTATGAGCAAACAAAAATATCCTTATCTCATTCTCAAGGAGCAATATTGGATTGGGTTCCTTCTCAAATTCACAAGATCTCTATAGACAAAACCATTGCTGTGCCTGGAGAGTGGCTAGGATCATCACAGAGAGACGGCGATGCGACTGAGCTCCATTGATGGATATTTTGTTTTCTTGTGGAACTAAAGCAATAACAAAACCCGATTTACAATAACGTATTTCCTAAACTTCTGCTTTCTATATTTTTTGTCACTATGTATAGTTCAAAGCATAATTGAAGCCTATGTGGACTTTGTACACCCTGGAAATCTGAGAAGGACCTTGAATTAAAAGGCTACTTTTATTATACCTTATAAGTCTACTTTTATGATTATTTCATAATGGCGTAACGCATGGGGCTCATACCACTCTGAATTCTTATCAGAGTCCTACCACCAAAGATACTCACAGCCTAATCCCCAGAACCTTATGCATTCCATATGTGACCCTACATAGCAAATGGGAGTATGCAGGTATGGTTATGTTAAGGATCTTGACATAGGGATATTATCCAGAATCAGCTGAGTAATCATTGGGATCCTTATAAGAGGGAGACAGACGAGTCACAGGTGTAAAGGAAATGTTGATGCTAGAAGTGGTGGTCAGAGCGATGCAGGGTCATGAGTCAAGGAATGTGGACAGCCAAAAAGGCAAAGACACAGATTTTCCCTAGAGCCTCCAGAAGAAACAGCCAGCCCTGCTGACACCTTGATTTTAGCACACAGCGCCTGATTTTTGACTCCTGGCCTTCATAATTTAAATGAATGAATGAATGAATGAATGAATGAATTCATGTTGTTTTAAGCTGCTAAGTGTGTAGTAATTTGTTAAAACAGTAACTAGAAACTAATACACTAGATCTATAAAAATATCTCTCTAAAATAAAATAATTGTCACAAACATCTACACATCTAACATCAGTTCTGACATTCTATAGATAGTCTTACTCTTGGGAAAATCTAGTTTCTCGTATGGCAGTATAGTTAGATTTTATACAGATAATTAGGGCTCTGTTGCTTCTAGAAATGAGCTTGTTTCTCTGTTGTAAGTTGTTTGTATTTTGGTTTTAGTTCTTGTATTTATTTGCCTGAAGGAAAAAAAATGGTATGTGTATTTTTTTTCTGGAACAAAATAGGGATAAAAATAAATGAATAGATGCAATGAAAGGAGTACTGGCTGCAAATGGAGAGACTTGGTCTCTAGTCCTGCCTTTGCTAGTGGGTAGGCCACTTCACCTCTCTGTCTCTGTGTTTGTGTGTGTGTGTGTGTGTGTGTGTGTGTGTGTGTGTGTTTCCTGGTGCTACCATAACAAATTACCACAAACTGAGTGGCTTCAAACAACAGAAATTATCTCACAGTTCAGGAAGCCAGAAGTACAGGATTAAGGCGTCAGTAGCATTAGTTCCTTCTGGAACCTCAGAAGGGGAATTTATGCTTCCTCTTAGCTTCTGCTGGTTGCAGCAGTCCAGTTTGCAGCATTCTTCTGCTTGTAAGTGCATCACTCCAATCCTTGACTGTCATCACATGGGACCTCTTCCCCGATTGTCTTTTCTGTGTCTCTGTTTTCTCTTCTTATAAAGACACTAAGCATTGGATTTAGGGCCCGCCTTAATCCAATATGACCCCTCTATCAGTCACGACTCTCCAGAGGAATAGATCCATTAGGATGTATATATCTACATGCAGAAAGAGGTTTAAGGAATTGGCTCACTTGATTATGAGGGCTGACAAATCCCGAGATGTGCAGTGGGCAAGTCGAAGAACCAGGAGAGGTGATAATGTAGTTCTAGTCCAAAGGCCAAGAGGCTCCAGAGCCAGGAAAAGCCAATGTTTCAGTTTGAGTCCAAAGAAAGGGAAAAACCAGTGCTTCACCTGGAAGGCAGTCAGGCAAGAGGAACTCACCCTTTTTCCAGGGATGGTCAGCCTTTTTGTTCTAGTTCAGCCTTCAACTGAATAGATGAGGCCCATTCACATCAGGCAGGGCAATTTGCTGTACTCAGTCTATTCATTTAAATGTTAAGCTCATCCAAAAACATCCTCACAGAAATACCCAGAATAATGTTCGACCAAATATCTGGGCACCCTGAAGCCCAAGGAAGTTGACACATAAAATTAATTATTACAACCTTATCTTAATTTTATTGCAAGGATCCTACTTCCAAATAAGGTCACATCTGAGATTCCAGGTAAACATGAATTTTGGAGGGTGGGGCACTCTTCCACCCTCTATATCCTCTCCATTGCCTTTTCTGTGAAATGAGGGCCTGGACCTGCGGGATGGGAGCAGGTCCTCTATAGCAAGGGGTTTCGGGTGCTGATAAGATTGAGAAATGCTGCTTTGAACAAAATCGGCCTGATTTCTTTATCACTGGCCCTTGCTGAGACTTTATTTCATAAAGAAGTACTGCGAATCTTCAAGAGGAAGATACTGCTCTGTTTTTTCAGGGCTTATTTGATTATAGAAACCCCTGTCTGGTTTTTTTTGGCATGCCTAGGAACACCTCTCAATACAGGGTTCCCTGGAACCCCGTTTCAGAAACACTGGACTAGATCAGTGATCTCCAAGTTCTCAATTTCCAATAATCTGTGGTTCTATAGATCATTAGTTCTCCAACTTCCTTTTAAAAAATAAAGTACTCTTAGGCTGGGCGCAGTGGCTCACGCCTGTAATCCCAACACTTTGGGAGGCCGAGGCGGGCAGATCACAAGGTCAGGAGATCGAGACCATCCTGGCTAACGCGGTGAAACCCCTGTCTCTAATAAAAATACAAAAAAATTAGCCGGGCCTGGTGGCAGGCACCTGTAGTCCCAGCTACTCAGGAGGCTGAGGCAGGAGAATGATGTGAACCCGGGAGGCAGAGCTTGCAGTGAGCCGAGATCGCGCCACTGCACTCCAGCCTAGGCAACAGAGCGAGACTCTGTCTCAAAAAAATAAAAAATAAAAATAATAATAATAATAATAAAGTACTGTTGAACTCCCAGTATTGGTTTAAATTATATTTATTAAAATGTTACTTAAATATGAATATACATAAACTACCTATAAATCCCTTATGCTTCTGACTCTTATAGAACTATAAAAACCAAACAAATGTGCAAACGAATTCAAAGAAAACCAATAAAATTAAAATTAACAACATTAATTTAATGTGATATCATTTTGTTGGAATTATATCATTGCTCACAATGTGCATACTGTATGCTCTGTTCCAATGCAGTTCAACAAATTTATTACAATGTGCCACAGGTGACTCGATCCTCACACCGTTTTTTTTCTCTATTCAAATTCCAGGAAGGCTTTATTTGCACAGCTCTTAGGGATGCCGTTTGCCTTCTTATGGTGGGAGCACACAATTTATATATTTTTTATACCTCTGTATTTTTTTTTCTTATTACTGGTAAGCATTAGATAGTTCTTTGTATTACTGCAATAATAAACACAAATAGAAAGAAAGCTATGAATATTGCGAGTAGGTAATTAAGTAGCCATCCAAACATCCAAAATATCCAGAATGTCTTTGCTTTAGATTCACATGATCATTAGACTAAAATAAGACACTTTAAAACAAGTATAAAAATAAGAGATAGTTGGCAAATCTCTTTAACCTTTAATTTTTTAGAGCCCATTTTAAAAGTGCCAACTACAGATGCTTGTAGTTCTCCCACATGAACTTGAAATTCCTCTACAGAGTCTAGCTCATTTCTTTTCTTCCATTCTCTTCCCAGGAACCAAGGAGTTAATAATACTCATGAAGATGATGCTCCACCATGGGTCCTAACCACTTGTCTCTATTTGGGAAATCACGGCCATGAATGTTTCCTTCATAAGACTCTATGTAGAAATTTGTGTAGTGTACTGTGGCTTCTGCAGACTCCCAGTTCAACCTCCAGTAAGAAAGGGACAAGTCTAACAATCTCTCTAAAATGACTCTCTTAGATTGCCCATAAAAAAAATGTCATTAATTCGGACTTAACTGGGCTATGAAGAGGCCAGTAGGAATTAGAGAAGTCCTTTCTCTTCACTGTCTAGTAAACATAACAATTCAAACCAGCTTAACGAAGTGTGAAGAAGCAGAGATCCTTTAATGGCCTGCTTTAATGAACAGGTAAGAACATTTTAAAAATAGCACAATGATTGTTTTCTTGCAAATTTGATTCTCTACTATTCTATTAAGCACTTTAATTATCTGCAATCTTGTTTACCCCAGTAATTTGCTAAGAAAACCTTTTCCTTCCTAGCAAGAGTAGAAGCAACATTTAGCTCAGGCTGGTCCAAATAAGCAAGAGTTTCAAATTAGTAGCATCTGATTTAATTAGATTTTACTAACAGCCAAGTCAGGAAAATGCATTAACCCACTTAGCCCACTAGGGGTTCCCTTTGTGTTCTGAAGTTAATCGCTGCCATTTACTTCCTTGCCTGTTGCGGCCTTCCTGGCTGCTTTCTCATTTACAATAGGGTGGGCAACTTTTTGACAAACCTCACTCAACCTCACCAGCATTCCCAGCTCAGCAGATGGTGGATGAATGGTGATTTGGCTGTCAGTCTGCATGATGACATTAGAAGGTCACCAAAACGCCACCCGGACCAAAATCATTATACCTTTTTGTTTGTGCAGCAAGTCCGGAAGGAGCTATCGCATAGACATACTCACCATTAACACTACTTCTTGAGGACTTTTCGAGTTAGCTCACTTTTTACATCCTCACAGTATCACTTTTTCTCTGTTAGTCACACATTCCATGTACATTAGCATGTAGTGCTTGTTTCTATTAACTTAAATTTCTGAGAGGTATGCTGCATCTTTACCACGACGTGGCTTGGAGGACAGAAGTTCCTTTTTCTTGCATTTTTGTTCAGACCTCCCTCCTAAGCCTGTGGCACAATGATAAACCTGGGATCATAGAGTTGCTACCTTAGGATAGAGTAATTGTGAGGTAATACTTTTTAAGTGTTTTAAACAGTATCTAACTAAGAGTTAAGTGCCCAAGGGATGTTAGGGAATAAATAAGTGTAGATACTTCAGTCATTAACTTCTATTATCAGGACCTACGCTTTCTGATTATTCACTCACTCCACAAGCATGATTTGTCCTCCTACGTGGTGCCAGCCACTGTGCTACACAGGAGATGACGTAACAATGAAGACAAACGTCTCTCCTCTCAAGTGGCTTTCGGTTGGCAAAGTAGCTATAATAAAGTGAACTCATTCAGTTCCCTACTCCCAATCTCAAAGAAATCGTTACAAAAAGGGGGTGGGCATTAATCAATACGATTTGTAATATTATCCTGGAGAAAATTAGCACAGTTGGGAAAATTTATATTTAGGAGAAATTATTTCAACCAATCACCAGGAAGGCTTTTTTTTTTCCTGAATATAATATTAATAATCTGTACTAGGCCTAAAATAATGTTTATTTTATTCTCCTCTGGTTCTAAAAATACACAATGGCCTGAAAGCCAAAATCTAACTTGTAATTTTCACAGCTGAATCATATTCATTTCCTTCCAAATCGGATACTCCTGGGCACTGCCACCAAAACTCAACAGCAGCCCAACTCGAAGCCCAAAAGCTCCCCTGGGGAGGGGCTGGGGTGGTTGCATTCCATTTATAGCAAGATGAAAAAGAACATCTCTAAAGTAGAGGATATTCAATCAATAGACAGAAAGATGGGGTAGAAGACCTTCAAAGCTCTTTCCAATCCCAGATCCCATTGAGAGGTGACAGCGTGCTGGCAGTCCTCAGAGCCCTCGCTTGCTCTTGGCACCTCCTCTGCCTGGGCTCCCACTTTGGCGGCATTTGAGGAGCCCTTCAGCCCACCACTGCACTGTGGGAGCCCCTTTCTAGGCTGGCGAAGGCTGGAGCCCACTCCCTCAGCTTGCAGGGAGGTGTGGAGGGAGAGGCGCGAGCGGGAACCGGGGCTGCGTGCAGCGCTTGCGGGCCAGCTGGAGTTCCGGGTGGGCGTGGGCTTGGCGGGCCCCGCACTCGGAGCAGCCGGCCAGCCCTGCCGACCCCGGGCAACGACGGACTTAGCACCCGGGCCAGTGGCTGCGGAGGGTGTACTGGGTCCCCCAGCAGTGCCAGCCCACCGGCGCTGCGCTCGATTTCTCACGGAGCCTTAGCCGCCTTCCCGCGGGGCAGGGCTCGGGACCTGCAGCCTGCCATGCCTAAGCCTCCCACCCACTCCATGGGCTCCTGTGCTGCCCGAGCCTCCCCGACAAGCACCACCCCCTGCTCCACGGCGCCCAGTCCCATTGATCACCCAAGGGCTGAGGAATGCGAGCTCACTGCGCAGGACTGGCAGGCAGCTCCACCTGCAGCCCCGGTGTGGGATCCACTAGGTGAAGCCAGCTGGGCTCCTGAGTCTGGTGGGGACGTGGAGAGTCTTTATGTCTAGCTCAGGGATTGTAAATACACCAATCAGCACCCTGTGTTTAGCTCAAGGTTTGTGAGTGCACCAATGGACACTCTGTATCTAGCTGCTCTGGTGGGGCCTTGGAGAACCTTTATGTCTAGCTCAGGGATTGTAAACACACCAATCGGCACTCTGTATCTAGCTCAAGGTTTGTAAACACACCAATCAGCACCCAGTGTTTAGCTCAAGGTTTGTAAACACACCAATCAGCACCCAGTGTTTAGCTCAAGGTTTGTGAATGCACTAACCGACACTCTGTATCTAGCTGCTCTGGTGGGGCCTTGGAGAACCTGTGTGTCCAAACTCTGTATCTAACTAATCTGATGGGGACATGGAGAACCTCTGTATCTAGCTCAGGGATTGTAAACGCACCAATCAGCGCCCTGTCAAAACAGGCCACTCGGCTCTACCAATCAGCAGGATGTGGGTGGGGCCAGATAAGACAATAAAAGCAGGCTGCCCGAGCCAGCATTGGCAACCCGCTCGGGTCCCCTTCCACACTGGGGAAGCTTTGTTCTTTCACTCTTTGCAATAAATCTTGCTACTGCTCACTCTTTGGGTCCACGCTGCTTTTATGAGCTGTAACACTCACCGCGAAGATCTGCAGCTTCACTCCTGAGCCAGCGAGACCAGGAACCCACAAGAAGGAAGAAACTCCGAACACATCTGAACATCAGAAGGGACAGACTCCAGACGCGCCACCTTAAGAGCTGTAACACTCACCGCGAGGGTCCGCGGCTTCATTCTTGAAGTCAGTGAGACCAAGAACCCACCAATTCCGGACACACCATTATGCTGGGAGACTTAATGAGTGGCTCATGAAATGTGATAAACATCCTGGGCAGAATATGAGTGGAAGCCAGGTGTTCTAATCTCCAGCTGATGAGTTTGCAAAGCAGATTGTGGTGGGCCTGGTCTACAGCTCAAGGAATAAAATAGTGCTATCTTTTCATTAAGGAAAATAGCTTATAGGACAAAGAAATAGCAGGTTAGCAAACCATTTTATGTGAACCCACAAAGCATTCTCTAAGCCCCAGTTTGTGAGAGGCAGATAGATATACACAAAGGTTGTAGAGGCAGTCACAGCTGGAGAGCTAATAAGTTTTTGAGAGATGATTTGGCCCTTAGATGACACCACTCCCTTCTCATTAGGGGGCACTTGAGAGGGAGAGGCAGCAACAGCCTTCCCTGACCTTCCCTGCAGGCCCTGAGCAGAAGTTGAATAAAGGCCTGGAGTAATTTTAGAGCTGATGGGATGATGGCCTTTTTGTGGCTAGAATGTTCACTCTAGGAAATTTTGAAAATAAGACACAGTGGCATGGTAATCTAAGAGTCTATTTATAAACAAGGATTCTAAATTTTGATGAACCAAAGAATAGGCATAAATTCAAAATACATACTTGTCACCATTAAGAACATTCTTCTCCAAAAGAACAGAATTTCTCAAGCCAATCTCTGACTGGGACAGGAACCAAGAAATATACTGCTTAGGGTTGTGGATTTTAAAGATTCATGAACTCTCCTAGGGAAATCTATATTAAAAATTAAGAGCATGGAACTTGGAGTCAAAACTGAGTTAGATTCTAGTCTTATTCTATATTAGCTACACAACCTGTTATTTAATCTCTTTGAGGCCTCATTTTCTCATTTTTATAATGAAATATCATGACCTTGGATAGTTCAGTAGAAGTTTTGGGGTTACAACCAAAGAGTCGGAAATTTTAAATGCGAGGGGTCCCTGGGTTTGTTCCTCTACTCTCCATCTTCATGAGACCAGAAGACTAGGGTGTCAAAAAAAACTGTACCCCAAGCTCAGCTAAGAAGCTGGGCAGGCAGAGAAAGGAGCACAGTCCAACTCTCAGAGTTGAAAAGAAGGTTCAACTTCTGAAAGATCTTTGATAACTTAATCGCTGGAAACATATGAGTGAGTTCTTTTTCCTCATTTATTTGCTCATTTATTATCCCTTGCAAGTCCAAGGGCTATACTGGCCATTATAAGGCAGACCCACTTTTCTGCTTCAAGCTAGGACACTTTGCTCCAATGTGGGGAACTCTCTTGGACCACAAATAGGAGGAAAATTTAAGTCATCTGAATTCTGAATTATTCAGAACCATAAAGCTGAACTTGCCATCCAAGCCACCAGAGGAATAAATTTTTCAGTATGCCTCAGCTTTGTGAATTTGTACATTTGAGAAGTTTTGTGAGTTTGTGAGTTTGTCCTCATTTTCTTCATTCATACCAAACTTTACAGAGATTAGCATATTTTTAGTGACACTAAAGACAAGATTCATCCCATTCATTGAATCTCTTTTTGAATCAAATGTATAATGAGCCTATGCTTATAATTATCAATCCCAGTGAACCCCACTTCATTTCTCTGTGACTGTCCCAAGACACACCTTCAGCCCTGGATTCTCCATTGTGCCAGTGTCATTTTTTCAACTGTGTATTAGGCATTTGAGGATAAACTGCTGCCCGCTAAAGCTAATATATTTAACATTAAATTTATATTTTCTCCAAAGCACTTCATTTTATTAAATAGCCACTAAATGAATACTTGTTGGCTAAACCCGTAAAACTCTTCTGTTCATCTTGATATTAACATCCATTGCTCCATTATTCCCTCCGTTTACAAGCCTTGAACACATTCCTGTCTTTGACTCCGCCCTTTCCATGAACCCTCAAGTTCAATTAATCACCAGTTTGTTCAAATATTTCTTTGACACACATTCACCCTTGTCAATGCCCAGATTCAAGGATCTTACTATTTTATAACCTTTATTAAATTCTTTATTCTCACTTTCTCCCTCATTCTAATCTATCTTTTTAATTAATCGATAGTTACCAACCATGGCTTTGACTCAGGACTTACCATTTCTTCAGTAGTGAAATGTGCCAGGCAGTGTTTTAAGATCCTAAAGCTGTAGGTTTTAATCTGTGTTGCAAAGATCCATGGGAGTCCCATAGAGGGAGGAAGCTAAGGGGAACTTCAAGGCTCTTTTGTCTCCTCTTCCACCAGAGATGATCGTTCGTTTCCTCTATTTTACATATAGGAATCTACATAAATTGCTTTCAAATTGTCTTTCTTGGCAAAAACGAGTTTGAGAATCATTGGTACATGTGTAAAAGGCAAACCTCCTTAGCCTGCTATTTACAACTTTCCCAATCTAGCCCCACACATCTTTACAAATTAGTTCATTTTATGTCTCTTCATGTTGAGTTTTCTCAATGGTTTTTTCCAATAGATCTTAGGTGCTCTCACCCTCCCTACTCATTGTCTCCTACCTAAATGCTGCCCATCTGTGGTAGTCAATGGTTCTATTATTCATCAAATATGTCTGCTTCTCTATTCTTCTGGTACAAGAGAGGATTACATTTCCTAGGATCTTGTGTATAGTTCTGGCCAGTGACTTTTGAGTGAAAGTGGTTTGTATCCCTTACAGAGAAGAAAATTAATTGTCAGTTGCAGACCCTCCGATGGTCTATCTTTCTCTCTGGTGCTTCATATCTACACTCCAGATAATGGTCACACTATTAGACTCAGTCTAGACTGAGCCTGAGACTGAGCAGAGACTTCAAGTAGATAGAGTGAGTAAGAGCCAAACGTCTGTGCTTAAAAGTCACTAAGATTTTGAGATTTTGTTGTGTTACTGTAATCTTTCCTAAGCAATACACAATCCTTCTTTAAGAATGGGCTAAAATTCTTCTCAAGGCAACTCTTTAAAAAAAAAATCATTTTATTATGTACACCAAACCTGCTACCACCAAGGAAAAATATCTCTCATGAATCATATCTGTGGCATATCAAGTAGTCATTCTATAGAATGCCAAAACACTTATTACTTATGCTCATGGCATTTAAATCAATAGTCTGTCCCATATTGTTAAGTAATAGATGTATGTGCATACCTGTTTTTCATATAAACCACAAACTTCACCTTGATTATTCCCTACTGTGTATCAGAGTGGAGGGAGTATAACACTGTGTGCTTCTCTCCCAGTCCCACCTTGGAGCAAATATATTTATTAATATTCCACATGAAATTTAGTTAAATTACTATCAGAAGGTTGTCAAACGAAAGATTACCTCATGGCCAGGCACAGTGGCTCACACCTGTGATCCCAACACTTTGGGAGACAAAGGTGGGTGAATCACGAGGTCAGGAGTTAGAGACCAGCCTGGCCAACATGGTGAAACCCTGTCTCTACTAAAAATACAAAACATTAGCCGGGCGTAGTGGCAGGCACCTGTAATCCCAGCTACTAGGGAGGCTGAGGGAGGAGAATCGCTTGAACCTGGGAGGCAGAGGTTGCAGTGAGCTGAGATCGTGCCACTGCACTCCAGCCTGGGTGACAGAGTGAGACTCCATCTCAAAAAAAAAAAAAAAGATTATCTCATTAAAATATAGGATAAAAAAATGTACAGCCTAAGAATTAAATATGTGTGTGATGGGCGAGAAAACCAAGTGCCCCAAAGGCTATGCGTAGATATTTCTCATTCATCATTGGCCTCCTCATCCTCCCCTATCTGTAACTTCCTTGAATCAAGAAGAAAACAAAGAGTTTTGAAGGTCCACTAAATTGTAGAGCCAAGGATGAGGACCTCAGCTTGACATATCTTGCACTTCTGTTGTCTGTGAAGTTCAAGACTGTATCAACTTTAAGTTCCTTCTCATATATAGCCCCTGAGTATCCAGCCCAAGGATGCTAAATATGCATTCATTTCTGGGTTGATGGGATTTTTTCAATTCCCCTCAAAGGATTGAATCACTTCCATGGGCATATCAAGTTGAAACAGAAAGTTGGTGACTGCCCTGAATTACTAAAAAGAACTGATAGTAGATAATACTTATTTTGTACTCACAGTGTGCCAGGTATTGCTCTAAGCATTTTGCATGTCTTAATTTAATATAGCATGGTGGTTAGTGTGGGGACCTGGGTCAGACTGCCAGAACTTGAATCCTTGCTCTTTAATTATGGCCTATGTGACCTTGGGCAGTCAACCTCTCTGTGCCGTAGTTTTTTTCATTTGTAAAGTGAGGTGGTTGGTCACAGTGGTTCATGCTTGTAAATCCCAGCACTGTGGAAGGCTGACATAGGAGGACTGCTTGAAGCTAGGAGTTTGATACCAGCCTGGGCAGTACAGCAAGACCCCATCTCTTAAAAAAATTAAGTCAAAATGAAGTAATTATCATGATAGTACCTACTACACAGGGTTGTTGTGAGACTTAAAGGAAGTAACATATTCACAGATCTTAAAACAGTGTAGAGCCAGGCATGGTGGCCCATGCCTATAATCAGAGCTACTCAGGAGGCTGAGGTGGGAGGATCACTTGAGGCCAGGAGTTTGAGCCCAGCCTGGGCAATATAGCAAGACTCTCTCTCTAAGACAACATGAAAAGTCAGTCCAGCACAGTGTCCAAGCTCTGCATGTGCTGCCTGGTTTTCTTTTAGGGAGCCAGTCAGAATATATACTTGGGACCTATAGAACATTGCAGATGGGAGACACTAAAACAAATATCTTCACTCTTAGTGTCATGTCAGGGGAGGCCTATGAGAAATCAGTCATTGTCTTCCAGAGGGATGAGGAAATTTGTTCCTGACAGAGGTTCCTGCCATCTAGCTGTGTTGCCGCTGCTGTTTTGCATTAGAGAGATTTTTCCCCACCCAAGAGATAACCACAATATACTTTGCACTTCAGGGCCTTTCATCCCAGACATTTATGGGATGTGATAACAACTCTCCTAGCATTTGTTTCCCACCAAAGTAGGACAGGCCATCAATGGATTGAGCTTTATGGGAATAGGAATGTTCCAATGCAGTTGAATGAGACAAGAACCAGGTCTAATATAATTCTTCAGAGGAAGAGAGGATGCGCATTTGGCCTGCAGTAATTGGTTTTAGAGCATAAACAATTGCCAAGATGAAAAAGATGAACAGTTTGGCAAATCTCAGCTCTGGAATCCTGTGCAGAGATACTCCCAGGTTGCTGTGTCATCCAGTGCCATAGCCACAGCCTGTCAGCGTTTCACTCCCCAGAACATCTAGAGGAGGTAAATCAGAAGTGAGCAGCCTGGTGCTTGGACAGGTGGGTTGAAGATTTGGCTCAGTCAAATGTGAGGATGGCAGCCCTCCAAAGGCTGGCCTGGAGTAGGAAAGAGGAAGAGAAAGCCATCTCCCCTCCTTTCAAAGGGCCTGGCTTGGAAGCTTGCTTCTTTTTCTGCAGTGGCTGCCAGGAAGGCGTGTGAAGAGTTCTCTAAATGGTGAATGGTAGTCCTATTTGCCAACTATGGGCAATTTGCAGTAGAAAAGAACAGAAAATAGTTGTTTGACATAATATTTGTATTGGTAGTTTAACTATAATTGTAGAAATATTAGAATATATAGAAAAAAATCCATATTATTGGCTCATAACTTCACTGTTTCAAATACCATTCCTTGTTAACTTTCCCCAAAATCATATTTCTACATATTTCACACATGAATATAGTGTGATTTATTTAACCTCTCCTCTTCCCGTGCTTAATTAGGTTGTCTCTAATTTCTGAAAATCACAAAAGGCAGAGATAAATATACTTGACCGTACATTTTTATTGTCATTTCTACCAATTTACTTTGCAGAGATTCCTGGTAGAAAAATTTCTGAGTCAAACGGTATAAGCAAATTGTGATATAAATTATATGTGTGTGTGTGTGTATATATATATATGGAAATATATATGTGTGTGCATATATAACCATATTTGCTTTTCAGGAAGGGATTGTATACTTTCATAACCATACATGAAAGAGTCTAGCTCATCCAAGCCTCCTAGCCTTAAAGACAGATAATAGACAGATGATAGATAGATAGATAGATAGATAGATAGATAGATAATTTGCCTTCATATATAAAAAAATACTGAATTAAATTAAGAAGCAGCTGAAAATTCACCCACATGGAACAATATCATACATTGTAAAATGTCCTGAAGGTTTAAACGGGGTAGGAAATAAATAAAATTGAAAGGCTTCAAGAAGCAGCTAGTCTTAAGTTGAACATAAATGTGTGGTAAGTATTTAATCAGGTAGATTTAAAATAAAAACCTATGTATACCTGGGGAAAGGGGAAAGACTGAACAAAGAGAAGAAGCCAGAATAAGCAAGAAATATTTGGTGGATGGTTTTACCAATGAATGTTTATTTCCACATCTGTTCATTCAAATAATATTTACTTGGTATGTATTAGCTACCTGGCAGTGTGCTAGGTGCTGAAACTCCAAGGATGAATAACAAACACAGCTTTGGTCTCCTAATGAAATAGTCTCCTAACTGGCATCCCTGCCTGCAAGCTCAATCTACCACTATCCATCACTAGTACTGCCATCAAAGCATCTTCCAAACTATAAACCTGTTTACATTACACCCAGGTTTTAATCCCCAGATCATTTTTACAGGATTGGGAAACTTCAGCGGCTTAGCAATGCTTTGGGATAAAATCCAAAGACCTTAATGGGGTTTTCGTGGCTTTTCTCCATCTGGAGGCTTCCTACCTCCTCACATCTAGCCTCTCTTCCTCTCTTCCCAAAAATAATAAGGTTCTTTCAGTTCCTTGAACTGGTCAAATGTGAACTCTTCACACAATGTCTAGACTCCTGGAATTCACAAATGCTGTTTCCTCTTATGAAACATCTCCCCCTCTGAGCCCATGTTCCTGCTTCACCATTTTTCACCTAGCTAACTCCTGTTCATCTTCTAGCAGTCAGATTTGGGAAGGCTTCCCTTGGCCGTGAGTCTGGGTTAAGTTTTCTTGCTACTTATGCTCAAAGCACTTCTTATTTCTCCTAGCATAACTCTCATCACATTTTATTTGCATAGCTTCTTTTATCATAGCACCCTCAAGACTGTAGTCTCTATAAATACAAAAACTGTGTCCTTCATGTTCACCTCCAAGTTCCTAACATTGCGCCTTACACACAGTATTTTCTCAATAATTATTTATTGAAATATTTTGAAATAAAGTTAGTTGTAGGGGACTGACCTGCAACTAACCACCTATTCTATCAACTCAGAGGCCAGATGTTCACAACACTGAATTACGGAGTCAAACATAACCAGCAAAGGTTCTGAACAGAACAGAACCCAGGCTCAGGAACTAAAGCATAGCATGCCAATATAATATCAACTTAGAGCAGTTCAGTTATCTCTCTTCTCTAATGCCTCTCTCCCAAGGCCATGGTAACGAGCTAATAAAACCAAATATGTAGGGCCCTGAATAAGGCATCCATTAAACTCTCACATTTACTAAGTATTCATTCCTTTCCCTTCTCTCAGCTCTTCATCTTACTCCCAAAGAAACTTGGACAAGTCACTTCTTCCGGGGCTTTCATGTTTTTTGCTGTAAAAGTAAAGGATTGGAAAAAACAGTTATTGCCTAAACTGGTCAAACTCAGCATCATTAAGACAGCTTTGGCTGAAAACTTCCAAGGGTGGACCTGGAAGCCAGTTTCTTTATAAAGTTCCCCCAGGTGATCCTGCGGCAGCCAGTCCAACTTAGAACTGCCATCCAGTGTGTTGGAAACACTAGCCTTTTCCAGCTCTAACAGGCAATGGTTTCATTTTTCTCTCTGCTTCTCACATGGAAAGTGTTTATTCAATAAATCAGAATATGACTCACTTGGCTGGCATTTTTTGTTCCACCAGATGAAAACTATGCCATAATTAGCAGTGAAGGTCTACTCTATGTGTATGTGTATGTGCATGTGGGTATATGTGAGAGTGTGTGTGTGTGTTTGTGTGTGTGTGTCTGTGTGTGTGTTGGTGGACTGGGGTGGAGAAGCGTAAAAAAAGTCGTGCATCCCTCAATCACTTCCATTCCTGACTGGCAGAAGTAGACTTACCAATAATGACATTACAGCACAGTGAAGCAGTGAGCTGCTTCCAGAAGGCTGCCCTTAAATAGAGACAAAGTGAAGATGTCCTTTATTCTTCTGCTGTTATTACATCAACATCAATCACATTTGCATGTTGGCCAATGGCCACTGTCCTTTTAAGTAAACACCAGAATACTGGTCATTGTGGGCTCTAAGAATGGGTTGGTAGAAACAAAATCAAGACCAGTCCAGAGCTTTGCCATTAGTTTAACAGGCAGTATGACTAGAACCAAAGCCCATTAAAAAAACACTAATTCGATGTCCACTTGATATAACAATAGAAAATACAAAAGCTGAATGGATCATGCAAGAGATTCAAAGCCCATGGAAAAATTTGAACTCAAAGCTGGCGGAATTATATGGCATATGTTTTCAGTAATCCATAAACATTTCTTGAGCCCCTTCTCTGAACTAGATGTTGTATTATAAATTGGGAATACAAATCTATTAAGACCTGGTCTATCTCTTTAAAGAAATTTCAGTCTATTGATATGGAATTTGAAAGAATGCTAATTAAGGATGCACTGTGTGCTAGCTGTATTACACATGATATTTTATTCAAACTCCTTAACACTTCTACATTGTATCAATATTCCACTGACATTCAAACAGTCTGAACAACTTAATATTCAGAGATAATATTAGAGAAACTGGACTACTTCTTTATTAAGAATACAGATGGAACTGTTCAGAAATATTATATATTGTACAGAAAAGATTTGCAAACATTGCCTTCTAGTAAATAACCATGGCTCAAGCACTAATTAAAGGAATACTCTAATTAAGAATCATCAATCCTAATAAGTTTCTCTGTGACAGCCCAGAAACTTAATGGTTACTGGAGTTTTAAGATGAAAGATTCTGATTCTTCAAATGCCATTGTCATTTGGGTGTTAACCCTAGAATGAGTCCTTGCCAGCCACACAAATCTGTTCTTCTGTCTTCCCAAGCCAGAATAAGCAGAACTTTCCCCTTATTTACATCCACATTTTGGCTAAAGCAACAGTCCAGACTCCAAAGAGTCATATGGAATGCTAACTGGGCACTGGTGGTCAAAGCATCATGCCAAAAAGGCTGAAGTTCTGGAGGCAAAATTCACCCAGTGGCTCCCAGAACAAAAACCCATATATTTTCTTTTTTCCTTTATCAACAAAAAAAAACCATCTCAAAACTAACAGTCTATCTAGGCTAATAATTGGACAATCAAGTATTCACTACTCCCCCCTACTCTTTTTAAAAATCTCATTACTGTAACTGGAAAGAGGTAGAAATAATCTTTGTGTCTGATTGAAAACAGGTTTCCTGATTCTCTTGGGCTTCCACATTTAACAGCTCATTCCACAGAAACAATCTTGCTTCTGCTTGGCCTAGAAAGTTTCTGACTTTATTGGTGCATTTTAACACACAGTCTGTCCCCCTTGAATGTGACCTGTCATCATTGAACTTTGAATATACAAATCCCAATCACCGTCTCCTTCCAAATTAACTGAACACATCTCTCTGTTTTGACTCGAGTTAGATGGTTGCTGCTAAACTTGAAAAGGTTGCGTCTCACTTCCTGGCATCATTGGACAGGTTGCAAATCATAACCACACTAATTAGCACATGGATTTCTGGATTTTAATAATGCCAGGCAAACGGAGATGTAAAGGATGGGAGAGGAGAAAGAGGAAAGGGTCACTCAGGGGAGAAAATGGAAGGGAGGGAACATGGGCAAAAGGAATTTGACTTTGTTTTATCCTCCAAAGCAGATACTTGCTGGAGGATTAACTTCAGGGAAAAATCCTTCAGTATTAGCCTTACTTATTTGTTACACAGAAATAAACATTCCTATTCTTTCTTACTAGATCCTCTTCTCTTCTTATTTTGAATCATGGTAATACAACAGGTTTCAGAAGGTACTGAATTCAATTATTTCTGGCCTTGCTGTCAAGTGCGGTCAAGTCAATTGCAATCTCATCAATTACATAAATGAACTAGAGAAAATGGGTCTTTGGAAAGTTTCTGAGCTAAGCTTTGCTTTCATAGCAAGAAATACCAAACCATCTTTTAAAAGTATACATATATGTGTGCATATACATACACATACATATACATATGTATACACGTATATACATATACACATATATAGATGGTCCCCAAATTGCAATGGTTAGACTTAGAATTTTTTGGCTTTATGATGAGTTTATCAGGACATAATCCCATTGTAAGTCGAAGAGCGTCTGCATGTATATGTATGAAATGCTTCCAGGCCTTCTTCAAATAAAAGAAAATTTTTTAGAGAAAAAAATATCCTTTAGGGAACACCCTCCACCCATCCCAACGGCAGTTATTCCAAATGGAGACTTACTTAATTGTGTCACCTACCTACCTCTTCCTTCTCTAGAATCTCAGGCTATTGCATTGGCATTCTCTAATTAGGAATATATTTGAGATATATCGGAAGAAGCAGACTGTGTGTCTTGATTTTAAACTTTGTCTCTTTGCTTTCTCTGTATTCCCCCACATCCCCCCTTCTCCAGTCCTTCAAATAGCCATGTCCTAAATGAACCTTCCAGCCCAGTCTGATGTTAAAAGAGAAATGTTTATCTTGGAGTGTAGAGATAATTGACAATTAGAAAAGAGGACGCTTTTAGCTCTTGCTCAGGGCACTGAGCTCCTGAACAAAATGCTCTTTTCTTTGAAGCCGAGTGGATTGCTGAGTGACTCAGGCAGGGATATGTGCATGTTTATATTTAGGGCCTACAAGAGTCAAGGAGCTTTCTGGGACAGATTTCCCAACCAGCTGGTCCCAGATAATACCAATAACTCATAAAAGACAAGATCAAATGATCCCAGCCCCTCCTGGTGGGAATTTCTGACTTTAATCCCTGATGTGTTGGTTTAGGGGAACTGATTTTTGGAGTGAAACCCAGCTCTGCCCCTAGTTTTTATTTTTTTCTGTGCACCAGAAAAGGAGGCTATGGAAAGAAGTGGCTTTTCCCCAACTCTAATCTGAAAAGTTAGATTCTTTTTTTTTTTTGGAAATTTATAACTGGTTTTATGTTTCTAATTATCATTGTATTTTTATCTCAAATGTGGCTCACTTTATTATAAATTCATTTTTATTTTATACACTATTAAAAATAATTTTTCCATTCTATCCTCAAAATCCACAACCATTACCCCCGCAATAAGGGTAACTATTCTAACGTGTTTAATAAGGTTTTGTTGTTGTTGTTGTTGTTGTTGTTTTAATGTGTTCTTAAGATTAGGTATATTATATATAAATATATATTTCTAAATTTCTATGGAAGTTATGACATTGTACATCTATTCTGTTTCTTGCTTTTGTTCTCACTATTTTTTAAAGATCCCTTCATCACACTTAGTGCACATCTAATCTCCTGCTTCTATCTGAATGCTACAGTGTCTGTCTACTCCATCTTACCTCTCCAATGCTCTGTGTTGCCCCCTGCTATGGTTTAAGTGTATCCCCTGAAAAACGTGTTATAAACTTAATCCCCAATGCAACAGTGTTGGGAGGTGGGGCCTAATGAGAGCTGATTAAGTCACAAGGGTGGAGTGAATGAATTAACATCATTATCTCAGAAGTGGATTTGTTATAAAATGGGTAGCTCAGCTCCCTTTTTATTCTCTCCCTCTTCTCCCCTGCCAGCAACCCCCTCTCTGTCACCCTCCCTTGCCCTTCTACCTTATGCCATGAGATGATTCAATAAGTACACCCTCACCAGATACCAGCCCCTCGATCTTGAACTTCCAAGCCTCCTGAACCATAAGCCAATACATTTCTGTTTATTATAAAATACTCAGTCTCAGGTATTCTGTTATAGCACAAAACAATCGAAGACAGCCCCTAAGTCCAAGAGTAACTAAATAAACCTTCCAAAAGAAAACTAAAGGCAGAGGATTTGCCCTATCAAGTACTAATACACACTACAGAGTCATAATAATAAAAACAGTGCATTTAATGGTCAAGAATAGAAAAAATATATCAATATAGAGCCAAGGGACAAATTACTGCATATACAGAGATTTACTATAACACATAAGGAGAGTACCATAAACAATGGGGAAAGGAGGATGGTTTGATAGGTAGTGGTGGGAAACCTGGTTCACTATGTATGTAGAAATAACTAGAACTCTAATGTTACATTCAAAGATGGGTCATAGATGAATTAAAAGCCCACCTGTGAAAGGTAAAACTATAAAGTTATTAAAAGAAAATATAAATACATATTTTACTTATTTTATTATTAATAATATTTAAGTAATATTATTACTTAAAAGTGTTTACCTGGGAACAGGAAAACACTTTTAAAATAAAACTTCACAATGCAAATGTAAGACAAGAAAAATTTGATTTATTATTAAGTAAGAATTCCTGTTCAATAAAAACCACAGATATAAAAAGTTATTTTCTCTCTTTCCACCTGGATAGTGAACAGAAAATTGTTTCATATGGCTCCTTTTCACTTGACCTGCTCCAAATTCCAAAGAGTACTCATTCGTTCTTTCTGGTCAAAATTAATGAACAATTCAGTTTTCATTCTATCTAAGCCCTGCATGGTTTTATAAATATTGAATGGAAAGACCTCACTTTTTTTTTCAATCTACCCCAAGCTAGTATCCCCCAAAAGGAAAAGAGAATCTTACAAGTGCTTCCTGATGTATTAAGCAAAACTGTGTTCATAGAGATATTTTGCTCTTCTGAAAGCATCAAATTATACAAACATTTATTCTCTCTCTCTCCCAGGTCTGACACCAAGCATACATAGAATTCCTTACATAGTTCTTCTAGGAGAATTCTGAGTTTGCAGAACTAACAGGTTGGGGTGAGTAGCAGGGATGAGATGTCTGAATTCAAAACCAGTTCCGTCCTCACTTTCAAAACAATGACCCAGAAAAATGACTATTTGTTATTTAAGGTAGCAAACTCTTTCCAAGCTTTCTTAGTAACACTGACAGAATTAAAACTCCTTCGATCATAAGCATGAAAGCTAGAAAGGAATTAACAAGTTCAGCTATCCTCCACTGTGATAAGGGTACTGCGATAGAGTGTGCTGACATGACCACCCAATGTTACAGAGCTAGTTAACTGAGCCAGGCCTATGACTCAAAGAGTTGATTCTTGGCCCTGTTCCTAGATTTCCCAATTGTATTAGCAGAGGTGCCTCAAAGTGCCACAGTGCTCACACAAGGTTGCTGTCAGATATTTTAAATTTTCTAGGAAAACAGTAATAGTTGACATTTGGCAGACACCACACCAACTACTAGCTCAAGATAGTTCACAGTTTTAAAATTAGATTGCATTACATTTGTTCTGATGATGTACTACATTTATGAAGCTGGGTTTTCATCTATCCATGCAATGAAAAGTAAGTACAGCAAAGAAATCAATGTGAAACAAGATGTAGAGATGATGGTGTCCAATCTGGTTCAAAGATTTGAGAGTATACGTGGAGCCCAGCAAGCACACATATCCCCATTAGCAGGTAATTGTACTTATTTAAGAATGAAAGTAAAATATAATTTCTCTCCATAAATATATATTAGCTTTTCAAATGGCTTCTAAGTTGTTAGGACAAATATTAATTCATTTGGATTTTAATACTTAAGATACTGAATACTTAATACTTCTCCTTTTTTAAAATAAACATAAGGTTTAAGTATTTCTTTTGGCTTAAGCTCTCCATGAAAAAAATTCTAGGACATACAGAGTACCAAGAGCCAAAAAAAAAAAAAAATGCTGAGAACTTTTGCCCCATTCCTTAGATAGTCACTCAGAAGGGTAACCTATTTCACAGTCACAAAGGCGTCCCTTTAGGGACTTTGAGACTTGGAGTGGAGACTGTGAAAACCTCCATCTCCACTTTAGCAAAGCAACTTCTTGTTTACTAGTTTTCTGCTTTACACATTTCCACAGACTTTCATTTGGAGAAAGGTTTGAGGAGCTGGGGACAAATGGATTGAATCCACTGGCATGGTAGACTGAGACTGGATTGGGATAAGGAGATGAAGAAATTCTTTGTATTAACAATGATAGGTGGCCAGGCATGGTGGCTCACGCCTGTAATCCCAGCACTTTGGGAGGCTGAGGTGGGCAGATTACCTGGGGTCGGGAGTTAGAGACCAGCCTGGCCAACATGGTGAAACCCCATCTCCACTAAAAATACCAAAAAAAAAAAAAAATTAGCTAGGCGTGGTGGCATGCACCTGTAGTCCCAGCTACTCAGGAGGCTGAGGCAGGAGAATTGCTTGAACCCAGGAGGCAGAGGTTGCAGTGAGCTGAGATCATGCCACTGCACTCCAGCCTGGCAATAGAGCGAGACTCTGTCTCAATAAATAAATAAATACATAATAATAATAGTAATTTATAGTAGCTCAAATGAAAACCTTCTTAACTCTAGCCTCAGCTTCCAAATTAGTCTAAATTTCAAGGTACTTTTAGTTTTTTCTAAATACTAATGATTCAGATTTAAACCACTATCTGTTTCTGACCCTGGTTTGATATGTTATTCATGTCTATTGCCAGTATCCACACACACCAAATCACCTAGACTTGTAACTTAGAATCATTTTTGCCTCTTCCTTCTGTCTTACTCTTCACATTCACTTCAGGCATTAAATTGTGTACATTGGTCAGGCGCGGTTGCTCACGCCTGTAATCCCAACACTTTGGGAGGCTGAGGCGGTTGGATTACGAGGTCAAGAGATCGAGACCATCCTGGCTAACATGGTGAAACCCTGTCTCCACTAAAAATACAAAAATTAGCCGGGCGTGGTTGCAGGTGCCTGTAGTCCCAGCTACTCAGGAGGCTGAGGCAGGAGAATCACTTGAACCTTGGAGGCAGAGGTTGCAGTGAGCCGAGATTGCACCACTGCACTCCAGCTTGGCAATAGAGTGAGACACCGTCTCAAAAAAAAAAAAAAAAAACTGTGTACATTTGACCAAACAGTGTGTCTCACACCTGCCCTCTCTTTTCCATGGTGGTATAGCTAGTTGAAGTGAGTAAGGCAGGATGTGGTCCTGTTTTCGCTGAGTTAAATGATGGTTTTTCTGATGGGTATGTAGGTAGATATAGGAGTAGAATAAAGAAGGAAGATATTGATATTATCTGCATGAAAGTGATATTTGAGGTAGCAAAAAAGAAAGTCAAGAAGAGAACTCAGGAGAATATGCTTAGCAGCATGAGAAAGAGGAACTTTATCAAAAGATTCAGGAAATCAGTCACATAGAGACTGATACCAGGGGGCTGGGAGAGACCTCAGCCGACATCCAGGCTCTTGACACCATCGTGAGAAGGAATGCAAGGATGAGTCAGAAAATAGTGAAAGTATGGCGATTTATTGCAAAACAAATACACTCAAGAAAGTACATATTCAAGAATGGGGAGTGAGGGTGTACTCAAGAGAGAATCCCACAGTGGAGTTTAGGACTGCTACCTTTATGGGTTTCTTTAACCAAGGAGCTGAATATTTATGAAAATCCCTGGAAAAAGGTAGAGGTTTCTCGGAACATGGTGCTACCCACTTTTACACCAAATATGTGTGGTCTCAGAACTCTCATGTCACTGGTCGGTGTGTGATTTGTATGTTAATGGGCATATAGTGAGGTCCCAGGTGAAACCTAGGTAGAATCCACGGCCATGTTGGGTCCAGTCAGTCTTAGCCAACTTGGTCCACACCCTGTTTTTCAGAGTCTTATCAGCCCATAGCCTCTAGTCATGTTAAACTATTGCCTAGAATTTTTATTCTCCTGTGACCACCCTGTACTATTCCTGTCTCAAGAGAACCATTGTATAATTCAGGAACAAACACCAATGGATGAAAGAGGGCCGGAAGGAAAGGAGTGACTATCCAGGCTCAGACTGTGTTCACATATGATGTTGGCCAAGGAGAAAAGGAAAAGATATAGAGAACAGTTTCTGGTCTTTAAAAAAATCTATCGTCCAGTTGAGACCAGGACATAGGACAACAGTGAGGAATGCAGGAGCAATGTTATTTCAAAGCCAAAATAAATCTATTCATTGGAACCCACCAAAGGAAAAAAAAAAGGAGGACTTCAAGGTTTCCCTTTTCATTACATATCTTTAAGACCTAATACTTAAACTCCTTCAAAGCAATTTACTAGGTATTTAAGATATATTTGAATGACAATGAGCTCCAAGGAAATTTAGCACTCATTTACATAATCAAGTAATCTTTTTGTGTTACTCGAAGGAACACAACTTAGAAGGAGTTCCAAGGTGTATGGAGTCACGGAGTGTTAACACTCACCAAGACTGCAGAACTTGCCATTTAGACATTGCAAACAGACAATTTATAAGCTACTTCTAGCCCTCAGGCATTTTTTTTTTGGCTCAAACACTGTTTGTTTTATTTTGTACATCTCATCAACAATTAAAAATAAAGAGATTTTACATAAAAATATCTATTTCTAAGTTCTCTGAAACAATCAGAAGGGTTCCCCGTTGTGGACCAGCATTCCAGAGTATCTGCCATCAGCTAAACCGACTCACAGGTGCCCCCTAGAAGAAAGCACCAAAGGCCTGGCTGCTTTAAGTATTCTGCTTTTTGTAGGCCCACAGCCGGGCAAATCTGCACATTTTACAGGCGAGGAACATCCTGGAAACCAGAGTGACAAGAGACTTGCTCAAAACTGATGGCTTACTAGAGGCCAAAATGGCCCCAACTTAATCTCTCAAACCAGATCTCCTGATTTATTGAACTAGGTCATTCTACAATGTGGTTCACCAAAAAAAAAAAGAAAAATAATTCTATCCCAGGTCTGTTGCTTATCTTTGAGTGACCTTTGGTAAGTCTGCCCAATTTTCCTCATCAACAAAGTTTTAGCATTGCCATGTGCCCTAATGACTTCATAGTGTTGCAGTTATAATAGAATATTATTTTCAAAAATACTCTCTAGAAAAAAAGGAAAACATAGTAATTTGTAGAAAAGCGAAGTTCGCCAGAAGCCCTACCTAATTTTAGGTTCTAGACCTAGTTCCTCCACCAGCTGGTTGTATGACCTTTCACATGTTTCTTAAACTCTGGTTTTCCAATTCAAATATTTTATTTTCCACGATCTTTGCAAGATTAATCTCATTCGTCACCTTGTAAAATGTTTTTCTTGAACTAAAATCTTTATGACTTGGGCCAAACCCAATGTGAATTAAACTAATAGAGAATAAAAATGGACTATTGGGTCAGGTCTACTTTATGCCCTGTCAGAAGCACACTGAGATATTGATAATGCATAGCCATTTGAAACCTCAGTGCCTCCCAGCTTGGCACAAAGAGCAGAGATACAGAGCGGAGCTCAGAGAGGAAAAGTAGAGATATAAATGACTGGAGAAGTGCTTCCAGGGAGCTGAGTCAGCCGAAACAGAGCCTCCTGCTGAGCTCAATGGATCTTTTCTCAGTTGCTTGTAGTGTTGGCTGGAGGCTGCTTGGCAATGCCTGCTGGGAAGACAATTTTTAGTCCATCGATTCATTGAAGCTGGGCAGTCTGCCCCAGCACTTAGGCACTCAGACAAAAATGCCCTTAATCACTGGCAAACCCAGAGATGTAGCAGGAGCCAGTGGCTCCATCAGCACCTCAGGTCTGACCAAAAGAGAAGGGTGGTCTAGAAAGCTCAAGGCGTCAGTCTCAGAATTCATAGGATCTATGGCTTGACTTTTAAAGCCAAAACTCTAAATAATCCCTGATCTTGAGGACAGAAACATTGTAACTCAAGAGCACTGCACTCTTTCTTTTGCCCTCAGTGAAACCAAGAGCAGCTAAGAAGCAGGTTTTTCGGGCTTTACTCACACTGTCCCCTCTGCCAATCTTCCTGATCAACTTAACCCAGGGTGTGCCTCCTCCGGGAAGTTTTCCCTGACCTCCCTCTTTATGTTAGAATCAGCTCCCTGCCCTGACCTTCTTCAGAACCTCCTTTGTTCACCACTATTATATCACCATCACGGCATACTTGTCTGTTTTTTTTTTCTCCATCTCCTCAATAAGATTGATCTCTTCAGACTGAAGACCCTTGTTAACTATTCATCTCTAGCATCTAACATAGTGCTTGGCATATGAAACACCCTTGAATTCTTAAATGTTTATGGAGGAAAAGAGGGAGGGAAGGAAGGGAAAAGGAAGGAAAGAAACTTAGGAGGGTAGGCTGAAGGGACTACTGTGATGAAAGTGAAAGCTGAGGGAGTAAAATGGGACACCTAAGTGGGCTATCAAGGTCCCCAAAAACTGTGCTAACAGCAGACGCAGGTGTCTGAATAGTCAATACAGTTAAAGGAAAAAAATAATCCTGGAACTGAGAAACGAAAGGAGGATCAGGTGAGATCACTAATGTATAAGTAATTTGAAAATTTGAAGTGTCCATAAATACAAAGGATTATTACAATTTCCATGTATTATTGTATTATCACAATCACTATGAAGGAATTAGGACCACTTTCTCTCATCAATTCATGGTTTCTTTCCCTGTCCCAAACCTGAGATTGTATGACTCAAATAGGAAAACATTGAAAAGGATTATCTGTTCCCTGTTTATGAACATGTCTTTATCTTGTAAGTAAAATATCTTCATGAACTGAAAATTCCTGCAACACAGAAATTATATCACATTTAAAAAATAATGATGATGATGCGTTAGACAGACCATTGATGGTCCTCAAAACATTCACTCATGTTGGACTCTTAGGAGAACTTCTGACAGGCCAATCAGCTAGGGCAACCCCAATTTAGATGATCAAACTAAAAATCATTGAGATTAAGTGACTTGATCAAGATTGAGCTTGGTAAGCATCTCAAAGGATCTAAGAACAAAGTAAACGTCCAAAAATATTTACAGAAATGGAGTACCAAAAAGGATCTAAAAGATAAACAAGTCCAACTTCCTACATAGCACAGGAAACCCTTCCGACAAACGGGCACACCTAACAACTAACAAGTCATCTAAACATTCTTTATTTTCCAGAAACAAAACATTTTTCCATTATCCATTCATCTTAGAGGCAGTTTACTTATTGTAAAAAGAGGATAATAATTAGCACATATTTCTTGGTTTATTTTAAGGATGAAAATACATGATGTGTATGAACTACTTAGCAATGGCAATTACCAGCACATAGTGGGTATTCAATAAGTGTTAGCTCTTACAATTTTTATTAGTCTCTTCTTGTGTTTTCTGTGTTTTGTTTTGTTTTGTTTTGTTTTACAGAGCCTCTCCAACCTTTCACATCTTTTTGCTTCAGACTCCATCAGTGTTTCAGGTGAATAGAGTGAAATCTGTTTATGATTCTCTAAATTATCCTTGGTGGAGTAGAAATTGTTGGTCTTAATTTTTCTGTGTATCATAGAGACTTAGAGATGTGATGAATTGACAGCAGCTGAGTCAAAGACAAAGCCTTCTGGGAAAGAAAGATTTTTTTCTTCAGGACTTGAAAGGAGCCTATTTGGCAACTTGCCATCTCAACAGCATGACTGTGTGGCATCCAGCATCCTACAAATATAGATGGAATTCCCATAAAACAAAGTTTTACAGTAACAACTAGCTCATTGCTTAGGAAGCTCTGATTCAAAGAATACTACATTAAGTGTCTTGTTTATGTTAACAAACTTCTTAAGTGAGAAACACCCAGATTGTAGGCAAGACCACTCACTGAAATGTAGAAAGAAATTACTGGAATTTCAACTTATATAGTAATGTAATCTTTTCCATTTGAATTTTTATCTTTATATAGAGTTTTTGTTGTTTGTTTGTTTGTTTGTTTGTTGTTTGAGTTTGGGTCTCACTATGTTGCCCAGATTGGTTTCAAACTCTTGAGCTCAAGTGATTCTTCTGCCTCAGCTTCCCAAAGTGCTAGGATTACAGGTGTGTACCACCACACCCAGCTTTTATATAGGTTTCTAATACATATATCATTAAAGTTGCACATGAATATGGTTTATGAATAAATGTGCATATATTTGAGATCTATGATCACAATTTTTACAGCTACGGTATGTGATCAAGGTTTTCAAATCATTGGTTTATATTAATCCTAAGACTAGAAAGTGTTTAAAGCAGTAGCTAAGTAACAATCTTCACCATTATACATGAGAAAAATAGAAAATATATACCCACTTATAAATTAATATTGTTATTTTCCTCATTTCCTGATTTGATTTTCCTAAAATTAATTTGATTTTGCTAAAATTAATTCAGTTTCCTAGGTCTCTACTCTGTCTTTATAAAAGCAAATTCATATTTACTATGATCAGTGTAAAAAGAGTGGGTGGAATATGCTACCAGCATTCAAAAGAAACATTCCTAAGGGCTAATGGAAAACCACAAATCTGACTGGAGGTCTTGACATCCTTTATAGCAGTAGACCAAATGTTAGCTACATCCGCCAACACTTTCAAAAGTTTTTATGGAACAAACAGAGACAAATACCAAATGCCAAGTAACCAAGTTACAACACCTCACTTCCTTTAGGCAGCACTCTCAGAAGCATGGTTCAATTCTCATTTTCAAGTTTGAGTTAACTCTAGACCCACGCCCTGGCCTCCAAAACTGTAGAAAAAAATATTGCAAAAGATGTCTTCTTCATGTTCCTCAAGGTAGTTAATCTCACCCAGAGAGTGGCAAGTACTTGGAATCTTCCCGATATTTTTTTCTCCTCCAGAGTTTTAGTGATGAAAGGTGTTGGGAGAATATAGAATGCTAAGCCCTACAAATCTTGCTGGAGAGATCTCCTAGAGAAATCAGAATCTTTCAAGATTGTTTTAGAGAAATATGCTACCACTTTGATTCCTTTCTAACAACTCCCCTGTGACCCAGCTGGCCTGACAAACTAAATCATGATACTCTGCAAAACATACCCTTTCACACATGAATGCCCAAGGCAATGTTTCCTAACCGTTCATGAGTCATAAAACCTATGGCAGAAATCATTCTACATGTTCACCAAAACATTTCATTTTTCCCTCTGGGCACCAGGAAAACTATTTTTTTTTTAACTTTTTCTAATCTATATGAGGCTATGTGATGGGTTCTGCCCAGTAAAAGGTGGGCAAAATTGATATCAGCCACTTCCAGGCCATGCCCTTAAAGTGTCCTACAGAATCATCCCCACTCTATGTCTGTTATCATTAGCTGTCTGGATGCAAAGTATCAAAAAAATGACTTTATTTATTTATTTGTGTATCGAGACAAAGTATCACTTTGTCACCCAGGCTGGAATGCTGTAGCGTGATCATGGCTCACTGCAACCTTGACCTCCCGGGCTCAAGCTATCCTCCCACCTCAGCCTCCCAATAGCTGATACCACAGGTGCATGCCACCACTCCAGGCTAATTTTTGTATTTTTTGTGGAGAGGAGGTTTCACCACATTACCTAAGCTGGTCTTGAGCTCCTGGGCTCGAGTGATCTGCCTGTCATGGCCTCCCAAAGTGCTGGATTACAGGCATGAGCCACCATGCCCAGCCCAAATGAAGAACTTGGAGTCCATGGTGAAAGGCAGAACCTTCTCAACTCAACTGAGCTGATCATGAGTGAAAAGCACATCTTTAAGCCACAGAAATTTTGGGAGTTGTTTGTTGTAGCAGCTAGAAAGGTTAATACAAACTTCTTTGAACAAATGATGAAAGATATGTTTGCTCATAACAGAACAATGCAAATTTGTCCATACATACAAAAGCTGGTGTGCAGATTCCAGATGCCCATCTGTGAACCTCATGACATTTTTTTATGAGGAGAAATCCTATAGCCAGTGTCAACACAAAGGTCCCATCTATCTCCAGCAGTGCGTTGAAATTCTTCCACTACCACATCCTTTATTTTGAATATTTTTTATTTTAGGGGTATAATCACAGTATAGTGATTGATTTGGTAGTTTCCCTCTTATTAGACCCTAAATAATTTGAAACCCATGTTACCTTTTGGTCCACAGTTTTCAGAAGAAACATGGACAGGTGAGTGAAGCATAGTAGGCAGTGGTCCTAGGTGCCCGTGGAGTCCAGTAATGTAGAAATTCTTTCCTTCCCCTGGAAGAAACTGACTGAGCTGTTAGTATTGCATTGGCTCTTCAGGACTGAGGGTAGCTATGAACTACGAATTTTAACCAACGAGATTTTCTAACTTCAACCGTACCAATAAAACATCATTTTCAATATGGTTCCTTTATCTATCCCTCTTTTATGTTTCCAGACATGAATGGTTTTTAGGAAGTTGTAGCTGATATGGAGAAACAACTAAAAAGCCACCAAGCTCTTACCACTCCTATTACAACCACGCTCTAACATTGATGCTAGCTGTAGCCATACTCACCCCTTACACCACTCTCCCTTCCCCCCACTTCACCCAGCTTGTATTACCACTAATGTTTGTGTTGCCATTTCTCTTGTTCCCCTGGCACCTCCAGTTAATAATGGCACCTGGTAGTAAAGGTACTATTACTAGCAATGGCATGCATTTGGCACAGTTTTAAAAGAGATTTGTAGGATGCGGTCTTGAAATTTTCCGAATGTATAATTTTATTTAAATGATTTGTAGAAATGAATCTGTGTTTACTTCTATATATGCTAGTTTATGAATAATTTAATTATTTACCGGTAATCTGAGTGGCTTTCTTAACCCGCAAACGCAATGGGGCACTACAGACAACCTCACAGTTAGAACTCAGTCGTCATGGCTAGGAGCCCAGGCTTTTCCAGAGTTCCCCTCCCTCAAGTCATTCTTGGAATCACTAAAGAGGCTTATCTATGTCGAGAATCCACCAGCCAGATCAAGATCATCCACAGCCTTCAGGCCCCAGTGGCTCCCCAGAGTGGCCTCTCTGAGTTGGATGAGGCTCTGGCGCCTGATGCTGCCGGAGGACATGTGGGAATGTGCCCAGCCCCAATGCTTCTGGACCTAGTACAGACCTCCTGCACCTTCCAGCCAAAAACCCATGTGGCAACTCCTCTAACGAAAGATCACCCTTTCTACTTTATAGCACTTCTGAAGATAGGGGTGGGGAAGCAGTAGATCCCAAAGCAAGAGGCATGAACGCTAAAGTGTAGTGACTTTTAGTGACACAGCTCGCAACCCACACACACACCCCACCCCATTTCCCAGAGGGGCGGGTCGCAAGAAACCCCAGCCTCAGCTACCACACTGGATCCAGAATGTTCATTCCCTAAGACTTTTTCTCAGGAGACTATTCAACCCCTGTGTCTACTCATTCATGCAAATGAACACTTAAGAGAGGAGTGTCACTTACCTCTTTTCTCATTATCGGACTCCATGAATGCAGCTAAGGTACCTTGTTAAGTACTTCATTTTACACTTATGTAATAACAAACAATAGACACGAATTGGTTGTACAATAATGAAAACTTCTTCAAGCTTCCCACAAAAATGAATTTTATGTTTTTATTGGCCTTCATGTTGTTATTCTCAGGAATATGTGTATGTGGCTATGCTAAAGCATATCACTTAGGCCCCATGTGCTGAAGAAGAAATCATCCAAGTGGAGAAGTGGAAAAATAAGTCAGAAAAGAAAATTATTCTTCCAAGTTTGTTCATTGTTATGAATATATTGTTTATTCTTCTCTCTTAATAAATAGAAAATTTGCTTTATATACATCATTATGGTATTCTAACCACCAACAATTTACCTTGCCCATATAAATAGCCAATTTATAAATTGATACTACTGATACCGCTGGTTTTATTTTTTAATTTCTGAAGAAAAAAGATTTAAACAGGGTATAAAAGTGTCAATCACAAGGCAACTTATGTTAGAATTTCATTCACCTTACACAAAATAGTAAGCACAGAATATCAAGAGTTTAGATCATTTTGAATACTACAAAACATAGGTTTTGGATTTTGTAATCTTATTTAAATTTATAGTTGAAGAACAGTTAATTGTGCCAGAGTATTTATTAATCAACCAGTGGAATAGAATACATTATAAAAGACCTTATGGGTTTTGATTAGTTTCCAAAAGACTTGAAAAAAACGATGAGAAATTTGTCCACTCCTTAGGTTTTTAAAAATCTAGTTAATATTTACATTGTCATGAAATTTATATTTGCATAGTACTCCATAAGTTTTAAAATACTGTCAAATGCATTGTCTCATTTGATTTTTCAACATCTCCGTGAGAAAGTAAAGCCGAATTAATGCCTGGTTTTAAGACAAGGGAAAAGAGGTATAGGTAAGAGGCAAGAGTCTTGTTGAAATCAACACAAACAGAAAATTAAAATCTAAGAATTCGTTCTACAAAATGTCAGTCAAGGTCTTTATATTAATCACCTTCTCTAAGTCAGATAAGCTAAACTTGGAATCTGGGTCCAGCTTCCTGGGTAACCTGTGGTAAGTTAGTTATCTTTCCTAAGTCTCAGCCTCCTCATCCATAAAACAAGAACATTTCTCAAAACCTCATTAAGGTTTTTTTGTGAAGATTTGCATAAGAATGTATATGTAAAATTGCCAGATCTTGTGTAAGTGCTTAATAAATATTCATTTTTTCCTTCTCCCCTTTGTTATTTCAAGAAAGTCAGTCACACTGTCACAGTCCCCTTGAATATGAATCTCTAAAAATTATTCAATATTCATCTGGAACTAGGAAAAGATTAAGTTGGAAAATCATATTGAGTAGGAAATTCAGTGGGGTAGGATTGTCTGCTGAATACTCCTGACATTTCTCTGAACCCTCTTCTGCCCAACTCCATGGGACAGCTAGCTTTATATGCAGATTTCCCCAGGAGCAGCCTCTCTTCAAAAATTCACCTCCTTCCATCCACCTGGTCATTGATGCCTCATCCTAGTTGACTTGATTGAAAATAGCCTGTGGCTTATCAGTATAGAAAGGAAATTCTTTGGCTTTGAGCTGGACCCTACACAGCTAGACAGCATTATTTTGGCACTCTAATTCCCAACATTGGGAGCCTTCTGGATATTTCAAAATGCTGTATGGTCAAAGAAGTCAAAGAATCAGTGTACTGCAGTATAAAGCACTGGCCAAGGCACAGGAGACCTGGGTCAGAGCCTTAATCATCCTCTAAGTGTTGACTCAATAAAGCATTTTCACCTCTCTGAAACTTCTGTTCTTCATGTATAAAACAAAGAGGGTAAAGACATATTGAACCCCTCTTTCTAATACTGTGAGTTTATGATGTGAAGGGGATTTGCAGTTTTTGGTCTAAGAGTGCTGAAGAACAGAATCATACAAAATCCAATACAAGAGCAAAAACGACTTGGGTAATTGAAGGAGGTAAAAGGGATAATGACATTTGTTATTTGTCAAGGTGTGAAGCAGAGTCTGAAAGACTTGTCAACAAGCCAACAAGACCATTGGAAGAAGTCCTAGATGAGACTGGTAGACTTGGGATAAGGAGTGAGGCAGAGAGCATGGGAGAGGAAGGCGGAGGCAAGCAAACCTTTAAAGAAACTTGAGAGCTGCTTGAAGAAACCTAACCAGGCAAAGGACCAGAAGGCCCCTTCTGCAGAAAAATGTGCTTTGGCCACAACAAAAGGGTTTTGGCTGGCCTGCTTATCCTAAGTCCTTCCTTCCTACCAACCATCTTGCCAGTGTTGCCAAATTGTTCATCCTAATTCAGAATTTCCTAATGTGTCTGGGGGATCTTATGCAAGGTTTCCCAAATGAGGTTTAACTTGATAGCATTTTAAGAGATGGGTAGAAGCTCAACCAAGGTGAAGCTGTTGTACTTAAAACAAAAGAAGGAGAAACAGCATCAACTTTATGGATGTCATTCTGAGTGCATTGCATGTATTGCATATAATCCTGTTGCATATAATACTGTTGTTCTGGGTACATTGCATATATTGTATATAATCCTCACATCACTACCAAGATGTGATTATTATCTCCATCTTACAGATGAGGAGAAAGAGGCTCAGAGAAATTAAATAATTTGTCCATAGTTACTCAGCTAGGAAAAAGCCTACACCGAGTCCATTACATGATTGCTCTTTTTCCACCACAACTCTCAATACATGCAAAGCCACAGAGTTGCAAAGGAATAAGATTTCTTTGGAAAGCATTGTCTATGCTTTCTCTGTGTGAACAGGAGAAGAGGTGTGGCTAGGTGGATGGTGATATTTGCTAGAAGACCACTGAAGTTTTGAAGGGATAGTGGAAGACAGGCAAGTTGACACCTAAGAAGTCTGGTGGTTTGTATCACAAGAATCTCTGTGACTGCCTCATGCCTCATTAGATTTTTTATTTTTTTTTTTTGACAGTGTCTTACTCTGTCACCTAAGCTGGAGTGCACTCTGTCACCCAGGCTGGAGTGTAATCTCGGCTCACTGCAACCTCCACCTCTTGGGTTCAAGCGATTCTCCTGCTTCAGCCTCCCTAGTAGCTGGGACTACAGGTGCACACCACCACACCAGGCTAATTTTTGTATTTTTAGTAGAGGCGGGGTTTCACCATGTTGGCCAGGCTTATCTCAAACTCCTGGCCTCAAATGATCCACCCACTTCAGCCTCCCAAAGTGCTGGAATTACAGGCGTGAGCTACCATGCCTGACCCTCATTAGATATTTATATAATATTGTCAAAATCATTCTTTTTTATTAGCAACTGTATCTAGAACAGGATCAGGACCTCCAAGCTACCTGTTATCTGTGATTAAACCACTTTGGCACCTGCCATTAAGATATTAGGTCCAGAGGTCTAAAGATGTCAGGCCCATTCTCCAGTGTAAAGGGGTAAGGAATGCAGTTGCAGACACATTTGCTCATCTTACCAATCAGACTGCAGCCAATAGATTATTCCTTTTAAAGAAATATTCCTTAGTGGAGACCTCATTGGGAAGCCCTCATACCTGGATGCACTCAAGAGAGTCTTCCTTTCTCTGCTGGAGCCTTAGACTCATGTTTCTTTCATGTTTTATAAGCCATACCTTCACTTTCTGAACCAAGATAAGCCTGCTGTAATTTTCATTTTTTTCACTGTGCTCTGTAAAAGAAAATCGGAAGCTTGTGTATAAAAAATAAAATAACAATAATAATAATTATGGGACCAGCTCCACATGACAGCAGCAATAACAGCTTTCAAAATCCTTTGAGTGTAAAAGTCTTATTTGTTTTATGAGCCAACACATGGAGCTAGTCTTAAAAATAAAAAAAAACATGAAAGGTTTCTTGCAGCTCAGATTTCATAGGAAAAAAAATTGTATCTTTAATTAAGATTTATGGGCCTCGGTAGGGCCCAGTGAGAGGAGAGAAATGGCTCAAGAGTGTAAAAAATAACAGTTAAAAATGGGGAAATATGATTCAGGACCTTTAATTCCTCCTGTCTCTTTTGCAGGGCTTCCAGTAGCCCCAGGCAAAAACAGGCACTTATTGTCTTTAAAACAGCATTATTCTTGGCATAAAATGTTTATGAATCAAGATGAAACTTGTAAGGAATAATAATGCCAATCTTACTTGAAAGGCTTCTTTTGCTAGAAACAATATTTAGTTTAATGGGAAAAAAATTTCTTAAGAGAGAGAAAATATGCATATTACTTTCTATATAAGGGAAGATGCCAAAAAGTCGACATCTTGCCTGGTGTTGGTTTAACACCTTTCAGTTTTCTTAGTGTTATGTGCTTGATCTCACTGGGTCTTCTCAAGAACTTTGAGAAGTAATAGAGCAGATGCTAGGACCTCTACTTTGAAAATGAAGATTCTTTTTCATGATATAAGGTTATAATTGCACAGTCTGGAAATGGACATAAATAGAAGTTTGATTCTAAAGCCAGCACTCCCTCCACTATACCATAGTGATATTCCTCTGAGTATATACATGCAGGTTATTTCTATAACATGTATGCATTTTTAAAGTTTCATAAGAAACATTTCTTCAAAAGCATTGAAATACAAAATACTATGCATTTCAACACTATAAATATTCAAACTGAACAATAAAGATACTTTGTGCACATTTAAAGTGATTATAAATAAAATATTTTAGATTTGATATAGAAACTGGAATGCACCAAGAGTCCACCTACATCCCTCCTCAACTGCATTTGAGAATCACAAAAATTGAGAGCAAATCATTTCAAAAATACCTGTGGCCACAGTTGTCCCTTCTATTACATAGACAATTAATTATGCCATCTTATGTTTGTCATTTTATCAAAAAATTATTCTATCTCTTCTTTCTCTACAAAAAGTATAAATTACTTTAGGGAAAGGATTGTGTTGTCATCTGTTATTTTTATTCTAGCTAAAGTTGGAAATGCTGTCAGTATTTAATTTGTCAATTAAGTAGGACTTGCTTTAATTTTTAATTACTTCCTTAATGCTTCAAGGCATGCCCTCTTGATCTTGTGCCTCAATAGTAATACATAAGCCATTCCTTTCATGATTGCATCTCTTTAATTATTCATAGCTGCTGAGAGGTCCTAACCCATCTTCTCAAATTCAAGTTTCAATCTGGTTCTAGCTCTACCACCCTCAGGACCAGCCTGCCCCTTCCAATAGGGGAAATTTCTGTGGGTGTCTACATACAGTTCTGGGATTTTGACAACCTTCATTTTGTTCCAAAGACTCACAAATCTGATAATCACTCTTCCAATAACCTCAACCTTCCAGAAAGAGAAGGGAACCCAAAGAGTAGATGAAAAAGCTTTCCAAAGGACATTCAATGTATTCATTTTGCACCAAAGCAGTCCTTATGTCCTCACCACTCTCTCAATGAATCATTTTTATGACTTCATAAAATATCCTTATGAAGATAATTCCATAGTCAATGTCTCTAGCCCCAAGACCGTTCCAAAAGACCAGCCCTAAAGCTACTGCTACCTGTATATCTGACCAGCACTTCAAACTCATTCTATTTAAAATTACATTCATGATTATGGTTCCTAAACTCTCCTTCCTTATATTGTCCATCAGTACTTGCTTGACTCATTCTCTCTTCCCCCAGAATACCTACACTTCTGTAAATATCCCTTCTACTTTCAATGATCAGCTTCAATTTCATCTCCTCAATTTAGACTCATGATCCCTTTATCTAAAAAGTGGCCCCAGCTTCTTTCAAACTTCTAAAACATATTGTAATTCTAAATGTTACCCAAGAATCTTTCCAACCTCTAAAATATATTGTAATTCTAAATGCTACCCAAGTATATTTCCAACTTCTAAAACATATCGTAATTCTAAATGCTACCCAAGTATCTTTCCAACTTCCAAAATATGTTGTAATTCTAATTGTTATCCAAGTATCTAAACCAGTGATTTGTGCAAAGTCAACATGAATGCCTTTTGTGATATATTTTGCTTCCATTTTGCAAATGATAAAGGAGCTTAAGGAGAGCTATTTCCAAAGTGAGTTGTGCAAGATGAGATCTAGTGAGATACACACACACACACACACACACACACTATTTGATTTCCATTTAAATTTAACTTAAACTTGGAAAATTAACTTTATTCATATTTAATAAACAAACGGCCTGCACTAAACCTTGTATGAAAAGGTCTCATGTCCCATGTAATACATAAGAATCCTCAGAAAAAAATTTATTTCTCAAAGAAAAAAGTGAAAGTGGAAGCCTCATTCTTTGCTTTGCTTTCCAAGTAAGGCTGTGTATTGCAGTTCATTTCTGTCTTATTAAGAATATTTGTGGGTCATGTTGTCTATTGTTGACTACATTACCTCCACAATAAGGTAAACCAGCTTAAAATATTCCCTCATTGAATAACACATGAGTTAAAGTTAAAAATAATAATGTAAACACAAATGAATAGCCAGAAAATGGTACAACTGAAATAGTTATGAGAACATTATATGGCAAAAACAATGGATTCTGTAATGAGACCTATTGCGGGATAGACTTTTAACCTCATCTTAGCATAGGTGAAGCATTAGATTATAGCTATTGGTAGTTATGAAGCCATCAATACGTAGGGAGACATTTTATAATATTGTATATTGTATCTTGCATCATTTAAAAATTATATTTTGGTTATGTTTCTATTGTTCATTATCTGTACTGTAGAGTCTTTATAATGTATAAATAAATATTTATACAGGTGTTTTTTGTTTTGTTTGTTTCTTTTTCCAATAGGGATAGACAATGACATAATTCAGAGGCCACTGTCCTGGAGGCTTGATTTCCCCACCACAGGCTCTGGACATTCATTGGTGGAGTGGTGCTATTGCTGATGATAGTGCCACATCCCTGGTGGCCAAGAGACACAGGCTGACGATGTAACACAATGCTGCCCGTTGGGCTCCAGCAATTTTTCAGCACCACTGCTGCTACTGGTACAGGTCTCAGTCACAAACATCTAATAGAAAATCCACCAGGCCTCAAATGCTGCAGAATTTTACAAGTACAACACGTTTAGCTCACATTCATTTTTTTTTCCCCATATGATCCTAGAGCAGCAAGCTCAGAAAGCCTCAAGAAAGCCTAGAACCGGATATTCTCTCCAGTGATTAGTCCTGTCCTGCATAATGTCAAAAATTCATGATCTCTCCCCAGCACCACTGCTTCCTTAGCTCTGATCTATTTTTTCTCTTGGGACCTTGTATGTCCTGCCCCTTCCCCGGGCTATGCTCAGGCCACCCTAGACCATCAGACATATTTTAATAACTATGAACTCAAAGGAAAGCTGTAAGACTCCCAATTCCTTTGCCAAGAGTCTTAGCTGCTTTTTCATAATTTCATGAATTAAAAAGTGTGAGGAAGATGCTGCCTTCTATGCCAGTATTTAAGACACAAATGAAAGTGGGAAGCTTAGAGGAAGCCAGACCCTTACCCTCTCCATCAATATCCCCTAAACCCCAAACTCTTTCAAGGAATGGGACAGTTACATGGCTCTTCTCATTTTCTCCATGATAAGTTCCATTGAGGGCAAGGAAAAACAGCATAGTGTAGATGTTTGGGGCACAAGCTTGGGATCAAATGGTCTGGGATCCTCACAATCCTATCGCTGATCTGCTGTGTTGATTTGGGGCAATTGACAGAGCCTTTCTGGTCTCAAATTCCTCCTCTCTGAAATGAAGAGGAAACTGAGGCACTGAGAATTCACTGAGCTAATTCTTATAAGATACTTTGAACAGAGTTATCTTTCACATAAAGTCACCTAATACATGTTAGCATTAGTAATTATTATTGTTACTATTTTTAATTTTCTATTTTCATGGTTTCTATCAAACACCATGTATTGTTCTCCATATTTATTTGTTTAATGGATAAATTAAGAAATACCTGAAAGAATGAGTGAATGAATGAATTGTATGTGCTGCAAATATTAAAACAGCTTCTAACTTACATGTGTTCTCCACAGGGCCTCACCATGTGACAAGTATTTTTTTTCTTCTCAATAATTAAGAAATGAATACAACAAAAAAGAATACCTGCCAAGCAGCCAACTTATATATTTTTCTTGATTAGCCTCAGATTTCCATGACTTTAACCAAGAAAAATAACAACTGATTATACAAATCTGAAAAAGGGCATATTCCCTTCTCTCCTATGCAATTTTTAGATGTTTTTGTTGCCCGTCTTCCCTCTGGAGTTGCCTGTATTCCTCCAACATGTTCTTATTCATCAAAGAACTCCCAGGAAAATCTACAGAAAAGACCTTTTAGATCTGAACAGCCCATCACCATTTGGGGAATCTCCTTTAGACCTGAACAGACTGTACCATGTGGCCTAAACCTAAAAAGATGTAATAACCAGGAAACCTTTGGGCTTAAACAGAGGCCCAGAGATCCACAAGTACCAAGCTGAGAGTAACTGAAAAAGTGAGGACATTGCAAAGTATAGGAATATTAATCACACCAGAAGAAATGGCTAAGAGGATATGACCAAGATATTCAACATTGCAATATGCTCCTTGAAAATTGGTTATTTCTTTTCTTGAAAATGTATTCGCTCCACAGGATGTGAGATCACACAATGAACTTAGGGAAGGTATTTTTCAAATGCATATAGGAGAAATATGAAGTTCATAAACAGTCTCTGGAAAGTATATCTGAAGCCAGGAAGTGATTCAGGATATATTCCTATATGGAATACTTAATCAGGTCTTATATCACTAATACTATATGCTATTCAGTCCATAGTAAAGATACTCTTGTAACCTGAAGCACACACTCTTGAAGGCCCCAATGATGAATTCCGATTCTCCGTGTGTCATGACCACATCTTTCTAGATGCATGTGCTGCTGGTAGACCCACAATCCCTCCATCTTTGGTCAGGAGAGGAAGGTACCAAATGTCTCTTCTGTCTGGGTAACCAATGCCAGGAAAATGAGCGAGTGACATTGTCCCTGCATGTCCAGTTTTCCTCTGAAGCAGTTTGGCCGCTGAAACCTCAGTAGAAATCAATAAGAATGAGTCAGTAATGCTACGATAACAAACACCTAAAAAGTTCCAGTGTCTTAGGGCAACAAATATTTATTTATTGTTCATATTGCATATCCATGTTGACTGGGCTGAGGGCTTTGCTCCATTGCGTGGTCATTTCAGGGTCCAGGTTGATAGAGTAGTCACTACCTGGATGTTGGCAGTCATTGTAGCATTGGGAAAGAGTGCTCTGGTGGGTCTCATTGGTAATTAAATGCTTTAGCCTGGAAGTGACATACAATTTCTCTAACAACTCATTAGCTAGATTTTGTCACATGTTCCCATCCAACCATGAGGGAATAGCACATTTAATCAAAGCCAAGAGATTAAAATAGTAACGAATATCACTAAGGACTTTCTCAGCCAGAAAAGATGAACAAATGTCTTATTATAAACTTGAACTTAACACCAAGGGCATAAGAGTGGGAGGAGAATACAATCTAATCTTTGCCCTCAAAGACGTGGTAATCTTTTGGGAGAAACAGAACATCCAGAAGAACAACAAGAGTTTACTTTTAGTGAAGACCATTTACAATCAGAAGGAATATGAAACCCCTAATTCTACAACAACAGGATAGAACATAATTTCCTCTTCAACATGACTGAAAATGTCAAATTATACTCTTCAGATCACTAATGATCTCATAATTCTAAGACGTTCAACTCTTAAATGCATTCAAATTGTTCTTTTCTAAAAATCATTACAATATTGGATCGCTTTCTCTTTAATTCTAATAAAATTAGCAAAATTATTTTCCATGCAGACATTATTTTACACACATGATAATGTATATAATTAATAAGAACTAGTGAATAAACAAAGACAAATGTAAAACAAAAGACTCTGAGAAGCGAGGCCTGACAATGGGATAACTTCACTCCCAGCACTGGTATTGTCCAAGATTCAAGTTTGTGCTTCTATATGACTGCTAAGTTTTATCCAATCCTAGATTTTTTGGATCACTTTCATAAAACCAAGAATACTCAGTCTGAAAACACTGAAATATAAGACAAATGTGTAGAAGAGAATGCATTTTACCTCAATTTCTATCAATGTGCCATTTTGAGGGTGGGGGAAGTAAGTTTTGCTCTCTAAGCTTTGTCACCTATAAATCACTCTCTGTAATCTTGGTTCATCTAATCATCATTGCTTCAGCAGCCTTCCAATGGCTTTAAATATATGCTTTTAATATTTTATAGCATTTCTATTTATTCCAAGAAATCTCACAAGCTACTCTATCCTTCCTGGAATAGACAATATTGGATCATTTATAGGGCCCGTTTCTCAGCCTGTGTTTCAGTTTAGAGAAAAATTTCCATTGCAGTTCAAAGATACCAGAGAAGTTCTTGTGAGTGCAATAAAAACAGAACAAGTATGACATAAAATCATAGTGGTTATAACTAACAAACAGCCTCTTCCCGCTTATTTGTAAAACACACACAATATATTTAGATTTCCTTGTGTTCATTCTCTTTTTTGCTCTAAATGCAATACCTTTTTAAGGGAGAAAATTTGCAATCACTAACTCTCTTTGCCACTTTCAAATGAAGGATAGAGTATCAGATCTGGAAGATTCCACAACTATAAAATGTCCTTTTTTGCATATGAATAAAAGATGCACTGCTTATCAGAATCATGCTATATGTTGTGAAATATAGAAAACGTACCCAAAATATGTCCAGCATATTCTGACACTCAGGAAGCTTACACACATAGACTAATTTATAATTTAAAGAATAGATGGAGAAAATCAACAGTGAGGTTATATAGTATAAACAACAACAACAAAAAGAAGTTCAGAAAAGATATAAGATTACCCTGAATGACTACTGAGGCATTCAAGGGGAAATTGTGAAAAAGGTGGGTTGTGACCTGTAAATCTTGAAACATGAGTTTTATGCCAATAGAAGAAGAAGTTAAGGAATGAAAGAAATATGGAACGACCATTGAATAAGCAACATAAGTAAATGTTCTCAGTTAAGAACCAGTGGAGGGACTTCTTCCAAGCAGGATAGAGTAGCATGTGGAATTTCTCATAGAAGAACTAGAAATGGCTATAAAATATCAAAAGTATATATTTAAAGACATCAGAAAGCTGCTGAAGCAATATGATTTGATGAACCAATATTATAGAGTGAGAACTACAGAGAGATGAGCTGATTATCTGCCGCTGCCTTTCTCTAAGAGCACTGGCTGATTTTGGAAACAGATGAGGAGGAATATCCAGGCCAGGCTTTGCCTGTTGATAAGACCACTTCTGGGGCCTAGGTAGCCAGCAGATTTGGTGGCCTCATAGGATTGAAGGGTTATATTGAAGATTTTTTTTCAGTGTATAAAGTGTTTGCTTTTTGCCTCAAGATATACGCCAAATTCTGAAGCTACACAGGAGCAAAAGTTAAAGGAGAAGCAGACGCCTCTGCAAAGAGAGCAGAGCTTTTCATAGTATGGCAGTCCTAAGGACAGAAAGATTAGAGTCCAGAAAACACCACTTAGTTAAAAATTCTCCAAGGATACACCTTAGGAGCAGAATGATACGGGGCTGATTGAACTTTCCAAAAACTAGAACCCAGACTCAGTTGAACTCAGTGCTTGATTGAAATAAAGATGACCAGTCACCACTGAATTTGCCTGGCAGAGGAAAGAGTGAATCTTGGAAGAAATTATCTGGGGTAACCAACAAATTTTATACACAATATCAGGCATTCAATTAAAAATTATTAGACATGATAAAAAGAATATATAGGTCACAAAACAAGCCTGAAAACATTTGAAAAGAATTGAAATAATATCAAGCATCTTCTCTGACCACAATGGAATGAAACTAGAAATCAACAACAAGAGGAATTTTAGAAACTATAAAACACATGGAAATTAAACAATATGCCCCTGAATGGCCAGTGAGTCAATGAAGAAATTAAGAAGAAAATTTAAAAATGTCTTGAAACAAATAATAATGGAAACTCAACATATCAAAACCTATGAAATGCAGCAAAAGTAGTACTAAGAGGGAAATTCGTAGCTATAAGTGCCTACATCAAAAAGAAGAAAAACAACAAGTAAATAATCTAATAATGCATCTTAACGAACTATAAAAACAGGAGCAAACTGAACCTAAAATGAGAAGAAAAGAAATAATAAAGATAAATTAAAAAATAAATAAATTTGAAATGAAGAAAACAATACAAAAGATCAATGATACAAAAAGGTGGTTTTCAAAAGTATAAACAAGGTGGACAGATTGTTAGCCAGACTAATAAAGAAAAAAAGGGAGAAGACACAAATAAATAAAATCAGAGATGAAAAAGGAGACATTACAAGTGATACTGCAGAAATCTAAAGGATCATTAGTGGCTACTATGAGCAACTATATGTCAATAAATTGGAAAATCAAGAGGAAAAGAATAAATCTGTAGACCCATAAAACCTACCAAGATTGAACCATGATGAAACAAAACCTGAACAGTCTCCAATAACAACTAATGAGCTTAAAGCCGTAATAACAAGTCTCCCAGCAAAGAAAAGCCCAGGACACAATGGCATCACTGCTGAATTCTACCACATATTTAAAGAACTAATACCAATCCTACTCAAACCATTCCAACAAATAGAGGAGGAGAGAATACTTCCAAACTCATTTTATGAGATCAATATTACCCAATTATACCAAAACCAGACACATAGACCAATGGAACAGAATAGAGAACCCAGAAACAAATTCACACACCTACGGTGAACTCATGTTCAACAAAGTTGCCAGGAACATATGCTGGGGAAAAGAGAGTGTATGTCTTCAATAAATGGGGCTGGGAAAACTGGATATCCATATGTAGAAGAATAAAACTAGACCCCTATCTCTTGGTACAAAAATGGAATCAAAATTGATTAAAAGCTTAAATCTAATATCTCAAACTATAAAACTACTAAAGAAAAACAGTGGAAAACCTCTCCAGGACATTGTTCTGGGGAAAACTTTCTTGAGTAATTCTCCACAAGTACAGACAACCAAAAGAAAAATGGACAAATGGGATCACATCAAATTAAAAAAACTTCTGCACAGCAAAAGAAACAATCAGTGAAGTGAATTTTCTCCCACAGAATGGGAGAAAATATTTACAAACTATCCAAGTGACAGGAATTAATAACTAAAATATGTAATGAGCTCAAACAACTCTATAGGAAAAAATCTAACAATTCAATTTAAAAATGGGCAAAAGATTCGAATAGACATTTCTCAAAAGAAGACATACAAATGGCAAACATATGAAAAGGTGCTCAACATCATCAATGATCAAAGAAATGCAAATCAAAACTACAATGAGATGCCATCACACCCCAATTAAAATGGCTTTTATCCAAAACACAGGCAATAGCAAATGCTGGTGAGGATGTGGCAAAAAGGGAAGAAAAGGGAACCCCTGTACACTTGTACACTCTGTTTTTTTTTAATACTTTAAGTTCTAGGATACATGTGCAGAATGTGCAGGTTTGTTACATAGGCATGACGTGCCATGATGGTTTGCTTGACCCATCAACCCATCATCTACATCAGGTATTTATCCTAATGCTATTCCCTTTGTACACTCTTGATGGAAATATAAATTAGTACAACCACTATAAATAACATTTTGGAGGTTCCTCAACAAAACTAAAAATAGAGCTAGCACATGATCCAGCAATCCCACTGCTGGGTATATTCCCAAATGAAAGGAAATCAGTTTATTGAGGAGATACCTGCACTCCCATGTTTGTTTCAGTGCTGTCCACAATGACCAAGATTTGGAAGCAACCTAAGTCTCCATTAATGGATCACTGGATAAAGAAATGTGGTACTTACACACAATGGAGTACTATTCAGCCATAAAAAGGAATGCGATCATGTCATTTGCCAGAACATGGATAGAACTGGACGTCATTATGTTACGTGAAATAAGCCAGGCACAGAAAGACAAACATCACATGTTCTCACTTATCTGTACTATCTAAAGATCAAAACAGTTGAACACCTGGAGATAGAGAGCAGAAGAATAGACACGAGAGGCTGGTAAGGGTAGTGATTTGGGGTGAGCGGGAGGTAGGAATGGTTAATGGGTACAAAAAAAAAAAACAGAATGAATAAGACCTAGTATTTGATAACACAAAAGGGTGACTACAGTCAAAATAATTTAATTGTACATTTAAACATAACTAAAAGAGCACTGTTGGATTGTTTATAACACAATGGATAAATGCTTGAGAGGATGGATACCCAATTTCCCATGATGTGATTATCATGCACTGCATGCCTCTATCAAAATATCACATGTGCCACATAAATATTTACATCTACATTGTACCCACAAAAATTAAAATTAAAAAAAGAATAGATAAATATAATTGAAAACAAAGAGAAAAACATACAATAATAATAAACTAGCAGATATTCTAGAGAATGCCTTTGGAAATAGCAAAAACTTTGATATTAAAATAATAACATTTTTTATTTTTTGATGTTTTAAATAGTCAAAGATATAGATAAAATGGGTTAAAAGTAGAAAATCCCATGAGAACTTATTAGGAAAAAACAAAGAATCAATAGGAATTTTAGAACTTAAAAATAAATTACCTGAAAATAAGTACCAAAGAGTTAAAACACCAACAAAACAGCAGTAGGTTAGATGGAGATGGCTATAGATACAGATGATATAAATAGATATCATCCAAACTGAAGCACAGAAAATAAAAAGAATGAAACATACAGAAAAATGCATAAGAAGCATATAAACATATTAAGAACAAATGTAATTGGAGACTCAGAACAGGAGAAAGAAGAGGATGGACAAAACAATATTTAAAGGAGTCATCAACTGTACTTCTACAGACCAGCAGCAAACAAATAAAAATATTTTAAATGTAACATTTAAATTATACAATAGCATCAAAAACATCAAATACATAGGAATAAATCTAACAAAGCATGTATAAGACACAAACGTTGAAAACTATATTATTGACATAAAAGAAAAACTAAAAAATATATATATATATACCATGACCATTAATTGGAATACTCAATATTGTAAAGATATTTATTCTTCAAAATTAATTAGAGATTCAACTCAATCTTAATATAAATCTCAACGTGTGTGTGTGTGTGTGTGTGTGTGTGTGTGTGTAAATTGACAAGCTTATTCTTACATTTATCTGGTCATGCAAAGGGCTGAGAATAGCTTAGCCAATCTTAAAGAAGTGTAAATCCTCTTCTTGGACTTGAGCTGAAGGATTTATACTTCCAGATGACAAAATTTGGTATAATGTCATAGTACTTAAAAAAGTATGCTATTGACAAAAGGGTGGCAAAACAGACAGATAGAAGAACAGAATGGAGAATCCAGAAACTGCCCTATATCTATAAGGTCATTTAGTTTATGACAAGGATAACATTATAGCACCTTGGGAAAGAGATAGGCATTTCAGTCAATAGTGCTATGAACAAAAAGTACGCCAAAAAAATCAATTCCAGATGGACTTTGTACCTACATTTTGAAAGAAAAACCAGTAATTATTTCAGAGGGAATCATAGGGGAATCTTTATGATCTTGAAGTAAGCAAAGATTGCTTAAACATGATGCAAAAAGTACTTTTGAAAAACTACTGATAAATTGGTTTTTATTAAAGAACTTTGTTTATGAAAAGAGGACAATAAGAATTCAAAGGAAACCCAAGAAGAGTAAGAAGATATTGGCAATACTAGAGTCCAAAAAAAGACTCACACCTAGGCTGCTGGGCGGGGTGGCTTGTGCATGTAATCCCAGCTACTCAGGAGGCTGAGGCAAGGGGACAGCTTGAAGTCAGGAGTCTGAGACCAGCCTGGGTCAAATAGTAAGACCTTCATCTTAAAAAAAGAAAAAAAGAAAGAAATCTCATCTGCATCAGGAAGAAAGACAACATGAAAATCAGCAAAAATTTTGAAGAGAAGCTTCATTAAATCTAAATGCCCAAATGTCAAATTAACATATAAAAGGTGCTCAATCATTCGATATCAGAATAATGCAAATTAAAACCAAAATAAAACAAAACATAATGGCTAAAATGAATCAGTGCAGATAGTAATACCAGTTGCAGATTGATATGACTGAAACTCTCATAGCCTACTGATGGATGTGTGAGTTAATAGTAGCTTGAAAGAACTGTATTTGCTAGAGCTAAACCATGTAACCCAGTGTTTTCACACCAAAAAACATACTCATTGAAATGTGAACATTATGTTTATAAAAACACATGTACAATAATGTCCATATCAGTACTATTCATAATAACCAAAAATTGTAAACCACCAAAAAGTCAATGAGTATATAATGATATATGTATGATATATGTATATGAATGAGTATATATGATATATGTCCATTTAATAATAAACTATTCATATACAGCAATGAAAATGATTCAACTTATATGACATACATCTATATGGATGAATCTTATAACACGGAATGAAAGAAGAACAGATATTTTGTATAAATTTAAATATAAATTTATAAATATAAAATAAAATCATGATGCTATTTATACAGCTTTTAAAATCAAGCAAAATCAGCCAAAGTCATTTTATCCCATATTTGGCAAAGCAATCCAAAAGCTGAATCCATTTCTGCAGCTAGAGTAATCTCTCTGATGTTGGAAGATCATAGTCATCATTGGGCCATGACTGGTGACATGAGAGATCTTCTCTTGTGCTCATAATATTGTTATTTGAACTGGATGCTGGTGACAGGGGAATGTTTACTTTGTGATTTCTGTACCTTCCTATACGTATGATATTTTTCAACAAAATTTTACTTAAGGAACAAATGTGAGATATGGCAAAGAAATTCACAAAAGGTAAATTGGGAAACGAGTTCAGAGAAAGAATTTGTTTGTTTAAAAAAGTAAACACATCTTTTAAATGATTTGTTTTATTTTAACATAAGATATTATTACAACTTTGCTGCCTTAGCACACGATCACCTAAAACAATCCAAATATTTGTAGATGTACAAATCAAGGTTTTTTCAATGCCAATTGAGCAAAAAAAGCAGTATTCTTAGTATTCATGTGTTCATTTCTCATGCCACACACACCTGGGATTCTCTCTTCCTGCTCAAAATGTCAACCACCATTGTGATATGCATTACAGAAAAGATTCTCTCAACAAACTTTTCTGTGTCAGGAATAAATGTTTGCAGTGGAAACATTTTTGCTTTTTAAAATTGAAAACAGTTAACACTTCAACTTGGGGCCATGTATCTCACCAGGGTGTGTTCTGTCACACACAGCTAAAACAATCATATCTTATGAAATTGCCATAAATGCTCATAGTCATATTGAAATTCCAACAAAATGATTATACTTCATAGAATGTCATGGTTATTATCTTTCTACTTTTTTTTTTTCTTCTTTTTGAGACAGAGTCTTGCTCTGTCGCCCAGGCTGGAGTGCAGTGGTGCGATCTCGGCTCACTGCAACCTCTACCACCTGGGTCAAGAGATTCTCCTGCCTCAGCCTCCCAAGTAGCTGGGACGACAGGTGCCCGCCACCACACCCAGCTAATTTTTTTTTAATTATTATTTTTAGTAGAGACAAGGTTTCACCGTGTTAGGCAGGATGGTCTCGAACTCCTGACCTTGTGATCCACCCGCCTCAGCCTCCCAAAGTTCTGGGATTACAGGTGTGAGCCACCACGCCCGGCCTCTACGTTTAACTTTTAAACAGCATAGATGTCTGAAAGTGACTAAAGACTTCAAGGTGTTAGTGGAGATCAGAGCTGACCATACCTTTACCACCAAGCAGCAGTTGTGACCAATGATCATATAAACAATGGCTGCTCATCTTCTGGGCTTCCCGGAATTCTGCTTTATTGCTCTACAAACTCTCCCTCTCCCATTCTAATATCCCACCCAAGTTCTATGATCCTCTGTATTATCAAGAAAAAAAGATAATCCACAGAAGCCATTATTGCGTTAGCAGTAATACCAACAAAATAAATTGAAGCTACAGTGAACTAATGCTTCAATGAAGTGAGCGCTGACTTTATTATAGAGGTATAAGTTTTCTTGGCTTATGGGAAATAATACTTATATTCTGTGTCAAAGAATGTTCTTGTATGTAAGACAAATATGGTTTAAGTATTGCCCTCTTCCTGTAACCTCCTTTAAAATCTAAATAGCCTTTAAAGAATACCAAAGTTCTGAATACTTAATATAGGTTTGATTATCAGATCACTTTCTTTTATAAAGAAGGACAGCCTAAGACCACAGGGCCAGAAAAATGATAGATGAAGCACTTAGAAAGGGAAAAGAAATAGAAAAATGGAGGGATAAGTTGGAAACACAAACATTACCTCCTTCAAAATTATCCCAGGGACCAAAAAAGAAAAAAGAAACAGAAAAACACACGTATTGCTGTTCTCTGTGGCTGCCCCTTGCACATAAGAAGCTCTCCCATGTGGCGTTCGGGTTGACATTAAAACTATAATAAACAGATACTGAATCCCATTCTAAACCAAACACTGACTGTTAGGCCCCAGGAGTTCAGAAAAGATGAGAAAAAGAGAGGTTTCTTCTGTCTCCATTGAAGCAGGAGTTTACAGCAGCCAAAGTCATTTTACCCAATATTTGGCAAAGCAATCCAAAGGCTGAATCCAATCCTGCAGCTAGGCTAATCTCAACTTTCATCACTGTCTGCAAACAGATTTGGGAGTTGCCAACTGCCTTGATTCCATTGGCCTGGAAAAAGTTTTGTAAGCTGAGTGTGAGGTTCTGTTTGTCACTTTTGTCCTTGGGCTAGCAGGTGGATAGATGACACCCAAAGGACACTATCTGAGAGGTGGCAAATGAACAGGTTTTTCCCTTCATAAAAGAGGATTTGGGGGAAAGTAAATTTTCTATTGAAATACAAATACAGGAGAAATAGCAACTCACTACCTGCTCTTAACACTTTTTAGTGAATCTCAGGTCTGAGACTTGGGCTAATTGGCACACTAAGGACAAAGTGACACACTCAAGGTAAATATTAACTGGTGAAAGGGGAGAGAGTGTGAAAACCATCTTCAAAGAAAATCAGGGCTGTGTGAAAGAAAGCAAAAGCAGTCTTAGTCCTTCAATATTTGAGAAAAAAAAACAATGAGTAGGAGATAACATGCAAAAAAAAAAAGAAATCTATAAGAAGATTGTGAAGAATTCTGAGAACTAGCCCTTTAAGACTGGTGGAGATTTATTCAGGAGGGAAGCCCTGCCCCAGGGAAAAGTTGCCAAGAGACTTGTTTTTAGGAGATCACCAGCCCAAATTTCCATGACTTTCTACTTGTAAATTCAAGTTTACTTCTGGCCCGTGTGGTTCCAGAAATGACAATACTCATTGAAATCAGGGTCTCATTGTGCTCATCAGGGTCTGACCTTACCTGAGCTTCCATCCTTGTTTTGTTTGTTCGTTTTGTTTTTTTTTCTTTCTAGAGTAAGTTTTGCTATCTTTCCCAGGTTCCACTTTCCAATGCTTTTTTCCACTTCCTAGTTTTGGTTTTGCAAGGCCCATTCTCTGTGAAGAATTTCTTTCCATGAGCTCAGATGGAAATGCACCACAAATCAACACTGCTGGCCTCATGGTTTTCGCGCCAACAAGAATTCCATGAGATTATCTAGGGACCTGGTAGGCTAGAGTAGTGTGCCTGCCCATGGTGGCACCAGAATGCTTGAATAAGATGAAGAGTTCTACCACCTTCAGGATAAATCAAAAGGTCTAAGGAAGAAGACACCTTAATATAGCGACAGAGCTCTGTACCATACACAGCAGCCATGGACACTGAGTTTCCGGAAGAACTCACCTGGGACGCCTCTACCGTCATACTGCTCAGGAAGCTCATTAGCATTTTAAGGAGACCCGGAAGCTTCAACCTCCCAGTTAAAATATAATTTTAACTGACAGCTTAAGGGCATCAAGGCATTTCCCTCCCTTTATTTATATGTAAAGCAGGAAGAAGCACAACAGTTACAAGTTCCAGTGCCCCTGGGAGAGGAAGGTGTGATTATCGCAGGGTAATCTTACCCCTCCAGGTGCAGCTGCCAGGCTCAGCCAGCTGCTGCCCTCAGCTAACCAGCTGCTTAGAGGACTGTTGCCTTTGGGGTTTGGAGATATGTTCCAGGTTTGGGGACAATTTGGTGAGGCAGCAGGGTGGGAGGCAACTGCAATTAAAGGGTCCGCACATAGTATGAGACCTCAAGTGAATCCCTCAGATTCTGTGAAGTAACAATGACAATGGTTCTTTTTCTTGCTGGAAGAGGTTGGGGAGAGAGGTTTCCCATGGAGAGCCTCTGAAAGGAAGTGAAGAAGGGGAAGCTGTGAGGTTCACACAAGGTAGGAAGGAGCAGGAACCCTCAGCTTTCCTTTCCTGAGTCTGAATGTCCATCCCTCTGCATGCATAGCTCTGCTGCCAGGCTACCTGCTAGTCTTAGGAGGAAGAGATGATGCTGTTTGTTCCCCAGAATTTCATGGAGGAACCAGTTTCCATATACCCATGGGTCTGAAGTTGGCAAAATAAATTTCCTCATTATTTTAGCCTGAGTAGGGTTAAAAATCTTCACATAGAACTTTTCTATGAAACAAATGAAAAATGAAAAGCATGCAAACACCTTCATGAAAAAAAATAGGTATTTTATGAAATAACCTAAAGTCCAGTTGCTATGGTCTGAATATTTGTGTCCTCACCAAAATTCATACATTGAAATTTACTTCTAAAGTGATGGTCTTAAGAAGTGGATGTTTGGGAGGTGACATTAGTGCCCTTATAAAAGAGGCCTGAGAGAGTTTGTGTATGTCTTCTATCTTGTGAGGATGAAGCAAGAAAGTGCTATCTTTGAGATAAAGAGTGAGCCCTCATCAGACATGGGATCTGCTGGCGCTTTGATCTTGAACATGTCAGCCTCTATAACTGTAAGCAATACATTTCTGTTGTTTATAAATTACCAACTCTAAGGTATGTTGTTATAACAGCCTGAACAGACTGAGACACCAGTTATAGGTGTGACTGTTTCTACTCTCTTTGTTCATCTAACCTCTATCTGGGTGGAATGCTGAATGGCCTTGAGCTCTGCAAAAGCTCATTTTGCTTGGCACTGCCACTGACTACGGTGGGACTCTTGACTCTCCCAGAACCTCAACTATTGATATTATTGGTTCAGAATGTAAATTTTCCAAGGTCTCCTCTAGCCATGAACAGGATACACTTAAAATCTCCAGTCCCCTGGAAAAGAAAAGAAATATGTTATCTGCTTTATAAGGGTCTCCTTATGGCTTTGGAGCATCTTGAATTATTTTTTAAGTCACCACTTTTACACTTGAAGTCTCTTTGACTTTTGTGTTTGCAATCACTCCTCCAAAGTGACTTTCTCTGTCTGGGTGGTTTGTTGGTAACACAGTCCCTTGCTTGTCACTTGGCTTCCTCACCTAGTATTCCGAGCCTATATCCAGGCCTAGGGTGACTGATAGTCATATGACTCAACAGCTTTTACAATCATCCTGCAGCCTGAGTGTCTCAATCTAAGCCCTCTATAAATGAAGAGATGCCTCGAAGTCCTTATTGTTGCAAAGCAATATCTCTACTTACCCTTCTCTGGCACTCACTGAGAGATCTGGACACCAATAATTACAGAAATTGCTTTCTTTCTGTGGAGAATTGTGGCCACCTCAATGGACCCTTTGCACTGAGGGGATTTGGGAAGGGAAGTGAAATGGGGCTATAGTAATCAGGGTTCAGTCGTGGAAGCACTACTACCATCAGTATCATGGAATAAAGGAATTAAAAGAATTAGACCTTACATAATTGAGAAAGTCACTGGGGAAGTAAACGTCAAAAAGGGGGAGTGGATGGATCAGAGAAAAGTGATTAGTCATGGTGTGATGGAATGAGCTGAAGCTGGCAGGAAGGACTTCATAGAGGATATGGGAATTCAGCTGAGTCTCAGGGAGCTATTAGGGTAAGGATAAAGGAAATAGAATGATTTGAGCTGCTTGTATTTGTTCTCAACCCTGGCAGTACATTAGAATCACCTGGGGAGCTTTTTAACTTCCTGCTACTCAGACTTCATCCCAAGTCAATTAAATTCAGTCTCAGGAGATGGGGCCTGGGCGTCAGCATTTTCCAAAGCTCCCCCAGGTGATTCTAACCTGCAGGCAGTGTTGAGAATAACCACTAAGGTAGACAGAGCAAGATGAGCAAGACTCTCATTATTTTAATGTTATAATAACACTTAGCATCTGCGAGGTCTTTTCATGTTCTTGGCATTTAACTTGGCATTAATATACGAAACATATATTAATTACTTACCAAAAGAAAACCCCAAAAGGCCTTTCCTTGGCCTCAGCCTTAAGCAGGAGGATGAACACCTGGGGGCTCTATCTGTATATCTGCTGGCAAATGCTCACACCTGAGCCTTCTCGCCCACCCACACAGCAGGAGGAATGATAGCATGCACCAGTAAGCTCCCACAGCTCCCTGCCCAGACATCCACTGTAGGTGCTATGGAGGTACAGGGTAATGTATCTGTTTCACTTCAGTTTCTCCCAACAGATGGTGTAGCAGGCACGGTGACTTACTCCAAGTTGTATTCACAGCAGTAAGTACAGTGCCCAGTACATTTTGAGTCACTGAATAAATGAACAAATGAATGAAATAAATTCAGTCAAGGATATCAACTCATTTCCAGTATTTCCTGCATCCTGGAGATGTTCTCACGAATTATCTGGCCTCTTGGACTCTAGCTTTTGCCTGGATAGCCAGATAATAACTTCTTGGCAGCTTATGTCTTTTCTGTCCTCAACGAACTTGATCTCTCTTCTGTGTTCACCTATGAAATGGAAAGGGATTCTCAGCCTTCCCAGTTCTTCTGGGTGCACCTTCTTACCTAATAGACCTTATACCAAACTGCCAAGTTAGAATCTAGGCAAGAGCTCCAGATTGGGCAGAGCCTCAAAGCTGCCACCTCTGCTCCTGATATCTAATTCATCTTTGACAGTTACATAGAATGTACTGAAAGTATACTTTATTCATAGAAAGTTACTTCAGTTTCCACTTTAAAACAGTTTGCCCCCAATATATACAGTATCAAGATGGTTAATATGAAAACCAAGGCATCCCCACCAGTAGCAGTTTTAGAAATGTCAGATGTGCCCTGCACAGGTTTTTTTTTTTTTTTTTAATGAACTATTGAACAACATTTCTTCTGGGAAAATATGCCTTTGTCTTTCTCATGTCATCTGAATAATTAAATTTAGTAACTATTTCTGTCTGATCTTGTATTTTCTTTTGCTCTGGTATATTATTCTTGTCTCTTCCCAAAAGTGTAAGCTCTTGAAGGCAGGGACAATGTCTTTCACTAAAATATAAACTCCATGAGAACAAGGACTTTGTTCTGTTCATTTCAGGGTCTTCTTCTCAGGCTTGTCACAGGACTTAGAACACTTCCTGAAATGTGACAGGTGCTAGACAAACATTTGTTGTATAAACGTAGTAGCATAGGGATATATTCTTATTATTGAATGTATGTAATTTTCCTGACTTGATAATTTAGATTGATTCATATTTCTTCTCAAAGCCAATTGACAAACTTCCAGCTTAGGTTAAATAAACCTTTGGGAAGGTTCTCCAATTTTTCTTTCTGTACTTTTTCTTAACAGCCCAGTATCTGGTATTTCTGGCCTTAAATCTGGCTACAAAAACAAATTCCCTATATGAGGCTGACCTTACCCTATAAAGTATGACTTTGAGTGAAAGATCACTACTCCAAAAAGACACTTGCTTTCTTGCAGCCCAGTGAGAGCATTACGTTCTTTTATTAGCTCAGCTCAGTTAAGTTTTGGAAATAAAATAATTAACACAGAAGTATGTATAACTAACAGGCCTATACTTAATTTTATAAAGTGTCTGCATTTAAAATAAATTAAAGAAAAAACAACTCCTTAGCCCCGAAGAAATTTTAAGAGATGGGACAAACAGTAGTGAAGAATTTCAGACATTTTTGGCTACAGATGCTTTTTATTGGAAAAGGACTTCTATTATGAGGAAGGCCTTGTTTTGGTCCCAGCTGCATAATCAAAGCCAAATCCTTTTCCTAGATCTCAAACTTTTTATTGAAAAACAGCTGCCATTGAGCCACAGGAGCAGTTTTCAAATTTACAGTCTTTCTTTTCTTTTTGTGAAATGGGGTGGTACAGGGACAGCTATAGGGTTAACTACAAGGAGTCTTTAAATTCACATGTGCCAGTTAGCTGAATGCATAACATCTCATACAAGCTATTTTAATATACATAGATTCTATTATGGTTAACTAAATACAAAATCGCCTTAGGAAAGTCTTGCCAAATTTAGAGTATTTGCCATTATTCATTTTCTTCTTTATGTGATGTTAACTGTACAGACACGCCCATATTTATCAATATTGAGAATTGCCAGTCTAAAATAAATCCCTCTAGATCATTTCAGTTGTTTTTAGCCAGAAAATAGAATTTACTCTGGGTATATAGGGTTTTATGTTAGAAGTAGGTCCTTATCAAACTTTTAAAAGAGCTTGGAAGGCAAAGTTCATGAGAGTCAAAGCTAAAGATTTCAGCCTAAACCCCTAAAGTTCAAAAGAACTTGCCAGAAAGTCCCTTCAATCCCCAAGATTCTGTATGAAGCCCCCACCAACCAGCCCTGGTCTGCAGCAGTAAAGAGTGTTTCTCCAGAGCTAACCAGAAAATTCGTGTGAATCTCACATTTACTCACAGACCTGGCTGCAACTGCCTTCAAAGAATAGTGACTTCCCCTTCTCTTTTGTCTTCCCAATCTTATGTAAGTGGTAAACACTAAACTAAAACTATACGTGAAAAAGAATACTGAAACACAAACTTTGGCTTAGGCATTAGAGGGGGGTTGTACTGATGGGAACTTTACAGTAGCCAGTGGCATGGACTACCTCTTTTGTCAACTCAGCATCTCCACACACCCATTTTACCCATTTTTAACCTTCAAATAGGATATTACCATCATTTTGACCTAACATGACACAACTATATCTCATACAACCAAAGACCTGCTTTTTTTCTACCCAATGCGTAGACACAAAGCCCTGTGTATTATTTTATCTTTTGGCAATGTCCTTCATTTCGAGGTGCACACCAAATTTTCTTTGGTGTACTATAATTTAAGCCCTGAATTATAGGATCATTTATAATTAATGCATCTTTTATTACAAAATAGAAGATGGGGAGGTGGGAGGAAGAACTGACGGACATGTAAAGCACATAAAAGCAATGGAGAAAAACATGCATAACCAAAAAGTTCTCATTTTTGCAACTGATCATGTTGCCAGAGTTAGTTTAATAATTTCCTTCTGCTACCACATATTCTATGTTTCCTTTGCCCTCAGCAATTTAGTTGGTCATGAATCTTTACCTGGCAGGTTATTCCATGATGATAAGTACAAGAATGGTGGTTTTTCAGATGCTATTGAAGGCATGGAAAGCAAATACAAATCTAGGCTCTATCTATTGCAGTGAAGATAAATTATTGCCCTTTCTATGATGGAAAAGATTCAATCTAATCACAAAGTGACATATTTTTCTCCCAAGGAATGGAGCCATATACAGATTTCATTGTTGGTCTTTTCTTTTCTTTGTCTTTTTTTACCTTTTAAGTTCAGGGGTACATGCGCTTGTTTGTTATATAGGTAAACTCATGTCATGGAGGTGTGTTGTACAGATCATTTCATCACCCAGGTATTAAGCCAAGTATCCATTAGTTATTTTTCCTGATCCTCTCCCTCCTCACACCCTCCATCTTCCAGTAGGCCTCAGTGTTTTTTGTTCTCTATGTGTCCATGTGTTCTCATCATTAAGCTCCCACTTATAAGTGAGAACATGTGATATTTGGTGATCTGTTCTGTTAGTTTGCTAAGGATAATGGCCTCCAGCTTCATCCATGCTCCCACAAAGGACATACATGTCCTCATTTTTTTATGGCTGTATAGTATTCCATGCTATTTATGTATCACATTTTCTTTATCCAGTTGTCCATTGATGGGCATTTAGGTTGGTTTCACGTCCTTGCTATTGTGAATAGTGCTGTAATGAATATACATATGCATATGTCTTTATAATAGAACAATTTGTGTTCCTTTGTGCATATACCTAGTAATGGGATTACTGGGCATTGCTGGTCTTTTCTACAAGCAAGTTTGGCATTCAGCTGCACCATGGCCAGATCAGCCTTAATGAAAGCCCATGTTGTCATGCTTGTGCAAAACCCCAACCCTGTCATCATGGGCCCGCTATGGGCAAAAAACCATCGAGCTATGGCTGGAGTATCTGGGGAAGGAGGCTAACTGACATACACGGCACATGTCTTCTTCTCTACCTGAACTTTAAGAACCATTTCAGCTCTTTACTGAACATTTAAGTGGGACATACATATCCCTATATTTTCTACTTATTCGGTGAGATCTTTTCACAAATTTCTTCCCAGACTTTGTTATCACTAACGTGCTAATCTTGTTTTCTACTAAGTACGTGACCACCTAGCCTAATCATCCCTGTGTGCCCTTAGCCATCTTTTCTTCAGCAAAAATGAACAAAAAAGTTCAATGCTCAAAATTCTGCCCCCTTAGAGAATTTCTCTTCACCACTATCCTTCAATGCTGTCCTTAGTGGGGCCATTCTACTCAGCCATTCATTTTGGGGGTGGTGCCACCATATTGGACAGAATTATCAGGAAAACGGGTCCATTTCTTCTTCTTTAGTCGATGGTAATAGAAATCTTCCCATACAGCCATGTGTTGGTTGAGTCAGCAATAATAAGTGCCATGGAAGTGTATATATATTATTAAATTTGGCAAGGATCCTTTGAAGCTCTTGCCATTAAGAAATGTAATCTATTTTTCAATCTCTTGAATCTGAGCTCTTCTTATTACCCTTGCTATTAAATAGAATTCAGCAGAGATAACTTTGAATTCTGAACATAGGCCTTAAGAATCCTTGAGGCTTCTACATTTATATTTCTTGGAACTCTGAATTGTCCATGTGAAAAAAGCCTGGGCTAGCCTTCTGCATGACAGTAGAAACATAATCCAGTCACCTCCATTGCCTCAGCTGATAGCCTGTCAACAGCCACACATGTGAGTGAGATCACCCTAAATATGCCAGCTGTAAACTGACCTTCCAGGTAACAGCAGACATATGAGCAAAGCTAGCAGAGATAAGTGAAGTTGCCACAGACCAGAAGAATGATCTAACTGATCGACAAATTGTGGAAATCATAATATAAATTAATGGTTGCATTTTAAGCCATTAAATTTGAAATGTCACGCTATTCAGTTTAGGTAACTGATATAGAGTCAGCCATGTGCTCATACACCTCAATTATGTATCCAAAAACCTTCTCAAGCCTAAACTTGTATATCCTACTTCCACGGAATGACAGAATGCTGTGTATGCCCAGATTCAAGACTTTGTGGGTCATATGGTAACCAGTTAAAGATGAATAGTTCATGTCACATAGCAACTTTGTGTCCTATAATTAAGTATTCATCTCTATCAGGGCCCTGTAGAAATCAGAAGCTGCTTTCAAAAGAACTATAGCTAAGTGCAAAAAAACCAGTATAGCTTTGCTCCAAATCTGTATATATTTGAGTTATAATTCTTTTGTTGGAATCACACAGCCTTCCCTATCTTTCAACGATACTGTGAGCACTTTGGATCTGCTTGATCCTATATCTCAAGAATCAGAAAACCTGGTGTCTGCCACAGAGCCTTATTTTTATCGGGACCCAACTCAAAACTGGCATCAAATAAAGGGGTCAGGATAGTGTGCACTCATCTAGCATGTGATGTTTCTAGGATCCAAAGAGGCCCCCCTGCCACACCATGTTGTGCTCCTTTCTTTCTTTCTTTCTTTCTTTCTTTCTTTCTTTCTTTCTTTCTTTCTTTCTTTCTTTCTTTCTTTTCTTTCTTTCTTTCTTTTCTTTCTTTCTCTCTTTTTTTTTGAGATGGAGTCTCGCTCTGTCAACAGGCTGAAGTGCAGTGGTGCAATCTCAGCTCACTGCAACCTCCGCCTCCCGGGTTCAAGCAATTCTGCCTCAGCATCCCGAGTAGCTGGGATTACACACCCAGCTAATTTTTGTGGATTTTTAGTAGAGATATGGCTTCACCATGTTGGCCAGGATGGTCTCCAACTCTTCACCTTGTGATCTGCCCGCCTCGGCCTCCCAAAGTGCTGGGATTACAGGCGTGAGCCAACACACCTGGCCCTGTGCTCCTTTCTTAAAGATAGTATGTACGAGATTCAGAAATTTGTTCTTCATCATGGCGGGGAAACTTGGCGGGGAAACTTGGCAGGGAAAGAGAGGGAAGGCTGTGTAATCCAGACCATTGGATACCTAAAAACTTCCTCAAGATGGATGATACCTGAATTTTTACGGGTTTGATTTTTCTAACTTCTGGCATGCTTATTACTTCCAAGACATCTAGGGCATTGTCTATGTCATGATCATCATTTCCAAGCAGCATGATGTAATTAATCTTACAGATTATCATCATGCCCTGTGTGATGGTGAGACAATCAAGATCCCTGGGAACTAAATCATGATAAAGAGTTAATACAGCCTGAAGTAAGTCAGTGAATGTATATTGCTATCCATGACAAGCAAAAGTAAACTGTAAAAATGTTTGCTAACAGGTACAGAATCAAAAAAAAAAAAAAATCACCAGAGCAATAGCTTAATACTAGGCATCAGGAATTTAGATGGTTTGTTCAAGTAAAAAAACAAACAAAAACAAATCAAAGCAAACAACAAAATACTACATCTAAAACAGCAGCTATATTTAGAGCTACCACCCAAGTTCAGAAATATTTATTTTATTCTCTAAATTTCATCTATCTTTTAGACAGGCCAAGTAGGCATATTTCAAATCTTTGATAATACTACTAATCTGAAATTTCCTCTAGTACATTATACTGATTTTGGTTTTCTGCTTTGTTAGGGATAAACTCTTACTTGGTCCTTCTTATCACTGTAGCTATCTTTTCACAGGTTAGGAAACCAATAGGAAAATTTTGTCATTTTCCAAGTATGTCTATTCCAACTATTTATTCAGGAACTGGGAAAATAACTAATGGTGTTTTGGGGAATCACGAACACATTCTGAGATAGGACTTAAGCCAAAATGGCATTCATTGCTTAATTTTTGCTAGTTTCTACTCTAAATTTGTAGAATAAATTGGCATTTTGAATACCCTAGAATTAGCATCAATTCAGATGTTAAGTAATCACTCAGAATTCTTAGTATTCCCCAAGGCAGAGAACCCTTTATTAATGACTACAAGTCAATTTGAGGAAAAGCAGGTAGAAGAGTCATGTTATAAACATTGGCAGTGGAGCAGAGTCCTCCTTCAAGATGCCACAGCTTTCCCTTTACTTAGGAATCTTGGCATCTGTGAAGTGAAGTCTAAGAATTGTGAGAGTCCATGATTTCTATTGTAGTTACTCAACTTCAACATTATGTGCTTTACTCTCTGGTCTAACACCTATAGTCCATTTCCACACCTAAACCACTATACGTTGACAAAATATTTTGATTCTTCTTGTATGAGTGGAACTTTGGCCCTAACAAGAAGTTAAATTTTATCTTATTCTCCCAGGTTTTATCAGGATTTGAGTGTGATTATGGGTTTGGAAGCAAAGAACGGTGATGGGTGGGCCTTCAAGAGAATCATGATTCCTTTGCAAGGTCAATGCCTGAGTTGATATTTTTACAGGGTGGTCAGGCAGGAAAGGAAGCACCACAGCTTCTTCTGGCAACAGAGGCCTGGCAGGTTTGGGGTGTTCAAGGTATTTGGATTCATTGAAATCTGCCCAAGTTTCTCCTCTATATTTCCAACGTGCCAGTCTTTCTTGATTAATTCTGTATCTTTGATATAAGGGACTTAATAAGTCTGTACATTCATTTTGAATATAAATTTACCCACTCTCAGGATTATAATTTTAGTTGATTTTTGGAAATATTTGCCCAATGGCTATGAGAAATATAAGACTCCTTCGACACAGTAACTGAAGTCATACTCTATAGTATTTAAAGCATTCCTTGAATAACTAATTTAAAACCGTGACATTGTCTTTCTTTTTCCAAGTTCTACATTATATTCAGAAATAGCCAACCCCACCCCACATTCCTGGTATTCTTTATTTCTATCATAAAGTTCAGTTACTGCTATTGCTACTTTGCCTTCCAAAGTCTTGCCTTCTACAGCTACATAACTCCAGGAAATCAGAAGTGGTAATGTAAATAGCTGTTTTGCTGCTGCATGCCATGCGTGTACTATCAGTGACCCATTTTGAGCTGCTGTTGAAATTGTTAGTGCTTTCCACTATGATCACATCAAAGAATCAATTTGTCACTTTCATCCCTAGCATTCTAATAGCCCCAAACCACCTACAGTTAAAAAACAAAAACAAACAAACAAACAAAAAACTATCTATGTTAAAGTTCGATTAAGCAATAGGAGTCACTCTATTTCAAGTATAAAGGACTTAAATCAGGAAATAGTAGCTTAACTACTGGAAGAACTTGGAAGCACAGGTTGGGGAAGTTGACACTAAAGATCTTACCTGAACTACCAAAGCAGAAAGTTTGGAGAGCTCTCTGGAACACTGTTTCTATTCTTAAAAATTCCTGAGAAGTTTGTATCTCTTTGTTGTCAGCAGTGAACCAAGTGATTCTCTAGGACTCACCAAGAAGTTACTGTGAGCCACTCTTCTGTTCATGAATCTGGCTGCAGTGACCTCCAAAGAATAGTGACTTCTCTTCCTTTTTCCTATTTCCAGATGACAGGCAAATGCCTCTCACTGACAGACTCAAACCTGACACCATATAGAGAAGAAGATTCTGAAAAAAGGAGTCTCTCACTTCCCCTTTACAATGCAGAAGACACCAAAGATGAAAGTAGTAATATCAAATTTGCTAAGGACACTCCAACAAAATGATCTAGCACTTTTATGTGAAAGACCCTTAAACCATGAATTAGAAAATGGATACTGTATCCTATAGTTTCCACTGACTTTGTTTCATCTGCCTAAACCTTACCCAGGCACTCCCATTGAAAGTGGGAATTTTTCTTGGCCACTCACCCTGAGAAACACTGAAAAAGAGAGACACTGTGGGGGGGCAAAAAAAAATTTATTCAGTCATCCCAGGTGTGGTGATGATGATAGTATTTCAATGAATCTTCATTGTTCAGTTCAAAATGGAAAGGCATCCAGAGGCTTAAAACAGGAGCTAATATTTGGAACACGGTTAAGTCACATGAGCACCTACATTCAATTCAACTAGACTCAAGAGCATTTTCTGTTTATAAAAAGTTCACCTGGCATGGGATAGAAGTAAAAAGATTAGATTTTCAGCCAACGTATTGCCAAGAATTACAATGAAATCAATTTTCTTTTTTCATAATTTCATACCTCCTAATCCATCTGACGTTAAGATGTCCGTTAATTCTTCTTCCTGAGAGAATATTTATCAGAGCATGTAAATAAACCAGAGAAGATTTTCACTTTAGAAATAGCAGAAGGTAAGAGGACTAAGGGGGAGACTGTTCACTTTCTAGAAAATATTTTGCTCGGTGTATACATATAACCTATTCAAGATAACATAAAATAAATATGAGCAGCAGAAGACACTTAGATTTGGGCTTACCAAAAGTTTTCCTTGTCTGCAACAACTCCAATCAGTCAGTAGTGGCTGAGAGAGCTGTGTTGAGGGGCCCAATGCTAAGACCTAGCTCAGGTTGGGGTGGGGAGGTGAGGGGAAGAATGCTGTGATCACCATAAGCAAAAGAGCAAAGGTGATGGCACTGTGCACTTGACATCTTTTCATTCATGTCATGTAAACCTTGGCAACCAATAAGTCTAGCATATCTTACTAAATTCAGCCATACATTATTTCCTAAATTATTATTTTTGTGTCACTTTCAAAAACCACCAAACAGGAAAGCAGGCCAAGTATTATTCTTCACGTTTTACAAAGGTGAACTCAGAAACTTAGAAATCTCAGATGGCTTGTTGAAATGATCTCACCCAGTAAGCTGGAAGTGGCAGAAGCCACACCAGAACACACCTCTCTGAGTCACACATCCGAGGGTTTTTCTCACAGTTCATGTAGTTTGAGAATAATTGGCATACCTCTTACGAGAAGCAGAGGGGAGGAATGACAGTGACTTTGAAAGTATTATAACCAGCTTCTCTACAAGCTAAGATCTGATTTAAAAAAAAAATTCTGTTTAGCATTAAGGAGAAAACGCTAGGGTAACATTTAACCATTCCTATGTCTGCCCTTTAAGGCCAACACATTGTTTCACGGGGACACATGTAACTGATGGCTGAATGTTTAACTTTGTGACTAAGAGCCTCAGCTAGCTGAGGAGAAGGGATTAATAGAGTGAAAGAGAAATAACAATGCTGACCTAATTCACAGGGATATAATTACCCAATTCACCATTGTAAAGTACTTTGAAAACAAGTGTGTTATAAATGCTAACTAACATTATTACCAAAACTAATTCTGTGTTACTATCTCATATCAAGGTTCCCAGAGTATTCCTTGGACATGCCCTGCCCTGCCTGCCCACTCCTGCGAGGTAGCATGTAAAAACTCTGACCAGCCGTGACACCTATTTTTCCCACACCTACTCCTCCTGTTCTTCTTGATTCACTTTTTCATCTTTCTTTATGGCTTCACTTCACTTCATACACAATCATGAAAGAATCTTTGCTTCAGTGATTGGCATTCCACAAAATGCCATTAAGCCAGAACCAGTTTTCCTCTTGCTTTACGGTCAGCTTTCCCTAGTGGTCATCCTATGTGAGCACAGTAGCCACTTCATATGCCAATAGGTGTTCAAAAAATGCCAATAAATGCATTGCGCCTCATAATTGTCCAGCCCTTTTATTTCTACAAGGCACTCTTCAAGCCCTTCTCTCATAAAAACTGTACAAGAAAGACCAGACAGGGATGGTCACTATGGACAGTTGAGTCAACTGATGCAATAAGAAGTTAAGTGGGCCAGGTGTGGTGACTCGCACCTGAATCTCAGCACTTTGGGAGGCCAAGCAGGGGGGTGGGGGGGGGTGGATCACAAGGTCAGGTGTTTGAGACCAGACTGGCCAACATAGTGAAACCCCATCTCTACTAAAAATACAAAAATTAACCAGGTGTGGTGGCACACACCTGTAGTCCCAGCTACTCGGGAGGCTGAGGCAGGAGAATCTCTTGACCCAGGTGGTAGAGGTTGCAGTGAGCCGAGATTGTGCCATTGCACTCCAGCCTGGACAACAGAATGAGATTCTCAAAAACAAACAAACAAACAAACAAGTTAAGTGACTCAGTTCCCATTAAAATGAGCAAGGAGATTGAAATATTCAACTTCACAAGTACAGCAGGTTAGCACAGTGTCTGATATGTCATAGGCTCTGAATAATACCTGCTGCATGAGTAAGTGAATGAGTGAACAAAATAATGAAGTAATGAAAGCATGTGTTGAAATTCAGTGCTGTGTGTTTTCCACTTAGCCACACTGATACCATTTTCTGTGTCAGAAAAAAATTCTAACCTGGTAAAATACTGCCCAGAGAAACAGTGCCAGGGTGAGGTGAGTCCTGCATCCACTTTTCCAGTAATCTTCTAAGACGGGTAGAGAAGATGCCAACAGAAAGCCCTGTTCCCGTGGAGTCCTTCATGGAAGAAGAATGGGATTAGACACTGACTGTTACTATCAAAGAGCATTTCTTGAGGGCCAATTATCATAACAGCTTACATTTGCAACTGCTTTGCCATTTGAAAAGCACTTTCCCATTCATTAGTCCATTTGATCCTTCTAATAATGCTGTGGAGAATGTGTCCTCATTATCCCACATTTTATCGATGAGGAAAATGAGCTAAAGGGAGGTAGGTAACTTGCTCAGGGTTTTATATCTCTCATAAACAGCAGATAAGTTCTGCAAACAAAACCTACCAGCTTCAAAATTAGTGTTCCTTCTGTTGCATTGTGTTGTCTTCCAAAACTCAGAAACTTGTCTCTAGGACCGTTTCCAGAGAAAAGTCAAATTCTCCATCACCACTGCCTACGCCTTCTGAGCCCATGCCCTACCACCCAAGCTTCCCCAGGCTCCTGACCAGGGGCTCAATGGAGTTGTCAGCTGGTCATATGCAATGTATAAACTTGATCACATTCACTTCCAAAGAAAGTGTCTGTGATTAAGAGCTCATCTAGTAGAGTCCTTTCTCTTTAATAATCCATTTTTAGATGACAATATGTCCAGATTTTACCTTCCAAAAGCCTATTGTCTGCCTAAATGCAAACAAATGACTAATGGAGAAATTTAGAGAATTTAGCAGGGAAAGCATTTTCGCTGCACGGAGGCCAGATTAAGACACAGTAGACTCCTATTTGTGAATTACTAACATAAGCATTGAATTTTCCAGGTGCTTTCAATAAGGATTTGTTCATTCACTCTTTCCTACAATGAGTGCTTCCTTCTACTTACAGGCTTGCAAAATGCTGCAATGTGATAATGAATAAGAATGAATGACTTCTAAAATTATTCAGTAAGTCCTGAATTCCTGCTTTCAGTAACTTCAACTATTTCATATGGCTTTTACCTGAAACAAGGTAGGCTTCGCCCTTCCCACTGCAGGTAAGAAAGAAGATTTGGAGCAACATTAATGCATGTTTCTTTGAAAGTGGTTACTTCATCTACTGGAGAACACCCTGGTTTTAAACTTTGCCAATATCTCTTTTTTGTTTGTTTGTGTTGTTCTGGTCTGTTGTGCTTTATGTATAGAGAAATACTTACTGATTTAAAAGGACCAATAAGTCTTTTTATTTGTAACTCAAAGTAACTCAGACAACCGCTAAATATCAGATTGAAGGTGTTAGATCCTCCCTCCCACCCTACTCTCAAGCTTACTGTCCATTTAGTCCATTTAGAGAGGAAGTTATATAGGGGTTAGGGGAGTAGAAATAACTCAGGTTTGAAAATCATCACTAAAAAAAGAGATTAGAGAGTGGCTTCTAGCACATGGAAATTACTGATAGCAAAGCTCGTCACATTTTTGCTGGAAAGAAAACTGTGACTACTTAAGAGTTAGTACAACCTTTGACCCACCAAATGTGCACCAGTAGAAAAGAAGCAACAAATGCTGAGTAGTCTTCTAGTAAGGCAAATTATCTCACACCTGCTTTAGCTGTGGCCGTAGAGAAAATGTTCAAAGAGGAGCCACCAAAAACAGCACACACAGGAATTTCTTCCAGAGGCATATTCAGGGTCTCATTCAGAACTTCCCAATTCCTGGTACAAGGATTCTTCATAAGGACTGCCGAGAGGGATTCCACAACTGCGGGAGAACTTTGTAGATGGGAGTTTTTATAGCTGTTATCCTGTCCCTGCTTTGTAAAGTATAGCGGGGGAGTGAGATGTGGGGCAGAGAAGTGTGGGGGACAGAGGTGGGAGGACAGAAAACTTATCCTTGAGTTTGTCGGTCACCAGACCAGAAGGAGTCGAATGGAGTCCTCATGAAGAGAACTTGCATCACCTGGAAATCCTGAACACTGGCCTGGATGCACTGAATAGATGTATCTTTAGATTTGTCTTCCATGGAATGGGAATGGGAATGGGGACAAGTGTTCTATGGAGGAGTGCATGGTTATTTGATGCCCCAAGTGCAAACCCATTCAGAGACTGCTGCATGCTCACTATTACAATTTCGGTTTCTTTTTGTGTACATAGGGAGACTGTACTGTCCAGCCATCTTTGGAATTACATAGCGTCATGTTCTGAGTTCTGGCCACTGGAAGAGAATATGTGCACCACAGCCTGGACTGGCCCATTTCATATCTCTTCTCCCCATTGAACATACAGAAGAGAAGGATTTTAAAACACAAAGAGTGGCAAAAACTACAAGATGAAAGGAGTTTGGATCCTGAAAACATGAGGTGGAAGACAGGCTACTGAACACTGGTGAGATGAAATGGACTTCTATTGAATTAAGTCATTAAGATTTTAAGATGTCACTGTTTTGGAAGTTTGTTTCACCTAATAAAACTATGTTTTGAATCCTAGGGGAAGGACTTAAACCTTATTTCTCTCTGTGATTCTTGCAGCTCCCAGCACAGCTCCTGATTCATCTTGCAGAGTGTAGAAGATAAAAAAAAAAAAAATTTTCAATAAAAAAGCAAACCAATGAATTCAGACCAGGCCTGCACAGCTATATCAAAATGTGGAAGGATAGAATTTGAATTCCCCTGATTAAATGAAATAGGGAGGATCCCTACTTGTTTCATGGGCTAAAGAAGGCTATTGCTCACTTCATAGAGACCTTATGAGAACTGAATTATATAACACATACAAAATATTTAGCAAAATGCTTAACACAAAATAAGCATTTAATAGTTGGTGGGTTGTTTCATTGTTAACTGTTAATGCTACACAAAATGGCTTTAGTGGCTACAACAAACCATGTCTCTGAGAACAGAGAGGAAGTAGCTTTCTCAAAAGCACAATCTGCGTCTGATTCATGGTCTATGCCTCAAATGCTCAAGCACAGTCTTACACACATAGTGGTAGGGAGGAGTGAATTGCATTCTGTGGAAAGTGTGGAAGGATAGGGAAGAGGAAAACTTATTTGAATAATATTAAGAAAAAAACAGAAGTAAAAATGTAGATAATGCCAGTAATTAATTCCATTGAGATGTATTATTTCTGACAGATATAGTGTTTGTGGTTTTGAATCTATGTTGAGAGAATGTTTATTCTCATACATACACATTCACTTTTTATTCATTGTCACAAACTTGGCATACAACGGCGAAATGTTATAATATTCCCTAAATGGAATCTACTTAGGAGCCAAGATATAATAAAATGCATGAAATGACTTTTGTACAAACACCAAATTATTTCAGGACAGTCCTAAGTAGAAATCCACTGATCACTTTCTACTTGCGTATAGTAGGAAGACATGGAGCACAATAGAAGACTTCCTTCAGGCATTTAGCTGTAGTTAAGTAACAAGTATAGAAATATTTATTTTTTTACAGTGTTTTTATGTGATTTATGTTAAAAGCATAATCCAGTTATAAAATGTAGAGAAAGAAACAAATCATACTAGCAATCTCTTGCAAATTCAGCCTCATACCTTCAGACTAAAACTAAAATGTAACACAACATATTTGAAAATGGATCTTGGCACCAATGCTATGTATTCTTAGATGTGCATTCATTACCTATGGAATGAGATGGGATGCAATGAGACGAGATGCAATGGAACAGATCCAAATAGAAGTACATGTCACCAAATGGGATTAAATGCCACTGGTTTACACAGAAATTTCAGCTCTGCAATTCCCTTCCATGAGGCACACTGGGGACTTCCAACCCCAAACTCATTTTCCTCTCCTGGATGAATGAGTGACCTCTGGTGCCTTTGGGTGCTGAGGATGGATTGCCCAGGCAAGTTTCCAAACACTTCACATTATTTGAGGGGAAGATGCTATCGCTTCTCAGTGGAAGCCTGTTATTAGTGCAGGTGAATCACGGGAGGAGAGAGTTGTGGGTGGATCCTGTATTTCATAAGCAACAACAGCAGTAAGGCAGGGTGGAGGTTGGGGCAGGGATCCAGGACCAGCAAAACTGGGGAAGGTGCTGATGGAAGGATGATTCGGTTTTGGCTTATGGGAGGGTGTGTTGTCAAGAAGTCTGGGCTACAAGGCTAAGTGCCAGCATGGCAGGTTCTTTCCCTTGGCCTGACAAGGAGACAAGCACAGATTCAATCAGAACTTGCTCCAAGAATGTACTGAGAACATTGGTCCTACCCTCTGGGAACTGATCCTCAAGGTCAGGTTATCTTGCCTGGAGCTCCAGTCCTCCTATATTTCAGATCATAGACTGTCCTAGGAGCAGACAACCTGGAGACATTGGTATCTGATTAACCAGGTGAATACTGGCAGATACTACACACCTAGGCAACCCAAAGGATGCATTTCAGGATGTCAGCTGCAAAGCAGCCAGGAGGACTCAGCAGAATAGTCACAGTCATGGAGGGTTAGGAAAAGGAGCTCTATTGAGCAGAAAACACCAAAGAAGGAGTATGACTTGGGGAAATGTTCTCTTCCTTGTTCTATACTTCCTTTGGAAGCTGAGCACACCTTTGATCATTCATTCATTTGTCATTCAACATTAATTAAGTGCTGGTTAGGTGTCTGCAATACTCTGGACACGGGGGAAATAATAAAATAATAATAAAACAAAAAATACACAGCTCTGTCCTAGCAGAGCTTACAGTCTACTGTTGGTGGGAAAACAGAAATAAAATACTGAAACGTAAAGAAAAAGATATGATTTGTCAGAAGATGATTAGCTCAATAGAAAAAAAATAAGAGACAAGGCAGTAGAGTCAGAGAATTGCTATTTTACAAAAGGTAGTCAGGAAAAGCTGCTCTGAGAAAGGAACATCTGGGCAGAAATCAGAAGGAAGTGAGATATAGGTGACGGCATAGCTGGATAGAGAAGACTTCCAGGCAGAAGAAGCTGACACTAAGGGCCTGGGTGCAGGCATCCTTAGCAGAGCAAAGAGACTGCAGTGAGGCCAGAAAGGAGAATTGTGAGAGACTGGGCTATGGGGGCTGGATCACGTATTGCCTAATGGACTATATCTGCTTGTTGGTTTGTTTGTTTGATTGATTGTTTGCTTGTTTGTGTTGGTGAGTAATATGAAAAGGTTTTGAGCAAAGGTGTGGCATGATATGATTTCCATTTTTAAATAAGCACTCTGGTGATGTGCTGAGAATATGCTCTAAGGGTGGGTTGTAGGCTGTTTGTAATACCTGAGGCTGGGTAACTTATAAGGAAGACAGGTTTATTTGGCTCGCGGTTTTGCAAGCTGTACAAAAACCATGGTGCCAGCATCTGCTTCTGATGAGGGCCTCAAGAAGCTTTCACTCATGGCAGAAAGCCAAGGGAAGCCAGCATCACACGGTGAGAGAGGGGAGGGAGGGTCCAGGCTCTTTTCAACAACCAGCTCTCATGGGAACTAATACAGTGAGAACTGGGTCATTACCATGAAGATGGCACCAAGCTGTTCATGAGAGATCTGCCCTCATGAACATCTCCCACTAGGCCCCCACTTCAACTTTAGGGGTCAAATTTCAACAGGAGATTTGGAGGAGACAAGCACCCAAACTATATCAAACTGTCAGGGTGGACACAGGTAAGCCTGTTAAGGTGTCGTGACAGAAACCCAGGGGTGGCAAGCATACCATGCAGTTGATGCTCTGTGTCACCTCCCAGGACCCCCACAGCAGTGCGGCTGCAGCCCCAAAGTATGACCCTCCACCAGCCTCCCGTCTCAAGCATGCTCAGTTCTGTGCTTCTCTGCCTGAGGAGTTTCCTCCAGAACTAGGGCGGTCTGTTCAGGCCACACACAGGGCAGTTTAAAATTACCAGCTACCAAAAATTTAACACCCTGGGGCAACCTTCTACCAGGGAGAGCTGAGACTTGATGGATAAATGCCTCTTCCCGTCCTTCAGTGGAACTGTTCTCAGGTTCATTCACACGGACCACGGTGGGGCTGAGCCCCAGCTGCACACAGCTCATTAATATACCTTACCGCCTTTTCTCCCTTTCTGGATTTCCTGCTTCCTGGGATGACCTTCCAAACCAATTACTGGCCCTTCACTTCTTACCTCGAAGTCTGTTTTCAAGGAGATCTAAGCGATGATGACAGGTGAAAGGTCACAGGGGCTTGAACAAGGGTGATAGCCCAGATGAAAAGTTGTCAAGTTATTTTGAAGCTGAATAAATAATACCCATGAACTGTAGAAACATAAAAAACAAAAGAGGAAAAGAATTATCTGTAATTCTACATTTAGAGGTAGACACTGTTAGCCTATTGATATATAGTTTTTTCCTGGATGTTGATACTAGTTGGGTATGTTTTTACATGTGCATTTATATAATTTTTATGTTAAAAGAATCATATTAAGCATACTATATTGTAGGTGATTTTCAGTTAATATATTATAAACATCTTATTTTTTAATAAACTCAGTAAATATACATCTAAATTCAAATTCTCAAAGGTTCACTCTACTTAGCATATTCTACTCCACATAGCATAAATTTTAAACTAATTCCCCACTGTTGAATATTTAGTTTATTTCCAATTTCTCAATACTATTAACAACACTTCAATGAACACCCTTGTACAAACATCTTTGAACACTTGTCTGATTATTTCTTTAGGATAAATTCATAAAATGAGACTTCTCTGTCAAAGCATATTTACAATTTTAAGTACTTTACATATTGCCAAACACTCTGCCACAAGCTTTTACTAATTTACATTCCTATGAGAGTGCGTGTTTCCCCTTAATCATGAGCAGCACTTTAATATTCTTTTGAAGAGAGAGAGAGAAAGGGAGAGGGAAGGAGGAATTCTGGAGCCTACCACAATCCTTCTATATTTCTATTAGACTTAATTATTTGATTTTAATTTAATTTGATGTTTAATTTTTAGAACTAGCTGGTTTATTAGCATTTAATTAATTGAATAATTTCATGCTTATTAATGAAGATTCTAATAGATAAACTACTTTTTTAAAGAATATCTTTTTTTCTTATAAAATGAAATGGAAAAATATTACCAGAAATTGTGTGTCATCTCCTTGGAATCCATATTCCTGGTTCCCCACTTCCTAATATAAAAGAAATAATATATTTCTCATGGGCACGAGGTAAACCAGGGTGGTTCCCGTTATTTTGCACAACAGTTTTGCAGGAAAGTATACTATGAAGTCCCACAAAAACAACATGCAAACGCTTATCTCAAAAATATCAGACATTATTTTTATTTTTGCCAATTCACTTGAGAAAAAAAATGCCTAGTATTTCATGGTATTTTAATTCACATTTCTGTAATTACTAATGAATGTAAAATATATAAAATATATATGTATGTAGATATATATCTATACAATGTGTGTGTATACACATACACACTTTATTTTACTGTTTTTATCCTTTGCTCTATCGTTTTTATTGGAGTACCTGTCTCTTTTCTTATTGACTTGAGAGAACTTTTCCATAAGGTTATTAACCCTTTTGTAATGGGAAAAAAAGAAAAATAAGCATAATATTCTAAAAATTATGAAACCAAATAAAATAGCTGTTTTGCAAATATTTATCCCAGATTATCGTTTTCTTAATTTCCTTTACTACACACAATTTTAATGACTTATGGTTAAAGTGATTATCTTTCTAATGCCTAAAGGAACCTAACTTTGGTGTTTATATTGAGAAGGGACTTCTGTACTCTGAATGTTCTTCTGGTTGGCTTATTGATTTACTTTTTGGTATTTGAATTTCTCATCTGTTTGAAATTTGTTTTCATATACAATCTAATGTTCGGAGTTTTATTGGTATGTATTTTCCTAAATTGATAGTACCTATTCAATACCATGTACTGAATATTGACAACAGTAATAATATCTCACCTTTTTAAAAGCATTTACTATGTGCCAAGACATTGTTCTAAATGCATTTATGCAAATTATCTGATTCCTGGATTCCAAAGGCTACCTTTACCATGGAGTAAATTATTTGATGTCTTGGGTCTATTTCTACTCCTGAATTTGATCTCTAAAGCAGGTGTTTCACCAGCAGCTCGAAAAGGCTTCCATCCTCTGAGCTCAATGGGGTGAGAGATCTATGTGGGAAGGAGGCAGTTTAAAACCCTTTGAGGCTAGTTTTCTCACTCTACTGTATATCTTTTATGTGTGTTCATAATTGACAAGGTGGCATGTTTAATTTGTTTTACTTTGGTTACTTTTTTTCTCCCTATAAAAGTGATACATATTTCCAAGGAAGACAAACAAAACCTTGAAAGCTAGAGGACAGCTATAATTCCACCACTTTTAAATTTTTGGAGGATCTTCATTACCTTTATTTCCTGGCATACTTAATGGGGCAAGAGGACTGTTTTTCACACTTGTAATTATACCATATGTGGAATTTTAATTTTTTGTAAAACATTCTAATATTATAATGCTGATATTTTTCAAAGTTAGCATGAAAGCTTTAAGATGAATACCATTCTTCTGATGGAGGTACTATAATTATTATTCTAATGGACATATTGATTATTACATTTTTGTGGCTATGTAATGCTGGAGAACATCTTTATGCATAAAGTTTTTCTGTATTTAAAATTATCTCCTTAGCATATGTTTTCTGAAGTGGATATGTAGGGCCAAAATCATGGCTATCTGAAGGATACATGCTATAAAGTTGTTCTCCAAAATATTATACAAATGTACACTGTCTCCAACAATGAGTGATCTTGCATCACAAAGTTATGTCAATATTACATATGCTCATTTTTGCCTCAAATTATATCACGTGGGTTTTATTCCCCAGCTAGACTAGTTATAGGCTCTCTGGTCTTTGGTCACAAATCCCACCTCTGATTTCAGCCATTTATTTCACAAATTCAAAGAATCTATTCTAGCTATATAAAAGACAAATTCCTGGTGTGCAGCTGAAAGGAAAAGCCTGTCTCCATAAACACAATGGCTTCCAGCACAGGTCCGAGGGTGACTGGCACTAGAGGTCAGGTCAAGCTAGCATGGCTCCACGGTAGAGGACTCATATGCTGTTGGGTCTTGGCAGCCATATTTGGAAAAGATTCCCTTCTAGAATTTAAGGAATAAGACTGGGAAAGGCAAGGCAAGGTACAAAGCTGGGCTGCATTTCATGGAAAAGGATTATTTCTAGAAAGAAAACCAAAATCCTGGACAGGATAGCAGTACAGCACTCACAAAAACATGAAAATGGTGTAGAGCCAACAGGGAAGAATAGCAAGCTAACAGTGCCATGCTGGAACTGGGTGGCAGGGCACTGCTCCTGAGTCTTCTGGCAACAAAGACTCTTACACTGGGTTCTGAGGGGACTTGATTTGAAATTCCATGTCAGTGCCATTAAGATACTTCATCTTTCCACCATATTTGCTTTGGGAGTGTACATGGGGCTGAGCCTACAGATGGGAATGTGAAAGTGAGCCCAGCTCTAAAAAACTAGGAGAGGCCGCTTTAGAGGAAAAAAAGGCAAGAGATTGCAGAACAGGGCCTGTTTTTGACTGAATATGAAACATTACACTCAAAATGCCCCCTAACAAGCTTTTACAAACTGGAAAGAATCCTCATTAGAGAATCTGAGCCAGATCCCCACCAACTACTCCAGGGGCCTTGGACACATTGCTTAAGAACTCTGACAAATTTCTTTTCCACTGGTGCAATCAGCTCACTGCAACCCTGAACTCTTGGGCTCAAGCAATTCTCCTCCTTCCTCAGCCTCCCAAGTAGCTGGAATTACAGGCATGTGCCATCAGGCTTGGCTATTTTTTTTTAATTTATTTTTGTAGAGATAGGGTCTTTGTATGTTGCCCAGGCTGTTCTCAAATTCCTGGCTTCAAGTGATCCTCCTGCTTCAGCCTCCTGAAAAAGCTGGGATTATAGATGTGAGCTATTGTGCCCTGCCTGAATTTCTTCAAGTCTTGAATGGGAGCCCCATCCTAGGACACTTGTTTGACAGCAAGGTGAAAATAAATCATGATACAGTCACAAAATAGATACAGCTACACAAAATGAATGGACTATAGCCATATATCGAAATAGAAAAATAAAATAATATCAAAGTGATATAATAGCAAAACAATATTGAGGAACCAAAAATATTGAGTGGGAAAAAGTCTCAGGAGATTACATGTAGAATGATATTCTTTTTAAATGAAATTCAGAATCAAACAAAATGAAAAATGCATTCAAAGCAAAATACAATTTAAATACATATATAGGTATAATATATATATATACATATATATAAATAAAACTATGTTTTAAAAGGAAGAAAATTATAACACAAAACCTAAGATAAATATTACCTTGGATGGGGGAGACCAAGTGAGGGAGGAAGGGCCGACATAGGGCTATGACATTCTCTGATACATTTAATCATATTCCAGTTCTCAGATTGGGTTGTAGGCATATGGTGGTCATAATAAATGAATTACTAAGTAAGTAAATAAGCCAAGAAATACTATTCTGCTATTTTTGTTTTTTCATTCAACAAGCTTTTTGGTTTTTGTTTTTTTTTTCTGAGACAGAGTCTCACTTGGTCACCCAGGCTGGAGTGCAGTGGCACAATCTCGGCACACCGGAACCTCTGCCTCCCGGGTTCAAGTGATTCTCCTGCCTCAGCCTCCTGAGTCACTGGAACTACAGGCACATGCCACCATGCCTGGCGAATTTTTGTATTTTAGTAGAGACAGGTTTTTGCCATGTTGGCCAGGCTGGTCTATGAACTCCTGACCTCAGGTCATCTGCCCGCCTCGGCCTCCCAAAGTGCTGGGATTACAGGCATGAACCACCGCACCCGGCCTCAACAAGCTTTTAATAGGTATCTACTATGTGCCAGACATACAGCTGAAAACAAGACATAAGCCATCCTTTGTGGAACTGCCATCCTTATTTAGGAAACATAAACTAAAGGAATAACAAATAGATGTATTATAAAATGTCAGGTCGTGCTAACTCCTGTGATGCAAAAGGAAGCAAGACAGTGGGCCAGAGAAGACATGGGGGCAATCTTAAATGGGGTGATCAGGGAAGGACTCGCTGCAGAGGTGGCCTTTGAGCAGAGACCTGAGTGGAGGGAGGAAGTCAGCCATGTGCGTGTCTGAGAGAATTGTGTTCCAGGCAGAGAGAGCATCAAGGAAAAGGACTCTGGGCCAGAAACCCGCTAAGCATCTTTGAAGAACAGCGAGAAGGTCAGTGAGGGTGGAGTGAACAAAAATGATCGTAAATAAATAAGAGGTAACCGGGGCCAGTTGGAGAAGGGTCTGGTAGGCTGAGATGAGGACTTTAGGTTGTTTTCTAACCTACTGTTTCCTTTTCAATAGGAAGCCATTGGAGGGCCTTGAGCAGGCAACTAACAAAACTGCCTTACTTTTCAAAAGCACCTTCCCAGCTACTGTGTGCAAACAGACTGTTGAGGGTCAAAATCAGGCCAACCCAATCTCTTCACGCACTGTTGTATGTAGCTCTCTTCCAATCCTGGCAGCCTATGGCCAGATCTCAAACTAAAATTGCTTTCAATATGTGTATGAACAAATGTCTGTCTCTCTCTCTCTCTCTCTTTCTCTCTGTCCTTGCAAGAACTTTTATAAACATATGTATATGAATTTTATGTGTATGTTACAGCTTCAGATGATACACTAAAGATCTGGAAGCTGTTGAAAATGCATAAAGCACTTAACCTGCATATAAGTGTGTCATGTACTTTGAGGGTTAAAAATTAATTACACTTTATTCTAAAAACAGAGGCATTAGCACATGAAAATATTTCACTAATTGAAGGTATGAGCTTGTGAAATGAATGCATGTTTATGAAAAGCAATCTCATTTTATTTACTGGGAGCCTCTGCATGAGGCAAGTCCTCTTGGCCAATCAAATGCATCAACTTCATGCATAGGCCGATAGACAAAAATACAACTTGTAGATAGGTCACTATGTTTTTACTCCGTGGTAGACAAATCTATCTGGAAGCACAAAATGACACTAATCCCATACCTGTCATGGTATTCCCTGGGTTTTCTCTCATTGGGTGAAACATATTTTTTAATGATGGGGTACACAAACACTTATGAAGAAGTTGTTTCTGTGTTTGTAGATCATCCTTGGGAATCGCTATATCACAGTATTACACAAATCTACAAATTATTTCCAAGACTTAATTTGCCCAGGGTTATCTTCCTCAATGCTAGAAGTCTCGTGAGCAATTTAGGTCTTATATTACTTTGCAGCAAATATTCCCATTCATTTCAGAGATATTCCTCCCTTCTCAAATTTCCACTCACTCCTACCGATAATCTGCCAAACTCTCTACAGGGTTCCAAGTTTTGAGAACCCAGATAAAGGCCCTTTGCATACCTGCCACTCCCAAGGCCCAGCTAAAGTCCTATCAGTCCCAGGAGATCGTTGGTTATCTTTCTCTACAAATGCCTGCGGAATTAGTCACCAGTGCTACTCAGTCTCGCATTTAGTTTTAGTGTTGTTGTTTCACTCTTGCGTAAGGCCAAAAGTTTTGGCACAGTTTGATGCTAAATTGTCACTTTTTTTTTTACATTTTTATTTTATTTCATCAGGTTCTTAAGAAAGTGCTGAACGCACAGAAGATAATAAGGCATCTGGACTGGAATATGTAAAATTACTTAGATTAAGCGAGTAAACCTGTTTAGTCCTTTGGAAATTATGGAATCTATACGAACAACACAATGTCTTGTTAAAAATACTAATATTAACTGAAGCTAAATTCTGGACAAGCTGCTACTAATAATTCTAATTAATAAATGTCAACAAAGTAGGCTGGAGTACCAAGTGGGCAGTCTGTAACATCTTTGGAATTTAGCAGGCATGGACTCTGCATTGCCACATTGCCCTGAGTCCCTGGGACCCCTCCAGGAGACCTGGCCTCTGGGCTCTGCTGAGCCTGCTCTAGGGAGGACTGTTCTCTTATCTTCAGGCAGGATTTGGCTGTGCATGTCTTCTTTATCTGTGAATGTTCATTATTTCTATTTGTACCTGAGCCTATATTTATGGATAATCTATTGAAGGAGGAAATATGGCTCAGGTGAGTGGGAATGACAGGGCTGTATTTAATGGCTACAGCAAATAACCTTCTAACGGCCGAAAGAGTGTCATATCTCACGGTTATGATGTCTTCAAAAGGTGATATTTCTGGCTGTGTCATCATAGCTGTGAAAAGCATTTTCTCAGCATCTAAGAAAAATGGGAAGACCGTGGGGTGATGGAGGTGCACTCAAGACAGGCTGGTATTAATCACACGAGCTCAGCCTCAACTTTTGTCTACATTTAAAGAAAGAAATTTGGGGTTGGGGGAAGGGTGGGTAGAAAAGATACAGACTTTCCAGTTTTTGAGGTGGGTGTTTTAGAGATATGTGACAGAGACCTTGTCTTAGGAAAATAGCTTAGGAGAGCTAATTTTCTGTGAAGGTTCTCACTCCCCTTCTGCACAGCCCTGTTTTTCCAACTTCTGGTTCCAAGTCTATCACCTTATCCCACCTGCCAACCCTATGAAACCTCCTTATGTCTCCAACCCACTTAAAATGTGAACCGAGTTTCTCCCAATATACTTGGAATCATACTGGATGTTATGAGGACACAGGAATTACACGACATAATTCTGACCTTTTGCCTCTGGTGAGACTTCCTCCAGAGACACAAATCACACAGAGGCACATACTTTACTTACACTGTAACCCTCACAAGACGATGCTCACTGCATAATGTCACGATGAATTTATGTTCTCTATTTTTGTGTATAGGGTTGACTCTGAGAGTTATAGCATAATACTGGGATTACTTAGGACTCCAGATTTGCCCTCCTGCCTCCACCAATGCAGCTACTAAAAATATGTTTTCTTTCTTTCCACCTTGCTACCTTCAAGACCTAACTCACGTCTCACCTCTCTCATGAATCTAGTCCATGTTACTATCTGCCTTTTTTTAAAACATTTTTGCTAATAGTGTCTTAGATTTGTCTATTCCCTAATTTTTGACCCATATTTTAGCACCATGTTGGTTACACAAAGGTCTCTTGTTCACTGATTATTTCATGTAGTTTATCACTGAAAACATTAGAAGCAAGGAAATACTATAGAGTTCTTTGTACCTCATGGTGTTTAGCCCAAATTAGATTCAGTTAAACTTTCTTTGATTGTAAATTTTGATTTCCAGTTAATGTCCTAAGTTTCTGTCTTTCTTAACCACACTCTGAATTAGCCATCTCATTATAGTAAACATTAATATATCAATATAGACAAAGAAGCTTTTATTCTCCCTATTTGCCACAAATAAGGAAACTGAGGCTTAGAATAATATTTTTTGTCCAAAGTCACATATGGTGGCACATAGGAAATTGTTCTTTCAGTGCACAGATTTTTCTCATGGAAAATATACAACATTATAAGGGTATAAGAAAGTGAATGTGGATGACCTCATGTAGCTAATTTCTAGACTATAGTACCAATTTGCATGCATATCACAGAGAAAAGGTCTCAACCACAGGAAAGAGTAGGGCTTAGGACAGTGTCCAGCACACGGAAAGCATTCAAGAAATGTTTTACAGCTGGGCACGGTGGCTCACGCCTGTAATCCCAGCACTTTGGGAGGCCGAGGCGGGCGGATCACGAGACCACCCTGGTTGACCATCCTGGCCAACACGGTGAAACCCCGTCTCTACTAAAAATACAAAAAAAAAATTAGCCAGGCATGGTGGCAGGTGCCTGTAATCCCAGTTACTTGGGAGGCTGAGGCAGGAGAATCACTTGAACCCCAGAGGCAGAGGTTGCAGTGAGCCAAGATCGCACCATTGCACTCCAGCCTGGTCAGAAAGAGCGAAACTCCATCTCAAAAACAAACAAACAAACAATTTTCCATTATATGTTACTTATTATTATTATTATACATTTATTATATCAGAATCATCTGAGAAGCTTTTTTTTTCAAAATCCAAAAACCTGTCCTTCAAGGGCATAATTGAATAAATCAAAAATAAAGAGAAAGACATAGAAATGTGCAAAAATACTTTGAATTGAATAAGTCTCCAGATGATTCAGATACATCTCCCTTTTCCTGCCCACCAGTGCCTCCAACACACATATGACCCCTACCATCAAATCAAGAACCCCAAAGAATATGGGTCAGTACAGTTGGCCCTTCATATCCACAGGTTTCACATCCAGCTGCAGATGGAAACTCACAGATACAGAGGTCCCACGGCCCTATGCCATTGATTCTGGTGTCTGCTGGGGTTTCTGGAACCAATCCCCTACAAATACAGAGGGCAAACCGTGCTCAGTTCTTCAAGTAGAATTTAATCAACAAGCATGATTTGATTCTTTGTTATTATTTTGTTAGTATGATGATAATAAAAATGACTGGTCTCTTTCCAGTATAAACAAGTTTCTTAGATACGGTTCTGTAATTTTTCTGGCTAGTAGCCACAGTAGTGGCATGACTACAGAGAGACTAGGGCATGCCATATAATAAAGAAGGAATGTTGACACAAAAGAGCACAGCTACCTATGTCATCCACAAAATATGTGATGCAGACGGTGCATGGAAAGTTCGATTGCTGCTTCTTTGGGAAATGTGACAGAATACCTTGTGGTTCTGTTGCTGAGGAGAATTGTACTTATCCCAAGTAGAGGGCAGCAAAGTTTTGGGGGACAAGTCCCCTCATCATGCCTGTGTCTCTGCAAACAAAAGCTTAATAGGAATTAGGACCTCTTTTCCCCAGCTTCAAAAGAGAGTACCCTTTACCAAGCTACACAGACAACAACTGAAGAGTTTCCTCTTAAAAACAATTTGCAACTTGCAAAAGTCATTGTTTAGCTCTTGGATTTCACCAAATCTAAACAAGTTGGAATAACTTGAGTAGAGAGCCTGCTGGAAAATATTACAGGCTATACTCCATGCATACATAAGCCTTAAATCAAAGGCAAGACAGGTAACTTGGTTGTTTGTTTACCAGGGTTTCCATAAGCACATAGGAACAATATCCCATTTATTGTTCAGCTTTCTTGTTTCAAGCTATGTATAAATGTTTTTATTCATCTCAGCCCATATTTTTCTGTTAGAGTTTCTGTTTTTAACGAACATTTGGGTACTGAATACAGTGAAATTTTAGCTATTTATGAAAAAATGAGAGGAGTGAAGAGTTCAAGAGAGTTGAATCTTATACATAACTGGGCATTTAAACATCATTTATTTTTGTTTTCGCCACCTTTTTATGAAAATCTTTATTCTTCTCTACCTTTCTAACCTGTTGGATAAGTACTTTTTAAGGATGCAGTCTGGTACAGCAAAGTCATCATAGTTTATTGGGTATGTAGATGTGTATTTCTGGAGAAAAGCACTCAGCTACCATGCTCTACATTCTTGTGTTTACTTTATATGGTTCTTTTCTCAGGCCATGATCTGTCGCTTTCACTAAGTAGCATATCTAACTAACTCATTCCCTCCTCTAACTCTACTCTTATATTTTCCATGAAATCCAAGCCTAACCAGCTATCTGGGGGCTTTCAAGTGGCTTCTAAAAAGTCAAGTGCTCAAACTTTCATATAAATATTTGTGCAATCCATTTTGTTACCAAGAACAATTGTTTGCTTCTTTCTGTTTCTATGTTCTGTGTTCTGACAGTGAGATTAGAGACAGTAAAATTCCAGATAGGTAAGACGTAACTGACCTCTGTAAACTATCTTTCTTTTTCATGCACCTACTGACTTAGTTGAATTCTCACAATGACAATAAAGGAAGTAATCATCTAATAACAGCTACCATCCATGACACGTCTGCCAATGCCAGCTCTTCAACCTGAATGATTTCAATAGATAGTACTGCTCCTATGGGTAATACACTTTTAAGAGTGGGAACTGAAGTTCTTGGAAATGAAGGTATTCATGGAAGATCACAAAGCTTGTTAGGGGCAGAAATGAGATTTGAACCCAAATGTGGCTGTGTCTAACGCCTGTGTTATTTCCATTGTACGATGCCACACATAGTAATTGAAAACATTTTAAACTGTGACAAGATTTGGGATTGTATTTTCCAGTTTCTTAGCCAAACCTCTTAAATATTATACTTTCAGAATATGCAGTAACTGTTGTATATGGATTTTATTTTTAGTTTATATATAATAACAGTACATATTGATGGAGTACCTGTGAAATCCTAACACATGTATACAATGTGTAATGATCAAATCAGGGTAATTGGGTTATCCATCATCTCAAACATTTGTCATTTCCTTATGTTGGAAAAATTTTATATGTATTTTTTAAAACTGCCAAGTGAAGCTATTATTCTGAAGCTCCTGAAGAATAATTCTTTATATCAGAAATAGAAGAAATTCTTGATATCAGGAAATAGAACAGAGTAGCACAGGTTACTGAGGAAATTCTGGATTCCCCTCATGGATTTTGCCCTATGTGTGCGTGTTTTATTTATTTTTTATTGAATTATAAATAGGTAAATGTTGACATGGTTCAAAAAGCAAACAAGAAATTTGAGAAAATGTATAGAGTTAAAAGTCTCCTTCCCTTACCTATTTTCTTTGGCCCCACATCCAACAACCTTCATAGGTCACTGACAAGCTTGTATATCTTTCCAGTATTTGTGTAGGTCGATGTAAGCATTGTGTTTTTGAAAGATAGCATAATATATATCCTTTGTTTACTTCACTAACAATATACCTTGGAGGTTTTTCCGTATCACTAAATAGAGAGGATCCTCATTCTTTTCTATCTGGTTTCAGTGTATTCTATTTTATGATGATACCATGATTTATTTGAACAGTCTCTCAATGCAACTTTGGGTTGTTTCCATTTGTTTGTTCCTCTAAACCAAGCCTAAATGAATTACTTCGAACAAAAGTTATTTTGGACTTATGCAAGCCATAGGATCAATTATCACAAATAAAACTCTGGGTCAGAAGGACATACATTTGTAATTTTGGATATTTTTCAATTGCCCTCCAAAAGAGTTGTGCCAATTTTCCATGAGTGACAGTGCCCATTGCCCCACAACATTGCAGTAAAATGGATCAAATGTTTTGATTTTTGCTTATCTGTTAAGTGAAATATAACATCTCAGTAAAATTTAAATTTGTACTTACTTCTCTTATTATGAGGGATACAAATAATCTGTTCATATATTTAAGATATTCACATTTCTTTAACTGTGAACTGCTTATTCATTTGCTTTGCCCTTTTTCCTGTCAGGTTATTAGTCTAAGAGGCCACATATTTTTTTCTAACCTGTCATGTGCCTTTTGACTCTGCTGACGGTAGGGCTTTGTTTTGTCTTTATAGGAAGAAATCATTTTTTTTTAGCACAATCATAATTATTTATCCTCTCTGGATTCTGAGTTGTGGTTAAATAGACTATTTTTCACCCATTGGACAAAGTTCTGGATTTGATGATATCTAAGTTTGTAGCATAGTGTCAAGCACATTAGATAGGACTCAGCAGGCTAGAGTGTTAGGCCTACGTCCACACTTATCACTAGGCAAACTTTGTCAAATGATGTGACTCTGGTGGATACCCAGCTACAGAATCAACCATTATCCATCCTCTTGTTTTCTGAATAGTATAAGCAGTTAGCTCATGAGAGAAACAGAAATGGCTTCGAAACTAAATAGCCAAATTCATCCTAAATTGAGAATAAATGGTCCCAGGAAATTACATATTAGTAAACCTGGGATGCCAAAACAAGACTGGACGGTTTTACCAACAGAAATTTATTTTCTCACAGTTTTAGAGGCTGGTAAATCCAAGATCAGTGTGGTGGTGAATTGGATGTCTGATAAGGGCTCTCATCCTGACTTGCAGGCAGCCAGCTTCTCACTGTGTCCTCATGTGGCGGAAAGAGAGGGAAGAAGACATTTCTGGCTCTTCCTCTACGTAGAAGTCCACCAACCCTATCAGATTAGGGCTCCACCATTATGTTCTCGTGTAACCTCAATTACCTCCTGAAAGCCCTATGCCCAGATATAGTCACAATAGGGATTAGAGCTTCAATGTGGGTATTGGAAGGGGGCGCTTAATTCCATCCATAGCAAACTGGATAAACAAATTAACCAACTTTGCAATGTAGAAGCAAATTCCTTCAAATATAGATCAAACATCAATACATGAATCTTTCAAAAGCATTAGAATGATCACATCAGAGCAGTAAAGCAAAAGTATCATGGTTAGAATCCTGAGGTTCTATCTTAACATTTATTTCGTTTTGGTTTAACTTCCTTTTTTACAATGAAGTACAGATGAAGGGAGTGGAGAGTGAAGAATGTGTTCCCCAGAAAAGCATCTTAAGAGAGTCTGAAGCTTGGATGTGAGCAGCCCAAATCAGGCCTGATGCTGTGCACCTGCTCAGCTTTGCACCAGGGAAAGCTGCTGGCTTATCACCACCTCAGGCTTTCTCCCATTCCACATCTTCCAGAAATCCCCGGCTCCAAAAACTCAGTTTTCAATTCATGTGGCAGGTAGAAGAGCCAGACTACAAGTACAGTAAAAATATCATGAGGATTTTCACTGGCAAAATGCAAATATAAAAAAGTAACAACATGCCCTTCATCCACTAATTTTATAATTCTTCTGAGACAAGCGATAAAGTTTTTTTTGCCTGGTTTTATTTCTCTTTCTTTATATACACACATAATGTTTCCCATTGTATTCTTTATGTTTACAGATAGTCTCTTTGCTCCATTACTTTCCTAAATCACATGGAAATCACTTGCAGTGTTTCTAGGGCTAAACGAGAGTAAAAACAGGAAAAAGTGGCAAATTGGATGCCAGGGATGGCCCTTAAGCAGGCTGTTCTCACACGGTAACATGCTCTCTCCTTCTGAGGCCTGGTTAAATCTTGACTGAACTAATTGGATTATGCAGTGGTCAGTCTGTTAATGAAAGTGCTGCTCATGTATACAGCACTTTAACTTTCAGAGGATTGCAATATTTACAACCTAATTTTATCCTGATAGTAGCTTGAGTTAATTAACTAGGCTAAAACCTTTATCCTCATTTTCTAGATGACATAACTAAGGACCTGAGAAGTCTAGATTTATGGTGTCCAAGCTGAAAGTCTAGTTCATGTCTTGGGTATCCTGACTTAATTGATCATTTTGGCTTGTGCTACTTGAATTCAGCTTGAAGCTGGCTGAAATGACATGGTTGACCAAACCACTGCCAGTCAGAAACTCAGCCTCAGGCAACTGCTGCTGAAAGGAAAAAGGAGCCTTGGATCTATGTAGACAGCTACACTAGTCAAGTCTGATCAAATTTATTTATTCCCAGAATTATTGGATCAAGGTGGTTCAGACAACTTGTGTCTATACAGAGCAAAAAGATACTGAGGAACTAAATCAGTTACCTATAAATTTCTGACTTGAGGGTCCTAACTGCATTGAATCACTAACATTTGGTTAAGGATTGGCTTCCATTAATAGACATAGGCATTTTCTCCTTGGAAAAAGAAATGTTCTGTGAATAGTCTTTTAATTAAATAGCCACAATTGTATCATGAATGCCACTAGAGAAGGTAGAGTGAAGGAGTCATGCTAAAGTGGGATCTTAGGGGTGAAAAGTGGGATGATGGACATACACAATAAGTCAGAGAGGCAATAAAATAAAGTGACTGTAACAAGAAAACCATGAAGAAGGCATCAAACCCTACATGGGCTGTAACCATACTTGTAATGATCACTTAGTTGCTCCTTTCAACCATGAAATGTCAGGCATGGAATCATAGAATTTCAATCTTTAAAATTCCTGTATGGTTAATATTTTTCTCATGACATTTGTCACATCACATATATTTAAAGAATTTGAAAAGTACAAAGAAGAAAAGAACATTCATCCATATTCCTACCCATCATTAGACACCTTGGTGTCTTTAGGGTCCTATCCTCCACAAATCAGTTCCCTGATGCTGATACTGGTTCCTCCATGTGTCCCACAGCAGACTCACCCAGGACTGGACTTGAAAACCCAAAAGCTTTCCTTGCTGTCTGCCCTTATCTAACCACTGAAGCCTTGTGTTCTGTTCTTTCCCCTCCAGGCTTGGTTTCCAGATTTCCAAGAATACAGCCAGCTACTCTGGTAACCAATTTGTGCCAACATGTTGATTAATGGATACAAATGTGCAAATCACACCAACCTTTCTTCTCTCCTGGGTGATCTGTATGTTTTAGCTGTGAGATGCCTTCTGGAGCTGTAAGGCTTGATGCAATGGAAATAGCCATTGTGGAACCCAACCGAGAACTCTTTGGTAGCACCCGCATATCACACTAAATAGGCAACCACTTGTTGCAACTAACACTTAGTCAGCTTCTTTTGCCAGATGGTGAAAGCCGTAGATAAAAGAACCCAGAAATCCAACCCAAACTAGTTACTGAAAGGGCCCGGATAAAACTTGGCTCCACAGATGCTCATGAGCTGGGAAATGGCAGGCAAACATGCAGTGAGTTATGGAAGTCATGCAACAGCCCTGGCCTTCTCTGAGATTCATTTTTTTGCAGAAAGGATATAGTAACAGCTAAATTGGGTCAGATCTGCTGCAGTGGCTGGAATAAAATAACAAAGACAAAAGCTTGCTGTGCAAAGAATTATAGGACACATGAAACCCCATGAGACTATCTATGCTATTATTCACCAAGGCGAGCCTTAGATGTACCCGGAGAGACGTCTGCCTTCACCACAATTCTGGGTTTCAAGATAATGATGTTGGATGTTCCAGCCTCAGAACTGTGGTGAAAACTCCTAACATCATACCAGTGTCTTTGCATATCCCTGGCTATTGGGTTGGTGATAAAATAAAGGGAGCACTCTATACCTGCTCCAAACGGCTTTTGGCTGAGATTCTAACATTATAATAGCATTGGAAATTAACAATGTGCTAGAAATGTTTTGTCTATATTATGTAAACTTTATAATAACGATGAAGACAGATATGTATTTACAGAAAGAGAAACTGACTCCCCAAATTTTTACATAATGGGCTTGTGGTCATACTGTTAGCAAAGGGACAAAGCTAATATTGACATTTGGGTCTACATGGCCCTGAAGAACGTCTTTTTATTATTATGCCAAGTTATTTCTAAGATGCAAATGAGTCTGTGGAAATTCAAAAGATGCTTTTTTTTTGAGACCGAGTCTCACTCTGTCGCCCAGGGTTGAGCTCAGTGGCATAATCTTGGCTGACTGCAACCTCTGCCTCCAGGATTGAAGCGATTCTCCTGCCTCAGCCTCCCAAGTAGCTAGGATTACAGGCGTCCACCACCATGCCCAACTATTGTTTTTGTAATTTTAGTAGAGACGAAGTTTCACCATGTTGGCCAGGCTGGTCTCGATCTCCTGACCTCAGGTGATCCACCCGCCTCGGCCTCCCAAAGTGCTGGGATTGCAGGTGTGAGCCACCACACCTGGCCAAAAATGCTTTTCTTTTAGTTAGTCTCCATAAAGGTTGTATGATACTCACCCAGAGATTAAAGGCAATACACAGATGGAATGGCAATTCATCATAACTTCCAATTATTTAATTCACCTTCAGATTTCCACCCGTCAACTTCCTTTATTCCTTAAAATATCTGTGAGGTTAAAACACAAAATGTAAATGGTAGAAGAGGTTCAGCACAAATCCATCTTCCCCATCACTTTCAAAGACTACTTAACCTCCACCTAAGACATTCTGAGTTTGTTAAATGATAAATCCAAGTCAGCCAGGGGTCTCCAGAGGCCTTTTTGCTCTGTTCAGGACTACAGTTAGATGACTTCCAATTATTTTCCCCTTCCTAAGGATTCACAAAGATCAGTGTGTTACCTGAATGATGAGGCCAGATACTCTGAATTCAGATTTAGCATTTCCCAGTTTCACCCCTTCCCTCTCCATCTCAACGTTGTTTTTTCCAAGGAGTCTGTTACTTCCCTAGTAACCAGAGTAGGACAGGGCAGGTGCCATTCCCACTGTAGGGTACATGCAATGAGAGGAAGAAATTAACACCCTTACATATATACAGGGCAGTCCATTAATAGTCTAAGTTGAATTAATTAAGGCAATTACTAGTTTTCCCCTAAAAAGCAGAACACTTTAAACTCAGGGGGAAAAAACCAGAAAGTAGAAAAATATTATCTGAAGAAAGAGGCTATTTAAAAGCATGGAGCCTTGGAAAGTGCTATAACTCCTGGCAGATCTTGGAGGGCTCAGGAATGGGTCTCATGTTGCCTGAAAAAAAAATAATTTAACCTGGTTTTGCCTGGAACACTGAAGATTAACTCATGATTTGCACATAGAATAATCATTAAGGCAAAAGTTTTCACCTATTGATGATCTTTGCTCTAGAACTAAAACTTTACTGTAGAACAAAAACTAAAATCGATGTTCCCTATTTGCCAATTTTACACCCTTTGAGGTGTTAACCATAAATGTGTAAGCTTCAGATTTTCATTTCAGGTACAAACTAATATTTTAACAGGAAACCTCTGGTAACAATGTCATAACACAATAAAATCAGTCTATGGATACTCATTTCACTTAATGAGGCAGATAAGTTTGGCTAGGAAGGGCCATATAGTAATATAAATTCTCCTTAAGAACCAATCAAAAGTATGTAATGTGTATTGACTTTGGAATTCAAGCACAATGAAACCTTACTTACTCTGCATAATGTGGTCATTATTACTACACTATTAGTTTATTGAGCCACAGGAATATTAACATTATATCCTGTTGAAGAGCCTTGATTAGTTAGGAGTAGGTCAGAGAGTGAAAGTAAGTGAAGAAAATTCTAACCTAACAGTTAGAAACTACAAGAGCGTTGATTTTTTATGTAAAATATGGGTAGATGATCCTGGACTGACATAGTACTCTGAGATACCATGCTCCTTTAGTGCATAGTCTCAATCTCTTGGTCCAAGTGGCAGCAACTGCATTCTAGGTACTGTGTTAGTATGGAGAAAAGAAATGTCAGGAAAGGCATTTCCTGAAATTGTATATACCACTTTTACTATCATGACATTGGCCGGAATCATTCGGCCATGACTTGGTGCAGAGGAGGCTGGAAGTGTAATCTTTATTCCCAGTATTCATAAAAAATGTGGAAATTCTATTATTTTGGGGGAAGAATGAGTGAATTGACATCAGGTTATTTACCACAAGCTCTATTAAGAATTAGGCAAAAACTGGAAGAGAAGCCATCAAAGCTCAATGTGTGCATGTGGATGGGTGAGAAGGTGTGTGCTTTGTTTGTATTTTTCATAGCATCTATAACAGACATCTCCTTGCTGATGGGTTTCTACTCAAGAGACAAGACATGCATGTGGGGAAAGATATCGAGAGATACAGGTGGGAAACCAGAAGAGCCAATGAGTGATAGAAATGGGATGTGCAGTGGTTCTTCAGAGGATACAGGTTTTACTGTAGTCTTCAGCAGTAGGCTTCTGGGAGGAGTTGAGGGTTGAGGAAGGCCCCTGAAAATGCTGACATTCATAAGTAGGCAGAGAAGAGGAAGAAAAGACCAGGGAAGGGACATAGAATATTAAGCAATGGCATAAAAAGAAGAGTAAGTCTAATCCGGCTACAATATCCCTGCTGCACAGTGTAAGACAAACATTTTTCATTTTTAGTTTCTGTCATTTCAAATATTTATTTAATACAAATATTTCTTTTCTTTTCTTTCTTTTTTTGTTTTTGAGATAGAATCTTGCTCTGTTGCCAGGCTGGAGTGCAGTGGTGCACTCTCATCTTATTACAACCTCCGCCTCCCGGGTTCAAGTGATTCTTCTGCCTCAGCCCCCTGAGTAGCTGGGACTACAGGCACACACAACCACACCCAGCTAATTTTTACATTTTTAGTAGAGATGGAGTTTCACCATGTTGGCCAGGATGGTCTCAATCTCTTGACCTCGTGATCCTCCCGCCTCAGCCTCCCAAAGTGCTGGGATTACAGGCGTGAGCCACCATGCGCGGTTACAAATACTTCTTTAATGCCCAGTCTGCATCTAATACCTAAGAGTCATGCACCTAAGAGCCATGACTCCATTCAGAACCCTTTCCTTGAGAACCACGTAAATTATTCAAATAAATATTTTAGGGAAATATATAAAATTATATAAGGCTTAGTGTACAGAATCGGGTGAAATAATGGTGGAAAAGAGCTGAGACATGTAGACCAAACAGAATCAAAATCAATAATTAATCTGAATTAACCAGGTAATAGAAAGGAGAGGATTATAGGGTTAAAAATAAAAGACAAAAACCTGATGAACTTAAATAATCATCTCCTCTTGTTTTTTGTCTATGAAGTGTCAGAGAAGGGTTTCTTCTTTTCTTCCTTCTTTTCTTTTTTTTCTTTCTCAGTGTAGACGTTCCTATTAGACTATAAGCTTGAGGAATGCCAGGACTACATCTGTCTTCATTGCTGCTCTACTTCCAGTGCCTAGCAAATTGAAAATGCAAAAATATTTGCTGAATCAAATTGAAATCTTAATCACAAATATGTATATGTATGCATTTAAGAATATTACTTGTGTAACACATATAAATGCAAACCCAAATATATATAATTAAAAATAGGCTCATAAACAAATTTGATTGCAGAACACCAAATTTTAAAATTTTTTGTACTTATTTAAACAATGACTGGAAGCAGCTCAGAAATGTTTGACTGTATGCAGGTCAATGATAAGAACACAATAGTTATATTTTGCTGGTAAAGTCATTTTAAACTTGTGAATCATGTACCTACATATGAGTGTTTAAGAAACTATTTAACCTTTTACAAAATATTGTCTTTGGGTTTATTAATTTATTGTATCTTTACTGTCTTTTTAATTAATTTCTGCTATTATTTAAAATATTTATTATTTCCTTTCTTCTGCTTGTATAGATTTATTTTGCTGTTCTTTTTCCTAACTTCTGTAAACTGATAATGAGATGATTGATTGATTGATTTTTTAGCTTCTACAATTTTCCATTATATATGTTAGGGCTACAAGTTTTATTCAAATCATGACTTTAGCTGCATTGCCAAAGTTTCATTATATTGTATTTCAGTTAGTTATAATCTATCATCGTGATTTTTATTGTGATTTCTTCTTTGACTCATGAACTATTTAGAAGTACATTGCTTAATTCCAGATAGGGATTTTATGATTTTAATGGATTACCTCTTTGATACTAATTTATAGCTAATGCCATTTTTTAATTTTAATTTTTGTGGGTACATACTAGGTACATTTAATATTATTTATTTATTCTTTTTTTTTTTTTTTTTTTTGTAAAAGCAGGGTCTCCCTATATTGCCAAGGCTGGTCTTGAATTCCTGGGCTCAAGCGATCTTCTTATTTCAGCCTCCCAAAATGCTGGCATTACAGGTGTGAGCCACCATGCCCGGCCAGTTAATTTTATTTTGATCAGAGATCATTCTGTGACTTTTAAAATGTTTTAATCCTTTGAAATACGTTAAATCATGCTTTATAGTTCATGAGCCATGCACATCTTTCCAGTTTTTCCATTTGTCTATGCTTGAGGCTGGATATATTTTATTGTCCTAACTGCCAGTTTACCAGTCCTCTCTTTCATTGTATTTAATCTGCCAATAAACCCATTTATAAAACCCTTACTTTCTGTCACCGAGTTTTTTCTTCTAGAATTTCTATTTCTTTTCTTTTTAATAAGAGGTATGCATCTGGTTAACTTTTGCAACTTCTCTTTTTCTAAATATGTAAATAGCAGGTATTTTACAATCCGTAACTGATAACTCCAAAATCTGGATAACATTTTACTGCTTTATTCTTTTTTCTTTTATTCATCTTTTTAAATGCTTAGTAACTTTTTAAGTTTTTTAATTTGACACAGAATAGATGTACATCTTTTCAGAGTATATGTGATAATTTAGTATATTCAAATATATGTCTTTTCTTTATGCATATTATTCTCTTTTAGCTACTTTAAAATGTACAATAGATTGTTGTAAACTATAGTCACTCTACTGACCTATTGAACACTAGGTCTTTTTTCTTTTATCTAACTGTGTATTTGTACATATTAATAAACCTCTTTTCATTCCTCTCCTATGAGTCCTAACCTTGGGGAACTCGTAATGCCTAGTACTATTGATTGAATGCTAGATATTATGTACAAAAATTACAGAAGTTCTGGTCAATGTCACATTCATCTGGAAAAAATGTATTTTTGATCTTTATGAGCAGTTTACCTTAATTTAGTCAGATATTGAACTGATTTGGAGCTGGACTTCTATCACTCTAAGGCCTATTCCATTTTGATCAGAGATCATTGTGTTTCTAGGTTACCCTTACCTTTAAGATGAAGGCTTCAGGAATTTTAGATGAAAGCCTGGGAATACTTATCAGAACTCCTCTTTCTTGGTGGAGCCTGAACTATAAATTTTTTTTCACATATTTTGTCTGCACAATAACTCTGTTTAGATTTTTAGCCTGTTAGTGTGTTTTCTCTTTGACCTCTCAATCTCCTGTTTGGGAACCATCATACTCCTCACTAGGAAAAACGGTATAAGAGTTTAATTATTTGTGTTTTTCTTCTCAGTGTCTTTGGTCCTTCAAGTCCTAGCTGCCTTGGAAGCCCTAAACTGCATTTTTTTTTTCTTCTCAGTTTCTGATATTATCAGACTCTGCTCAGCTCTTCTACCTTTTTGCTTCTACTTTCTACTTCGTTTTTCAGACTCTTGCTTTATGTGAGTTTTCTGAATCAGCAAATGCTTTGAGGAAAGAAATAGTGAAGACTACCAGGTTTTCCTCAATGCATTTTCCTTTTTGAGAGAATCCTGGCACCTAACGTTTTGACTTCCTTGATTGTTCTCAAATGCCTTCGAAGAGATGTGCTTTATTCTAAGCAGGTGAGTAGGTACAATGCAAGTTACTCCATTGTAGCCGGAAACAGAAATCTATTTATTTCTCCATATAACTAAAAACCTACTATAAGTTACCCTTAGTGTTAACCTCAAGTTCTGCTTAGCCAGCAAAGTCATGTAGAGTGATACAGAGAGCTGGGGAATTTCAATAACAGAGTAGAGGGAGATCACGGTAGAGAAGGATCTGGTTGGAGCTTGCAAATAATCTGGTAACTACTCCTGAGAAGGTGATCCAATCGGTTGTTGCCTCCTCTGGCCAGGACTCCTGTATGTCTTCAGCTGAACTGCTTCCCTTCTCTAGGTCTCTTTCCCCCCCAAGGCCAGAGTCTCCTGAATGTTAGTGTGTATGGCCAGGTAGGACCCCATTTGTGTTTTCCTTCTCTGTGACTTTGGCCCTTCAAGTCCTAGCTGCCTTGAAAGCCCTATGGTGCATTTTTTTTCCTTCTCAGCTTCTGATATTGTCAAACTCTGCTCAGCTTTTCTACCTTTTAGCTTCTACCTTCTACCTGCTGTTTCAGACGCTTGCTCCATGTGGGTTTTCTGAATCAGCAAATGCCTTAAGGAAAGAAATAGTGTAGAATATCAGGTTTCCCTCAGTGCATCTTCCTTTTTGAGAGAATCTTGTACTTTACATTTTGACTTCCTTGCAGTACCTCTTCAGAATCACAAGGGCTAAACAGGTAAGTATCTGATCTAGGCACTACAGGGAAAGCTTGATGATAAATACAGAAAATAGTTTATGCAGATGTTTGTTTGTGGGGAGGTATCAAATGTTAGGGATGAGTTGTGGCATGGAGAAATCTATGGCAAGGAAAATCCCTAGTAGTAGTTAGTATCCAATAAATACTTTGAAATCACTGAAGCAGAGTGCTTCTTTCCCTCCTTCACTTAAAATCCCCTGGGCAAGACAGAACACTTGTATTTATACTAGAGATACAATACTTCTGATTTTTTTTCCAAGCTAACAGATTTAGCTAACTAACTGAAAACTAGACCTTGAGTAAAAGCTACTGAGTAGATAAGAGAAACTGTTTTTACAATGTATGAGGACATTTTCAGCAGCATCTCTCATGCTGCCTCCTCAGTTCTCCTGCTGGTGTCTTCCCTCCCTCTTCACAATAGACAGACTGATTTCCACATAAACTTAAATCCCATTCAAACCAATCTGATTTAAGGAAAAATTTTAAGTAATCTTTTCATCTCCCTTTTAACCAATAGGGTGATAAAAAGAAACTGGTTTGTGCAAGTCTTGTTGGAGCAGCCTAACATGATCTGGTGCTGAATATTTAATTTCCTGCCAGGATAGCCTATTTCTGTACTGATCATTGGACATGACTCACTGCCCTACAGTGGTTCCACTCTGACCAGTAGGATCCCTCCACTGAAGTTTCAGAAACAGAGATGCCTTCTTGGACATCCCCTCTGTGGATTCGTAGAACTCCCCATTTGCTGTAATCTCTATTATGACCATCATTTCCCATTGGTCTGATTTGCCTTGTATCCGCATTGCCAGATGTAGGTCCCTGCCTTAGTCTTGCAATCTCCTTCCTTCTCCCGGGGTCATGAGCAGGTCTTCCAGAGGCTGGTGGCAGGGTGTTGCCACCCTAGATTTACTCTCACAGTGTCCTGTCTGCTTATTGGCACACCCACAACTTTATCTTTGACTCTTTATCTCCATTGTGTCTAAACTTAGTGTCGCTGGGGGAAGGCTTGCCCTGCTTATCTTGCTGACCCATGGCTTTCAGCCATGACTTTTACCCAAAGTCTGTCACACCTTCTTCACAGACACAGCATTAAGTTCCAACTCTTTTCACACCTGCTCTGGCACAACTAATAAATATATAAATCCTAAGATAAGGAATATAATTGCCTTCTATCAGCCTTGTGTTTTATTATGCTAGAGAAAAGGCGTAGTCACTACTTTCATTAAAGAGGCATTCTTATTGAAAGACTAGCATGCACAAACAAGTCAACATTTTATCTTATGCATGAAGGTTTAAGAAAGTTAAGTTTTATTAGCTTGTTCATTTTATTTTTCCTTTCTGTTCTCAAACTTGAGAATATTGGTTAGAGGTAATTGCGTTATACATCACAATGCTGCAACCATATACAGGTTGCTGCAGTGGTTAAAGCATTAGATACAGATAGTAATACTATCTAAAAGTTGTTACATCACCATAAACAGAATTTTATTATTATCATTATTATTATTATTAGAGACGATAGCTCACTCTGCCACCCAGACTGGAGTGCAGTGGCACAGTCACAAGTTAGAGCAGCCTATACCTCCCAGGCTCAAGCAATCTTCTCACCCCAGCCTCCCGAGTAGCTAGGACCACAGGTGTGTACTACCATGCCTAGCTATTAAAAACAAATGTTTTGTAGAGATGGGGTCTCCCTATGTTGTCCAGGTCGGTCTCAAACTCCTGGGCTCAAATGATCCTGCTTCTTCGGCCTCCCGAAGTGCTGGGATTATAAGAGTGATCCACGGCACCTAGCCCACAAACAGAATTTTAAATGACTTGATGAAATGATACAAAAAATAAATATAATCCAGGTGATGTGGAAACCACTCTCATTTGCTTGCCATCTTATGTGTCAGACACTGTGCTCTACTGTCTTATACACATCATCTCATTGTTTAGAGAGAAGGAACTGACGGTGGAGAAGTTGAGGAATAAAATGAAAATGAATATACACACACATATAATTTAATCGGTTGAAAAAAATGTCAGACAGGGCTTGATGAAAATTATTTTTAGATACAAGTTTTTTTCCCCAATTTTAAATAATGGATGATACAGAGTGATTAGAGACAATATTATGGGTTTCCACAATATTGTCCATAAGGAAATGTATTCATTTATAATACTATGGGAGATGTCCAGGTGTATATGACTTTGGTAAAATTGACTGAGGATCTGGATAAGCAAAGTTGTGAGTTATTGTACTCAATCATCATTTTTTATTGAATTCAGAGGGATCTTCAATCAACTTCTCTGCTGACCTGAAACTAAGGGATTTAAGCATCTATCTGGATTAAATGTATCTCCCAGGCTAGGATGGAATCTTACCTTTCATAGTATATTCCACAGTCCCTACCATTGTGTCCAGTGGCTTATAATATTAAGGATGGATGTAGCCTACATTTTCAATATGAATATATGACATTGTAATTATTAATTTTTCTTTGCAAAAAGTGTGCCAACCATTTTCAGAAATACCTCATACATATTTCATACTTACGGCTTGTTTTTAACCTCTCAAAATATTGTTTCTTTTACTTTTACTCTGAAACATTTTGTTACTTTCAATTATTACAAGACAAAAATTTAAGTAATTGGCTGAGAGAATATTGGTCTAAATGAAACATTCAACCCAATTTTGTTTTCTTTGGACCACCGTTTAAATGGAAAATGAACAATTGCAAAGTGTATGTCAAATTATTTTCTCAAAGAGATACTGCCCAGATATCTCTCCTTTGAAGGCTCACTGAGATGGCCATTTGCCGAACCTCCTAGTTCCTAGTTTTCTTTTTCCTGGTGTGCATTGGTCTGCAGAAAGTGTAACCAAGCCCTGGCATCTGAATACAATGGGAAGGACTCTGAAACTACAGCCCAATGTGCTAGTTTTAAATCTGGCTTTATTACCTGCATGCTTATCTTTCTGGTTCTCAGTTTTCTCTCATCACGAAAATGAATTGTTTTGGTCCAAGTGATCTCTAACAAACTGCCAGCTCTTTAATTTGAAGTCTCAATGATTTGTTTAGTTTAGAAGGCTGAAATCAACAAGCCTATTCAATACTTACTAAAGAGGCCATGTAAGGAGCATCCAGGTATCTCTTTGCTGCTTTCTGGCTAGGCAGTCGTGCAATAGAATGGCTATGTGAAGCAATGGATAAGAGGATGGGCTCTGGAGTCAAATTACCGGGCTTTAAATCCCAGTTCCAACAACTACTGGGTGTAAAACTTTCCTCAATTTGTCTCAGTTTCCCAACTGGTTCAGTTCCATGGATCTTGTATTGAATCACTTGGAGCTGGGGTTGAACCAAATGACATTTTTAAAGATCTATCTAGTGTCAAGATCCACAGTACTATATTTGATAGGTGCGCTGATGCAAATAACTATCAAGGAACAAAGAGTGACTCTGTGGATTTCAACTTCAGAGTTTGAAATGAATCCAATGTTCAGGAAGCAGAGCTCAAATTAATGTTTTCCCATGGCCATCCTCCTACCATTAAAAAACTGTCCTCTACCCAGATCTCTCTAATGCTCATATGATGTTCACCAAACTAAGAACCAACTCTATTTAGCAATAATAGGCTGACAATTTCACATGTTTCTAAAATACTCCATGGTAAACCTGAATGATCTAGCTAGGACTAGCCAGGTTCCTTTCTATCTATGTCCTTTGCTTCTTTTCAAGGCAGTTCAAGTTGTCCATAAAAGCTTGCATCTTAACTGTGGCTTACTTGGATCTCTCTCTTCTTTCCATCTCTTAGCTTCATAGTATCATATAGATAGAGAACACTTTATAGGTCATCTCACCTAAGCTCTTTCCTATAAGATAATCCCTTCTATACACTCACATTAGTCAATAGCAGATATAGTTCCATATCATGTCTTGTATTTTTTTCTTACTGTTTACATGTCGTCTTGTCTGACAAAATTGCAAGCTGCATGAGATAGGCATATTAGTCCATTTTCACACTGCTGTGAAGAAATAGCTGAGACTGGGTAATTTACAAAGAAAAGAGGTTTAATTAACTCACAGTTCCTCATTGCTGGGGAGGCCTCAGGAAACTTACAATCATGGCAGAAAGGGAAGCAAACACATCCTTCTTCACATGGCAGGAAAGAGAAGTGCAGAGTGAAGAGGAGGAAAGCCCCTTATGAAACCATCAGCTCTCATGAGAACTCACTATCAAAAGAACAGCATGGGGGAACTGCCCCCATAATCTAATCACCTCCCACGTGGTCCCGCCTACAACACATGGGGATTATGGGAACTATTAATACAATTCAAGATGAGACTTGGGTGGGAGCATAGCCAAACCATATCACAAGGGAAGGGCTGTGTATGGAGGACTCTTCTGCTACTAATAGCTAGAGCTGGCCTTGGGTATGAGGTTAAGAATAAGCAGTAACCTCTGTTCTTCAGGTTCAAACACTAAGAGATGAAAGCAGTAGAATGACAGATTGGGTTCACATACATTGCATGAGTCTCTTTAAAAAACTAAAAGTTATCAAGGTGAAAAACATTTCATCATAGTTTTTATATTTGCAGTACCAAGTTCAGGTCAAATATACTAAGTTCTAATGAACGTTTATTGACAAATACATATGCTATGTATCTCCTGTACTCTCACAGCCCCTAACATAACCTTGGCCACATAGGTGCTTTTCATACATTATTTCATTTAACTGCATTTAATCCTCATTGAAACTCTAAAGAGTTGGTGCTACTATCTATAAGCTCATTTTTTTCAGATGAAGAAGCTAAAATGCAGAGAGGTAGCTTGACTAGTTTTCCTCAGGGTGAGTCAAATTCAAACCTGTCTAACTTCAAATCCAAATTCTTCTCCTGTTACAAGATGACCTTGTGTTGCAAGTATGTAAATTCACGGAGAGTCTTTACTCTTCATTCTAAATCGACCTGGAGGGCCAGCCCCATCTTTGACACATTCCCTGTAGTCCTGCTGAAGAAGTGCTTGGGGCTACTGGGCCACGGGGGTACCATCTTCTTGGCCTCAGCCATGGGTACCAGGAATGTGCCTTTGACGCACTGAAGGCAATCAGATATTTTCCTATGAGGAAGCTGTATTCCAGAAAAGATTGCCAAAACAGTTGGAGGTTATCATGGAGGGTTAGGAAAACCAAAGTCAGATGTAAGCTAAAGTTATATAGGAGCAAAAGCAAGAATCTTGCAAAGAAAATTTGTCTCCAGATGGATAAAAAGAAACACAGGCAGGCAAGAGTCAGTATGGCCCTGGAGAGGGAGACAGAGGAGCTGCCTGGCAACTTCCCAATTCCCATGAGGCCTGACTATACTTCTGATATCTGTCTTCTAGGAGGTTCACCTTTATCTTTTTAATAGATTCCCTTTTAACGTAAACAAGCCATCCCTACAATGACCTTTCTGTGCATCCCTTTTTCTCTTACAGCCCATGTGGGTGGGATTTTTAGGGAGAAAGAAGAACCTCCATGATTCTGTGGTATTCCTCTGAGATCTCTTTTTGGCTCCTATGCCAACAGAGTGATATAAACATAAACTCCTGACGGCAGGGCTCCTAAGGCCCTGCTAGGAATTGGGAACATTTCAAATATTGCTTCATATTTGGAGCACTCTGAAGTCGCAGTGACAAATTTACCAAAGAGCCAGAAAATGAAAACCCAGAAGAATGCTCTTCTCTACCTTGTTGCCTTTCAAGTAGTGAAAGCCAGTCTCTTGGAGGATGCTTACAAGGATAAGTGTGCCAAGAAAGCTTCCTTTAGTGAATTTCTTGCAGCCAGGAAAGCAAAGTTTCCAAAACTAAAATCTAGTCATTGTTGGACCTGGGATTCCCTTCCTGGGACAATTACATTGTGCTCCTCCTTAGCGCCTTGTTGCTTAGCAACCACAGTAGTATCAGGGGAAGGAACTGGAGAGATGAGTCTTTTCCAAAGTGGGGCTGGAGTGGAAGGAATCAGGAATGGAAATTACCTTCTCATTTCCTAGAGAGAAAAAGATATGCTATGGACCCCAGAGGTGGCAAAATTAGGCTGCATCAGGAAGGAGTCATGTCCACACGATATTTTAATAATCAAAACTAGTATTTGAACAGAATTATTTAACTTTGTAATGTAACCGTACATCTGATCTTTCCTGTGAGCCTCATAATCATTAATATCTTAGGGCAAGACTGTAAGTTCTCAGCTTATAGAGAACTGAGGTAGAGAGGTCTGAAATTGGCTCAGCTTCACCCAGACAGTTAATGGCAGAGCAGGACTACATTCCAACACTCATTTTCTTTCTCTCCACAATATCCTTGATTGATTCATTCATGCATTCATGAAGCAAGACTAACGTTCATCTCATATGCATAGATAGGCATGATGATCTTAAAATACTGGAATTTTAAAATAATTACTGCTCTAAACTCACCCCCATGCCTCTCATTCTGACATTCTGTCTCCTGAACTCCACAGGATCATATAACCGAAAGGAAATCACTTGGCTGAGCAGAGCCATGGGTCTGCGTCCACTCTATGGATTGATTCCATATCAGGTTGGTTGTCAAATATTTTTGACATTCCACCAGTACTTACTGGGCATATACTGGGCTCCAGGTACAATCTTATCCAGGGAAGATACAGAAGTATAATGCAAAGTCCTTGATCTCAAGGACTTTTAAAAATTTTCCCCTCAATCTGCAGTTGGGAGGAAATAAAAAAATAAAGACCCCAAATTTTTTCTAGAATACTTCTCAAGACAGGGAGCTCAATATTATTTAAGTAATGATTTGTTCTCAATGTAGGTTCAATAACAGTATTTTTCATTATATTGAGCTAAGGTCTGCCTCCTCATAACCTCAGCTGACCAGGGCTTGTTATCACCCACCCCTCCACCCTCGAGCAGAGTCAAGCAATCTCTTTTCTATTTTCCCTGATGCTTTTCTTATATTTAAGAAAAGTTTTCACATCCAATCTGACTGTTCCCAATATGCTCTCACTGTTCTTCTGGGACTCTCTTGTGACCTAGAATCAAAAATTGAGAAAATTTTAGGGCTGGTTTGGTCCTTAGAGACTTTCAAATACTCCTGTTTTTTTCAGAAGTGGAATCAGTGGGGCAGAGAGATGAGGAGACTTGTCAAATAAGTTTATAACTAAGTCTCCTTTATGATCTGGTCTATGGTCTTTTTTATTGCAGCGTAGAACATACTCTGAATTTCTACATTTCCAGAATGGCCCCTAAACTCCAAATGTGACTTATTCACTGTATAGTTCCTTGTGGCTATCACCTCCCTTGTTTAGGGACACCTATGCATGCTATATTAGCTAAGAGAGTAGGAGCTTTGTAAATATCCTGATCACACTGTGGGAGCATGTGCTTTCAATTGGATCAGTGATTCTCAATGCTTGTTACATATCAGAAGCACCTAGGGTTTTATTAAAAGTACTGATGCTCAATGCTGGTTACATATCAGAAGCATCTAGGTTTTTATTAAAAGTACTGATGCTGGGTCTATGCAAGTCCAGTTCAATAAAGATGGATCCCAAGCATCAGTAATTCCTCCAGGTAATTTTGATTCATAATCAGTATTGAGAATCACTACATTAGATATTACTAACCCATTTCCCAGAAAGGCGAGAATCAACACCGTAGAAGGTGACTGGCTCTGAGCATTTGATTACACTGCTTGATCTCAACTTCTTATAAAGGAAAAAAGGATGGGTTTGTCTCATTTCTTTTTACCTTTAGCTTCAGAGATATGAAAATGACATGAGCTGGGCCAGGCATGGTGGCTCATGCCTGCAATCTCACCACTTTGGGAGGCCGAGGCTGGTGAATCACGAGGTGAAGAGATCGAGATCATCTTGGCCATCATGATGAAACCCCATCTCTACTAAAAATACAAAAATTGGCAGAGCATGGTGACACACACCTGTAGTCCCAGCTACTCAGGAGGCTGAGGCAGAAGAATCGCTTGAACCCAGGAGGCAGAGGTTGCAGCGAGCTGAGATCGCGCCATTGCACTCCAGCCTGGTGACAGAGCGAGACTCCATCTCAAGAAAAAAAAAAAAAAGAAAAAAAAAAGAAAAAAAGAAAAAAAGAAAAAGAAAAAGAAAATGACATGAGCTGCTCTTGTGCTTTGAGGCAAACATTGAGTTGTATATATCCCTCTGTTCCTCAAATCCTGCTGCAAATGATCATTCTGCAGATCCTTGGAGTACATCTGGCATAGGGCCTTGGACAAAAAGGAGTTATCATTATGGTCATTTTACAGGTTAGGCACATGGATGCCCAGAACACAGAGCTATATCCCAGTTGGCAGCAATTCAGATATTTGGTGATATCAGAGGAACAATTATTCTCAACTACATTTATTGACATTGTCCATGCAAGGCACAGCCTAGTCCTGATAAGTTTTATATTTGGTTGGAAAACAGGTAATGGAAAAAAATACATGTGTGTGCAAAGGGGAAAATGAAAAGTGTATGTTAAATACACATAGAAAATAAATGTGCAGCAATTTTAAAAAGACATGATTTCAGACCCCACTCTCCTCCCACCACTTCAGCATCTGTACTCCACACACTTTGTAAGCCTCTTCTTCCTGATATTTTTGTGCATTCGTTGTAGTTAGAGCTTCGCATGTCAGTCTTTCCCACTAGGTCATGAATTCTGTGAGGATGGGGACTATGTCTTGGTCACATTTGTATCTCCAGTTGCTACTAATGTATCTGGCACATCACCATGCTCCATAAATATTTGCTGAGTGCCCGCATGATTCTGATACTGGAGACTGTGTGAGACTAAAAGATGTATGTCCTGTGCATTCTCATCAAGTGCTCGGATGGCCTTTTGATTTCTTCAAGGGCTCCTGGGCCCTGGAAATGGGTATCTTAAAATTGCCTGACTCTATTTTCAGGCTAGATCAAGTTCAGACTTTCTGTGTGTCAAGGTTTGTTTCTCAGACGATCACAAAGTGGTCTAATTGAGAAAGAAAATGAGAAGAATTCCTGTGACATTCACCTAGGATTTGAATATAGGTCCCATTCTATTAACAGATGTACAGTTTAGGGATGGGGGTTTAGTTTTTAGAAATCCTTTATTATCATATATTAAAATTTTTATATTTGTAATATATTATTATATACCAAAAATATTAATGTGTATAAAATATTTATTGTATCTATTTTACATATGTATATATATTTATATGTGTGTGTGTATATATATATATATATATATATATCTCCAATCATGCGTCAATTAGCTTATGGGGAGGTGTTCTGAGAAATACATCAGTAGGCGACTTTGTGCAAACATCATGGAGTGCACTTACACAAATCTAGATGATATAGGCTACTGCACACTCAGGCTATATGGGGTAGCCTATTGCTTCTAGGCTGCAAACCTGTACAGAATATTACTGTACTAAATACTGTGGGCAAATGTAACACAATGGTAAGTATTTGTGTATCTAAACACAGAAAATGTACAGCAAAAATACAGTATTATATTATATGGGATCACAGTAATATATGTGGTCTGTTGTTCACTGAAACATTATTATGGGTGTGTGTACACACACACACACACACACACACACAGAGGCATATATATTTTTTCATATATATGTAAGAGAGTGAGAATATCCCTCCTTTCCTTTCTCTCCTCTCCCCTCTCATGATTCAGAGATGGGCTACATACAAGGAAGGAACGTTGGATAAGAAGTCAAGGAACATAGCATCTATTCCTGGCTTTGAATTAACTTAGTGGCTTGGGGTAGTGCATCGTTTCCTCAGTTTTAAAAAGATGGGATTCTAATAGATGATCTCACAGGTAAACTTCTACTGCACTATAATTCTACAGACTTATCATCTATTGCAGTGAATTTTAATAAGGTATGTGCTTTTCTTAGCTACTTTTCTAATCCACACAACACCACAGGAAGGAAGACTCTGTAAATACGCCTAGGTTATAGAAGGGAAACGACTAGGGCAATAGGCTTTAGTTCTGGTTTGGATGACATCAGACAGCCATATGCTTGTGGACAAACCCTTCTGATTTCTGGGGCTACTTTCTCCACTGGAAAAGCGCGGGGAATAGGCCACATGCTATCTTAGTTCTCTGTGGACTTTGGTGTAGGATTTCAGAAATCTGGGTGTACAAGCAAATGAGAAAGGTCATTTGATTACAGAGAATAGTTGTTTTGATATTGTATTCTGTGCCTTGATCTCTACTTCTATCATCAGCTCATATGCTCTGCTATTTTTTTTCCTAACTAAGCATTATTTTCTCAGCAATAACAATGACGCGGTAAAAAAGCATAGTAGAAGACCTATCGAAAATTGCTCCACGGGAGGTCCTGCAGTGACAGAAGAAAAGTTTGTAGCCAGTCAGAACATTCCTCTGAAAAAAAGAGGACAGAGCACTTGGATCAGTAAAAGGGTGAACTATCCGTTCTGAGTCAGACTGAATCTGCATCCAGACAGGAATCGGGATGGGATTGGGGCTGGAAGGGGTTCACCCTTCAATCCCCAGTCTCTTTCACTCCACTTCACTGCAGCGTTCCTATGAAAAACTTGACGAAGAAGTTCTGTGAAGGAACTCAAACCAGCAGCCAATGCAGGGAGGCAGCCACTGATGGCCTCAGTGAGGGAATGCCCCCGACGTACCTCCAAATCATTCCTCAGTCCAAATAGCCTAAAACTCTCATGAAGAACGTGATAGGAGTCCTCTCAGAATCCGAGTCCTCGGTCAACTTTACCCCAAGTTCTTTGAGCGGAACCATTTGCAGACCTTCCCGAATCCGTATCTATCCTATATTGTTTTACAATGTAGACATGTCTCTGAAGGGTTCCATTCGTGTTTCCCTGAAAAGACCCCCTTTGTAGGCCAAATACAAAAACTCAGAGATTACAAATGCCACCATATTTTGTAAGAACTGAAGACATTCCACTTTGTTCTTCCCACCCTGAAAACAACTGCATGCCAGTCTGCGTTTGTCATCTCTCCGTGTCCTTCCCTTCATCAAGTGTCCAATTCTCTTGAATAACGAGAAAATGCACATGAGATCTGAATGCATACAAGTCGCTTAACAACAACAATAAAATAATAATAATAATTTAAAAAAACCCTGAAAGTGAAATATAATTACCAGGTTAAAAAAAAAATGCGCCCAGTTTCGAGAGCCTATCACAGCTCACGTCTGGGCGCGCAGTACCCCCCCGACACTGCTCCTGTTGTGTCAGATAGTGGCAGTGTTGAGCCCAGGAATACGCGCGGAGCCCGCGGCGATCCCCGCGGCCGCTCAGTCTTCGCGGCGGACTCCGGCGCGCAGGAGCCACTGGGCCGCAAGGGCGCCGGGGAGCGGGAGGGGCGCTGGGGGCGGCAAGGGGTCCCAGATCCCAGGCCACGAACTGTTTTCCTTTTCCCCGGGCAAGAGCCCCGCTCCCTTCAACTGACAGAAATTCACTGGGGCAGGGGGGCGAGTGGGGAGAGAGGTCGCTCAGGGCTCGCTACTGGCTGCGCCTCCCCCGGCTCTGGTCTGGGAAGCGGCTCTGGGCCCTCCGGGCGAGCAGCTTGGGCGCCGGCGCCCCCTGCGAGGAAGATCGCGGGGTGACGGTCGGTACCCGTTCGGCTGGGCCGCGCTGCCGCTCCGATCCACCTCCCTTCCGCGCCCGCGCCCTCCCCCTTCCTTTCACTAGGAGTCCGGGATTCGGAGAGGGCGCGGGAGGCAGGCACACGGGCCCGACCCCACTCCAGCGCTCACCGGGGACGCGGGCGGGCGGCGACGGGACGCGGCGGGGGCGCGGGGCGGGCGCGGCCATGGAGCAGCAGCGGCGGCGGCGGCGGCGGCGGCGGCAACACTAGCGACCGCGGGCGGACGAGCGGGCGGGCAGGGCCGCCGGGCTCAGCGGACCGAACTGCACAGCTCAGCAAAAGCGCCCTCGCCCTCCGCGCGCCGCCTCCTGCGAGCCCAAACCCACCAACATTTTTTAACGCTCCAACCCATCCTTTGAAGAAAAGCAAAAAAAAAAAAAAAAAAAAAAAAAAAAGCAAAAAAAGAAAAAGCATTGATCGGAGAGACGGGGATATATATATATATATATATATATATATATATATAAAATTTTTTTTGGCTCCTGCTAAAATTAGCAGGGCTCGCCGCGCGCCTGTGTGCCAGTGTGTGCGAGTGTGTGTGCGTGCGGGCGTGTGTGTGTGAATGTGATTACTCCAGGACTCCTCGGGCTCCGGAGACGCCATTTTCCCCCTTGATATCTCTCTCCATAAATCGGTGGCGCGGCGGAGGCGGCAGAGTCGGGCGGGAAGCGCGGGGCCGGCCGGGGCGCCCGCCGCTCGCCGCCGCCTCCGCGCGCCCGGGGGCCCCGGCGCCCCCCGAGCTAGGGCGGCCAGCTCGCGGCTCGCCGTTTGACAGATGCTCATCGCCATGGAGTTGCCGCAGCAGCACCTTTGGGGGCTCGGGCGAGCGACGGGAGCCGGGATCTGAGCGAGCGCCGGGGCCAGCGGAGCCGGAGCCGCCGGGACATGGGTGAGCACGCGCGGCGACCTTGGCCCGGGAGCCCGGGCGCCCAGCCTCCCTCCGCGCCGCGGGCCCCCGCACTCCCGGAACCGGGGGCGACGTGTGTGCCCTGCATGCAAAAGTTCACGTCGCCTTGCTGGGTCTTTGACTTTGCACCCGGCGGGAAGGGGGAGACCGGGCCGAGGGGGCGGGATGCCGGTCCGGGCGAGGTTGCAGGAGATGGGCGCGATTCCGGCGGGCCGGCGGGTGGGCGGCGATGCTGGCTCAATTGGAGTGGCTCGTTGGTGGCGGCGATGGTGGAAGCTTTGGGCTGGAGGGCTGGGAGCTTATTGAGTTTCGCCTAATCTGATCTACCCCCCCTCCGCCCCCCGCCTTTTGCACCCTCCCTCGGTCCTGCAGCCGGCTGGCGGGGCTGGCGGGTTTGGCGTTGGTGGAGTGGACTCGGGAGGGGGAGGGGGTAAGGAAAGGGGTGGGAAGGCAGGATTTTTTTTTTCTCTCTTTGTAACTTGCAGGTTAAGTGGAGCTAGAGAGCTACATTGTAACCTAGTTGGATTTTTTTGGGGGGGGAATGTATCAGAATCTAACGTGTCGTTAATAGAAAGAAGAACAGGCAAGAAGTGGTCCAGCCGGCGAAGGTTGGTGTGTGCTTGTGTTGTGCCTGTGTGTTAGTCTTTTTCTTAAAAATCTTAATCAATGGATTTGAGTCTCTTTCTTGTGCTCTCTGGTTTTGGGACTCTGAAAAGATAGGAATTCCCTTAAAAGCAGACGAATGCCTTTTTGAAAGCACGCATTGTGTGCGTTTCTAGAGGAGCCGTGGGCTTGGGAATGAACGGCAGGCTTCCCCGTTCGGTGGTTTCCAGTGGGAAATCACTCCGGAAAGGGAACCCTTCGGTATCGATTTATTGTTTTTGTCTTCCAAACCATTATCTCTTTGACCGAAATACTGTCTGAGAAGTTCCGCAGGGACAAAGTCAGGTAAACTGGACCGGGCAGATCTTTGGCAAGATGGTGATAACGGGGATGCTGTTTTCAGTGTCTGTTTGTGATGGAAGCATTGTTGGGTAATAGCAATTTCTGATCGGTAGAGCATGCTGGTTCTAAAAAAATAAGTTAACTGCCGAAATACTGTCTTCCAGCCCCCCTCCCCTGCACAGTACAGCACCTATTCCCCCCGCCCCCCCATCCAGACCGCTTACTACAAGTCTGAAATCGGATCCAACTGGAAATATTTTCATTGGAGATTGAAAGTTGTGCAATTGGAAATAGATGAGGCTAGAGGTATTGAGAGTGTGGAAGGGGAGTTCTTATTGCCCCCTAATGCTGCATTTATTCTTTATGTGTGTCTGTGTTGGATTCTCAGGGTGTGTATCTGTCTAAAAGGACTGTTGTGGGAAGGATTTCCGATTCGTTTCCGTTTCAAATAAACTGTCCTGATAATCTCACGGTTGACATCTAACGCTAAAAGGGCAATTTGTGTGTCTCTTTATCCCTGCAGAAACTCTCCTCCAAAAGGGCAGTTTATTCTGGAATTCTACAGCAGATACCTTTCCCTTCCAGCCCCTACACTCCCCCCACCTCCTGCCAACTATCCACACCTTTCCCCTTAAAGTTTAGTTGGAGTCCACTGGCGTTGATTGTTTTTCTCTTACATCTTTTTCCTTCTTTTTCTTTTCATTCCTTCACTCTTCATCCTGTTTTTCTTCTTTTTCTGTAGATTTATACTAAAAACTAATTTCTTGAAGTCTCTGTACTGTCACCAAAACTATCTGCCGATTTGGCACCATCTCTTACCCTCCTTTAGTAAATAGGTATATCTCCTGTGCCCCATCCAAACTCATCTTCACGTGCAAAGCATGTGTGTGTCGTGGGAGAAAGGGGATGGGGTAGAGAAGAGGTATTTGGAGAGGAAGGGCGGTGTTGTGTGCAGGCCACATCTTCAACACTGGACCAGACCTGGGCATTCCGGGGAGAGTTTCCTTTGCACACCCCAGCTGGGATGGGAAGGCGGAGCCAACCAGACAGGGGCGTGTGAGGGAGGAGAAAGTTTGTAGCACTTTAAGATGTAGCTAGTTTACCATCCCAGGTCACTCCCTCCCTTTTTTTCTGATTTCTCTGGCTTCTACCATCCTTAAACTCCCTGAGGGAGGCGTGAGCTCTTTTGCTCTGACGAGGGATTCCCAGGTGTCAGAGTGAAGGTGAGGTGCTGTGTTTTCCCCTGTGCTTAGTCTCATTGCCTGTTCCCAGAAAAGGGTATTAAGACAGAGTGTTTGGGGGAAAGTCGGAAGAGGAGGAAGAAATCAAGTGTGGTTAAACAGAGTATTTGCAAACGGCAGGGAATGTAGCCCCCAAAGATATGGAGACCAGGTACCCAGAGTGTTGCTTGGCACACGATTTCTCCTCCCCCGTTAAGGGGACAAAACCAAAACCAAAACAAACTATTGGTCTTGGGAAGTTGAGTTGGTGTTAGACCTGGGCTGTGGGAGTTGCTAGCCACTATAGTAACCTGAGCTGAGCTGGGGGAGGAGGTGGTGAGCGAATGCACCACCGGGAGCCAGAGGAGGGAAAGGGACTCGTCTCTCTTAGCTGGGAAAATAGATGTATCTCTGGAATAAACAAACTGGAGGTGGGGGAGGGGATGGCTTGCAGTGAACATAAGGTGGAGTGTCTGAGAGGCAGTAGTGTCGGTTAAGAAGGGGGCCACTTCTAGCTTGGGAGAAAATATCAACTGCCTTATATGTTCATGAAAGGGCTAGGCAAGTGAAGGGCTGTAATTTGATCTTTTGTATGTTAGCATCAGAATGTTACATAGGAAGGCTCTGCTGGAAGGCCCAGTTTTGGACATCACACAGGGGAACCTAGAGGTATCTTTAAGTTAACCCAACAGCCCCTGCTGCCATAAGGGCTTCTGGTCATGGACTTGCCTTGCTCAGAGTGAGCTACTTTGTAAATCACCTGACCTAAATGAGGGTTGGGGAAAAAGGAAACAGTGCTTGGGAGTGTTTTAGGATTTAGTTGAAAATGGTGAGTGGGGAGAGGCAGGAGGCAGGATTTTGCTGAAGAAGAAATAAATAGGTAGGTACTTTCCCCTGGATTCCATTTCTCCTGTTAACTTTGAATTCCTCTAGGGGATGAATCGATACTTGTCTGGCACAAAAGTGTACCTCTAGGAGAGGAGAGTTCTCTCAATGTGGTCATTATTTTTAGTTGTACTTCAATCTCTGCTCCAAAGCTTCTATATAGTATGCAAAAGGAAGCAGATGAGAAATAGCTAGCTGGATGGGGCATCCTTTCTGGGTTCCTGTGGAGACACTGAAACTTGGCTGGGCCTGGACCTCCCAGAATGCCAGTTTTTTCCTTGGAGACTTGAAGTTTAAATTGAAACCAGAAAGCTATTGAAGGCAGATCCAGCCAATGAAACCCTGTTTTCTCTGATGCTCAGGAATGGGAAATAAATAACTTTTTGCTGATGGCATTTCAAGTTGCTTCAGTTTTGCTCCTGCCAGAAGAATGGGGCAAATTATTATGAACACATTAGTATTGTAAGGAGGAGTTGCAGTGCTTTAAAAATGGGATGGTGTTATTGAGTTTGTTCAGGGACTCAGTGTATGTGAGAGTCCTACCAGAGGCTGGTGGTGGGAGCACAGGAGGCTGCCCTGGAGGGTTAGCAGCACTGGGTTGAAGAAAGGAAGCCTCACAGAGGTCTTGCTGCACATCATTTTGTCTGGTCCTGGGGTTCCTGTGAAGGGAGCAAAACAATCCAATTCCATTCCTATCCTGTGGCATATGTTGAAACCTAGTGAGTTTCCCAAAATGTTTTGGGCCATAAGTTTGGGCTTCTTTTAGAGTGGTTTTTAAAGGCAACCCAGGTGTTTTACAAACTCTTCATGAAGTTGCACATACTTTGGCCTGCCATATACCTGAAAAGTGCAGGAAAGAAAACACCAGGATGTCCACAGACTATAATTCGTGAATGCAGAAAGATGATGCCAATCTACATTTTTGCTTAGCTCTGAGTTTTCGTTTTCCCTTTTTACCGAACTTTCTATTAGATTTTGATGCCCCCCTGAGATACATCACACTGGGGCTGGAGAAGGTTTTGGAGGACTGTAATTGTAGATCACTGAGTTGAAGCTTCTGGTCCTTACTGTTCTGATTTAGAAGTTTCGTAGGTTCAGTCCAGAACAGCTGTTTTTAGAAGGTTTTTTTTTTTTTTTTGCCCATTAGAGGGTACCATCTAAGGTTGAAGAACCATTAAATAATTAATTAATTAATTTTTTGTGACAGAGTCTCGCTCTTGTTGCCCAGGCTGGAGTGCAGTGGCGTGATCTTGGCTCACTGCAACCTCTGCCTCCTGGGTTCAAGTGATTCTCCTGCCTCAGCCTCCCAAATAGCTGGGATTACAGGCACCCACCACCATGCCTGGCTAATTTTTGTATTTTTAGTAGAGACGGGGTTTCACCATGTTGGCCAGGCTGCTCTTGAACTCCGGACATCAGGTGATCCACCTGTCTCAGCCTCCCAAAGTGGTGGGATTACAGGTGTGGGCCACCGCGCCCGACCGAGGAACCATTATTTTTTAATGGCCGTTAGCTTAGAAACCAGCAGTTGACTTCCTACCCTGTTCATAGCAAATGATACCAGGTAAAGAATGTGAGCAGCCCTGAAGTCCATAGGATCCTCTGGGAGGTAGCTGCCACCCCCTCCCAGGAGCCCATGATGGTTAATGATCAGCAGACCCAGGTAGAACAAGTGTAGGCAAAGCCAGCTGAGCTGACCCTCAGGTAGGCAGAGGCTGTGCCACTCCAAGTGCTGAGGAGGAATAGGGGATGAATGGTGAGCAGATAAGAGTTTTAGAACTTTGTTAGCTTGGAAAAATGTTTCCTTGGTCCAACTTATCTTTTCCCACCAAAAATACCCCCTTTCATATGCATGGCATTTTGTTCTTTTCAAAAATATCTTTATATGGCTTCCGCCCCCTTGATTCTCCTAAGGAGGAAGGCCAGATAAGCATTTTATCTCCGTTTAGAGGATGAGGCAACTGATACACTGGGTTGCCTGAAATGACACAAGTTGGTGGCCAACCTGGGGCCAGACGGCTGTGGCAAAGTGTGAAGAGCCTCACATCTGAAGTGACAAGATCCTCTTTGGATCGTGTCCCTGTACTTCCCAGTTAAATGACCCCTGGCAAGTCAGTTAACCTCTCTGAGCCTCCGGAACCTAATCAGTAAAATAAAGATAAAGATGCTTACCCTGCCTACTTCACGGGGGTTATGAGGATTAAATAATACCAGCTAATTTCTGTAATTGAACTCTGGGAGGATTTCCATGCTGCCTCCTGGAAACTGGTGCCTGGGATTATTGTTGCCATAGCCCAGCAATTAATAACCCCTTGGAATGATCAGAAATGCCCACAAGGGCTCCTCGTGTTCTAATAATTCAACCGATGTCCATATAACTGTATATATTGAATTATTAGATGCCTACTATGCCATGTGCTTTTTGAGGCTCAAAGTCTCAGGTGGTATCCAGTTGGACTCAAAGATGTCCCAGTGCTCAGGAAATGCTCTTTGAGTTAAGGATCAGCAAGAAAAAAGGAAAAAGATGTGCAAACACACAGGGAGGGGAGGCGAAGTGGAGAGAATGAGGGGGAGGTTCTCCATCAAGAAACCACAATACTTAAGCAATGGCATTCAGGACAGAATTTCTAGCCCCTCTAAAGAAAAGAACTAATAGCAGCGTTGCCGCTGTCCCAGCAAATCCAGTAAGTTCTCCAGAATCAGGAAAGTTCTTCACAGCTCATTTGTTCCCTGACTCTTCTGTGTCCCTCCTTTTACCCTTTCTCATGAGAGCTGGTTTGCCCTGCCTGGCAGCCTGCAGCAGGCACCTTGCAGTGTTCTCGAGTGAACCCCAATTTTATGCAATATGCCCCAGGCTGTGTTGTCAGACTGGTTTCTTCACTGACTCTGGACATTCTGAACATCTTCCTGCCTCCACACCTCAGCTGTCTCTGTGTTGTCACCTCCAGGTGGCCAGCTAGTTGCACCCAGCCTCCTCTGTGGGAGCTAACTAGTTCCTTCTTCCCAGCTCTCAGCTCCTCATCCCCAGTTCCCAGAGCAAGGCACCCCACTTATGCTGCCTTGCTGTTTGTTATCACTTACCCCCTCCAAGCTCTGAGCCCTTGAAAAAGGGGAGAAGTTTTCCCACACAGCCCTGAACCTTATTTATGAATGATTTTTTGTTTCCTGAATGAATCACAGCATTTATGAAGAGATAGAATATTGAAAGTCAATGTTGTTTAAGGTGTATTAACACTCTGCATTATGAAGCAACACAGTGAGGGCCCCTTAGACAGTGTGAATAATAACTACTTTAAGCCAATAATAATTGCTTTTTATATTTTTGGCTACCTTTCGGGGGTAATCACCCAAAAGTTTCTCCCTTAAAGTTTAAGAGTTAAGCATATTTTACCACATGTGCATCCTTTCAGTCACCGATTCACTCATTCAATCATCAAATATTTGTTAATAATAATAGTGCCTACTGGAGTCTCATTGTGACTCTAACACACATAGCCCTTGACTTTCTCTGAAAATTCCAATTGTATTTTTTGTCCATCTTGCTCATTTTGGCACTTAACCATACAGTCATCTTTGTTGCTGAAGTCCAAGTGCTTTTCCGCTCTTCAGTGATGGAGTGAGCCTGGCCACAGTGGAAAACAGAGAAGGCTGAGGAGGCCGGGTGCAACTAGTTGGCCTAAGAGGTCAAGAAGGCTGAGGCAGAAAGCAGCCTGGGCTCACATCTATTAGCATATGATGTGGGACAAGCTACATTGCCTTTCTACTGTTGTACAGTAAAAAAGTTTGGAGTGGTATAGAGTGTCCCTTCTAAAATTCTGTGATTCTATAGCTAGAGGTGTCCTAGGAATGTTAAGGATTTCTTAAAGGTCAGAGCTCCTCAAACCCCTTTAATGGCGCCGCCAACAACTGTCCAAACCAATCCCACTGAGGATTAATGCCCTTTGCTAAATGTTTGATGGGTTGAAAGAGTTACAGAAAGGGAAGGTGGTGCCCTGGGGTAAATAGAATTGGGGGGAGCACTTATTAGAACAGTGGAGTCAGTCTTGGAGGACAGGGAAGGGGAGAGGAGGCAATGGTGAGCTGAATGTGAGGACATACCACTAAGAGTAATGTGGAAGGAAGAAAGGGATTAAATTACCCACATCTGTTTTGAATTGGTTCTCTTTGGTAAAATAACTGACTTGAATCAAGGGAGATGGAACAGACAAAGACAGTTTCTAGGAAGTCCAGAATGTATTCTGTAGTTGAGCTTTGCTGCTGCTTCCTGTCAGGTGGCATCTGGAAACCCTGCTATGGATACTTCACTCATGTCATGGATCTAGTGGGCTGGATGTCATTTCTCCATGTAGATTCTAAAGATCATGAAGTCTAGGGCCATGCCTGGGTTCCTGAGGTGTCCTCTCCATCCCCATAGCACCTGGTCTGCCCAGCCACATTGCAGCCTGTGTTCAATAATAGCTAATGGGTTGGTTTGTGTGCATTCTGAGATCAGATACGGTGACCCACAGTCTGCAAAACCAGAGCCTTTGATTTGGGTTGGAGTAGGATCAAGGAAATTGGGCTTTGGCCTAAGGTGCTGTAAAAGTTCTGTGGGATTGATGAAGCACCTGGGAGCATACTGGTTGGATATTTAGGAAGAGGAAGCCTCTTTAAGCCACTGAAATGCTGCAATTGCTTTTAACCCAGGATCTAGTAAAGGATTTGGGATGAAAAAGGAGCATGCAATATTGTTAGCCAAATTTAGTAAACAGCAATTTCTTCATTATTCCTTTTATCTGCCAATGATTTTCAGTTCTGTCAGTGGAAAGGAGCTTCTTGGAGTTTGAATTTGTGGCTTGGAGAAAGGTTGAGATGGGGAAGCTGAATTTGATGGAACCAACTTAGTAGCCCATCAGAAGCAGTGGGAGCACCAATGTGCTTGTAGCAGACTAATGAAATCTGCGTGGCAAGTCCTGTACAGTTGTTGGTGTCTCTTTCTGTGACCTATTGTTATTTGAGCAATGAGACCTTTGATTTTTTTTTTTTTTTTGAGATGAAGTCTTGTACTGTCACGATCTCTGCTCACTGCAACCTCCACCTCCTGGGTTCAAGCAATTCTCCTGCCTCAGCCTCCCAAGTAGTTGGGATTATAGTCACCCGCCACCATGCCCAGCTAATTTTTTATATTTGTTGTAGAGACGGGGTTTCACCATGTTGGCCTGGCTGCGTCTCGAACTCCTGACCTCATGATCCGCCTGCCTCGGCCTCCCAAAGTGCTGGGATTACAGGCATGAGCCACCGCGCCTGGCCAAGACCTTGGTTTTTAAAAAAGTATTGATTAATAGTAGTGACTAAAAGGGATGATTTGATGTGAAATCTCTGTGAACCTTTCTACTCGTTATACTTTAGAGCTCTATTACGACTGGTGTTTTGATCCACAAATATTTATTAAAATATCAGCATTGCAGATTGTGTGAGCCATTGTGCCTGGTACACTTGCTTGGGAAAGGCCTGCTCTGAGATGTGGCTTTTGCCCTGGGAGAGTGGGCAGTGTATCTACAGATACGTGCTTTGCTGAAATGGAAAGCATTCTTCTGCAGCCAAAGTTGGAACATGATCCCAAATGGAATTTTGCTATTTGTGTGATCAGGCCTAGGGTATAGTCAGGGAAGATTTCAAAGAGTATGTGTTTAGGATTTGATGGAAGATGTAGAACAAAGGGACATTCTTGGCGGGTAGAACAGCTTTGGCATAGGGGCAGCAGTGGGACAGAGTTCAAATGCGAATTGAGAATTGCCTCAAGGAAACAAATGCTTATTTCGAACATGTACTGCATCTGGCAGAAGCAGCATGGCCCTGAAGATGAAGGTCAGAAGGCTGACATTGAGGGGCAGACACCCCCATAGCAGACACCTTTGTGGTCCGAGGTCTTCTGTCCACAGTGAGAAGGATAAAACCCAGGGCCCTCTATGTCAGACTCAATGTGCCTGTTATAATTCAAACTAATCAACCTTCCAACTCTCTGAATTAGCAAAAATTGGTTTGTTCATTGACATTATTATTGATTGTGACCAGACTCTGATGGGTGCCATGGGGATCCCAAGAGATGGAGTGAAAGATGCTCTAAGAGCCCATGAAAACCAGGGGAGGAGTAGCAGCAGCCAGCCATTTAGGTCTAAGTGCTGAATTGTAGTGGGAGCCCGAGGGGTTTAGTGTCTCCAAGGGTTAGTCAGATCAGAGAAAGCTTTGAGGAGTAGGTGGAACTTGAGCTGAGTCCTTGACAATGGAATAGTCTTGGGTAGGTATGGAGCAGCAGGGAAGATCATCCATTTGGGAATGTAGAGGGAGAAAGGAGAACAGTTCAGCATAGGGCTCTGTGGAGTGTAAGGCAGCAAGACAGATGGGATGGTGTCCTGTAGGAAACAGGCCAAGGATTCATCTCCCCTAAGCTGAAATGGGGAGGCATGCCCACAGCTTTCCAAGTGCAGGGAGAGCAGTCTTGGGGAGCAGGTGGGTGTGCCTGTCAGAGACTTCCACACATAGCACACATGAAAGAACGCTGACAGCTGACTCTGCCTCCTGCTGCTAGGTCCTGTCCGCTACCAGCTCTTCAGCATGGGGTTCAAAAGAGGTATCTTTAGAACAAGAAATGAAATTGTATATAAGCATTTGGAATGGGGATGGGCCGCTCTGGGGAACATAAAACTCTTGTGATACTGGTACTTATTTCCAAGTGTTTAATGTATAATTGGAGAAGGAAATAAACAAGATTCAGTAACAAGACAATGTTTAATGACAGTACAAGGTAGCTAGAGGAGATATATCACAGAGAAAGGGAAGTGGAGCTGATATTTGTTTAGTTCTCTGGTATGCTTAGCATCTCCTTTGCAGCAGAAGCACAAACATATACGTGCCAGATTACACTTTATGTTCAAATGACAATGAACAAAGCAATGGCTTAATCAGACGGTTGAGAAGTCAAGGAATTTGAATTAAAACTGAACAGGTAGTGAGGTGAAAGAGAACTTTGAAAGACTTTATTATTATCTGTTAGATGGTTCAGTTTATCCTCATTGCCTCCAAGTATGTCTACCAATTCCTTCCTCAATTTATAAATGGTGTGGTGGAGGACCAGAGTTTTCAGGGACCACTAATACAGAATATTTGAAGACTGGTGGCTCTATGGTTCAAATAACATTTGGAGTCAGACACAACTGCCCCTGTGATTTCAACAAATCCCTCAACTTTAATTTTCTTATCTGTAAAATGGATGTGTCTCTGGGTTAAAATCAGTTAGTAAATCAGGGTTAAATAGTATAATAAACTTAAATCAGATGAAAAACGTAAATAAACTTAGAGAATACCTGATGTATGTTAACAATTCAGATTATTTTCTTTACGATGTGAATTCCTCCTCCCTGCTTGGACAGGAAATATTATGGTCACAATTACTTCTTTCAAATCTACTGTATTTAACCTATTTTGGTATTGTGCTACACATATTATTTACCTTTTTTTCCTGCAAGATTCTGTGAGGAGAATTAGAAAAGGCAGATGAGAAAACTGATGCCCAAGAGAGTTTAAGTGACGTGGCAATTCAGATGGCACACTGGTTTTAGAACTCATGTATGTAGAAGCAACTAACAACTTTTGGTCAAAAGTTGGCATCACTTTGTGTTTTAGATACCTCATGATGTCAAACTAAGAGGCTTTGTAATCATATATACCTCGATTTGATTGTGAATCTGGCACAGAAAGTGTGTGCTCTTGAGTAAATCATTAACCTTTCTGGACCTTAATTTCCAGGTCTGTAAAATGAGGACAAGATCTTCTGCATCACAGTGCTGTTGTGTGAATTAAATTGATAATGACTGTAAAGAGCTCAGCACAAGTTAGTGGTAATGTTTAACCACCCCCCGCCCCCCAACCCTTTCACTACAAGAGAACACTTTTCCTTGACTGCACAGAGGAACACAGGCACAAGTAACGCATCAAAGCCACAGCTCAACCTGCAAACTTGATTGGCCCAGGCAGGATTGTAGAGATTTTTCACCAGGGAGCAAAGACACAAGGGTCATGCTGTTGTGTTGTGTTATTGGTTCCCAGAGGAGACACTGTTTTTTACAGCTACAGCTGGAACTGTTGGTTAATGGATAGTATGTCAGACCTCAGGTCTCAGAAGTTTCATCTCCTTTCCTTATCATAGAGATCCCTGAGTACAGAGACTAACGGCATATGCTTAGTTTTGTCTTAGGCTCAGCCAGCCCAGCCAGGCTGAGCTGCAGAGTCAGCAGAATCTGATAAAAAGGTGGAAGGTACCAGCCCTGGCTTTGAAGGGCTTCTGGTTGAGGAGACAAGGCTCAGTACCTGGGAATGTCAGAGCTGGAAGGGGCCACAGGGTTGAACTCATGTTCTCTGGTCCCAATTCTACATATAATGATGGGAAGACTCAGGGAGAAAAAGGAACTTGCCCAAGGCCACCAGCTCTAAATGGTGGAGGAGGGATTAGAATGTGGAATTCCTGACTGTACCCAGTATTATTTCCTCCATGAGACAAACTGGAAACAAGAGAAGAGCAATAATCAAACAACAGCTAAATGGTCAGGTTAGCAGATGCAAAGGAAACAAGTTGTCTGTGCTTCTCACTGTGTAGCAAGATGGAGGAGGTTGGTCTTCAACTCCTGTCCCTCAGGGCTTGACTTGGAGTCTTAGAAGAGAGGGTGGCACTTAGTCAAATGCTAGCTTGGTGATCAACTATGGGAGTAAATCAAATGTAACAAAAAAGTTTGCACACTTACTAAGGTGATCCCAGTATGTTCTTTCATAATTATTATCTCATTTAATCTTTACTTCTTGAAACAATCCTTGAGGTAGGATTATTACCCCATTTCCAAATGAGACTTGAAAAGATTAAAAATGTTTCCTAAGAACACAATTACTAAGTGGAAAAGGGAGGCTAAGAAATCTAAACCTATGTCATCAAGTCAGAACTGCTTCCATTCTTCTTTTTAAGGAGAAACATGGCTTGAACACTTACTGTTGGACAGTTACTCCCAGTGTTCTCTATGCTTCCAGCTGTGCAGAGACTCATTTAAAATATAGCCCTTGTCCTCATGGAGCTTGTGGTCTAGTGGGAGAGAGAGGCAGGTAATTAAAATGTTGAAACAGAGCTTGCCAAATGCTTTGTGAGAGCAGAATGACCAGGGAAGTGAGAGCAAGACCGTGCGTGTGTGTGTCTGTGCACATGTGTATGCAGGAAGAGGTAGAAAAGGAGGGTCCAGCCAGTCTCCATGAAGGAGGTGAAATCTGACCCAATTCTTGCAGGATAACAAGAGTTAACCAAGTAGAGAAAGGAGAAAGGGCCAGCTAAACAGAGGACCTATCAGGGAATCATATACAGTAATGCCCATCAGTGGGACTTGGGAGATCTGCAGCTTACGAGATGCTGCTAGAGCATGTGGTAGGTGAAGTAGTCTGGAAATGCTGCTTGGAAGAGGTAAAATGTGATCAGGAACTTACCACACAAGTGCAGAGTATAAAAACACCACTGAGTAGGAGCTTTGTCCTTTGCTATAGACAGGTGATGTATCTTCAGGGTCAGAGAACCATGGTGTAGAGCTGCCCTTGCTCTTGCCGATTGAGAGCTAGGTAAGAGTTGGGTCACCTGCTAGATTTACCAGTGTTGTGGAGCATTTACTCTGGGTGTTTCTGCAGCTGGAAGGAATTCCGGAAAGATTACTTAGTTATAGGCAGCTGAGTCAAGTGGTGTCTGTCTGGCCTCTCATTCAACATTCACCGAATGAGTAATTTGGAGTGTCTCTCTGTATCAGAAACTGTGCCAAGCCCTGGGGGTGACCATGGTGAGCCAAATAGGCACAGGTCTTACCCTTCAAGGGCTTATCATCTAGTGGAGAAGGCAGAGTTTGAAACCAAGAATGGCACAAATATTTAATTATATAATTAATGTTAGGAAAGACAAGTTCTGGCCTACAAAGGCACAAAAAGGGGAGTTATGATCTGGTTTGCGATGCTCAGGGAAGAGGCATTTAACCTCAGCCTGAGTAATGAAGAAGTCTAACTCCAGGGGAGCAAGAGGAAGATTCCAGGTGCATGCAAAGTCCCATGAAGTCACTTGTGACTCCCCACCAAAATACCTTAGAAGACATAAAGAAGGATGAATAATCAACCACTCCCAAAGCCAAAGTCAGACAGTCAGTCTCTTGCCAGAACCTGACAAGAGATTCTTATAACTATAGGCCAATGAGTCTAGGTTGAAAATACAATTTCTTCCTCATCTGTAATTAAGTAGGATCACACTCCATCTTTTTACACCATTTGCTTTCTTAATCAGTTTCTGTCAACCAGAAAAGCAGGCAGTCATCAAGTCTACTGTATGGGCAGCTTGAACAAAACCAGCTAAAGACTTCCCTCCCTGACATCATTATGCATATTCTCAAAGACTATAGCTCTCAGAAGACAAATGGGCAAGAGTGGGAAGGGGAGTTCTGGGAGGAGTGGAAGAAGGGCATTGACTTCTGGGCAGAGATGTTGCTTCAAGTAAAGTTCTGAGGTGAGCATGGAGTCTTTGTCATAGAGCATATTGTGAAGTTTAGCTGTTCAGCTGTTTTTGTGAATCCAACAGAAAAGACTTTTCTCAGTTCAGCAAAACAATAGTAGATGGATGTTTACTCTCAGTGGTGTTCTAGTATATGCTTAACACCCTGTTTTCCAGATTTTTTAAAAGCACTGACTTGTAAAGTTTGCTCGTTCTTATGGTGTAAACACTCCCACCATGGCTGAGCTCCCTTGCCCAGGCTGGAGTGCAGTGGTGCGATCTCGGCTCTCTGCAACCTGAGCCTCCTGGGTTCAAGTGATTCTTCTGCCTCAGCCTCCTGAGTAGCTGGGATTACAGGTGCATGCCACCACGCCCGACTAATTTTTGTGTTTTTAGTAGAGATGGGGTTTAGCCATGTTGGCCAGGCTGGTCTCGAACTCCTGACCTCAGGTGATCTGCCCACTTCAGCCTCCCAAAGTGCTGGGATTACAGACATGCGCCACCGCACTCCATGGCTGCATTTTAAGCTACCAACTTAATGCCACTGAATGTGGAGTTGGGGAGAGATACACACAGTGGGCTCTTATGAACCCATAGGCACTAGCTTCATTGCATCCCTGGTTACTGTTCACTAGAACTTGATATGGTCTCTGGTAAGAGGAGTAGCTCGAAGAGGAGGATGTGACTGGCTTCACAATGGGTAGAAGGTAGTCCAGTACTTCCTCTGTAGGCCAGGCTCTCTCCTCATCAGAGTGTGAGCAAAGAAACAGAACCCAACACAAGCCCTCCTGAGGTGGAAGAAACACTTAAAACAAGGTAAAAGGAACAATATCAGGAAAATTAGTTAATCCAACAGCAACATTAGAGTTTCAGAAAGCTACCTGGCATCTTTGACAAGAAGTATGACCCATGGAAAAGGAGCATTAAGAAACAAGGACGGAGCATGCTGATGAAAAGACATCAGAATCAGCTGAAAAGTGGATGCATAAAGTAAAGAAAGATTGCAGGGATACAAAATGTGCAATTGCAGAATTAAAAAAAAATCCACAGTGAAGTCAATAAAGGCAAAGGGGGCATGGAAAATAGAATCAAATTGGTATTATGGAGAACAGATTGGGGTATGCTCTCCCACAAGGCAAAAGAAGGAAAGAAAAGCAGTGAGAGAGAAAATGATAGAAATGGAGAACAGAGATGAGAGCTCTAAACTCAGAATTACAGGAAAAACTTCGAAAGAAGCCAGAACCATTTAATGGAAGAAATTACCAAAGGAATAATTGAAGGGAACATTCCTGAACTAGAAAGAACCTGCATCTACAGATCCAAAAGGCTCATTATGTTCCAGGAAAATTAAAGGGAGAGAGCTCCACACTACACTCATTTTGTCATTAATAAAATTCTAACATAATGAAAAAGAAAGTCTTCAATTATAAACACATAAAGCAAGTTGCCTAAAGAGGAAACCAAATCAGGCCAGCCTCTGTTTTCCCTTCATTAGTTTAAATGCTGAAAGACATGCTACAAAATTTTGAGGCAAAAAGTTCTAGCCTGAGAATTATCTGGTCAGCCCAGTGTGTTTTACGTGTGAAGATGAAAGAAATGCCTTGTGGTATGGGAATTTGCAGAGTCCAGAGCCGAGGGAGGACTGAGGATGAAGAGCTTGGGGAAGTTTGCAAAAGTTCAGGAATGAAGCCGAGTACTCTTCCTGTGTTTGGGATTGTTTGCCTTTAAGACCTGAGAGGTGCACGTGTTGTTCATGTGTTTATTTTGTAATAAGGAGCATGGAGTTCTACTACCAAGAAATACAGTAAAATTTTTTTAAAAAGTAAAAATAATAAGCTAGTGAAGTAGGCTGGGAAACCACCTTTTTTTTTTTTTTCTGTTCATTGATGAGACACTGAGGCTGAAAGAGGCTTATGAAGGCTCCTAAGTGGCAGAACTAGGCCAGGAATTCATTTCTTTTGACTCCTGTTGAATATACTAAGGGCCCTATCTCTACCACCTTGTCCTTTTGGAAAGCAACAGTCAGGATGACAATGGCCTGTATGTGCATGGCACCTGGGCAAAGCAGAAGAGGGAGGTGAATAAATGATGCTGGGAAGCCCAGCTTGAGTTGCTTTGTTCACTTGTTAATTCAGCCATCCAGCATTTCTTGAGTGTTGATTATGTGTTGGCCATGGTGCTAGGTGTTAGGATTTTGTGGATGAATACGACACAAGTCCTGCCTGTTCCCAAGAGACTCACAATACTGCTGTAAGGGAGAAATACCCTCATGTACTCAATAATAATACCTATGATCTAGCAACTTGACAGGGGTAATCATATAGACCAGGCACAGTCTAAGGCACTGGTTCTGACTCTAGGCCATCAGAACCACTGAGAGGGCTTGGTAAAAGCTGGCGTGTTGGGTCCCAGCTCTGGAGCCCTGATTCAGTAAGTAGAGCTCGAGAACTTGCATTTCCACCAGGCTTCAGAATAAGTAAGAATTCCCAGTTGGAGAATGTATTTTAGACTAGGAAAAATATTCTATCTAGCAGTTTTGGAGGGGAGGGAGGATGTACTCTGGAACTTATTTGGGTATAAGTCACATCTAGCCAAGCAGGATTCCCCTGGCCATTCAGAGAAATAATTCTTTAGGTTCATGCTGTTCATTTTGGAGTGTACCCATAGGTCTATGGCTCTGCAGGGCAAAATTACAAAGTGTTAAGTATGAAACAGACTTTCGTCCCAACCCATTCATTGCTAAGGCAAGTGTGGGTCATAAGAGATCCACAAAGTGTGGGTAAAAGACTCATAGTGGCTTGTCTAGCATCTGACTGCCTGTGAACAGCAGAGCTAGGAATAAAGACAAAGTTTTGGACTCCTATCTCAGTATTCTTTCTAAATACATCTGTTTCTTTTCCTTGCCCTTTTGTTTGCCTGGGGCCGACAAGGCTGTTATCTCCTAAGCAATTTTATCTTTCCAATCCTCCTCCACTCCCAGCCCCCACTGCCGCCCCTGCCCAAGTCCTGCAGGCAGTCATAGAAGAGTTAACTTTTGTTGGACTGAAGGCCTGAGCCAAGTACAGAGTGTCCATTGTGTGCCCGCCCCCTCAGGAGGAGTCACTGACTGCTGGAATGTGACAAGGCAAAACATTTTTACCTTGCCTTGGCTTCCCCAACTCTGAGTGCGTGAGCCTGTGCGTGTGCTCACACGCGCATTTTGGCAGGGCTGAATCACAAGAGGACTCGCAGTTGATACCCAGACTCACCAAAAAATTGAGCTGTGAATTTGGGGAGGCAGGTACGTGCTGGGAAGGAAGCTAAAGGAGAACAACAGCTTTGTGTGCTGATGAAGTAAACAGACAGGTTAGGTTTCTTTGCTGTTTCTTTTGAAAACTTATTTTATTTTATTTGTCTAAGATGAGGGTCACATATGGACACCAGGGGCTGGATTATAATCCTCAGGATAGGCAGCAAATTTGGCTGGGGCTGCTGCCTGGGTGGGTGGAGCTGCAGTGGGAGTAATTTGAACTACACGACTTTGAATAGCTGTCAGAGGGCGAAGCCATTTTCATTCAGAAAAACCTTGAAATCCTCCAAGCACCCAGTCCTGCAATGGATGCTATAGGTAATGTCAGCATTATACAACTACAGTTAGGCTCAACCTGAGGCTGAGCTGCAATCATGTTAGAGAAATAAGATTTATATGCCCAGAACAGCTAGAAGACAATACAAGGCTGGTATTTAGTGGCGAACTATACAGCTGGGTGCAATGTCAGTCCGGCCAAGGAGTGAGCACCACGGTCTGGAGTTTACAGAATGTTGCCATGGAGAATTGAAGACTTGGGGATGATCTGGAAATATGGAAAGGCTTGGGATCTTTTTATTCATTTGTTTATTCATTCCTTCGTGCAACAAACATTTGGGGAACACCAATTGCATGGCCGGCATTGCAAGGATGAGAGGAAGTGGATATAAGAACAGATTCTGTGTATTTTAAAAAATACAGAAAGAACTATGTATAACATTGCTGTGGAGACTGGTTTGACTTGAGTAGTTACTGCAAGTTGGTGGCTAATTTGCTTTGGTCTTTTAAGGCGAGATCAGTATGAAAAGTCTGGAATAGATGAATTCCTAAAGATTAAGGCTATTTGAAACTGCATTACTGTTTTACCTACAGTATTTATTATGACATACTCACATTGCCCTGGTTTGGGTCTTCAAGCAATGTGAATGAAATTTCAGCTGAACTTTCTTATGGCCCCCTGCCTCTAACATCAGATTCCCTTAATCCAACCCTCACACCATGTACCAGAATTATCTTCCTAAAGCTTAGATTTGATATTATTCCTTCTCCACTGCCATTCCTTAAATGGCTTCCCATTACCTGTAAGATAAAATCCAAACTCGTTAGCACAACATTCAAGGAAGTTCATGACTTTGCCATGACCTTTTATTTCCAGCCTCACCTCTCATAGATTCCCAGTTTCTACCATACTTCCTAGCCAAACATCAATTCCCTGTTTCTTCTGCATAATCCTGCACACGCCTGCCCAGGACGTGGCCTCACGTCTTCCCTTTCTCTGCTACGTCTTCCTTCTTCCTGCTCTACCTAGGAAACCCCCATCAAGATCAAAGATCTGTCTTCTGCTCTCCTCAAAGCCTTTCTGTGTAGTTTCCTAGCTACCTACACCTTGCTCAAGTGGAGAAAACTTTCTTCCTTTTGATTCTGTCCTTTCTTACAGTACATATAAAGTTCTGTGTTGTTTTAGAGTGATTTGTCAAATCTCTCATCAAAAGTGTAACTTCCTTGAGGAAAAAGATTGTGTTTTCCTTAGTATTTTGATTTGAGAACAGAAAAAAATTTTTTGTATTGAATTTTTTTTGTGTGGATCTTTTATGACTTGAATTTTAAGTTTCAGAACTTTGTCTTGTACACGTAGTAAAATGTAAGAAATGATTGTTTCATTTATTTCACTCTGAAGTGAATCTTTTTTTAATGGAAGATATTTTCTTAATATTAATAATATATTCAGTGTATAAGCCCATCAATTCATCTAAAGTTTAGAGTTCACCTTCTTTTATTGTATCACAGAATCTGTAACATACATTTCCCTACTCTGGTTCAAAGGTCCAAATGGATTTCATTTAGGAAATTTGTATGTATATGCTTTGTCTTTTCTCCTGACCTGGGGAGATTTTATAGGTAGGTATTAGAGAATTAAAATGTCGTTGGAGATTCCTGCCAAAGGGAATAGACTGTGAACATTACTGCCATAAGAAAACATGGCTTGCAATTTGCATGGATCTGGGATACACACTGAGAAAGACCTACTGGATTCTTACCGCTTGACAAATGGGGAAATTTCCTAAGGTACATTGATGTCTCCAACAGCTGGGGTGGTGCCTGACACTAGTAAGAGAGGCCTCCGTAAAGTCAACTTGAGTATAACTTTTTAAAAATAATGTGTATTATTGGGCAGATAAATCTAGATGAGACAAAAAATCTTATCAGTAAAAGAAACATCAAGTGTCATCTGGTCTAACTTCTCCCCACCTCCCAAAGTGGAGACTTTGTCCATCTTGTAGCATGGGTCACAGGTGGCTGTTTTCAGTTTTGGCTCAACAGTGTCAGTGAAGATGCTCATGCTCTCACTAGGGCAGCTTCTTCTTTTTCAGAAAAGCTGTATTCGTTGAATCTTCCCCGAAGTGGAAGCAGTTGTAAATGTGTCTTTCTGCAAAGCTGAGCATTTTCCAGTAGCTGAATATGCTCCTGGGCTTCTCTGGGGAGCAGGGTCCGTGTTGGAGCCGGGGCTGCCTTCCTGGCTGGCTTCCTCACAGGGCGTCAGCTAAAAATGTGCTGATTCTGGAGACAGAAGACAAACGTCTGGTCTTCAGGCTTCCAGTTCTTGGTTATTCTGAATATGTCTTTGCAGGCATCGTTGGGCATTTTTTGGTGGGCACATTTGCCAGCCACTTTAAATTGATGGGCTCAGAGGTAGAAACCTAAGATGTACAGTCATGTCTTCTGCTGGGAAACTTAAGTGTTCAGCAGCTGAGAAAGCTTGAGTGTGATCCAGCGTACAGCCTAAGGGTGGGAGGATGTGATGTTTGCAGCCCCAGGGCTCTTGGTTTTCTCCTGAGACTGAGCGTTTGGGCTTCCTTTTGGGCTTTGAAAATTATGAGTATGAAATTGGGAATAATAGAACGTGGGGTGAAGAAGGGTGAAGGAGAGTTTAGCTGATCCTGTGACAGTTTGGAGAGAGCCTAACTGATTTTTCTCTTCTCATCTTGGAGGAAGGTAGAGAGGAAGATCCTGGGGGGACTCCTGACACTTCCACAGGCCTATAAAATGCTCCTTCTCTCCCTTTTTCTCTTTTGCTGCTATGGAGACACAATACTACTTCATTTAAGAAACCAGAAAGGGAATTACAACTGTCTAGAAAGGCTATTTTTAATCTAAATAATTGATAATGATTAAATTTCTCTCTTTTGTGTCAGTAGAAACATTTGTTGAAGTTGTTTTCCATTAATCACAGTGTTATAAGTGATTTGCCACTGAACTCTTTTTATTTTCTTTTTGTGTGCCTCAAACCTAAGCTTTGCATTTGCTTGAAGAAATAGAGAGGTCTTTGCATAATTGAAATAATGCATAGTGAAAAATGATAAAGGTAAAATGGTTAAGAGATAGGCTGAATGCCCCTCCTCCAAGTGGGTGGAGAGCTTGGCCCAGGCAGCCTGGGGGTTGTGCTCAGCTTTGCAAACTGTTCTTCACATGTGACAGAGAAGCGGTGCAAAAAGCCAACCAAATACAGTTCCAGCAGACCTGAGCCTCAACACTTCAGACTTCCCTTTCGTCATGATTGGTTTTAACAGTGACTCAGCCAGCTGAAGCTTCAGTATAAAGAAACCTCTAGCTTGCTACCGGGCTGGAGAACTCGCACCTCTTATCTTTATTCTTGGGCCTACAGCTATAAAATTAATAGCAATCCATTATGAAGGCGTGTGTGAATGTGTTTTTCCCTCTGCTCTAGTAAAATCCAATTTGGGGATGTGCTTATTCTGGTTAGCTGTTTTTCCATCATTTCTTTTTTCCGGATGCCATAGATACGTGGAAGGGGGCCTCTGGAACTTAGATTGAGTAACCTTGGGGGTCATTTTCCTTTCTGCCATGCCTAACTGTCTCTTTGCTTCTCAGTTGCAGATCTGATCTCTTCTGAACACCTCATCGTGTCTCCATCCCTGGGAATCTGACCCTAGCAACTGGACCACTTTGTTCTTGGAATTTTGGGTGTCCTCTTTTCTCACCTTTCCCTTTTCCCTTTTCCCCTTCCCCCTCCTGAGAACTCCGGAAGACTGTAGAGATTGTCATGGAGTCCAGGGAAACCTTAAGCAGCTCCCGGCAAAGAGGGGGCGAGTCAGACTTCCTGCCGGTCTCCTCAGCCAAGCCCCCAGCTGCTCCTGGCTGTGCAGGAGAACCTTTGCTCTCCACTCCAGGACCTGGGAAGGGGATCCCGGTGGGCGGAGAGCGCATGGAGCCAGAGGAGGAGGATGAACTAGGCTCAGGGCGGGATGTGGATTCCAACTCCAACGCGGACAGTGAGAAATGGGTGGCAGGAGATGGTTTGGAAGAGCAGGAATTTTCTATCAAGGAGGCAAACTTCACAGAGGGAAGTCTGAAGCTAAAGATTCAGACCACAAAGCGGGCTAAGAAACCCCCAAAGAATTTGGAGAACTATATATGTCCACCTGAGATCAAGATCACCATCAAGCAGTCTGGGGACCAGAAGGTGTCCCGTGCTGGAAAAAATAGCAAAGCCACGAAGGAGGAAGAAAGAAGCCACTCCAAAAAGAAGGTAGGAAGCCCTGTCTTATGGTTGTTTTTGTTTGTTTCTCTGTTTTTGCCATTTTATCCTCAACTTCTTAGGGTCTATTTATATATTATATTTGACTCTAGAACAACGTGGGGTTGGGGATTCAGACCCCTGCACAGTTAAATCTGTGTGTAACTTTTGACTTCCCCCAAAACTTAACTACTAATAGCTTACTGTTGACCGGAAGCCTTACTGGTAGTATTATCAGTTGATTAACACTTATTTTATATATTATATGTATTATATACTGTATTCTTTCCAGAATTAAGCTAGAGAAAACGATCTTAAGAAAATCAAAAAGAAGAAAAAATATATTTGCTATTTATTAAGTGGAAGTGCACCATCATAAAGGTCTTCATCCTCATCGTCTTCATGGTGGGTAGGCTGAGGATGAGGAAGAAGAGGAAGGGTTGGTCTTGTTATCTCAGGGGTGGCAGAGGCAGAAGAAAATCTTCATATAAGTGGACTCTTGAAGTTCAAGCCCGTGTTGTTCAAGTGTCATCTGTACTTATCTACTCGTTAATTACCAATCTCCTTGATGGAATATTTAGAGACTCAAGAAGAAACACCTCTGCTATAATCTTGGTATAATGTCTAGTTCTTTATCATATCTTCTGCATATCTGACAAAAAATAGCTATAGAATTGTAATTTTGGAAAGTTCCTGTTTATTGTATAACAGCCAAGTGTCTGGGTCAGCTAAGCCATAACAAACTTTTTAGTATTTTTTTCTTTGTTTGCATTAGTTTTCATAGTTAGGAGTGAGATATTAAAAAATTTGAGTTAATCAGAACAGTCAAGAATTGTTAAAATCTCCTTTTGATTTCAGTCATTACTACTGTAAATCTTCCTAAGATGAATTACTCACCTGACTAAGGAAACCCAGTCTTTGTAGTAACTGAGACTCTCACAGAGCTGAAAAATCATCATTGTGAAAGCCAGTGATGAGCATTAGAACTGGAACTGTAGAAAAACAAGAAAGGGGGCAAGTGATTGGCCTGAATCTCTGTCCAACACATCACGGACTTTTAAGATTGGACATTGACTCAACTTGGTTAGTTGTCATTTTCCTCCTAAAAGTCAAACATGGATGTGCAAAGTAGCTAGACAGGTGGTTGGTGGTGTCAATTGGTTGGGAATGAATGAGTTCATATTTCATTGAATTTATTTTATATCCTAGGGGGTTACAGTGACTTACAGTGACCTCCCTTCCTGTGTGTGGCACTCAGCTGTGATAGCAGAGGACTGCCTTGGTATAGTAAGTTTTTGTCTTCGAAAATCTTTGGGACTTGGAGATGGCTCTAGAAGAAGCCCTTTTGTTGACAGAGTTTTGGGGTTCTAGGTTGTAGGTGTTAATCATAATCTTTGTCACTCTCTCCCTGACATTTGATCAATTATTTGGGCTCTAGATATGTGGATCAGCTAAAAATGGCACAAATGAATGAACTTCTTTTCTTTATAGCCCGAAGATATTCCATAGCATTTCTGTTACCATTAGGTTTTTTTTTTTTTTTTTTTTTTTTTTTTTTTTTTTTTTTTTTTTTTAGCTTTGGGGCAGTTATTTTCAATAAAACCACTAGGAATCATATTATTTCTTTAGCACAGGGCTTGTGTCCATCCTTATACCGGGTGTTGTGGCTGATTTTGTTGCATTTAAAATCCAAAGAACTGGCTAGAAGAGACTTTCTAGGGTGACTGACTCCTCACAGTTTGCCCAAAAAATCTGTCCTGGTTTCAAGACTGAAAATTCTGCATCCAGGAATTGCCCCAGTTCCTAGCAAACTGGGACGATTGGTCACCTTAGTTTAACATTTTGGAAGACAAAGGAACTTTTAGAAATTGGTTTGTTTTGCCAGAACATAGAGGTTGTGCTCTCTCCTCCCCCATTACAACTTTGCAGTGATTTCTGGATACTCTGTCGTGAAACCAAAGGTTTAATCTCCACACATACAGAAACTTCTGAGATTCATGCAAGAAAATGCAACAGTTCAAATCAGGCTCTGAAAGTGAGGCTTTGCATTGGAGTTGGGTCTCTTAAGATATGAAAATGAGTATCTTTGTTTCTGGCCATTGAGTTGGCCAGTTCTTTGTGTGTTGTTGTATTTTTGTGTGGGTGGGTTGTCTTGAGTAATGGTTACCCTTTGTCTCCATCACCTTCACTGCCAGGATTTAAGCAGCAACCCACAGTTTTGGGAGTTCAAACCCAAATTCGCTGCCCTAAAAAGAGAATACATTGTCCTGATTAGGTACCACTTTTCCTAAAGCCACTGATTGTTCCCAAATATAGCTTTCTCCCCATTGGAACACACCAGAATAATGTTTTGGAATCTGTACCATCGGGATGATTTCAAAGCTGAAATGTGCAGTGGACTTTGGTGCTCATATCTGAAGTTCTCAGGCTGGTCATTTTCACCCAAGAAGCTGGATGCTCTTTGTGGACTTTATGGGAAAGAAATAAAATTGCTTATTTGAATATGTGATTTGCCAAGTAAGCATTTTTATGCCTCAGCAACTGGAGGGGACAGAGAGGAAGAAGAAGGGCTGAAATTCAATGCACAGTGCTCTTTATGATGACACTGTGATGGGAATACCCTTGAAAACTTTTTAATTGTTAGAAGCTTGCTTCATATGGTACTTCTCCACCCTTCTTACATTTATTTATGCCTAGCACTGTTACTTTCCAGAAATGAATTAATACAGCTATCATCACTGAGTCTCAATTACTTGATAGATGACAGGAACATCCTCTGATCTCTATGGGATGAGAATGTTAACTTTATTACCCTTAATTCCTGCTGTTTTGCAACCAGAGAGTAAGCAAAGGCTAAAGCTGAGGGTGAGATGTAGAAACCTTGCCTACTATGTGTGTGGAAAAGTTTAGTGGCATAAACTTGCAGAATTTACTTATTTGTATGAATGAGAAATATGTGATCAGTAATTTGGCTCAGAATGGATGAGGATGAGATTTCGTAAGCAACACACCAGCATCTAATCCTGAAATCACCTTCTGGATCTATTTTTATAAGTTGTACCACTCTTTGAAGCAGTGGACATGGAGTGGCCTCTGGGAAGCAGGTCCTACACTAGGAGCTAGAAAGGAAGCCCTGTTAAGCTGATCTTTGAGCTGCTAGTGATTCCTACTAGGGAGTCACCTGAATATATGTGCTGACTTTGAGCTGCTAGTGATTCCTACTAGGGAGTCATCTGAATATATGTGCTGACTTTGAGCTGGGGTTGGCAAACTGTAGCCTGTGGGCCAAATCCAGCCTCCTGCCTGTTTTTGTATTGCCCCTGAGCAAATAATGTTTTTTACATTTTTAAAAGGTTGGGAAAACATCAAAAGAATAATAATATTTTGTAATATGTGAGGCATATGAAATTTAAATTTCAGTGTTTATAAATAAAGTTTTATTGGAACACAGCCAAGTTCATTTGTTTATGTTTTGACTCTGACTGCTTTTTCTTATAGTGGCAGAGTTGAGTTGTTGTGACAGAGGTACTATGACCTTCAAAGATTCAACTATTTACTCTCTGATCCTTACAAAAAATGTGCATTGATCCTTAACTTAGGGTAAGGACATAGAGTTTCAGGATAATAAAGGTTTTGTTTTATTTTGTTTTGCTTTAATAATTCAGCCTCCAAGTTTGGAGGCTGGGGGGAATTAGGTGTTATATTATGTGCTGCTTTTTGTTGTTGTTATTTAAGTGAACCAGTTAATTTTGCTGAAGTCATTGCTTGACAGCTCCAGGCAAAGACAGCTTATATGGGATCCCAAATGATTTTCGTTTTCATTGGTGTTTGAAAAGAAAGCTCTGTGTGATACGGGTAGCATGACTTACATATCATAGGCTAGTTCTCTGTGATGTTAACTCTAGTTATACATGGTCCACTGCTTTGGGATGAAGGCATATATGTGTAGCATCGTCAACAGCCTTGTTCCAAATTTTAAACCTAGGGCTAACTCTCCAAACTGGAGAAGGATTATAGATCGTCAGGGAACATCACCACTTAAGTGGTAAGTTGTGAGGAGGAGCCCATGGAAGTACTACCTCCCTGGCTCAAGGATGCACGGACTCTTCTAACCAGGATAGAAGTCTCTTTTCTCTTTCATATAAAACTAGGATAGGAATTGAGATGCTATTTGGGAGAGGGCCTATGATGGATTTACATGCTTTACATGAGGTGTGAAAGCAGCATTTGGTAGGAAGTAGAGGCTGAGGGGAGAGCTCAGAAGCTACTTCGGGGCCTCTGAACTCTCCTTTGGACAGGTCTAATTTTGCAGATGGACCCCACACATGTAACTTGTTCTTTATCATGGGACCAACGTGGTTGCAACTTAAACTTACTCAGGTAAGTGACTTAATAACTTACACTTCCTCAGGTTTGCTTCTAGGTGATTAGATTAAAACAACAGAGACCATGAAGATGAGTCTCTGGAAGAATGTTCCAGTAGTGCTGGGCACAGTGGCTCCTGCCTGTAATCTCAGCACTTTGGGAGGCTGAGGTGGGTGGATCACTTGAGATCAGGAGTTCGAGATCAGCCTGCCCAACGTAGCAAAACCCCATCTCTACTAAAAATACAAAAATTAGCCAGGCATGGGGTGGTGAATGCCTATAATCCCAGCATCTTGGGAGGCTGAGGCAGGAGAATCGCTTGAACCCAAGAGGTGGAGGTTGCAGTGAGCCGAGATGGTGCCACTGCCCTCCAGCCTTTTTGGGTGACAGAATGAGACTCAATCTCAAAAAAAAAAAAAAAAAAAAAAAAAAAAAAAAAAATTCCAGTAGTGACAGGGTTTTGAAGAGTTTCCAAGCTGGGCAAGGCTTAGCAGCTCTTCTCTTTCGTGAGGATGTTGGGAGTCAGGGACACCTGTCTAGATTCAACAGCAAGATAAGGGCATGGGAGTTCCAAATGGATGCCATACAGTGACTCAGGGTAGGAGATGTGGTGTGATAGTCTGACACCAAGCAGCTTTGTGAATCTGGATCTGCAGTATGAATTTGCTGAAGCCCTAGTTTCCTCACCTGCCAAATACAGGTGATGATTTCTACATGATATAACTCAGAGGAAGATTTTAGAAGAAAATGGATAATTTACAGAGCAAACATCATCATAATAACTTTGATTTCTTGAGCTACATGGCAGACCCTCTGCTAACTGTTTTACATTACTCACCTTATCTGTTAGTCCTCATAACAATGCTGCCAGGCAGATCTTATTTATTTACAGGAACTTGAGGCTCAGATTGCTTCAAAGGAGGAGGAGCTGGAAGGGGCGAGGTTTTCCTATGAAGCCAATTCTATTAGACTCCAAGCAAATGTGTATTCCAGTCCCTTAGTTGCCACACCCTATAAAAGTAAAGGATTTCTGAAAGGTGAGGATCACTAGAGTGTTTTTTCCATACTTTCTCATATAGCTGGGGTGGCACAAGCATAATCTGCCACATTTTCCCTAATTCTAAGTTTTCCATGGTTTTGAGAGAGTGTTCAAAGCTCACTAGTTAAAGCCCTATTTTTTTATTCATTGTACTTACAAATTTTATTTGCTTTTGACAAAAATACAACTTCTATTTCATTTCTTTGGATTTAATTTTTCCTCCTCTCCAGTTCTATTGGGAGATCTTATTTCCTCCTGTTGCAAGGACTTCAACCTTATACCCATCAGGTGCCTGCCATGGTCCTAGAAGCACATTCAGGATTTGTCTTGGTCTAGACCGTCATCATATGCCTAGGGAAAGACTCTTGTATTCCGTCCTGAGCATTCACAATCTGCTTTTGAGAAGCCAAATAAATCATGCACTTATTTCCTCCTTACACAAAGAGCAAACACACAAAGTATGGATAGGAAAAAAGTTTCTTAGGTGTTGTTGATGGGAAGAGAGGTTGGCATTAGATTGCAGAGAGCAATGAATGTCAAATAAACGAGTTTGGATTTAATTCTGTAAGTAGCAGGGGTGCTCACAGGGCTTTGAATCAGGGAGAAGGAACGGTTGCAGGGGTGCTGGGGAACTTGCTGAGAGTGACTCTGTGTAGAGGAGCTTAAAATGGGAGACATGAAAGGGGAGCCTTTTGGTAACACAGTTTTCAGCAAGGAGAGATTGGTCTAGGGTTCTTCCCTTTTCCTGGCATGTCCTGAGAAGCACATTTCTCTCTTGACCTTTAATGGTTGTAGCAATTTCGTTTACACGTGGGTGAGGAGGGGTCTATGAGAGGAGGTGTTTGGCAGAGGGTGAGGGGTGGCTTGCTTTGCCAAGGGTGCAGGTTGCCTAACCTCTGGCTGCTGCACCCATGGTTTTCTTCTCCTCCACACAAGTGGGTGGCTCAGAGAGCCTTCTACCCTCCTGGTGGTTCAAGTGTCCTTCCCTTGCCATCCTATTTTGTCAGCACTTTCTCTGGTCACTCCCAAGTGTACTGCTTTACAGAAGACTTGGCCTCTCTTCTTCTGGGGGTGGGAATGTGGTGTTTCAAACTCCTGGGAGTATGAGCTTCTTCCTCCACAACACCCTCATCCTGACTTGGAGATGAGGTCTCCATAGCATTTCTACACAAGAGGTTGAATTTCCCCTCTTGTTTCATTTTAGTTTTTGTCTCCTGAGATTTAAAAACATTTTTAAGTACCACATTTCTATGTATTCATTAGAATGCCTGGAAATTTTGTTTCCTGATAGATTTCTCTCTGATTATGTTGTAGCTAAAGCAGCAGGGAAGGTGGGGAACGACCTTTTCTGCAGGGCAGCAGGGAGCATTGGACATGTCAGCTGAAAGTGTGAGGGAAAGAACCTTGGCCTTGGAGATGGGGAGCCCTGGGCACCGGCTCTGCCTCTGTGACTCACAATCACATTCGGCCAGCATACTTTACCTCCCTGCTTCTCAGCTTCTACATGTTCAAAAAAAAGAAAAGAAAAGAAAAGAAAAGAAAAAGATGAAGAAGAAAAACAAAGCAGCATTTTCCCTCTGAGGTCTTGTTTCTGTTCTATAATCTAGAAACTTTAAGGGCCATTCTGTTTCATCAGCAGGGCAAGTGTTTCTCTTTAAGAACGCTCATTACTATAAACAGATTTTTGACCTCTGTTTGGACCCACTGTTCCGTCATCAAATTGTTTCCTTTTAGCCCGAAATGTCAAAAGATCTAAAATCATGGGAGCAAGGGTCAGAGTTGAGCTTAAAATGTGGTGATTTACCAAACTCGTGTTCCGTAAATATATTTTGGGAATATTTGGTTATCCCTCAACCCCGTCTTCTATTTTTCTCTTTTTTTCTTCCTGTGTTTGGGATTCTCTGGGGGTTTAAAACATGTAGCTTGGCTGTTTCCTCCTGGTTTGGTGTTCTCTTGTTTGTTTTTTTCTCTTTGGACCCCCCCAAGGAAGGTTTTTTGGTGAATTCTATGCCATTGAAAATGCATCTGGCAGAGTAACCAGCAAAAACTGTGTTCTGTTCAGACAGAAAGTCATTTATTCTCTGAAGCATGGCTGGTGTGCTCTGTATGTGAAATTCTAGATGAGGAGTACAGGGTCTATTAGAAAGAGCCTCCACTCTGGAAGTGGATTAGAACTCAGATACCCTGATTCCAGGAACATGGTCTCTCTGCCTCTGGACAGAGACAGCCTGCATAATCTTAGGCAAGACTTAACCTCTTGAAACGTTTCCTGACAGTTGGAAAATCAGGGATAACAGCAGCCCCTCCTTGTTGATGTCACTGTGGTGAGGTTGAAGTTGTCCGTTGGACACTTAGGACAGCCCTTTGCTTAGTATGTCCTGCTCTCATTGCTGTTTGGCATCTCTCCCTGCGGACCATCCATAGGAGCTTCCTTAGTTGAGGCACAGAGTGGGCACACAGTGATCTGCAGTGGTGCTGGGCACTTGGGAGGCCTGGGCTGTGTTGAATTATGTTAGCTGGGGGGCAGCACCAGTGCCTGATGTCTGATGCCTGGAGAAACTTCTATTAGTTGAGCATATCACTAATGATTTTTTTTTTTTTTTTTTTTGGTGTTGGTGGTAGGAATTGCTATACGGATTTATTTAGAGATAGTTCAAAGGTCTTTTATCTCTGTGGTCATTTATCTGCCAAACCGGGATTACTGCTGAGCACAAAGGATGACTCAAAATGAAAGTTTCAAAGCAGTGTCAAAGGAACCATCAAGTGGGGTTCAGCTGGCGGCTGCTACTCTTCCAGCATTTGCAAAGTCGGCCCCTCTTCCTCATCGTTGCAATTTTACATCCTCAAAAAGTCCTCTCATTGCTACATTGCTAGTTGACCCGCAGTTATATTTCCTTTTTTTCTTTTTAATAAAAGGCAAGAGAAACAATCCGTTTTTGCCTTTTCCTACCACATCTTTGACTTTTCTGATTCCTGCAAGTTTAAGTTAAAAACATCCTACCTTCAAGCTACAAAATGCAGCACATCCCAGGACATCCCTCACCTGCTTTGCTTGTTTATTAGACACAAGTGGCTTTGTTCAGAAAGTTACTGGGAACCGCTAAGGATAGTCAAGGTGGAGAACACAGGGTGGGGTCTCAGAGTCTGAGGCCTTGGTTCAGGTTCCTGATAACATTAAATATAGAAAATACACAGCACAAGGCCTTGAAGCCATGCATTTTAGGAGTTTTTTTTTTTTTTTTTTTGAGATGGAGTCTCATTCTGTCACCCAGGCTGGAGTTCAATGGCAGGTTTTTGGCTCACTACAATTTCTGCCTTCCAGGTTGAAGCAATTCTCCTGCCTCAGCCTCCCAAGTAGCTGGGACTACAGGCCCATGCCACCACATGCGGCTAACTTTTGTATTTTTAGTAGAGACGAGGTTTCACTATGTTGGCCAGGCTGGGCTCGAACTCCTGACCTCGTGATCTGCCCACCTCAGCCTCCCAAAGTACTGGGATTACAGGAGTGAATGACCGCACCCAGCCAGGAAGTTTCTAATATCTGCAATAAACTAAAAATTTGTGTTATACTTTGCACACAGCCAAACTGTTTTGGGGAAAGTGTTTCAACAGCATGGTCCTCAGAGTGACTTGACTTGGAAGGTTGGCACTAAGGCTCTGATCACTCCCCTATGGAGCCATCAGTGGCCAGAGGAAGAGGCTGCCAGAGAGGAGGGCAGGAGTTAAGTAGACCCAGGTCCTCAAGAGGCATACAGACAGACACAACATGCAAACACCTTCACTGATTTTTAGCCACGCCACGTCGTATGAAGTCTGCCTGAGGCTGAATTATATATTAACTGGTGGATCAGTGAGCCCCCGCTGCTGGGGGAGTGCAAGCTGAGGCCGCCATCTGAGTGCGTTGAACAGGAACACCCAGAGCCCTATATTGCAAGAGGTTTGAACTATGCAACTTTTTTCTCTTTTCTTTTCTTTCCCACCCTCCCTCCATCCCTCGCCCATTCCTCCCTCCCTCCCCTACTCCTCCCGCCTCCCTCCCTCTCTCCCTCCCTCCTGATTGTTTCTGCTGCTTGGCTCTGGCTGTGGGTAAACTCCAGCACTGCAGCTTCATCTGGGAGACCCACAGCTCGTTTGCTTCCTTCCTTCCTTCCTTCCTTCCTTCTTTTCCTTCCTCTCTCCCTTCCTCCCTCCCTCCCTTTCTCCCTTCCTTCCTCCCTTCCTTCCTTTCTTCCTCTCCTTCCTTCCTTCCTTTCTCCCTCCCTCCCTCCTTCCCTCTCTCCCTTTCTTTCTTTCTTTGTTGCTTTTTTTTTTCTTTTTTTAAAACAGGGTCTTGCTCTGTTGCCCAGGCTGGAGTGCAGTTGTACAACCATAGCTTACTGCAGCCTCAAACTCCTGGGCTCAAGTGATCCTTTCAGCTCAGCCTACTGAGTAGCTAGTACTGCAGGTGTGCACCACCACATCTAGCTGATTTATCTTTAAATTTTTTTTTTTTTTTTTTTGGTAGAGATAGGTCTTGCTATGTTGCCCAGGCTGGTCCTGAACTGGCCTCAAGCAATCCTCCCGCTTCGGCCTCCTGAAGTGCTGGGATTACAGGCCACCGGCCTGGGCTGACTACACAACCTCTAGGGCACTTCACCATTTTCCATAATACCCCAGTGGATCTCGCCCTATGAAGGCAAGGGCCTCCCTGTATATCTTGAGTCTGCATTTCTCTCTGAATTCCCAGGTTGTTGTATTTTTCTCCCTGCCTGCCCCTTCTTCCCTGGGCCAACTTCCCTCACCTCCCCACCAGCCTGTGACCTCACACGGGAAACAATGGAGACCTTTATTTACTCTCAGAAGTCTGAGCAGTTCCCACCTCAGTACCTGGCCTGTGAGGCCATTTGATAATCATCATTAGTATCAAATGCAGGTTGCTTTGGTGTGTTTTCTAGACCTTGTTTATTGTGGTTCCCTCCCTCCCCCACCAGATGGTCGTCTTTGCCTCCCACAAGTTTCTAGCCAGTTTCACAGTGGGGGATAGGAGGTTGGGGGTGGGTAGGAAATTCTTAAAAGGAGATAGAGAGCAGCTCTGTCCCTCCAGGTGGGCCACCCACCATGTCTTGCCAATAAGAAGCAATCATTTGCAAATATAAACTTGCCCAGGAGTGTGGACAGCCTTTTATGCCAGGCCAGTTATTTCATTTGTTTAGTGTTGTTCATGAGAACTCAGCTCAGGAATTTCAGCATTTTTTACAACACACAGTACCCCTGCAGAACCAACTTAAAGCAGTAGCTCCTCATGGTGGATCATGGGTTTTGTAGTATACAGTGGGACTCTCCATGATCTCTCCATTCTTATCCTTTGGGGGCAGCATTATGTAGAAACTAACTTATTTGGGTGTGTGATTCTTCCTGTGTCATCAGGTTCCTGAACTAACCCAGTCTTCCTGCTTGATTCCTACCATTTAGATAAATGGCAGGGCAGTGTTTCTGATTGGGCTTGCGTGCTATTGGATCATGAAGGAAGCCAAGATTGGGAGATCCAGAAAGGGTCCTCGAATGAGAAGTTGAATTCATTGAGGACACAGGTGAGAATCAGGCATCTGGTCATTAGGCAGGAGAAGGCTGACAACAGAAGCTCTGTGTCAAAAGAAAGTCATAGGTCCACAACTGAGTCACACTTCCAAAATCGTGGATATTGCTAGAAATTAGAAGAGCCTCTGAGCATTTCTCTTTCAGCATCCCTCTTTTTTTTTTTTTTTTTTTTTTTGATACAGAGTCTTGCTCTGTCGCCCAGACTGAAGGGCAGTGGTGTGATCTCTGCTTACTGCAAGCTCCGCCTACCGGGTTCAGGCCATTCTCCTGCCTCAGCCTCCCAAGCAGCTGGGACTACAGGCGCCTGCCACTGCACCTGGCTAATTTTTGGAATTTTTAGTAGAGACGGGGTTTCACCATGTCAGCCGGATGGTCTCGATCTTCTGACCTCGTGATCCTCCCACCTCGGCCTCCCAAAGTGCTGGGATTACATGTGTGAGCCACCGCGCCCGGCCTCAGCATCCCCTTAATGGAACAAAACACCCCTTTCCAACTCCCTAAGGCATAGTTATTTGACTGCTGCTCAAAGGCCTTCACGGGGGGGGACGTGCCACCTTTCGCGGCAGCCCTTGTTTCAGAAAGCTCTTTCTTATATTGCACTAGGCATCCCTTTTATAGCCTAGATATTTCCAGTTCCTGAAAGTGTTCCTTGTATTCCATGGTTTCCTGGTGCCAAACCACCCTGGTTCCTGTGCTGGGAATACTAGTTTTTCAGTGTCTCTTCTAAAAGGTGTAAGTGGGAGAGCTCACAGAATAGAGTACAATACTGGGAGGTGATCTGGCCCTGCATTATGCCAGGGTATTGTAACCTCCTCTGTTCTAGACACAGTATCTCTATTAACATGACCCCAAGCTGTACCAGCTTTCTAGAAGCTATGTCATTGTTCATATACACTGAACTCAAGGTCAAGGAAACCTGCCAAACTAATATTGTCTTATGCTACTTTTGCTGTACAAATTATCACATCCGATAGTCAGTCGATTCTCTAGGCTAAAATTCAGGTGTTTGCGTTATTATCATCTCTTTGTGCACAGTTCTGGGCAGAGACGTGAATCGAATGTTATACAGATGGTCTGGTTTGGGTCTAGTGACTACATAGAAGGCACAGAAACAAGGCACTTTTAAATGTAGTTGCCCAACTCAGTCAGAAATCCTTTTCTATGTATTCTGTAGAGATACATCTCTAGATGGCTATCTGCCTTCTCCGAACCTGGTTTCTCATTTATATAATGACCTCCTTTATCTAAATGAAAGGGCTGTTAAGTGTGTGTTGTTAAAGGTGAAGTCTATTATTCTCAATTATGGTGTAAGCTCCCTGAGGACAGGAATTGTATCTTTTAATGTAATATTCACTTATTTTTATTTTTCCAGCCTAGATGTTAAACAAGTTCTTCTTAGGTCTCCTTTTTTTTTTGAGAAGGAGTCTTGCTCTGTCACCCAGGCTGGTGTGCAGTGGCACGATTTCCGCTCACTGTAACCTCCACCTCCCAGGTTCAAGTGATTCTCCTGCCTCAGCCTCCTGAGTAGCTGGGACTACAGGTGCATGCCACAACACCGGGCTAATTTATTTTGTATTTTTAGTAGAGATGGGGTTTTGCCACGTTGGCCAGGCTGGTCTCAAGCTCCTGACCTCAGATGATCCGCCCGCCTTGGCCTCCCAAAGTTCTGGGATTACAGGCGTGAGCCACCGCACCTGGCCTTAGCTCTTCTGTTCTATTAATATCAAAACAGCTCCTGCTTAGTCAGCTCTGTGTATTTTGCATTGGTAGTTAGAAACATCTGAAATCTTGTGTCTCTCGGGGTGTGTGTATGTGTGTGTGTGCGCATGCACGTGTGAGCGCTCTCCTATCCAGATATACTGTAACAGAGCTGAAGCATCTTAATTCTAGAAGTACCTACAGAGTTTAATGGGGTTTTCAGCCTAAGTGCTGTGTAGGGTATAGAAAGATGTTGCTAAGAAGTATTGATCTCAGGACATTTAGGGAAAAACCCAGGGCACTGTATTTAATAAGTAACTGTCAAAATATGTGATCCAGATGATAGTGCATGGTGTGGACAATCACATCTGCCCAGCACCTTGATAAAGTGTACTCACATCTGCCCAGCTGTTCCTTCTTTTGGGTTTGCTCTTCGTATAGTTAAGCAAAGTTGTTATTTCTCCCTGTTTTATAAACTGGGGAAAGGACTCTGAGGGTTTAAATGGCTTGCCTGAGCTTACAGCTAATTACTGAGGTTGGTGGGGTGGGGGGTGTTTGGGACTCAAACCCTCAGGTCTCCTGGTTTCCAGCAGTGGAAGCTATCTTCGAAACATTCCACCCTGCCTTGCCCTGCTGGGGCATCTTTAAGAAGAGAATAGTTGAGTCTCTTGAAACTCACCTGGTTGTTTCTGCTGCTTGGCCCTGGCTGTGGGTAAACTCCAGCACTGCAGCTTCATCCTGGAGACCCACAGCGCCTTTCTTGACTGCCCATAGCCGTATCCCTGCTAGAAAACACTGGGCAGGTCACAGCGGCAGTGAGGCGTGGTACGAAGTGATGGGCTGGCAGCAGCACAGGGCTGTGGGATAATAGGCTCGCTGTGACTTAATCCAGAAGTTATTTACAGGGTATTCTAAAGTGTCCTGGTTTGGACTGAGAATGTGGGATTCAGCTGAGGCCCTTGCAAAATAAGATTCCATGAGCGCTGACTAGCCTGAGGCCTGAGGGGAACAGTTTCCCCAGTCAAGGGTTCTGGGTCCAAGTCCCTGTTCTGCCTTTAACAAGTCCATCTGTGTTTGCTCATATTTAATAAGGGAGTCATAATGTCACTCTTCTTTTCACATTATTCTGAAGATAATCTGAGCCAATGGCTATAAAACAGTTCTGAAATGTTAACAGTGCAATGGAAATAGAAAGTGTTCTTTTTTAAAACTACTGTATAGTAGATTTCCAACAAACTATCGTTGCTAATTAAACTTTTCCATCACTTCCTTCAATATCCTTTTATTCCCTGGCCTCTCTCCTCCTCTTCTCTTAATAAAGCCCCCAGACGTGGCTGTGATGGACAGCAGCTGCAGGTTGGAAGTGGGCGCGTCCAGATACCCACCACATGGTGTAATTGCCCTTTGTGAAATTCTGGGGTGAGAGGTCAGCCCTCTTTGCCCATCTTTGTCACTTCTCAGTCATCTGTATCCTGGTGGCAGTTGTGTTATCCCAGCATCCTTCCCCTACCCCCACCTTCCCTCCCTTCTCCTGGAGCCCAGGAAAAAACCATCTGCTGAGTTGGCTTTCAGAAGATTTTTTTTTAAATACCAATTTCCCTTTGTTCCGAGGCAACCTCCAATCAGGGCTGGTGTCTGCTGGGTTTGGCGAAAGGCTGGTATTGTGTTTCATGCTCCCGGAGGAAAGGTTGTCCACTTGCTTTTCTTTTTGATTCGATTCCCTGCCATTCTGCAGGAGAGTCAGTGGTTGCAGCTGCTGCTGTCAGCTATAAGTGGGGGATCCCCTTGTTTAAGAACCTATACGTTAATCCCTTGGCAGGAGGAGAAAAACAAAACAAAACAAAAAAAATAGGGAAAAAATTAAATCCACCACTGACGGAAGTTTTTCTTTCTGTGTCCAACCTGCCCCATAAGTCACACCCGGATCCTACTGCTTGCTAAAGGTGAGGCCTTGCTGTCCTTGGAGGTTTTCTTGAAGGTTCTTTGGTGTCCAGGCTCTTTATGTTTTCTTATTTCTGAAAAATGGGAACTGTGTATCAGAAGCATAGGTGAGTCATTCTTTTTGTTTGTTTGTTTGTTTTTGAGACTTAGTCTCACTCTGTTGCCAGGCTGGAGTGCAGTGGTGCGATCTCGGCTCTCTGCAACCTCCAACTCCCAGGTTCAAGCGATCCTCTCACCTCAGCCTCCCAAATAGCTGGGATTACAGGCATTTGCCACCATGCCCGGCTCATTTTTGTATTTTTAGTAGAGAAGGTGTTTCCCCATCTTGGCCAGGCTAGTCTTGAACTCCTGACCTCAAGTGATCCACCCACCTTGGCCTCCGAAAGTGCTGGGATTATGGCATTAGCCACCGCCCTTATCCAGGTGAGTCATTCTTTTGTGGAACCCCTGAATCATAGAGAAAGCCAATTGGCTGTGCAGGTTGCTTTCCTGGACATAACAACAGCTGCCATTTTGCTACTTAGAGGAGCTGAGAACTTTGCCAAGCACTTGACACACATTGCTACCGAATCTTCCCCACAACCGCAATGTGATGTTACTATCCCCATTTTACAGATGACTCAAATGTGGCATAGAGAGCTCCAGGAAATTGCCCTGGGTCTCAGAGGCAGCCAGGAGGTTGTGATACCAGTGCCACACCCTCTGAGCTCCAAGGCAGCCACCGTGGCTCCTCATGCGGTGCTCAGGCAGCTGAACCCAAGGCTGGAATCAGAGTTTCTCACCTCTGACTCTGCCTTCTGGAAAACCAGCAGAGAGGTGTTTTTCTGGTCCTTCCATTAATCTCTTTGTAAAGTGAGACCACAATAGCTAGATGCCAGGGAAACGAGAGAGACAGTTGGGTCGAATCTTGAGAAAGCTGTATAAGATCTGCTCCCAAACTTCATGCTTTTGTCCTCTTTTTCTGTCATGTTCCACAAAATTGATGAAACTTGTCTCAACAGATTTAGGATGCTCAAGCACATTCTCTCAGATTGTCTTCTGACTTTGCAGACACAGGGCTCTGCTGGCCTCTGGCTCTGCAGGGTCTGCCCTCACTGCACATACTCCCATGTCTACTTTGGGGCCATTGCAAGGGATTGGCCCTTTACCAACAAAAGGGTATATTTTGATCCTTTATGGTGATGAGAGAAAGGGTCAGGGAATGAACATATGATGAATGCACTAAATTGGTAAAAATACATGAAATCCAAAAAGCTGTTCTTAAACACACCATTTCTTCCCTCCTCTCACTGGTGGACTAAGCCTGTGACCCAGAGCACTGAAGGACCTGAGGATTCCCTTAGAATAGAGTATAAAATAAAACAAAGATAAGAGAAAGACAGAGATAGAAGGTCAGAGAGGTTGAAGTTTTCTCTGTTTCTTCCTCCTAAGGACATAGAATTTTTCTAGATGACTTAAAATGCATATATGCATCTGTGTGTGTGTGTGTGTGCTTGTGTGTGCATTTTAACTTCTTAAAATATGTCATAGGTTCATAATAGTGTGGATTATAAGAAATGTAGCAACTTTACTAATGAACTCAACTTTACTCCTGAAACTAATAAGAGTTTTTGCTCAGCACTTTACCATATGGAATGATCTGGTTTTTAGTAAATGCTGTCTCCTGTTCATTTTTGAATATAATCCAGATATGAAAACAAGTCTTGCCTGAAGCAATGAGGGAGAAATAGCAGATAGGATCTAGAAACACTGGACTAGGTGAGGGAGGTTGAAAGTGATGGATGCCACAGATTGGGTAGCAGCAGGTGCAGGTCAGACCCTGGACCTGGAGTCAAGAATGGCCCTCATGCTCAGCCCTGCCAGCTGATTCATGCTGCACCTTGGGTTAGCCAGGGTCCCTCTTCAGAGCCCAGGGTCACCAAAAGCTGCAGATCCCAGAGCTGTGAGAGCAGGAGGAGCGGGAGAAGTGTCAAAAACAAAATTTGATTTCAGAACAGTGGGCTCTACTGAGTCTGAGAAAGATGTCCTAGTAGCAAAGAGAGAGAGAGAGAGAGCTAAGCTGAATGGAACCAGGATGGCCCTGCTGATGCTGCTTATCCACTTAAACTGCTCTCTTCCTTAGCATAACTGAGTCATTCATTCATTTATTCACTCATTCAACCAAATATATTTTCTTCAGTAACACTTTATTGCATGCCAGGCAGTACTATGGAGATGTAAGTGGGTATTGTCCCTCAGATGTTGCAAGTGGGGTACCGTTGTCTATTTGACTCATAAGCTGCAGACAGAAAGCTGTCTGTAGTTCTGGCTCTGGGGCTTTTCACAAATGTTTGTTGCTTCACCCAAGGTATTGGCAGCTTCCCACTGGTATCAGAGCTGCTGCAGATACTCTATAAGCAGAAAGCACCTCGTAGTATCTCAACTAGGACAGAGGATGTCAGAGCTTCTCAAAAAATAACTTGTAATTGACCGATTAATTTGACTGAGTAATAGGGACAGTCTGTGCCTAATTGGAAGGAAAGTCAAGAAACACCTTCAAGCAGAACAAGGTGAGATGTTAGTTGAAGGCTTCCATTCTGGTGTCTATGTGAAGACACATGGGGTTTTATGGTACTGATATATTTAATCTATGGGATGTCCTTGAAAGTCCCAGCATAGGAAGAGGAAGGTAGAATAGTAAGCTTGACAAGAAACCTGAAAAATCATGCATCACACATTTTGGAAGACGGAACAGAATCCAAAAAAAGTAGCAGAGGAAATAGAAGCAGAAATCTGATAAATTAGGGGAAGGTCAAAACACCTGAAAGGCCCAGTGTATTCGGGCAAATCAGGTTCAGAAGTGGAGGCCACGCGAGAGCTGACCACTTCATGGAGGAAGGTAAAAACTGCATCCGAGAGAGAATGTGTGCAAGGGGTGGAGGGCAGGGGAGTGGTATGTGCGTATGGGCGGCACCAGGATTTCAAGGTCTGAAGGGAAGGACTGCCTTTGAAAGTCTCCATTAGTTCAGATGACCTTTTCCGAGAAGGAATGGAGAGTACCCTGGAGGAGCCTGGTCTGTGATTCTGGGACCTTTTCAAAAATGCTTGTTGCTCCTCCACCCAAGGTACTGACAGCTTCCCACTGGTGTCAGAACTGCTGCAGATACCCTATAAGCAGAGAGGGGCTGCTCCAGTCTGGCCAGCTGTGCCCCACTCCACCTCCAGGGAAGAGCAGGTGCTGAACTTCTGGATACCTGCCTTTCCTTCTGGCTTCATTTCTAAATGACAGCTGACCTTTGCTCCCAATTTTAGACTTGCAGCAGATTCCTCTCTGGCTGGGCCCTGATTGCAGGAGCAGCAGTGGCCACTTCTGCTCATCTTATTTAACACTGGGAGATAATTGTTGGTCCTTGGAGCTTGTCATCCTCAGAAGACAGTCCAGCTGTGGGGGTCAGAGGTCAAAGCACACAGCCTGCTGGCAGTGGAGGCAAAGATCTGGATGGGAGGACAAACATGTGAGAAGATGTCAAATCTGGAGAGCATCCGGGGACTTCTCAGGCATTTGTGTCATTCTGTCCTCATGATTCTCTGAGGACCTCAGCTGAAGAGGGTGGCGCGCATTGGTTTGCATGTTAGAGAGAGTGCACTGTTGTGTGCTCATACACATATGTGTGAGCATGTATAGCCTCTGGGATGATAGATATTGCATACAATCTGATAGAGCCCTGGCTTAAGAAGCAAGAATTTTAGTCTCTCTCCCTAACCACCTGTGTTTCCTCACCTGCCTCTTGTTCTCAGAGGTCACCTCTTGAAATGAAGGCCATGAAGCAGAAGACACTGAAGTCCTTTCCAACTCTGATATTCCAGGACATCACCATAGAAATACCTATTCCTATAACTAACTAAGTATTCACATGAACATGATTATGTACATGTAAACAAATTTTATCGAATCAACAGTATAGTTTTCTCAATAGCCGCTGCTGTAGGTATCCAACATATATATTTGAGAAAAAAAGTAGACAAATTCAGCTACACCTAGTATGAATGATGCCTGGGAATGAAGAGAGGAACCACATGGGCACTTGAGCAGGTGACAGGATGCAGAGCCATCGCTCCCAGTTTAGACTGACTTGTCTGGCTTTTGGGGAAGCTTCCCAGTGTCTACCTTGTTAGGGAGGTTAGGCCCACGCATGGTGCTTATGTTGTACCCGATGGTGGAACATGTGAGAGAGTACAGGGAGGGATGGAGGAAGAAGCTTGAGTGGGCCTTGAAGAAAGCATAGGATTTAGGTGGGAGGGAAAGGGGTATAGGCAGTGTGCTTGAACACTGTGCAGAGGGCAAAGTGCTCATGGTGGGCAGCCTTGATCTGCTGGACTGCAGAGTTGACCTGGAAAATCTGGAGTGGAAGCTTCAGTAGGCCAGATCAGACAGATTTGACTTTTTCCTACGTGCACTAAGAAAGCAATGGAGCCCTCCAACCCCCACCCCCCACCCCAACCCCTTGGGGAGAAGAGAATGAAGGAATGTGCAGAGAGATGCTTTAGGACATCATACTGCGTCCAGCATTGGTGGGGAGTGAGCCCAGAGACTGGCTAGAAATTGATGGCAGCACCCAGCGAAGGGCATGAGTGGCCTTGAGTTCTGTCATCACATACAGAGAAGAGGCTGAGAGAGCCTTCTGGGACGTGGAAAGGAGCCACCTCTAAGGTCTCTATTCTTGTGACCTAGAGAAGTTCAGGTGTTTTTTTGAAGAAGTAATTGATTTCTTTTCTTAAGAATTCATAAGCATCTTACTGACACTTATTGAAAGCTGACTGGAAAGGGCCTTGCATGAAGAAGAGCTCTGGGTATGCACAAAGGTCCTGAATCCAGCCTCTGTCTTGGAGTTTTGTTTCCAGGAGTTATGCCTCATATAGGAATGCACAGAGGAAAGACTGCATCAAGTGTTTCTTCCTTTGCTGCATAAAGCCAAAGTTTACTTTCTGTATATGAGGCCAGTTGTAACCCATCATGTGAGAAGGTTTGGATTTCATCTGATAGGTTCACTGTCTGTTTCTAGTCCATTTTGTTTTGTCTATTCTTTGCCACTCATTTCTTTTCTGCTACTGGGTTCTCCAGCTCAGCACGGGACTCCATAAATCTCTTCTTTTCTACCCCTTTCTCCAAATAAGGGTTTTAGGGAAATGGTGTAGGTGGGTCGGGGGCGGGGGAGAAGTCAGCATATGTTTGCTTCCACAGTATCTCCTTTTAAATCTATGTTACCCGCTTTAAATATGACCCATTCACACTGTGGATGAACGAGTTGCACTTTTTCTGTGTTGAAAAGGAACAAGAATGCATATGGCCATGAGGGGGACTTTTCCTTACCCTCAGAAGGTGGGGGAAGAGGGCAATGGTGTGAAAGAATGAATTAGTTCTGGCAAATCTTGTTAGTGTCCATTGTAAGCAGAGAAGCTACCTAAGCCATCTGTGGTCACTTGCAAAATTGTTCCTTGTTTGTTCAGGCTCCCCACCGAAGCAAATCTTTGTGGCTTCTGATAATTTGCATATTGTCACTTGTTTGCCAACTAGAGGGTATCTGGACATGTGTATGTGAGAGGGCATCTGCGTGGACATGCATGTGAAATCTTTGTGGCTTCTGATAATTTGCATATTGTCACTTGTTTGCCAACTAGAGGGTATCTGGACATGTGTATGTGAGAGGGCATCTGCGTGGACATGCATGTGTGTACCGAAAAGAGCCCAGCATTGGTATGACATTGACATAGATGTTTGGGGGGCCTGGATTTGACTGGGCTCTAAGCTCAGTAGGAGAGGAAGGAATCCTGGGAACCTGTTTATATTATTTTGGGATATTCCTAGTCACCATCTCCGGTCGCCTTTTTGTGCCCCCTTCCCTTGCTGCCCTACCTTCCCATGAGTCCCCTGCTGCCCTACCTTCTCACACAATTTTGCCTCAATTCTTGTGCTTAATGGGTGGTGTGTGTGAGCAAGAGGCAGAACGTATTTAGGGCAGCTTGTTATAAGCTAAGGGAGATGTTAGAGTAGTATTTGCTACCAATGGATCCTTCTATGTCAAAGATACTGTTGTTTTGTCTCAATTAATTCTACAGTGTTTATGGGGACCTATTGTAGACCCTCCTGCAGAGCAGCAGTATTCGGGTGCTGCAGCTGTCTAAAGGCTGCATGGCCACCATGATTTCTGTCTTCCAGTGGTGAGCATCACGTGCTCTGTGGATGGGATGAACAAAATTCGGGAGTACGCTCATGAAGGGACTGGTTATTGGGTTCTGATGGTCACTAAAGGATTCCCATCTGAGTGCTTGTAGAAGGCTGATGATTGTGAAGGGCATGTCTTCAGGACGGTTCTCTAGTAGGCTTCTAGGATTCCAGATTGGCCAAAGAAAATGGTAAATGCAAATCTGCAAAAATTAAACAGCACAAATACCGTTTCTTTTCATCATCACAATATCCTATGGGAAGGATAATGTAATAGGATTAGAATCTAGGACAAAAATGGGAGTCCTTCTGAGTTTTATTTTTAACAGCACCAATAACTAATTGTATGACATTGGTAATTTAACCCATTTAGGCTGGAGGTTGAAAATTTTTGGGTGTGAAAAATCAGACCTTGGTGATGACCTTGAGCAGTAGGATATAAATAACTCCCACAAGCTTAGTGTTCCAATAATGGAACACTAGGCATAACTGGGTTAATTGGACAAAATTTCCCTACCCCTTAATTTCTCCTTTGTGAAGTGGGTAATCTTGCCTTTTCCTTCTCCTTCTCTTCCTCTCACTTCCTTTTATATGAGACAAACTCTGCCTATAAAGAAAGTTGCTGCTTTCATCTCTTCAGAAGTCCTCTTTTTATACTGTCAGGCGGTATTCTCCATAGCTATTTGAGAGGGTCACACTGTTTTTTATTGCTTGATGGATACACACAAAGAATGTTAAAGCAGAAAGAGACCTTGAAGATCATCAGAGCTGTCTTCCCTTCACAGATGAGGACATAGAGCCCAGATCAGTGATGTCTCGTGATTTGTTCAAGATCACATGGCAATCAGCGACAGTCGGCGGGGGGAAAAAAAACAACACCCTTTTTAGTCATCACAAAGCTGAGTGCTAAAAATGAGACAGGAGACTGAATTGCTGTGGCCGGTCATTGCCACTGCATGGGAGTCTGCCCCAACTATTTGCTTGGCCCATCTTATTACAGTTTGGCACTTCTCTCTTGAACCTTCCTGAACCTACCACGCCTTTGCCCAGGATAATCAGATAAAGGGGCCTTTTATTTCCCAGCTGCCCTGTGCATGCAGCATTCAGAGAAGAGGGGCTGGCAGTGGGGGTGGGGAGGGGAGAAAACATTTGTCTTTCAATACTGGCCTGACATGAAAGCTTCACTGCCGGGCATTTTGAGAACCCAGCTAAATAATGGTCGCAGCCAAGACAAAAGATAAAACTGACCCACTAGTTATGCAGTTACTTAAACATGATTTACCCTGCATAATGCTGCCTGGGACCTGAGGGTCTCGTTTTTAACGAGCCAAGAGACAGAACTATTAATTACATGGGAAGGAGTGCTATCAGAGAGCAAAGTAGTCATTGCCAACGAAAAAGTCCTGAAATATTCCACGCCTTTCTCAAATACTCACAGAAACACCCAGAAGTGGCACAGCTCACATGTTGGTGGACACAGGCAAGGATGGGGAAATGATGAGTCCCAGTGGTTCTAATGTTGGATGTCACAGGGCTGGGGGTTTAGCTGGAGCCAGGGAAGTTGCAGTGGTTAGAGGAAGTTGGGACAGGGGTTTAGAAGCAAATTATCTTGTGGTTTGGCTGAATGTGAATGTTGGGAAAAGTCAAAGAGGAGCTCTGCATCTTACTGCTCTAGCGGACATGATTTCCATTTTATTTCTGCATCTTACAGCCAACCCCTGAGCCTCTAATCTCAGTGACATGCCCATTTAAGGGAGTTAGGATATAGGGTGGGGGAGGGGAGCTGGCCTAGACCAGAGAAGAGGCTCTGAAGACCAGAGATAGGTAAGTGAGAGTGGGAGTCTGTTTACAGATTGTCTCTCATCCACTGTGATATGTTAATTTTTCTGAGCATCTTTTGATCAGATAAGCAAATCTCAGAAGCACAGCTCTTGTTCTGATTGCTTTAGGGGCATCACTGTACCTCTTGTGGTTAAACATAGTAGCCTGTGACACCAGCCCTGGAGTGGAGTGTCTGGGCTGGGAGGATGAGAAGGTAAAGCCTAGAGGATTTGAAGAGGACAGGGTCAAGGGTTAAAGGACAGGGGTTAGCAGCAGGCAAAGGCCCAGGATTGAAATATTTGCTGAAGGCTGACAGGCAGCAGAATAGAGGCAGACAAGTGGCAAATTCCTGTTTTCTCCTCTAATTGAGAAAATATTTTGAGTGGTATTCAGTCAGACTACATAATGAGTGGGGGTGGGGCTGGAAGTGGAAAGAAAGAATATGAATGAGCAAGAATATTATTAAATTACTGCAAGAAGCCAAAGTGTGTGCAGAGTTCAAGGAGCTGTATGAATGTGCCCTCCTTCCTTGCTTCCTAATTTGGGATGCACAGCATTCATTTCTTCACTCACTCATTTAGCACATGGTCACTGGCAATGGGGGTTTACTTTCAAAGGAGGGTTTAGTAGCTGCCCATAGAGTTACCATCAGATAAATGTAAAAGGGGCCAGTTTTCTCTCCCAAGGCTAGGGAGACACATAAGCAGGTGATTGCAACACGTGAGACTCCCATCTTGATGCTGTTATTGTTCTTTTCTTTTCAACATCTAAATCTGGTAATCATCTGTATCTGCTCACAGTTTGGGGAATAATTTCATATAATTTCACATCTAAGAGAGACTATAAAGTGATTCCTGCACTAAGTCTGGCTATCCCAGGGCCTCTGTTCTTAATGAGTTACCTGTACTGTCCAAGGAATTGTGTAGCAAAACTGGGTTGGGGGGTGTGTGTGGAGGGGCAGAGTCTGGGTTTGGGGAAGTAGTTAGGAAACAAAGCAGTTATGTCTTGACTCAACCATAACCAGCCTGCCCTTGCTTGAAAGATTCGGCTTTCATATTTTAGGAGCACAGGTTCATTTTGTTTTCTAGGCTGACAGTGAATAGCACTGATGGTTTATTCACCAGGACCTTTCCTGAATTATAGGGGCATATAGCTGGGAAGGCCTTTAGGGTCATTTTGCCAATAGGAACCCACAGAAGTTAAGGGACATCCTCCCGGTGCTATGTGAGGTTGTGGCAGAGCTGGGACCTCCTCCCCCTCGGCCCCCTGACTTCCCAGCGGCTCTGGGTGTGCTGTCACCTCTTCCAGGAAGTGATGACTCAGATTATTTTCATCAACATACCTCCCCCCTCCAACTCCGTTTTCTTCCCACAGCCACCAAAGCCAATAATAGACTAAGGCAGTTTCAGTTTTAGACAATTTCCTTTTTTACTTAGAAATCTATGGTTAGAAAAGGGTGTAGGGTGGTAATAGTGGCCAGGGGTGGGGAGGGAGGCATGAGAAGCTTCAAAGGGGATGGGCATCTCCTGGCTCTCTGGTGGCCTGGATGGAATTAGAACCAAGAACTTTCATATGACCTTGAGTAGATCTCTAAAAGATTCCTTCCCTCTGAAGTTTTTTGACTTTTAAGTTCAGAAGGGAATTTCCTTTCCACCAATTCAGGGACCATTCCTAAAGCTTCATGAAACCCTTACATAATTTTTAAACTTTAACAACTAACTCATGTGAGTTGTTACACATAGCTTGTAAGTGACATTTCAAGCCTTCTTGATTTTCATTCCAACAGTTCTAGATACATAATACATTCTTTTCAAGGAAGGTAGGGACTTTGTTTTGTTGTAGTAACTAAAGCTGGCAATCATTGAAAGAGATTATGAATAATCAAATAATAATACTTATCTCTTGAGTTCTGTATGGGAGGCACCAATCTAAGCCTACTACCTGCAAATGTATATGTAATCCTCCCCAAAACTCTTAAGAGGTAAATCTTACTGTTCTCATTTTGCTGATGAGTTAACTGGCATGGGGAGGTTGAATAACTTGCCAAATGACATCTAGAGAGTATATAAAAGAGGTAGTGTTTGAAGTCCAGTTAGTCTGATTTCAAAGTTCATATTCTTAAACACAAAGCTATATAGGACCGCCTCCCATTTGCAGATTAGAAGTCATAAACTGTAATAATATTACTTTCAAATTTCATCACGTGTTTGATTCTAAGTGACATGAACTTGAAGTTTATTAAATATGTAAAGTACACAAAGACTTCATAAAGGCCCTATTTTTAATAAATGCCTCAAGCCACACAACTGTGTGCTTCGTTACATAATTTGTTTTTGTAATAATACGTGGAGAAGAGCCCAAGATGAAAGGGCTGGCTAGATTATTGTGTGTCAGTTGTGCACACACTCTGTTTCTGTTTTTCATTCTGGGATCAACTGGGGAGATAAATCCATTTGCCATTGATCTTACCATCGTGAGGGTGGAGTGGTTATCAGAGGATCCTGGAAAGTTTAAAGCATTATCCAAATGCAAAATAAAAGAGGTGGACAGCTTTTTATTTTTTTTAACACTATAAACATGTTTCAGTTTTGCTGTTCAGACTCTTCTCTCTGAAGTCCTTTTCCATAATGTTCGTTTGGGTAACTAGCATTGGAACATTTGGATAACTCAGTGTTTGAGCTCTCTGGATGAGTTGCATGCATTTGACTGAAATATTTGATCACTGTGTGTGTGTGTGTGTGTGTGTGTGTGTGTGTTGATACCCAAATAAAACAAACTCTTAAGGTTTTACTGTCAGTGTCCTTATTTCTGTCTCTCACTTTGGGGTGAGAGATTAGGATAAGTGATATCTGCAGAGGTTCCTGTCTTGAGGCAGGGCCTTCCTTCTCATTTGAAAGCATCTTAAGGATTTGTTGCTGAATGCCTATCTTCCTGTGGTTCACAAAGACGCATTCAGATGACATTCTAAACTTGCTGCTTTCACGGCAGCCTTTTCAGTGAGTGGCCAGCATCACTTTTCAGTGTGGGGGGATGGACAGTAGGTGGACACTGTCTATGTATGAGCCCTGTAGTAAGTTGCCAACTGAATGGTTTGAGATGTCCAGAATGTTCCCTTCAACCTCAAAGGAACAACAATCATTTACGCAACCCCTACTGTGTCTTCACCAAGCTCTCAAAACACCTTAAATATGAAATCTCTACCACCATCATAAAATCAGATTCTCGAAGGTGAAAGAGAATTATCCTGAGTTTCCTCACAGACATTTAGCCAATCTCCTTGGTGCTTTGTGGGTGGCCTTTCTATTGTTGAACACTTCTGGGCTGAGATGCTGCTTCCCTTGTTGGGTCAAAGTAATCCAACAAGTAATTCTTCTTATAGCCCCCACTTCTTGGTCTTATCTAACCCTCAAACACAGAAGCTGTGCTAGAGAGTTAGTGACACTTTGCTCAGAACCCAAATTAAACCCAGAGCAATTGTATCCAATAAAAAAAAGAGACTGAATTTGAGGGGAGGTCCTTACACGTACCATTTATCCCCTGTTTGCTCTACCGTCACTTATTAGGTTCACTCTGAAGAATTAATGAAGGCTATCTCAGGAAGAAAAGCAAAGTCTTCTCTCATTTAAGACTCACTACTTAGAAATATGCTAATTCTGAGAGACAGAATAATGCACTTCTACTCCATTGTGATCACTTTTGCACAGTTTGGCTACTTTATTCAAATTCCTGTATTGTACTGTCTGATTTATTCCAGAGAGCAGGACAATCAAGAGACAGGCAGAAGTAGAAACCTTCTGGAGATTTAGCAGTTATTCACTGTCAGAGACTGGTGGTTCTCAGAGCTGATCATTTCCCTGGACATGATCACGTCTCCCTGTGCTAAGTTTATTTGCAATCTATTAAAAACTACACAAGGCATGCGGGTCTCGGGAAAAAGTCACTGTTTTGTTTCAAGTGCAGGTAATCAAATTTAAGTGTGTTTGGGTACCTGTTACTGATGTTCCATAGGGACCATTTGTTCATTCAGTTAACAGTGGATGAGTGTGGATTCTAAGGTAGTCATTGTACTCATCATTAAGAATATAAAATCAAATAAGACATGTCATTTGCCTTTAAGAATCAGACAAGCTTGAGTCAGATAGGCAAATAAAATGGTAATTATAAAATAATGTATCAAATTCAATGAACAGAAAGTATAATCCTCCAAATCCTATTGGGGGCAGGGAGAGAAAGCTCTGGGATGGAGGGAAGGTAGTCTTGGAGCAAGTTTTGAGGAACAAGAGGAGTCAGCTAGAGGAAGAAGGAGAACAGGCATTCCAGGAAGAAATAATGGCATATGCAGAGGCATGGGTGATGAAATGATAGACTTGACTAGAAGAAATGCAAGTAGATCCATTTGAATGAATGATGCCAAAGGTGGTTGGGAGCAGAGGTAAGAACTAGGCAGTGGGAAGAATGCAGCTAAGAACTAACTAGTGCTTATTGAATCCTTACTGTGTGCCAGATAGAGTTCTAAGCCCTTTACATGTGTATTTCAAGTAGTCTCCATAAAACCCTAGGCAGTAGCTACTATTGTTATCTTTACCTTACAGATCAGGGAACTGAGGCATAGACACAGTAGGTCATCTGCCTGTTACAGAGCTAGTAAGAGGTAGAGTTTGGATTGGAACCCATGAAATCTGGCTCTACAGTTCACTTTGAGTCACTGTTCTTTGGACCCCGTGTCCTAGGAGGTTGAACATTATCCCCAAAAACTCTGATTTATTTTAGACAAAGAAGGACATGAGCAGAGTTATGTTCTGGAAAGGTCACATGGAGAACCATGCAGTGAGCAGATCATAGGGGAGAGAGACTGGAGCAAGAGATGCCAGCTAGAGGCCTTTGACATAACGTAGGTGAGAAGTGAGAAAAACCTGAAACACATGGTGACAGAGACAGCATCAGAAGGGAATTGATATAAAAGGCATTAAGCAGGTAGCATCTGCATGACTCAGTGGCTAATGGGATTTAGTTGTTGAATGAGAAGGCGGAATTTAAGATATCTCCTAGGTAAATGGATATCACTATTCATAAAGAAGGGAGGCCTTGAAAAGAGGATGCTGCAGCAAGTCAATGTGATTCCTGTTGAGTTTAAAGGGGCCTATGGGGACACCCATGTGGTGATACTTGTTAGGCAGCTGAATATTTGAGTTCTGCAGATTACTGTGGGCTTTGGAATCTGTTAATAGTTAAAACCATGGGTGTGGCTTAATTTGCCTGGGATAGCTTGTAAAGTCTTAGAGCTGTGGAGAGATCTTTGGAGATTACAAGCATTTAAAAGATAAGCAGAGGCAGAAAAAAAAAGTGTTTGCAAAGAGTGGTCTGGCTAGAGCAGGAGAAACCCCAGGAGGTCCCGGGGAGGCTGTGGTTTATGTCACACAGGCTTTTGCACCGCAGGGTCACTGTGACTTTTGAGAGAGTGTTTTCTGTGGAGCTGTGAGATCAGAAGCCAGTGAAGAAGATGCAGAAACTGTCATGTAGACTAATCTTTGCAGAAGCCTGAGTGTGACGTGAGGTCTAGCTATGCATCTGTGTGAGTCAACTTCTTGAAAACTCAGCGTGGAACATCTGCAGAAGCCTAGAGTGGTGCGGCTGAGACCTTATCTGCCCTTGTTATATGGGTAGCACTAAATTCCCTTAGATACATATTGAATACGACTTGCTTTATTCTGTTTGGTTCTGTGCATTTTACTATGGAGTATGAAGAAAAATTATATAATATAGGTTCTGCCCTCAAACAAGTTTTATTCTGTCTATTCTACATAAGACAAACATGGAAAACTAAGAGTCAATATGAGCTAAATGGTCAATAATTCAGCTGTCAGATACTGGGGAGGTAAGAGTTTGCTGGAGTCCTTGGGATGCAATGAGTAAACTCTATCCTGAAGGATGGAACTACGGAGGATTCAGAGAACATGCGATCTGCTATACAGATATGTAGATGGGGTGGTATGCAGGAGTCAGGGAAAGAAGGCAGTGAGGAACCTCGCTCTTTTCTTGACCCTGGACTTTTTCCAGCCTCTTTTTTCAGGAACTTTCCTGTGTTGCTTGGTCTCTCCATCCAAGAGGCTCTCATGTACCATTTTTGCCTACCAAGAAGAAAGCATTTTGACACATGCTCCCTGTTGTGCCTGTCCTCTTTTTCAGACCCTCAGCAGATCCTTCTTGCTTTCATCATTCCCCACTGGTCTAAGAGAGACATCAAAAGGAGCAGCTAGAAGAGTTACAGTGGGGGTGGGAGAAAGAGGAAGCTTAAATGGTATCAGGGTTTCTAGATGATAAGATTGTCCTGGGAGCCCTTTATAGACGAGACACAAGATGTTCTAATTATCTACTGCTGTGTAACAAACTACCCCAAAACTCAGTGGCATTAAAACTAGAGCCATTTTGTCATGTTGTCAGGGTTGTGGATCGGCCTAGTAGTGATAGTTCCTCCATAATCAGGAACTCAGTTGGAGTGGCTGTGATAGTGTGACATTGCCCCACTTGTGACTGGCTCTGGCTGTGGGCAGAGTCTGTCAGCTCTTCTCCATGTCTTGTCTGCTGTATGACCCTGGTGACTGGGCTGGGATGGATGCAACAGCTGGGGCTGCCTGGGTTCCACTCTGACCTCTTGACATGGCTGACTTGTACTTTCCAGCCAGCATGGCAGGTCTCGGGGTAGTTGGACTTCACACATGGTATCATTCAGAGAGAATCAGGTGGGAGCTGCAAGGCCCCTTATGTATGACCCTCAGCATTTCCAAATATCCCTTCCCCCACATTCTGTTGACTAAGCACAGTCACTAAGGCCAGCCCAGATGATCAGGCTTTGCAGAAGCTGTGCTTTTTCCACATGGCCACAGGCGGGAGAGGCACCACTCGCTAAACTGACAGAAAACAGGGTCCGCAGAGAGGTTTATGAGACTGTCAGAATCCATGTGGGTTTTTGTCTACTGTCTGGAAGAGCCCTGAGTTAGGAGCCAAGAGACCTGGGTTGTGATTATGGCTTCATCTCGATCTAACCAAACTTAGAATTGTTTTGATTTGTGAATAAAAATGTTGGTCATGATAGTTTTATATTTTATTCTACTAGACCCTGGGGCTAATGGAATTATTCTGATTTTAGAAGGGAGGAAAATGGTTCTTTACACACACACACACACACACACGCGCACGCACACACACACACATATCCTTATATGCTCCATAACCTGAAGTTGAGTGACTGACTGCAATTAAACAGACATTGGTCTAGTTCCTGTTTCTGCCACCCGACAAACACGTGCTCTCTCAACCTGACTTTCCTCATCTATCAAACGGGCATAATTCTAATTGCCTGGTCCACGTGAAGACAGTATGAAATACAATATTCTCAATATTCTGTGTCTGTTCAGAGTAGACTCTCCCTAAGAAGCATCATAGTAATTCTGATTGTTTGCCCTGATAAGAATCAGGATTTCCATAGCATCTGGCTGAACCTGTTTTTCTCTTCCTAATGCCTTGTTTGATCCCATTTTTCTTTATTATGAAATACCCAGTGGCTGGTGTGTGTGAGGTGCATGTTCTCAGTTTTTGTGTTGAGGCTGTCTAGTTCTATTTGATGAGCAATGTGTCTGTGTGAGTATGCAAATATGCTGGACTCTTTGCATGAAGGATTTAAAATAGAAGCTGACCTAAGAAAGTTGATTACCACTCAGATAGACGATCACATACCCTCGTTATGAGTCCTGAATTGGTTGAACTTTGTGACTAAATATGATATTCTTGGAATTTAGCTTACTGCTCCTTGAAGCTGAGCAGGGCTATGCAATTGTATTTTCTTTAACATGCTACGACTTGACTGCAGACGCCCTAAACCCCTGATGTCTTCTGCATGTACGATCAAAAATTCCTAGCTCCGGGAACTTGCTGTGCTGAGCAGACATCCAGTAAAGGAGGAAACCCAAAGCCTGTGTCCCGACGGATATATAAGTGAAGACGTTAGTCAAAACAAGACGTTAGTGCTATTTCTCACCCTTGCAATGGACAGGAGCAGCCATATTGTATGTTGCATTTATTTAGACCCTTCTGCCGAGAATAAGTGCTCTGTAAACATGCCCTATTTAGCCCTCAATGCATATACTGCTGCCTTTCTGAGGTCTTGAAGTCAATGAAATAAATTACTCTAAAAAGAAGTGCTATGCAGCCCCTTAGAACAGTAAACAAGAACAGTTCAGGTCTTTTCAGGAACCTGAAGCCAAGGGATGGTTTGTTTTTTTGGTCTCCAGGAAGAACCAGTACAGAAGGAGGTATTGACCTCGCTACTTTGGCTGGCACCCACCAGGTCCCTTCCTGGCGCTCACATTCCCCAAGTGTGTAACTCAACACCTGTCCTTCTGCGGCAAACAGAGCTTACAGTGATGGCTGAGCCCCTCCTGCCCTGGCCCTACCGGCAGCTCGCACCTTTCACTTAGGATTTCAAACTCTCAAAAACCAGAGTCAGAGAATAAATTCTCCCTCAGGATTCTGGTTTGGGCCAGGAAAAAAAAAATAATCAGAAAAACAACTCCCACAAGAAGTCCTGGGATCAGCACAGCAATCTCTTTCTAGCTCCAGACCTAGATGAGGGAAGGTGTAGGGATCTTAGAGACCTCTAAATCTCACAAGTGGCTCCCTCTGAACCAGAGAGGGGCATGTGGTCTGAGTGATGTCCTCTTTTACTGTTTGAATGCCAGCTCATCTGAGCTACACAACACCCCCTGTTATTTCTGTCTGACATGGCCAAGCTGAATCTCTGGTAAGTAAATAATTAATTTGGAAGTTGGGGATGTCAGTGGAAAAGTCGGCTCTGACGGCTCAAATAACAAGCCCCAAATGTGATAGCCACTCTCTGGCCCTTTGAGAGACGACCTGTCGGTTCTATTAGATCTGGACAGTCCTGTCTTCCGGCCTGTCTCTCCACATTAAAGTCAAGGAACTGTATCTCTCCATCTTTGGATCACATCTCTGTCCCCAAATGCTTGTGCACACTGTGGAGTCTGGTGTTTTCTTTCCTAACTCCACCAGGCCCATGCAAGTCCACATGACTCATGAGAAGAGATGAGTCGCAGCTCCAGTATCCCTGTGGGTTTGGGGAGGGGTCAGGCTGTGAATAAACCACTACGTGGCTGATTTTACATCCTTCTCTTTCACCACAAAAACCTCAATTTCCCTTTTTGTGGAAAACAAAAACCCTCTTTCAGTGTTCCATCAAGGGGACTGTGGCCTTTGAATTGCACGGTGTCCCTGAGAAATTTTAAAGATTAATCAGCTTTTTTGGGGAGTGGCTGGGAGAGGCCCTATTCCTGTCCATTAGGGAGTAGCAGGTCTCCCCTTCTGTTCCTTCTGACCAGGCTGCCATCTTCATGTGTAGATGAGGAAATTGATCAGCCTATGAATGATTTGCAAATCCACAGATGTGTGGCTGAGACCCTGAGGGCATTCATCACAGGATCTGCCCGGTCCAAAAGTTCCCTTCTCCCATCACAATTCAGGGCCTTCACAGAGCTGGGGGAGTGAGTAATGATGGGGGCAAAAGTCACACACTGAAGCAAATGAGGACAAGCCCTGAAAATCAGACCCTGTTGAGGCCTGGTCCAGGGGCTTTCTAGTACACTAGTTGAGATCATTTCTAAAAGGAAATAACAGAATAAAATCTCAGATAGGCAGTATAAGAATTTGTAAATGGTAAATGTGCTATAAGGGTGAGTAAGATGCATTGCTTATTGCTTGAGAGGATTTCTTTGCCCTTCAGTGTATCTGGATTTGTCATTCATGAGCTATTAATTAAATTCGTACTCTCTGCTAGTATTCGTTTCTTCCCTGGGCCTTCCTGAAGACTGCATGTGTGTCCTAGCTGTCTGCTATTCCAGCTCTCCTGTATATTCTGGGAGTGTGTATGAATCAACTTAGGCCCTTGTTAATACCATTGTTCTTGCAAGACATAAAAAGAAAGTGAAAAAATTTAGTTTGACATTCTAGGATCTTCCCATTTCACCTGAAATGTTATTTAAAGACTTATCTCTTACCAGTTTCTGACTTCCGTGAATTCCCTGACCACACTTCCAATTCCCACTTCCATACTTCTGTTTACATTGCTCTGACCTTAAATGTCTCCTCTCTCTCCCTATCTAGTCAATACTTACCTCTCCTTGAAGAATCCCCTTCCTTCCTGGTGTCCTCAGCTCATGCCTTCCTTACCTCTAAACTTCTAGAGCACCTCTCCGCAGTAACAGTCATTTCCTGGCAAAATGTGTCCCTCCATTGTTACGTTTCTTCTTTTGGACTATTTAAAATTCACTTATTTTATTACATTTTATGTTGCTTTCTCTTATTTAGGTTAGAAATTATCTTGGGGATAAAGGGTTTAATTTATTGGCATTTCCCACAGCATATCACATAGGAAGTACTCAATAAATACAAATTGACTCTATATGATTAAGTTTTAGACAATATCGAAGTGTGTTATGTTCCATTTCTACTCCTAAGGAGTTTTGCTATCCAGTAAGAAGAGAGTTATTTATAAGTCTACATAGAATTCTACTTAGAGATATTCACTAATATAATATTGTAAAGTTGGAAAGCCACACCTCAATGATGTTTCTCAATATTCATTAATCCCAAGAAAGAGTGTTGGTATAGATGCAGAGGATTTAGTCCATGTTGCTAAATCCTGTTGAAAATGTGCTTGAAGATTCATCTGTGGTCATGTGTGCTGAAATCAATTGAGGATACAGACCCAGCTTGGCTCTGCATTAGGAGGCAGGAGACCTGAATTTTAGTTCTTCTTTTTTCAGTTGCTGGCAGTTTAGCCTTGGGTAAGTCACATAATTTCCTGGGCTCAGCTGTTTCTTCCTTACAACTAAGGTTGCATCAATTGCTTGTAGTTAGAGATCTGAACCAGATGATCTATTAAATTTCCTTTCTATCTCTAGGTTCTTTGATTCTATTATTTAATGAGACTAATTCTGCTTGCCATTGCACAATACATTTTAGCAAATAAAAGTTCAACTGAACAGACATGATAGTAACAAACACCCAAACATCTGCAAGACTAAACATTAAGAAGAGAGACAGACAATGGCTTAGGCGGGGGTACCTATGATAGGTGCTCCAGGGCACAGGGAGGGTCAGATGCTGGAGTGGCCCAGTCTTCCTGGGATAAAAATGAAAAGGATCAGGAACACTTTTAGAAAAGATTCTAGATCAAAACTGTAAGGATGCATTCCCCTTCCTGTCTCACCTACGCCTACTAGTAGTCCATGACTTAACACAAGTTCTGCCAGGGACAGAATGGTATAAGATATTTCTTACCTGCTGCTCTCGTGTTCAAGGAAACTCATCAGAAAGATGCTCCAGGTTGGCTTCTGGTGAGTCCTTTTTCATAAAACATCTGGGCAGTTTCAGCCTGAGGAACATATACTGCTATCTTCAGCTGCTGTGGTGGGAGGGAAAGATAACATTTTGTGGGGCTTGTTTTAGTCACTATCAGCTGCTGCTGCCTTAGAATCATGAAGAACATTTTTACCTCCAAATGCAGGTCACTCTACTGGTCTTTTGGAATAGCCACAAAGGGAAATGCCATATCATTAAGAAGGTCAGGCTGGGCATAGTGGCTCATGCCTGTAATCCCAGCACTTTGGGAGGCCAAGGCAGGAGAATCGCTTGAACCCAGGAGGTTGAGACCAGCCTGGGCAACATAGAGAGATCCCTTCTCTATAAAAAAAGTTAGTCAGGCATGGTGGTGCACGTCTGTCATCCCAGCTACTCAGGATGCTGAGGAAGAAGGATCATTTGAGCCTGGGAGGTCGAGGCTGCAGCAAGTCATGATTGCATACTACTGCACTCTATACTGGGCAACAGAGTGAGATCACGTCTGTTTACTTAAGCTCTGTAGGGTATGCAAAAGAACACAAGACAAGTCTTTAAAATTGACACTGTTATTGGAGAGATCAGTTTTATAGACATAAGGATGTCATTACCCTAAGTTGGGAAGATACTGTCATCTTGTCTAGAAAACTTACCTTGATAACATCAACCCACTGTGATATTTCTCTTTTTTGTGCCACATGGTTGGTAATGTAGATTCTATCCTACTTCACTCTTTCCATTTTTCATGCTCCTTTGAAATCAGCATATATTTCAATTATATACAATATGATGTTGTGTATATATTTTATCACTTTAATTACTGAAAAAGGATCAAAACAGAAGTTTCTACGTACAGTTCTCTCATAACCCACAGTGCACTTAGAATACTTAATGCATTATTTGTTGACTGACTTGCTCATACAGTTTGCATGACTTTGCAGTTCTTTGGAAAAGAGGTATTGCTGGAAAGGGAGTTTTATCTGGAAGTGTTTCATAAAGCCTACTCTTATCTCCATTGTGCCCCAGGCAAACTTAGCCACTGTGTCCTCTGTGCTCACTCTCTCTCTCTTACACACTTCATTGCCCTCCTTCTTTCAGTCTTTTTTCCTCAGTATATCTCCAGTGTTGAACACAGGGCCTGGTAGACCGTAGACACTTGGTACATCTTTGTAAAAGAATAAATGATGAATGAATGATATTGAGGTCTAAAAGCTCAGGATGAGAAAGAGAGGCAAATTCAGTTGCAAGTCTGGCAAGTGGCTCAGTTGGAACTCCTCAGCAGGCCTGGCTTGCTAGAGGCCTGTGTTGAGTTTGTCTGGGACAGGCCTCCTGTGAAGACTCACATCTATGATCCAGCAGTAACAGCTTTCACTGTCAGGCACAAACTTCTTGGCTGACTGAAAGAGCAACGTGTTAGTCTCTAGAAGTGGAGTGGACTGGTGTCTGAGGTGAGTATAGCCCACTTGGATACAGATGCCCAGTATTTGGTTACCTGCCCTGGGGAGAGGACTGGTTTCTCCCTGGTGTATAGACTCATAGGCTGGCTACAGACATATATACACACACACCCAACTACTGATTTGCCTTGGGAGTACACTGTGCTTACTTAATATTGTACAAGCTGGTGACCAGATTACCTTATGAGAAGGCACATGATGTAGAGTGTAAAATCCACTAGATTTGAATTTAGAAGACACAGATTCTACTTCCAACTCTGGTTTGCCCTGAGTGTGTAACCTTAGAAGGGTCACTTCACTAGGCCTGACTTCTGTCTGTAGGATGAAGGCATTAGGCTACATAATCTCAGAGTTTAAAGCTAGAAATTTCCAAAGCTGGAATGAGTTGCCTTTGTAGGCAGTGAGTTTCCAATAGCTGGCTGGAAGTTCCAGAACAGGGATTCTTAGCCTTAGAAGTGTAGTTGTGTTGGGCCTTTCCAACCCGATTGAGTAACTTTCAGCTGATTTGGAATCCCATCAGCATGGGCCAAACTGACGTCAGCAGGGAGACAGACACAGCATTACGTTGTTTACTCTGTACAACCTATAAGTGAATTAATGACCTGCCATGTCACTATTTTGATAGCAACAACATCACCCCCATTGTCTACCATTTATGAATTATCTTTTTTGGGCTTGTCAATTGATTGGACATCTGCATATCCTAGGGCATGTGCAGATCCACATGGTCACATGCTCATTCTCTGGGTCTTCCTCCTCTGAGAACCTAGCATGTGGTGTTCTTTGTGACTTGCCCATATAAACTGCTATTAAAGCCAAAGACTGGGTGCCCTGTGCTGGCTGTGTCCCTCTGTGAGAGACTCAGATGCTGAGGTCTCCAGTGGCACTTAATGCTCCAATTGCCATTGTTTGAAGAACGACATCTACCCTGTAGTCATATGTGCCTATGTTGACATCTCTTTCCACTTACTCTTTGCAATTCTCTTCTGGTGTCCATGCTGCTGGTGATCTTTATTAACAGTAAAATTCTTCAAGAGCTCCATAGCCCTGAAAGAAGAATTATGCCATCACTTCCATTTTACTCAATTTCATTTTTCTGGAAGCATTAGAAGATGAGTGTTCACATTTTCCATAAATTTATTTGCAGCTTGAAAGAAGGAAAGATTGAGCGCTGTGGCTCACACCTGTAATCCCAGCACTTTGGGAGGCCGAGGCAGGCAGATCACCTGAGGTTAGGAGTTCAAGACCAGCCTGCCCAACATGGTGAAACTCCATCTCTACTAAAAATACAAAAACTAGCTGGGTGTGGTGGCACATGCCTGGAATGCCAGCTCCTCAGGAGGCTGAGCCAGGAGAATCACTTGAACCCAGGAGGCGGAGGTTGCAGTGAGCCAAGATCATGCCACTGCACTCCAGCCTGGGTGACAGAGCGAGACTCCATCTCAAAAAAAAAAAAAAAAAAGAAAAAAGGAAGACGGTATACACGAACACACACACATACACACACAGAGTCTCCTTTTATGTGTAACAGTTGCCCACAAACTTAGTGGCTTAAAGCAACAAAAATTTTATTATTTTATATTTCTGGGGGTTAAAGTCAGAAATGGGCCTCACTGGGCTCAAATCAAGGTGTTGACAGAGCTGTATTCATTTAGAAGACTCTAGGAGAGAATGTTTCCTTTTCTTTTTCAGCTTCTAGAAGCTGCTGTCATTTCTTAGCTCTGTTCTTCCATCTTAAACCTAGTAACTCAAGTCGAATCATTTTCAACCTGCCATCTCTCTGGTTCTACCTATTCTGTTTGCTCTTCCACTTTTAAGGACTCTTGTGAAAACATTTGGACCTACCTGCTTGATCTAAGACAGTCTATTTCAGGGTCAGCTGATTAGCAGCCTTAATTCTGTTCCGCTTTAATTGCCCTTTGCCATCTAATATATTCACAGGTTCCAGGGATTAGGACACAGGACATCTTTGTGGGGCCATTATTCTGCCTATTACATCTTATTTTAGTAGTGCTAATAACTTGGATTAATAAAACATTAACAAACAACTTTACCTTGCCTTTATCTCCTTGATCTGTGACTGCTCCTCCAAGCACAATTCTTTATACTGGGGAATGAAATAATTGCTTTTTAAACAAAAAGCAATTTGCTATAATTTGTAGAACTGTTGGAGTCATAATGCTTTCAAGATATGTTTTAATAAAAAGATACTTGTATATTTGTAAAAGAGTCTGACTAAATATTTTCATTCATCTGAGGTTCTGGGAAATCTGATTTTAATTATCAGTGATATCTGAATTTGGATTCAGGTCTTTCACATTTAAAATACCCTGAAAGGATAATTTTGGTTATTCAACTTGTATCAAATGAATGACAGATACAGAAGAGTTTGGCAATGTGTTCATTAAATTTAAAAACCAGTATACTGGGTTATCATCCAGCAAGTGCTAACTGTGTCTTGGCAGATGTCTGATGTCCGAGTAGGAGTGATTATGGTTACTGTGTGAAGACTTGACTCTCAAGGAGTTGCAGGATCATACGTGGGAAGTGGAGGGGTTCCCATGTGACCTTCTATGAAGATCAGAAGAATAGAAAACCTGAAGAATAGATTTTGGTTGGAAGAATAGAAAGTCTGCCTAGAGTGTCTTTGGAATGCCAGAGGATGAGATCGTCTTGTTTACTAAGAGTTGTCACGGTTCCCCTCACCTCACCTCCCAAATCCTGGTAAGGAACCAGGACCTGCCAAGGTGAAGCACTGATAGATTTGGCTGGCCTTGAATCTGCAGGTGCTAAGGTTTGGGTTATTATTCTAGAGCGGGCATTGTGAGTCATAGGGCTCCAAGGATTCAATGGTAGAGTTACGTCACCTCCTTTGGGCATTGCAAAGTGAGCATAGGTATTTGCCTACTACTCTGCTGACAGCTTGGGAAGGTTGCCCATTTTACCTTTACGCTAATGACGATATTACCTATTACACATTGTGGCCATTACAGTGTGCACACCAGGGGAGGAGACAGCAAGAAAGTGGTTATCAGGACAGCTGAGGGCTGGCACTCCTTAACACTTGTGATCAGTTATTTCCTTTCTTCATGTTCGGAATAGGAATAATGATTCCTGCCCAACTTGCCTCAAGAATTATTACGAAGATGACATGTGATGTAAATGCACTTTGAAAGTGTCTAGTGGCTATTGAGTTCCCAATACTTTAAAAGAGAGAAATAGGGGTAGAAAGCCTTTCTAGGTTAAGGTGAAATGATGCAGTTCAACTCTCTGATCCTGTGCTTTTCCATACATTTCTCGTGGACACTGGGAAAAGGATATGCTGCCTTTTGCTTTGAATCACAAATACTGTGCATTAATTGGAGTTTATTTGTGGAAAAGCATTTGTGGGATGAGTTTGTAGAGTGTAGAATGGAGGGTGTGTATGTTTGAGGTAGGGTGAGTACAAGTTGTTTGATCCATTATTAGTTTAATTCTCATTTTTAATTGGTTTTAATTTAGTGTTTTGTCTGAAGTGATGATCTACATTCACAAAATTTTATGGATGGCTCTTTAGGGAAAAAGGAACCTGCACTTGGATAAATTTGAATGTACATCTTGATTTCTCAGTTCTCTCGGAAATATGGAGGCCTGCTATATCTTGCATTGTGGACTAGTAGATTATAAGATCATCAAATATAGAAACTAAAAGTGACTTTATAATTAACTGGCCCAGAGGGCTAGAGGAAGCAAATGAACAAACAAAAAACTTTAAGGCAAAAATTGGGCATTCATTCAGTATAATATATTTTCATTCATTCAGTGAATATTTTTGAGTACCTATTCTGTCCCAAGCCTTGAGCTAGGTGCTAAGGGCACCAAGATCAAAGACCCAGTGCCTGCCTGTAAGGAGGTCATGGTCCAGAGAGGAGATAGGCATTAAACAAGCAGTGTTCACTGTGCTCCTTGCCAAGTCTGGCTGATGGGAGGATAAGAGGGATGATCAACAGCAAATAGGAACTGTCCTAAGATTGCCTGGGGGTGGGGATGGGGCTGTGAGGAAAGGCTAACTATTTCCTATCTCTTCCTCTAGAAAAATAAAATACAACTAGAGTCCTAAGAGATCACCTTTCATTGCCTGTGCCATCGGGACCCCTTTTCCTTTTCGGTTCCATGCAAACCCATGACCCTAGATGCTGAAGATCTATTTTTTACCATCATCTTTCTTACTGTTATTATTTATGACGGTCATTGTTTTAACTGCTCCAAGGAGATAATTGCCTTAGTTGCTAAGGCAACCCAACATATTGGGTATAAGAGCAGCCAGCAGAAAGGGTTTGCCAAATTGCAGGGCTGGGTGGGAGGTGTGGGGTGGGAGAGCAAGGGAGCTCAGCTGTGGAGCTTGAAAATAGCCATGTTCAAATTATCTCTGCATTTCTTCCACTGAGGAGCGTGAAGCCACTTGGAATCCGGTGCCTGCCAACTCCTCACCCACCCCTGACGCTTCCTATTTTCAACCCAGCCAGTGCACTCCCTCACTAACCCTCAGTGCTCAGCCGAGAGAGCTTTCTTGGGTTCCAGTTCCCAGACTCACAACTCCTATTCTGTCTGCTGCTACTCAGCCCTGGAAATGTTCTTGCCCTGTATTTCTGGCCTCTAAGGACGGAGGTGGAGGTGGGTGCAGCACGCACAGATGTGTCTGTAGACTCCCCTGTCTGGGCAGTGCACATTACCCATTTCAAACAGACCATAATCCCTGGTGGTCTTGCTCAAGTCTTGTCTTCTTTCTAACTTGGAGAACTATAGGCAGATGACAATGACCATTTACATTTTAATTTTTGAAGACTGAAACATCTTGGGGGATCAACCTTGCTGTCTCCATTAAATAGGTAAACTGAAGCCAAGAGAGGAGAGTTATGCAGACAAAGCAATGCAGCAAAAGTGGGTGATCTCAGCCCCGCACCCCGGTCTCCTGACTTTCACACTCAGCCCTTATCAGTGCCATTAGCTTTGCTCCTTGGCTACTGACCATCTCAGTCTGAGGTCTTCTGGGAGATTTTGCTCTGGTTTCATGTCCTCTAGTTAGCACCTTTTTTGTCTCCTGGCCCTGGTCCTTATGCCAAGATGGGGTGGCAGAGAGGATGCTGGGGCAGGAGGATGCGGAGCACAAAAGTATAGCTCATTGGCTGGCATTGCTTTTCATGATTTGACCATCCAGAAGCAGCTATTGCCATGAAAGAAGATAATGGCAGGAGAAAAGGCAAGATGACAAAAGAATCCCTACCAGAAGATTTGGGAGGTTGTTACTGACTTATTTCAGAAAGTCTTCTTTCTTCTCTTTTTTTCCTGCTCACCAAGTACGCATTAGCCCCAGGATGTCTGTGGGGAGGGCCAGCCTGCCTCTGTGTCCTTAGCAACCTCCAGGGTGTCTCCCTAAGTATGTCCCAGGGCCCTCTGCTAGAGCTCTGCCTCAGAGTTGATCTATCTGAACAGGTTAAATAAACAGGTCTGTGTTTGGGTTAATTATCACTGGTTCTGTTGCTCTCCATTACTGCTCCATCCGGGACTCTGGCCAAGGAACAGATGGGAGAGGCTGCATCATCACCCCTGCCTCCTCATTGTGTCTGGCTCTCCCTCCTTCTCTCTCTCTCTCTCTCTCTCTCCCCCCCTGTCCCGTTACCCCTTTCTGTCTCACTCCCTTCCTCCTTCCCTTCCTGCCTGCCTCTCTCTTCCTCCCTCCTTCTCTTATTCTCCACCTTCCTCCCTTTCTCTCTCTCTCCTCTTCTCTCTCCTAGCCCTGCTTCCCTGCCTTCCCTTCCCCCTCCCTATTTTTGCTCTTTCTCTCTCTCTCTCTTTCTCTTTTTGGCTGAGCAAATAGGCCAGATGGTGGTGAGGGGAACAGACAACAAGTGAGGCATGGCATATGGGGAGCTTGTTTAATTTCGGCTCCTGTAGGGAAGTAGATTGGAGGAGGTGAGCTACAAAAGCAGAAAATGGAAAGGGGAAGGGTAAGAAAAAAAAGAAAAGAAAAACAACAACAACAACCGACCCTTCCAAGGGGGAAATTGGATTCAATTTACTATTGTTGGCCAGTAGAAGCAGTTGAGAATGAACTGAATCGAAAGTAGAAAGTGCCCTTTTTGAATTTCAAAGGTACAGCACCCCCCCAACCCCCAACCTACAACAGACCTCACTTGTACCAGCTCCATATTGCCCAAGGATCTGGTTCTGGGAGAAGGGTCTGCCAGGGGCAGTGGGCATGGGCAGAGTTTCTTATACAACGTGGGATATGGCTGTGTGTTGGTGGATCAATTCCAGGAGAGAGAGGAAAAAGAAAATAGCTCTGTGGCTAAAATTAGGGGTCAAGGGAAGACTAGCCCCCATTTAACCTACCTCTTTTTTTCTACTAGTTGTCTGACTTGGTTTGATGCACCTTTTGTTTCGATTTTATTCTGCTCTACCCATGGACAGCTGCCCAACATAGCCACACCTCACCCTGCTGCCATTGTCTGCTCCCTTTGCATACTTGGAAAAGTGCAGGCAGGATCTCGGAGAAGTGAGTGTAAAGATGTCACTGAATGGCCCTCTAGCAGAAGCCTTTTGTTTTCAACCAAAATGTATTTAACCTTCATGGTGACTGCCAAGAATGTCAAATTTAAGGCTACATTAGCTGGAGTTTCTGGAGAGATTCTGGCCACATATAATGGCACATGCCTTGGTCTCATTGGTGTGCCATTCCCACAGATCAGCGAAATACTGCCTGCTACACCCCTGAACATTTCCACTCTGCCATTGCTGGCGAACCCCCACTCTCAGAGAGCAGGTGGATTTCTGACATCCAGGAAAAGCTGTGACCCAGTGCAGCGTTGAGTCTCAGGCTCCTGGGTCTCTGGGGACTGGAAGAGACCAGAAGCCTTAACAATTACCCTAGGAAAGGAGAATACAATCCAGGCTCATCTGCTGGAGCTGCACGCCTGCTCCCCCCTTCCCTGCAGGGGCCTCCCCAGCTCCACCAGGCAACCCGTTGTTCTGCAGCTGATAACCGGATTAGGCAGCAGAATGGGGCAGATGAGTACCCTGAGGGGCCCTGCCTGGGAACAGGGGCTCCCTGGCCTGGCGTGAGGGCTGCCACTGTCAACACCCTAAGCCGCTGCCTCCTGCAGGGCATTTGCATGTGTGTGCGCCCTACTGTACGCGCCCAAGAGCCAGTGGGAAATGCCGGCGGTGGCAGTTCACACGGGGCACTGCTGCACAAAGCCCCAAGGCCAAGCGGCACGGTGGCCCTGGCTGGCGAATGTCGCGCACCCAGTCTCTCGCAGCAGCGCCTGGCGCGACGACTGCTGGAAGCCGGGCCAAACGCAGTCTTTGCATGAGTGTGGCCCTGGCTGTGGGAGCCGAAGCACAGCCACCACGCGCGCCGGAGCGCAGGGAGAGTCGCCTGCATCGTCCAACCCTCCTCTTAAAAAAAAAAAAACAAAAAAAAAAACGCTTTCTTCGTGCTTGCTTTCAGTGGCAGGCCGGCGGTTTGATCTCCCCTGAATGCTGTCCCCTCATTCGAGGCTTCGATTCTGAGAAGATTCAGGGCATTGTCCAGGGTGGCGGGATGTCGGATTGATTTCGGGGCCTTTGTGTGGACGTGGGGCTCCTGAATGAAGCTGTTATGCGCGTCTGGGGCTGGCGGGCAGGCTGTCCGGCTGCAAGCTGGGCCTCCCTTTGTTGTGGGGGCCTCATTGAGCCCACGGAAGAGGCTCATTTCAGCGTGATTTACTACCACCCAAACACCAGCTGTCTGTTGTGCTGCGGCTGCTGCGACGCCCTGCCCGGCCCCCTTTTGGGTAGAATCTCTTCTCCTTGTGAAGCTCTCAGAGCCCCCACCCCTTTCTTTAAATGCTTAAGGTAGATTTATAATCATTCGTGTATATTCATATTATATACTTGTGTATGTACACCTAGGTATGTATATACACACATACACATACACCCATGTGTATTCTTTTGGTGTGTTTCTTTTTAATAGAGGGCCCTGAGCTGAGGTAGGGAGCAGGTGGAAAAACGCTGCGGGGCTAGGGGCTGATGACCAAGATCGCAGCCTCAGTTCTGTCCTTGATTCATTGTGTGACCTTGGGTCAGTCACTTGATGTCTCAAAGACCCAGTTTCTTCACCAGAAAAAAATAAGAGCATTATTTTTGATAGAAGGAAGGCATGCCTGTATTTCTTGAAATATTACAGTATTTCAAAGCTATGACAAAAATAGAAAAGAGAGTGTCCTATTACTCTCTAACAATTTTGTAAAGCATTATTCAGTGAAAAATACAGCCAGAAGCAACAGGAAACGAGCTTGTGCTCAACCTTGCCAGGCACTGGGGAGGCAGGGTTCAGACTCTGTCTTGTCCTGAGGATCTCAAAATGGGGAGTCAATAAGGAGACTAGGGCCATGGAGCCTTGGAAGTGCTAAGTGAGCATCAAAGGAGGGAGCAGGAGGAAGCCTTGGAGGGAGAAGGGCCATCAGGGAAGGCTCCTGGAGGAGGTGGTGCAGGATTGTTTTGATGTTCAAGGTAGTTGGTAAGAGGCGGGGTGAGCAAAATTATTTCATAGAACTTGAGTGTCCAGTGTAGTGGTGACCATCCCTTCTCTGGCACCCTTCCTTGATCTGGAAGGCACACACACACCCAGGAGTGAAGAGAGAGCTTGAATTGGGGCAGGGAGATGTGGTCAAATATGCAGGGTAGAGGGGTCACTCTGCCACTCTGCCATTTCTGTTGGGATGTCTTGAAGGTGTCTATGTTGTCAGTCAGGCAGATGACCATTTAGAAGGTGGCTGTAATAGTTCAAGCAAGAATAGTGATTAAAATATGGGGCGTCATAGGAGAGATGACAGAGGTGGAAAGGGAAGACATTTATGTAGTGGGACTGCCTTTGAGAATCACTGGATGTAAGGAGTTGGAGAGAAAGGAGTGGATCTGTAATGATGCCCACATTTCTGTAAAATAGGATACATGATAGTACAATAGTCATAGCGTTGCTAGCTTGGCACATAATAAGCACTCAATAAGTGATGGTGATAAATAATCATGATGAATATTACTGTGTTTTTTAGGTGATCCAGTGAGTGGTTGCCTTCAGGCCATGTTCCAAAATGGAGAATACAGGAAAAAGAACATATTTTTTAAGGGGGAGGTGGTAAGAAAAGTAGGATGATATGTTTTTAACAGAATCAAGTTCACACAGGGGTTATCAAATGTGATATTTGGGGAGTGGCGTCTGAGTTGGAATATCTCTTTGTTCCCCCATAATGTTTAGCTTAGTGCTCAGAACATGCAAGGCATTTAATAGATGTTTGATGAACTTGTGGATTAATGTATATTCTGACTCTTAACAATCAGGAACTATCAGTTTAGAAATAATCATTTATTCCTCACATATTAAGGGAGTGGCAATTAATATCATGCATGGGACACAGTAAAGAACAAGCGGGTGGGGTCTGTGCCAACATGGAGTCTGTGGTCTGGTATGGCCGTGAGGACAATAGGAAAGCTACGTGCACATGTGATTGGAGACGATTCTGCATATTGTTTCTGAGTGTGTAAGCACTGTCTTCAGGTAAAGGTGAGGAACAGGTAGGGTGTGCTATGGATGCATACGGCACCTAAGTTATATTGAACCAGCCTCATGTTTTTATATAGTGTCTGATGGCCAGAGATAGACCTTGGCCCAACAGTTAGTCACATGCCAGCCCCAGCCTTGGCTGCTGTTTAATGCTGTGCTGCAAGCACTTAGGGAAGCTGCATGTGAATGGAGGTTCCTGGTGACTCCAGCATCAATCATATCTACTCTGAGGCTTCTACAGGTGATGACCAGGTCTCCAAGGTCCTGCTTCTTCCCCATGCATCCTTTCAGGGATACCTTCATGACCCCCAGGGGTTTTGCTCTTGGTTCTCCTTCATGTGGGTTAACAATCTCATGAGCTTTTTAAAGTTTATATTTAGAACAACTATAGGCTCACACTTCTGGGACCTGCTCCAGGAGGTGTTACAGTAAGGACTAGAGTCATTCAGCATCCCAGGAAAAGGGAACTGAAAAGAGCATTAGAAATCCTCAGAAGAAAAAAAAAATTCTCCTTTTATTAAGAGTGAAAATAATTCTAGAAAGGAGAGGTGCTGGCCCAGGCCACACAGCTCGAGAATGGCAGGGAGGAGCTTTAACCCAGACATCCTGGCCTCCCAATCCAGAGCTTGCTCTACTTTTTATGCACTGCTCCACATTGTTGTGCATGTGTGAGATTAAGTACGCTGATGCCTCTGTCTGTTTCCTACATTTCCCATGAGAAATATGAAAGTCAGTATTTTACAATATGCAGTCTGTGTAACTCAGTTATTCAGAATGTTAAGAGGTGTTAGAGGTCAAAAAAATTCTCTGAGCAAGAAACATTGGGAAACAACTGGTTCAACAAAGCTAATCTGATGTCTTTGCAGTAGGATGTCTCAAAGCCTTTAATGTTAATAAGCATCACAGATCTTCAAGTGTGGTTGAGTTTATGTTGTTTCACAAATTTATTAGGTCACAAGCTGATATCTAGGAGATCAGCTATCCCTAGACTGCACTCCTAGTTCTGATTCTTATGTAGAGACAGCCTCCCTGGCAGAGAGCATAGGTCAGGTTGTATTTGTAAAGATGCTGCATGGATCTATGCTTCTGCCTTGGGAGGCTGAGTGGGGTGGGGAGGCTGGCAGTACCCTGACTGCACTGGAGTACAGGACTCTGGAGAAGGAAGCATCCTGAAACACCAACTCCATTGAGTGTCACTCCTCCTGCTCCCCTCCCACTAGAGGAAGAAATGGAGGGAAAGATAGAAGAAAGGAAGGAAGGATGGAAAGGATGGAAAGGAAGGATGGGAAGGAAGGAAGGAAGGAAGCCATTTCACTGCTCTCAAGGATCCTCATGCCCTAACAAGAAGAAGGGGTGCAAATATATTTCTCAGAGTTAGTATAAAAGATGATCTCTCTGTTTCCTATTTACTTAGGAAGAAATGTTTAGACATGTAGGCCTAGAGAGGCAAAGAAAATAAGGAGAGCAAACAAGAACATTGGTTTACTTTTCCAGAGGAGGAAGAGGAGAGCACACAAGCCTGGGGAAGAGCAGAACATGATAGTTTTATCAGCTTCAGTCTCACTGCTTTTCCTAACAAAACTTCAGGACAATTCCTGATCGTGGTCAAACTTCAAGTAGCTCAAGAGGTCATGCTTTATGCAGTGGGTCAGTTGATATCATGAACTCAATCCAAGACTGCTTGAGATGCCCCTTGAAAGGAGGGTTGTGCGTGTGCAGGCACCATGTGCGTGCTTGTGCATGCACATCCCAGGAGCAATGCAGGTAAAGGGAATAGTGTCCACTTAGCTTCTGTCTCATTGGCTTGGTATTTCTGGACCTCAGATCCAGACATAAAGATCAGTCTCAGATAAGCGGCTTTTGGCAACTTAGATTGTGTCTGTTATTTATTGGGAAATGCAGGATGGATCATGCAACGAGACATATTTGCACATTCTCTGTGGGGATGTGGCAGGACACACAAGTTGACTCGCAGACAGGTGAAGAGAGGTGGTAAGCAAAAGTCTCCCAGGGGCTGCTGCAGAACACTCTGCTGGCTGTCTGCATCATTTCTACTCTGTTGTAATCTCCATGACCACAGAGGCTTGCCTGCTTGTCAGCAGAGTGATTTCTGGGGTAGTTATGAGAGGGGCAAGCTTAAGGGGAGGCATTAATGCACATTATCTACAAAGAGCAGCAACTTAGGATCTCCAAGCCTTCTTCCCCCTTTCCATCACTCAAAGCAACACTCTCCCAAGGCAGATGCATAATCATACTTATGACCTCCTCTGCAGCACTTATAAGATATCATCCTTTAGTTCTGTTACATTCATTACCCCTCGTTGGGGAGTTAATAATTGGACCCATTTTATAAAAGAGAAGGTGAGGCGCAGAGATGCAAGTGATACTCTGGCCTTCAGAGAGAAAAATTACAGTGGAACCAGAGTGTGCCTCCAATTCTAGAATTCTAGAATATTGTGGGAGAGAAAGGACCAAGGATGAAGCTCCCTCATCACTGGACACACTCAAGTCTGGCTGCTTTCTGCCTGTGCCATTCTTTTTCGGGAGAAAGGCAACAATTAGGAAACCCAGACCCTGGGAGATGGAGCTTTTCCCTGGATTCCAGGGAAGCAATTTCTTCTTTTAGCAAGAAAGTATGAAGGACTGATACTGTGCACAGCATCTTTGCTAGGCAAGTGAGAGAAAATTGATCTGCAACATGTGGGTCCTTTTTTAAAAGAGCTTGCGGTTTGTTGCATACAGACATACATATGAAAATTAAAATACCATCTCTCACCAAATCTAAGATATCATAAACTACAAGACAGTTTCAAAGAAGTTAGAAGTAAAAAATTGTGCATCCTATAATCATGGGATATGGTAGTAATACAAAAGGTAAATAAAAATGAAAGTTAAATTATCCAGAGTTGTTACAGCCATATGTGTTCATTCACTTGTTGTTTTCTGACTTCTCTGATATGCCAATGCATGGTGAAGCATCCAATGAGTGGTACTGACAGTTGTTGCTTTGAGCTCACAATGAAGAAGGATGGCTGGGTGGGAGCAGGGTGGGATAGAAAGTGAAGGACTCATAAATGATGCAAGATTGAGTTAAGGCTTGAAGAACAGGAAAGATTTCAAGTGGGAAGGCAAGAGGGAGGTGTGATGGGGAATGTCTAGCTCTGGGCTTAATTGCCAAAGAGGACTTCGGAGAAACTGGTTTATTGATAGGAGAAGTAAAATACTGGTGTATTAGTCAACTTGGGCTGCTATAACAAAATATCATAGACTGGCTGGCTTTAACAACAGACATGTATTTCCCACAGTTCTGGAGGTTGGGAAGTCTACATTCAAGGTGGCAGTAGATAGATTCAGTTCCTGGTGAAGGCCCTCTTTCTGGTTTGTGGATGGCTGCCTTCTAGCTATAGCCTCACAGGGCAGAGAGGGGAAGCTCTGCTGTTTCTTCATTTTCTTATAAAAACACTAACTCTATTATGAGGGCTCTACCCTCCTGACCTCATCTACACCCAGTTACCTCCCAAAGGCCCCACCTCCTAATATCATCACACTGGGGGTTAGGGTGTTAACATGAATTTTGGGGGAGACACAAACATCTGTCCGTAACAATTGGGAACCAATTTAAATTAGATTTGGGTTCTGGAACTTAAATCATTGGACAAACTTGGGAGATGTTTTAGGGTCCAAGTATGGCAGTCATCCGATGGATGTTTTGAAGGCATTTGGCCACCTGAGTTGGCATTTAATCATGCCAGACACCACCAGACTTCTTCCGGGTTTCCTATCTCCATTTCACTGCTCTTTCAGAGTTCTGCTTTGTAGAGAATATAAGGGAAGGGAAGACATGACCCCTGCTCTCAATAGGCTTAGCTAGGTCATAAAAAATATCAAGTTATGAAAGATTTTAAGAACAAAACTAGCTAAGATGCAAAGTGTGTAGGGTACTGACAGTCTGTGTTATAAATATAAAAAGATAGGAGACCACTGTGGGCCAGTTGAGTAGGACGTGGCTCTTTGGGGCAAGTGAGATTTGTGCTGGGCCTTGAGGTTATGGGCTGTGGTTATGATGAGGCTGATGGAGTGGGAAGCAGTATGAGCAAACTTAAGTGCACAAGGGTCAGCCTGGTATTTGGGGGTCATGGAGAGGTATGGACAGAAGAGCATTATATTTAGCACTTACTATCTCCTGCAGGACATGGCAAAGTAAAGTTTTTTGTTTGTTTGTTTTTATGGAATGTGTAGACAGTGAAAAGGGTAGGCAAGGGAGGAGAAAGAAGCAGGAAGGTAAGGGAGAGTTAAACATGCTTTCCACATCAGCCTCACCCTTCTGTTCCCCACAGCTAGCCACTGCTAGTCTAGGAGAACAGTTCACAAACTCACATTCTTTAGCTGGAAGACCTTCACAGCTTACCTAGCGACAAGATTTTGAGAGAGTTTGAGAGATAGAGCAGAGAGCTGGAAGGTAAGAAAGTAGATGAGAGAGGTTATCAGATCAGCAAGGGCAAGGAGTTCCTAATTTGATTTGTGTCCATTCTTTACTTTCCATGCCCCTTTCTCTTTTTCTACCACTATTTGACAATGAATCATATGGAAATTGTGGTTTCTATTTTTATTACTATTTATAGTTATTTGCAGGTTTTATTGTTATTTGATTTATCCTTTATTTGTCATTTTGTTTCTTGCAATTTCATTCATATCTTCTCTCTTTTGTTATAATGCCAGAAACTTGAAAGGAGGAACTATGCTTTTTCGTATTTCTCAAAGTGTAAACAGTTTTCTTTTTCTTAGTAAATCCTTAATAAAGGTAACTTCAATACATTTGGAAACCAGGCAGGCGTATTAGTCTTCTCAGGCTGCTATAACAATATACCATAGACTGAGTGGCTTAAAAAATAGACATAAATTTTTCACAGTTCTGGTAGCTAGGAAGTCCAAGATCAGGGTGCTGGCCAATTCACTTCTTGGTGAGGGCTCTCTTCCTGGCTTACAGGCAGCTGCCTTCTCATTGTGTCCTCACATGGTGGAGACTTTCTCTTCCTCGTCTTATAAAGCCACTAATTCTTTCTCTAAAGGCTTCACTAACCTTTATTAGCCATCTCACCTTGACTACCTCTCAAAGGTACCATCTCCTTTCAACATATGGATTTCAACATACGGATTCTGGAAGAACACAATGACGTCTATAGAAGCAGGATACAACATTTAAATACAGGGAAAAAAATAAAAAATATGGAAGAAGTGAAAGAACAATCCACGTTTGTATATTTGATTTTTATGTATTCAATGAATTACCCGCCCAATCCAGGTGATTTACCAATTATAGAGTGAGACACTGCAGGACTCCAGTGGTTCTTGAATGATTGATCATTACATTGATTGGTGGTCAGTGCTGGGATGAGCCCAGGACTATCTTCTTCATGAACAGAGAACCTAGATAGCTGTCTGTGGGTCTTGAGGTAGAAAGTATATATGTCATGGTTAGAGACCTAGGCAGGCAACAGGAACGCTTCAAGGAATGTGGCAGTTCTTGGGGAATGACCTAAATGAAGTGCTGGTGGGTATTGAAATCTTTAGTTGAGTAGGGAAATGTGCAGCATGTTTTTGCACTCCAGCAGCAACAACTGTGGACTTGACTGATTATCAATTGCTGTCTCTATGTCATCTAAAGAAATGAGTATACTGGACAAATTTTATATATTTTATATGTTACTTTAAGGGATGTGGTATGATGAGAACTCTTGTGTAACTGACTGGGGGCTCAAAAACAGAAAAATACTTAATAAAATCTCACATTTACAAAGAAGGTTTGTAGGAAATAAGATGGAGAAGTGGAGGCAGCATAGAGAGTTATCACTGACTGGTCCATGGGGCCTTTGACCTAGGTTCCAAGATCATTGTCAATAGTCATAAGTGGCCTTCAGGTTCTCCTCTAACCTTCTGGAATTGGATGCCCAATTTTGTATATATGTGCATTTAAGTGTTTTCTTGGAAGAGCTTACAACATTCTTCAAATTCTCAAGATGGTCTGTGACCCAGAAAAATTAGAAATTACTACTGATTCCAACTTCTCAAATCTACAGATGAGGAAACCAAGACTTAGAGAGGATTAGTAACTTTCTCAAAGCTACTGAAAGCTGGGACAATTATGGTTTTTTTATGTTACATTGCTATATTCTCTCTACTGTTCCTCTCTGAAAGATCAAGAGGTCACTTTGCTTGTAGATTATTTCCAAAACCCTACAGAGAAAGATGAGCTACTAATGAGTTTATAGATCAGTTTCCTGCCAGAACCTCTAATCCACTGAGGCTGCTCTTGTGTTGGGACCAATTTGAACCCACCATGGGTTCATCACAGAAGAATGGGGATTTTGTGCAACGAATCATAAAACCCCAGAATGATAATCCGGACAGATCCTAGGAGGCTGGCATGAGAATACTCCTTCATCCATGGGAAACATCATTTTAAGGAGCCTGGCCCCCAGGTGTCCTAAGCATAGGAACTACAGACATAGCCTGGGTTACTTAATGTCGTAGAAATGCCTTTGCCTAACCTTTGACAGACTTGTGTATTAGAAGTAGTGCTACCTAAACAAATAATAGAAATACACCATTATGGAGCCTTTCTAGGCCATTGCTTCAGTCTCCCACACCCAAGGAAATTCATTTCTCAAGTTCTGGGCATATGGGCATTGGCCACCCTATCCCATGCCTGCCAAGACCATGAATGACCCAGACAGAAATGCTTTAGGTGAGCATGAGTTTCATGTTGGAGGTACGGAATGTTGACATGGGTGGAAATCAAGTCAAGTGTCTAGGGAAAGAATAGTGGAACACTAAAGGTGGTGTGTGGTGGACCAGTGACAGCAGGGTGAGGGAGGAAGGAAAAAGACTGAATCATAGTCGTGAATGGGAAGGAAGTCAGGAATCTGGAAGAGACAAGGTGAAGAAGGATGGCATAACTCTTGGGGCATAGTTGAAGCCATCTCACCTAATTCTGGCAAAGTCTGGTTAGAGTTGGCTGTTCGAAGGTAGCTTGACATCTGGCTACCTACCATTTGTGGACAGCTCAAACTCATGCAAAGTTATTTCTAATATTGCACTGTAATACTCTCTCCTTGCATTCACCATAGATCGCCTCTGTTCAGTTTCTTAAAAACCCTACAAACCAGTTCTATCCTCTGTTCTATGAGACAGCTTCCCCAGTATTTGAAAATGACTTGGATGCAGTGCCTTAGGCCTCTCTGTCTTAATCTGTTTCCCAATCACTCTGCAGGTTATTCCTAGTAAACCTTCTTAAGTGAGAGCTACTCTCTTTATGCATGTCATATTTAAATATACCTTAAATATGAATAAAATAGAACCTATTCCTCCAGATGTAGAACACAGTGAGACTTCTGTAGGGTACTTTATGTAGGGTCCTAGTCTTCTTAGGCTGTGTTTATGAGAACTTAAACCTCAGTAGTTTCATTAATGCTAAGTTGATTTTGGATTGGCATCCCAGAATGTGGAGATTATTTCAAATTTGATGTAGTTTGTCCATCATTTTGGTTATTTCTATTTTGTATCATCAGTGGATTTGAATTTTTTTTAAATGTCTTAGATGAAATCATAGAATAGGCCAGGGTTAAGTTTAAAAGTCAGGAGCATTCTTATAGAGAAGTCCCTTTATGTCTGTGGTCTTGGCCTCTTAAAATAAGTACCACATACTCATATTAACACATGAGACCATATAGATACCCAGTCAAGAGAATGGAGCTTCATCTCAAGAATTTATCTAAACCGCTTAATAAATTATTTAGACTCTGTCACCCACACCAGTGTGAACTTTGTCACTCTGGTTCTCTTTGGCTCTCTGTCTACTGGACTTGCATCTCACCTTCATGCATCTGTTGCTGGGCTTGATGATGAATTCTGTTTACGCTTAAAATCCTCTCTCAGGAATGAGTCTGGAATTTAGTATACCCAAAGCCCCAACATAGTGGGTCAAAGACACTCCTTCAGCCTAGTGCTCTTGGGAGAGAATAATCAATAGGTTGGTATTGATTTGCTAATCATTATTCTGTCCTGGCATTTTGACCAAATTTCTGGAATCTATCTCCAAACTATCTTATGCCCTTAACTCACTGAAAGATATGAACTACTAACTTGTTTCTAACCCTCTGCAGGTTACTAAAACTTCAGACCCATTTCACACTTTGTAAAATGAAGGATCTTGGACAAAACAGCTTTTCAGAAAATGTTTTCCAAAATGAAATGTTGTTAGATTAAAAAATGAGAAGGGAGGAAATTCAGTGATTAAAAAAGTTTTACAGATGCTTGTGTGATGGTTAATATTAGGTGTCAACTTGATTGGATTGAGGGATGCCCAGATGGCTGGTGAAACATTGTTTCTGGGCATGTCTGAGGGTGTTTCCAGAGGATATTGAGACATGAGTCCGTGGACTGAGAGGAAGACTCACTGTAAATGTGAGGCATCATCCAATTAGCTGGGAGCGGGCTAGGACAAAGTAGGAGGAGGAACAGAGATACTCAGCTCCCTCTTGTTTTCTCTCTTCGCAGTGGGACACCTTTTTTTTTTTTTCTTCCTCCTGCCCTTAGACATCAAACTCCAGGTTTGTAGGCTTTTGGACTCTGGAACTTACAGCAGCCTCCTGAGTGTTCCCAGGCCTTAGGCTTCAGGCTAGGGGATGCACTATTGGCTTCTCTTGTTCTGAGGCTTTTGGACTTGGACTGAGCCTCTTTGGGAGCCACACTACTAGTTCCCTGGGAGACATGCTTGTGGCTCCTCTGGTTTTCCAGCTTGCAGACGATCTCTCTTGGGACTTTGTGTTTGTAATCATGTGAGCCAATTCCCCCTTAATAAGTTCCATTTTATATATATCCCATTTGTCCTGTCTCTCTGGAAGATCCTAACCAATACAGCTTGGTTAAAAAAAGTTAAACAGGGTACTCACTCTGTGGTTCTTCTGTGTACGTGTTAATAAAATTTGTGTTCCTTTTCTCCAATTAAAAAACAAAATTGGCCGGGCGCGGTGGCTCACACCTGTAATCCCAGCACTTTGGGAGGCCGAGACAGGTGGATCACGAGGTCAGGAGATCAAGACCATCCTGGCTAACATGGTGAAACCCCGTCTCTACTAAAAATACAAAAAACATTAGCTGGCTGTGGTGGCACATGCCTGCAGTCCCAGCTACTCCGGAGGGTGAGGAGGGGGAATCACTTGAACCCTGGAGGCAGAGGTTGCACTGAGCTGAAATCGTGCCACCGTACTCCAGCCTGGGTGGCAGAGTAAGACTCCATGTCAAAAAAAAAAAAAAAGAAAAGTTAAACAGTTTTCATTATAAAGCGTTTCTCAGGGTCTTCCACATGCTAATGTTGCTAATGTGCCTCGTGAGTCTCCACATGTGAGAAGTGCTATGCGGTTTTTCCCAAACTTTATTTGATCATGGAACACTTTCAAGTAGGACACATTTTCCCTGGTACCACTTTTGAGAAACACTGAACTAGTTGGTTTCTCACACAGCCTTCTGGGATCACAGTGCTGTCAAGTACATCCTTCACTCAGAGAGCCCAGGGCTGGACGCAAAGGGCAGATTGCTGCCCAGCCACAAGCCAGGCTCCAGGGCACACGGGGAGTGCTTGTCCTTCTGCTGCAATGACCACCATGAGGAGGGTGCCTCCTGACCACACCAGACATTGAAGAATGGAAGCAATTCTTTGGATGTGTCTCTCACACCACCCCTTTCCCTTCTCTTCCCTCCCCTCCTCAGCATTCAGGGCTTCTGCCTTGCTAAGCTCATTAACCTCCTTAATGATGTAGTATCTTTTTTCCATATAAACCTCTGTCCTTAAAATTTGCCATTCTCAGTGCTTCCCAGGAGGAGAGCTTGCTCTCCTGGGCTGCTCTGTGAATTGGAACTTGGCACCCCTCTATGTGGGGAGAATAAATGGCATGCTGTCTCTGGGGTGAGGACATGCTTAGGAGAGCACCAGGGAACAGTTTTGTGGATTTCTTGATTTTTCAAAATGACATTACCGGTTCACAAATGTGGCATTTTGGTGCCCTGCAGATGGATACTCTAAATTTATTTGACAAAAGGCAGATTTAGCATTTTAAATTCTTTTTTTTTGGTAGGGGAGAGCGGCTGTATAATTTAGTTCACGTATCTGACTCCTCAGCCATCCAAGATAAGATACAGTTGTTAGGATGAGCCCCTATGATATTGTCAACAGCATCAGGTGATTTAGGGCAGTGGGGAAGGTTGGAGATTATTTCCAAAATCCCTTCAGTGGCCACTCCCCCTCTGCCCTGAATTTGGCTTTAAGGCCAAGATCAGTCTCTCTGATCATTTTTGTCCGTGAAAAATGTATGATCTGAATTAAATACACTTAGTCTCCATTAGTGGTTTACCAACTATCTGTGTGGTCCATATACAGCTCTACCCCTGCTGGGAATAGCAAGCATGGCATTCTGTAGAGCCTGCCTCACTGCTAATGCTCGCTGACTAGACAGATTCAATCCGCACTAGCCACCTATAGCCAAGGATGCATGAACACACGCATACACTTATATATGCCTGAATTTGAGTGCTCTGTATCCCCGGCCAGCCTCCACTACAGTTAACTGGATTGCATTATTGTAAGGTCTAAAGAACATTATGTTAGTAGCAATAGTGAACATTTACTCAACACTTACTATGTGCCTCCCTACTGTGTGCTTCATCTGTACTATCTTATTTAATCTTCCTAACAAATCTGACGGAAATATTTAGCAGATAATGAAATTGGAGATTTAGAGAGATTAAACGACTTGTCTCAATTTCACACCACCGAGATTTAATCCTGACTCCTGAGTCCAGACTCTTAAGAACTCTGTTTGAAAGTATTATAGGAAGCAATGCATAAATAACACAGTGCTGTGTAGATCAAGTAACATTAATTTGTTGCTAAACCTATCACAATTCAAAATGTGTCAAAGGATAATAATGAGGAAAGTCTAAGTCCCAAGACATCCCAGGTACATCATTTATGTTTGTTAGAGAGATGTGTTTCTGACCGTTCCATTTCTAGTTGGAGATGAGTCTCTTATACATTGTCTCAGCGAGTACTAAGGTTGAGGCGGGGTGGAGGACTCTCTTATCAGGAGGGAGAACAGGGAAATCCCAGCTTCCATCCGTCCCATCTATTATCCGTGTAGCGTACAGCTCTAATTTTGCCACCGATGCAGGGAGAGGTTAGTCTGGACATAGATTACTGAGGCAGCCGCTGATGTCAGGACACCCCAGAGCTCATAGACTGAGAGTACACACACACTCCTGAGCTTTAGCCAAATTAAGAAGTTTGATCAAATAAATCTGTTCTGAGATCATTTTCTTTACTAATTGGCACTTTCCTTGGAGCAAATAAAACAGCTGAGAATAGATCTCAGGACCTTAAATCTTGAGACTCCAGAAGTCACAGAGCTGAAAGAATTTTTTTTTTTTTTTTGAGACGGAGTCTCGCTCTGTTGCCCAGGCTGGAGTGCAGTGGTGCGATCTCAGCTCACTGCAAGCTCTGCCTCCCGGGTTGAGGCGATTCTCCTGCCTCAGCCTCCCGAGTAGCTGGGACTACAGGGGCCTGCCACCACGCCCGGCTAATTTTTTGTATTTTTAGTAAAGAGGGGGTTTCACTGTGTTAGCCAGGATGGTCTCGATCTCCTGACCTCGTGATCCACCTGCCTTGACCTCCCAAAGTGCTGGGATTACAGGCGTGAGCCACCACGCCCGGCCTGAAAGATTTTTAAAAAGATCTTGCTGCTGATTTCATAAATCACATCAATGAACCATTGCATGTCCTTGACAATCTAGTTCTCCTGACTGCCTCTTTTTCTTTCCTGGTTTGATCATTAGGATGGTCTTGTGAGAAATGACGGACCTGGATTCCCACCTATGTTTTCCACATCAGAAAATACCAACTTGGATTAAGGAGCATTTCTTCCATTGTCCATTGATGGAAAAGCCCCCCATGCGTCCCTGGGACGTCTGCAGGGACCACCACAGATGCTGTATGTGTGTGATGCTGGCCCGTGGTCTACACCCAAACTCTCTTCAAAACTAGTCTCTCTAAATAACACGTTTCTCCATGAGAAAATCTAAATGTGGGCTCTTCCAAATTGGAGAACCATCATTTTTATTCCCTTAGTTCATAATTGGTGAGTCAGTTTTTTTGTGATGTGGCAAGGGGAAAATATTTCAGTTATCAAAATGTGCTGCTGTGGGGGTTAGATGTGCTTTTACAGGGCATGGGATGGTGGCAGCCTCTCGATTTTACCCATAGTGGTCCATGAGCCGTGAGCACTGTCTTCCTGTTTTATATCAGGAGGTATGTTTTCAATCAGCAGACCTTTATGGCTCTGCAGTTGCCCCCAAGAATTGTGGCGTCTGCGAAGCTTTCCTGCGAAGGTGATACGTTCAACATGTAAAGCATAATCCCTCCCTGAAACCTTAAATTATCTAAACTGAAAGAGCTTTCCGGGTCTAACTGGCTTTTCTCAGTGAGGTGGATTGTTTTCATTTGCTTCATTTCTCCTCTTTTGGCCTTTGAGCTGACTCTTGTCAGTTTCGTTCCTATTTAAAGTTAGTTTCACCTTTCAGTTCCCTCCTCCATCTTAGCCTTACAGAGTTTCAGTTCCCCAAACAGTGTGTGTGGGGTGAGCTGGGGAGAGAAGCTTTATAATTCAGTCTAAAATAAAAAGATTTCCCTGAAATATTGCAAAGATATTGGACAATGAGAGAAAGGCAATTTGATTGAAGAACTAATCTAGCACATTTTATGATGTTAGGCAAGTCACTCATGGCAAATCTTTGAGCCTCACATTCCTGTGCTGTATGCAATGGCTTTAAACTAGATTTTAGTTCTCAATTCTGGCTGCATGTTGGAATCACTAGGAAATTTTAAAAGCAGCAACCAAAAAACTCCAAAAAACTGACGTCTGCATCCTATCCTGTACCAATTAAACCAGAAAATCAAGAGGTGATTTTTAGGTATTTCTTTCAAGCTCCCCAGGTGATTTGTATGTGTGGCCAGGTTGGGAACTTCTGGCCTGCATGCTTGTGGAGAACCTGGGCTCCTTCTCAGCTGAGCATTGTCAGGAGTTGTGGTGGTGGAGGCTCTTGTTACAATAGCTGTAACAGTACTAGGGTAATACATGTCCCTGACTGGTGGTTCCATTTCCTATCAGACCTTTGCTTAGCTTGGTAAACACTGTTGCTGAAACAGACCTTATTTTAAAGGTGGCCATATAGAATATTTTCACCTTTAACTTCTCACTACTTCCTTGTTGAGATAGAGGCCTCCTCTCATCAGGTCTCAGACATCTCTCTCTGGATGGGGAAGGGAGGAAGCTGGTTTACGTGGGTGCACTGCAGAGGCCTGAAATGTGTCTGTACTTGAAGATGCTCAGCTTAACCTATAAATTATCAGCCAGGACCTGTTTAGAAGCCCAGTTCTGCCTTGGTTACCCAAGATCTCAATGCAGCAGTGGCCAGCAAAAGCCAAATCTGAAATCTTGGTCAACTGACCTTATTTCTGTCATCAAAGGAAGGAGTGAGGCTTTGACTGAAGCCCAGTGCATTTTATTACCTTTAAGTTTAAATGCTTATTCAGAACCATTCTGGCTGACACACCTCCTCTTTCCTTTTCCTTCTCTCTTCTCTCTAGCCCCTGCCAATCCAAACATGACAGAAGCACAAAATCAAATTCAAATTTCAAGTGTAGTGTGCGATAACAATACATTTTTCAGTTATTTTGCAATCACTAGACCTAGAATTTGATTTTTTTATAAGATGGGTATGGAAATAGAGGGAGGTGTATATACTGTTTTTTAACTCGCAGTAAAATATATTTAAATAGCATCGAATGGTGATTTCCACCATGCCATCTTCAGTTTGAGAAATAAAGGACATACAAAAAGAAGGAAGGAATCTTAAATAAGATTTAAGTTATGTTTATGATATCAAAGACATTTCAATCCTTTGCATATGGCTGATTAATGTGACATAGTATCTGTTGCCCATAATGTCTTTCATATTGAAATGATTATAAAAATGGTTACAACATTTGTATCTACTGTGTACCAGAGATTGACTTAGAACTTTTACATTGAGGTCATCTTTAATTCTCACCACAAAATCAGCCGTGCTACTTTATTTATTTTTAAAGCATGTTTTATTTATTTTTAAAAAATTTATAATTGACATAATAATTTTACGTATTTCTAGGGTATAATGTGGGTTTTCAATGGATATATATGTAGTGTAATGATCAAATTGAGGTAATTACCATATACATTACATTAAACATTTATCATTTCTGGTGACAGCATTCAAAATTTTCTTTTCTAGCTATCTTGAACTATACACTTCATTGTTATTTGCTATAATCACCCTACAGTGTAATAGAATACCACAACTTATTCTTTCTATCTGACTATAACTTTGTACCCATTGGCCAACCTTTACTGGTCCCCTCTCCCACATTTTAATTTTACTGATAAATAAAACTAAATAAAAACTGAGGGTTAGCAAGCTTACAAAGCTTGCCCAGGGTCATACATGATAGATCATAGCACAGCTAGATCAGTCCATGTTGATCCTAACATTCTTTACAGCACCCTACTAATCCTGAAGAATTGACTACAGTTCCTTATCAAGAGAATGTCCTCTTGAGTAAGGGCAGCCATAGATTACAGTGCTCTTATTGGATCTATGTTGTTATGTCAGTGTATTTCTTAAGACAACCTACTATATTTTTGTTAGAGATTTATGCCATACACATATTGCTTTTGAATGGACCTTTGGTAATCATTGTTGTATATGAGCCTCGTGATAACCAAAGGAATTAGGCAGAACAATTGTTTTTCTTTCCTTTTTCCTGCTAAGGGGAGAAAATCAAGGCAAGGAGAAATCAGTTGCCTTGTTTATAGGTTTTTTGATGTCCGAGCCAGGGCCTGGACTCAGGCCTTCTGACTCCTGCTCCAGTGGTCCTTCCATGACTTGTGACTCGTGGTAGGTCTTTGTGCATGACCTGGCCCCATTGTTGTACCCTGGCTGACCCTGGCCATCTAAATGCACAGAGGGTGCTATATTAGGACCGTTATGTAATGAACTGGGCCAGCTGGCCAGACTGGTCTTTCAAGGTTTACCTCTCCCTTTGGCCAATTGACAGTTCTACCAAGCTTCTAAACACTTTTTTTTTTTTCTTTTTCCTGCTTCAGGCTTTCCTGACTTCTTTTCCCAGTTCTGGAGTGCTCTCCCTGGAGTTATCACTCTAGCAAATTCTTCCAGTTCTTTAGGCCCAGCCCAGAACACACCTCTTCAGGAGCTCTTCCTTGACAGCAGCCTGTTCTTGGTATTACCCTAGGCCCTGAGTTCTTAAGATATTGTTATCTGGACTGTACAACCCATTAAGCAAGTTGCACATACAGGTTTACATTTTGTTCAGATCTTCAAGTACATGTAAAGCTAGAGGTATTTGTCCATTCTTTTCTGTGTCCCAGGTATGGAGGTAGAGGTGGGAGTGGTGCTAGCATAGTTCTAAGCACGCAGTGCTTAGAGCAGATAACCATTGACTTGTCTCTTGTTTACTATATAGTATTATCTCAATGGTTGACAGGGTATATTGTGAAGCAGAAAGGGAAGATGTAATTATTTTTCAAACAGATATGGGTCAAGAGTTTCCCATTGAGGCTGGGAATGTGGGAGTGGTACCCAGGGAAGGAAAGGCAATGCAAGCCCATGTCTGGGGTGAAAAAGCCAAGTCCTTCAAAGTATATTTAACAGTTCCGTCACCATCAATGATTAGCATTGGCAGAAAAAGGAACAGCCATTTCTAAAGTGAATCTAAGTGTCAGAATTTAAAGGTCCTGAACTGAACTCAACTATTGACTTGCTTTTAGCTCTTAAGTTAGATCATTCTTTTTATGAGTTATTCATTCATTCTCTAAATAGTAACAGAGTATTTATTTGGTGTAAGGCATGGTGTCAAGTATTACATAGAATAAAGACTTGGTAAAGATTTAGTGCCTGTCATCCAAAAGATATCATTAGCAGGAGGCAAACACTAATATGTATATAATAAGTGCTATATGAGCAGCACAAAGACAAGACAGAAATTATTCTAGACTTTGAAGAGACCTCATTTACAGAAGTCTTCACTGATGAATTTAACTGGGCCTAAAAATTAAATAGAGATAGGGAGGGAAGCATGCCAGTCCATAAGTAAAACATCATTCCAGGTGTTGAGGGAACAATGAGTAACTACAGAGGCTGGAGTAAATAGTTGAAGTTATGAAATAGTAGGTCATAGAAGACGTTAAATGCAAGGTCATGGAAGTCAAACTTTGATGGGCAGAGGGGATATGTTAATGGTACAAACCAATGTGGCATAGAATCGAAGGAAATAATTCAAATTCGTGTCCCGGTGTCTTCACCTCTACAATAAGAAAAGGTAAACTGATCACTCCCTCTAGGCTTCCTGGCATGTGGTGAGAAACAGAGAGGCAATTGACATCAAGGTGTTTGCGTGTCTGGTGAAAGGAAGCACCACCAGCCACAGCATGGAGCTGCGTTGTTTGCAGTTGATGTTTACTGTATTGACTCTCTAAACTCCCACTGTGAACATTTTGGAAACTCAAGAGAGATAGTAAATGGCAATGGTCATTTAAAGCTATGAAACGCTTTCTCCGGTACTCTTCTAATTATGCTGAAAGCCAAAATTTAAATAATCTTTGGAGAGATATCCCTACGCTTCTGATAACATTAATTACTGACTGACCTCACAGTCTCATTTGACATATTAATCCTTTCCTCCTTTTTAAAATATGTTTCCCTTGGCTTCTGGGACACCGCTCTTTATTCTCTCCATAGCTCACTGGTTGTTCCTTTTCTGAATCCTTTGCTGGTCCCTCTTTATCTCCCTGACCTCTAAACATTGGAGTGCCTCAGGGCTCAGTTCTCCACCCTCTTCTCTTCTCTGTCCTTTCTCATGGCATTAAATATCATTTACACACATAGAACACCAAATGTTTATCTATACCCTGGACCTAACAGCTGGACTCCAAACTAATATCCGTTGTGTTTTCCACATAGTAGCTAGAGTAATCATTTAAACCATCAGTCAAATTAGGATGCTCCTGTGCTCCAAACCCTCCCATGGCTCCCCATTTCATTTTGTGCAAAAGTGAACTCTTGGCAATGGCCTGCGGAGTCCTGCATGACCTGGTCCGTTAGCTGTTGGCCTTGTTTCACTGTGTTCCACCTTACTGAATACTCTAAACCAAAATCTGTCTCAAGCACTTGGCTTTTGCCATTTCTTCTGCCTGTAAGATTCTCCCCCAGACACCTGCAGTACTTGCCCCTGATTCCTCTGCTTATGTATCCATTCGTTATCCATGATGTTTCTCCTGACTATCCTGTAAAAACTCACAGATCTCTCCCCTTCTAACTACCTCTGTTGTTGTTGTTGTTGGCTGTCCTCCTTCTTCTTCTTCTTCCTTCTTTCTTCTTCTTTCTTCGTTCTTCTTCTTTCTTCTTCTTCTTCTTGGCAGAGCCTTGCTCTGTCACCCAGGCTGGAGTGCAGTGGTGCGATCTCGGCTCATTGCAAGCTCCGCCTCCTGGGTTCAAGCAATTCTCCTGCCTCAGCCTCCTGATTAGCTGGGACTTACAGGCACCTGCCACCATGCCTGGCTAATTTTTTGTATTTTTAGTAGAGACGGGGTTTCACCATGTTAGTGAGGATGGCCTCGCTCCCTGACCTTGTGATCTGACTGCCTTGGCCTCCCAAAGTGCTGGGATTACAGGTGTGAGCCACCGCGCCCGGCCATCTCTGTTCTTAACCTGCCTTATTTTTAGCATTTATCTGTAAATGCATACTACATATTTTACTTGCTTATTTGTTTATTACCTGCCATGCTGTGCTAGAGTGGAAGCTTTTTGAGGGCAGGGACTTTGCTCTGCTCACATTGTGTCCTTGTGCCTAGAACATAGTGCCTGGCACAGAGTGCATGTTCAACAAATATTTGTAAAATGATTTGTGAAGTAATCCCCTCTAAAAATAGAACTCAGAAGAGACAGTCAGGGTTAGGATCTAGCCCAGGATGAACTTTGTTAAAGGCCACAGCAAAGGAAAGCCCTTAAGTTGGAAGCCTTGGGTTGAGACCAGGTTTTGCCGCAAACAAGCTCCGTGTTACGAAATTCACCTAGAGCTCACAAACCACACTTTCCTTGTGTGTTGAATGGGTGCTGATATCTTGCCTATAAGATAGAAGTGAAGATCAATTGAGTAGGTAGATGTACCTTTCCCTCTGTAGGAAAAAAAAAAAGCAGATTTGGTTCCTCTTCTTTCCTTGCAGAAGGAAAGAAGTTTTCCCATTGGTTTTGTTTCTCTCTCTTTGGAACAAGATAGCGACACGAGGGTTTTGTTGTTATTGTTGTTTCCAGCTTTAAGCAGGCATTTTGTGGGTGGATATGAAGGCATTTGGTTTTATTTTGGTGATGGTTTCTAATTTTATCTTCTCTTGTTTATGTAGGTTTTTTGTTTTGTTTTAATGTGATAAATGGCCAGCAACTTCTCTGAGCCCTGTGGAAATGGTATCCAGGCTACGGAATAATTATTTAGTGAATGGCGGATCCAGTTTATGTTGGCACAGATCAAATTAATCATTATTAATCATGCCCCAATGACAGTAACCTCATCCCTTGCAGAAGTGCTATTCTTTATTAAGCAGTAATAGCTGTGAGGAATGACTGAGCTCTACTCCGGTTACACTCTACTATGCCTTTCCCTATTTCTCAGCAGGAGAGGGAGAGCAACACACATCCAGAGTGAAAGTAAAAGGAAGAATTAAAAACAAACAAGCACCCATGAAGCATCTCCCTCTTCCTACTACCTATGACAAGAACTCAAGTTCCAGCATAAGAAAAGAAAAGGGGCTTTGCAGTATGCTGCCCCTCAAAAGGAACAGAGTAAATGATTATAATAGTAATTAGAGTTATACTTAAGGAAGTGGTGTTTATTAGCCAGCCTGTAGTAGGACTAAATCCACAGGCTTCCTCACCTAGTTCCTCTGCCAGTGCTTGGATCTTGAGAGTTGCAATCTCTAAGCTTTTTAAACTCACTTCTATCTGAAAGGTACTTCCCATTCTGGGGTGTGTGTGTGTGGAATTGCTTCCAAGAACAAGATAAGCTCTTTGCCTAGGGAAAGTTGGTAAAGGAGGCTTACTGTTCAGTTTCAGTCCACATTGAAATACAGGACATATGGAAAATAGAGCATGATACATGGTCCGGCAGTGGACAACGGGTCATGGGGCTTGGCTTCAGTTCTGGTTGTGTGACCTTAGGAAAGCTCTTAACTTCTTGTAGTCTTGATTTTTCAGGTCTGTAAATTGGAATGATGATATGGAACATTATTTAGCCTTAAAAAGGAAGGAAATTTGAATGCATGCTACAACATGGATGAGACTTGAGGACATTATATGAAGTGAAATGAGAACAAAAGAACAAACACTGTACAATTCCATCTATACAAGTATCTAGAGTAGTCACATTTATAGAGACAGAATAGAATAGTGGTTTCAGGGGGTGGGTGATAGAAGGGAAGGAGGGGTTCTTCTTTTAACGTATATAGACTTCCAGTTTTGCACAATGAAAAGAGTTCTGTGGATGGATGGTGGTGATGGTTGCGTAACAATGTGAATGTACTTAATACTACTGATTATACACTTAAAAGTGGTTGAAAATGAGCCATGGGTGGTAGTGGGTGCCTGTAGTAACAGCTACTTATGAGGCTGAGGCAGGAGGATTAGTTGAGCTCAAAGTTCAAGGCCTGCCAAGGCAACATAGCAAGACCCTGTCTCTGAAAAAAAAAGTGATTAAGATGATAAATTTTATCTTATGTGTATTTTATGCAATTTCAAAAATGTAAAATGAAATGGTAATAATCTCTAAAAACTTATATCTTTGAGTATGGATCTATTATAGTCCCTCAGAGTGCTGGGGAATAAAGTGATGAGATCACTGGAGGGCAATCTGTAAGACCCCATGAAGGTCTGTCCCATGGAAGGGGGAGAATTTCCTTTCATTGTGGTTTCACAGAGCAAATTTAGAAACAATAGGTAGGAGTGACAGGAAGAAAAACTTTGTATCAACTTAAGAAAATTTGTATTTGCAAATAAAAATTTAAAAAGGCTGTCCAAGAGGAATGAGCTCCCACAGGAAGTAGTCATCTCCCTCTCCTGGGGATGTCCAAGCACAGATGATGCGCTCATCTGCATGGCCATTGTCCTCCTTCCCAAGGTTCTACAGTCCTTTATTCCTTTCCCTTCTTACTAGTGTGAGTGTTTTCTTTCATTCCCCAAAATAATGGCATCCATTACTACAAAGAAAAACACAATCCTGCAGCTATTAAGGACTCCACAGGTTATGTGGGAGTAAATTGAGTTATCTGGGCACAGACCAACTTATTAGAAAACTATTCTCAGAGGAGTCACCACCTGTGACTTGGGTCTTGAACTTAAAAGTTTCTAGTTCAGCAAAGGAAAGGATGTCAGCAAATTCAACTCACCAAATTGGTATTCAGCTTAGGAACTCCTTACCTCCTTAAGATGGTTATATGAAATACTTGTAAAAAAAGATTAAACAGGTTAGTAAATTGCATTAAATGTGATATGCGTTATTAGCTTCATGTTTGTGATTAGGGTCAACATAGGCCACCACCATCCCATCTGCAGCATTATAATCCTGGGGGAGATGTATGCTGTTTGATATCATGTGAAAATTATGTTATTCTTATGTCTTTAAATGTTTGACATCATCACTTATTTACAGCGTAGATATTAAGTGGGAATAAAACGAAATAGACGTTTCATAGAGTCTTTCTCAAACAAGCCTTTGATATACTCGTTTTCTCAGCACCCAATCTTCTGCCTCAAAGTTAGGAAGCTGATAAAGGATAGTCCATTTTGAAACAGTGTCCTGAGAACTATTGGTAGGATGAACATTGGAAGCCCATAGCATCCTGTGACTGCCTCTATCACATTACTTGTTCTAATGGTTAGAAAATTCTGATGACTTTTCTTTCCCGTAATAGACTGAGCTCCTTGGAATCAAGATTCATGCGTCTTTCACTTTGGTGTCTCTGTATAGGAGCACAGTAGGGGCACCTGTTGTTAGTAATGTAAGATCTTGTAGAGTCTGGGCTGGTGGTCTTTAAGGTGTGATTTGGGAGGTTTTGATGCTTCAAAGTCCAATGTTGATTGCCAAGAGATTGTTAAGTGAGAGGAATCTGTTCTTCTGACCCCACTCTAACCATACAAGCTCTGCTTTTCATTTATGTTACATATTGGGATCTCCAGTGAAGTTTTCTCTAAAAATATTTTGAAAGACACATACACAGATACTTAAAACCTTATTAAATGCTTTCATGGTGTATGTGTGTGTATGTGTGTGTGTGTGGTATGTGTCTGGTATGTATGTCGTGTGTGGCAGAGCTTAGGATAAGGTGTAAATGTTTTCAGATTTCTTTATTCAGTTTAATTCTTCAATTAATGTTTCTCTACTTTTGGAGGAATTGGGTTGGTTACAATACAAGTTGTTCCATTAAGGATCTGTCAAGACTAGCTGAGGTTTTTTTCATATTCACCAAGATTTTTGGTGATTACCGGGTGTTTTGTTCTTTTCCTTCTAAAAGGATTTGAGCTTCCCATTAGTGGATTTATAATGATCATTGCTTAACCATATCAGACAATGAATTACACAAGAAACCTACAATTCCTGAATTGTTGCAAACCTCATAAAGTATATACGGAGATCTGTTTCACTAAAGACTTTGTTATTTTGACAGTTGCCCTTGGTTGCTCAAGAAAACCTCCTGGAAACCCTCATAAGAAGACAAAGACTGCTTGCTCTGCAGTTGTTTTCCGTATACCCACAGTGGGTGATAGAGTGGAATATGGGCAGATAGACTCTTTTGTCTCTGCAACAGCCCTCTGAAAAGAGTTGGACAGTGGGACCTGTTGGGTATAACATACCTGCTTGTGGTTTTTCTTCAGTAACAGAGGTGGGAGGTACACTAAAATGGCAGGGAAGAGAGGAGAAAAAAACAAGATGAAGGGTCAGCTAACTGCTCAGGGCTGAACCAAGGAGGCTGGAGAGGGTGCTGGGGCTTGCTTTTGGTTTGGTGGTTGGTCCAGAAAAGGAACTCTCATCTACAATGAATTCAAGGGTCCCAGCAGTTGGACTTTCCATGGGAATCTGGGTAGAGAATTTCTACTTAACACATGTCCCTTTTTACGTCTTGATGCCATTTTTTATTTCTTTCCATGGTAGCTCAACCTCGGGAAGCTTTGGACTTAGCCTGAAACAAGTCTTTACTCTTTAGTATTGGTTCTAACAAATGCAAGTCCCTTGGGAGCAAAAGGTTCAAAATACAAAAGTCCTGATATTTTTTTCAGACCACAAGAAGTTCCTTTCAGAATGTGCTGTTTATCTCTGCTCTTACTGAATGATGATTTCTTAGGAATGTGTCCATTAAAAGATACCTATTTAGATTGCCTTGGCTTAAGCCAAGTTCTCCAATACATTCTGATTGTCTAAATTCTTTCTTCTTTTCTTCTATGTTAGGTGCATTTCAGGGTCCAGAAGTGAGTATTGAGTGTGTATTTCTGTATCTACTTGTTGAGAATGGAGAGTAGAGAATTCAAAGCTTTATTCTTTCCCATAACTATTCTTATAAGGAAATCAAATACAAACAAAAAAGGAAGTCACATGCACAACCACTATTATGCTATATAGAAGTTCATGAAGTGCCACCTTTCTGTGGCCATGGAGGGAAAAGGCAGAGTCTTGCTGGCATCTTCAGCCACTCACATACATATGCTGCTGTGCTGAGGGTCATCTTTTAGCATCGAGACCGACAGCACCTGTGTACCCATGTGCCATCTAGACCATGTACATGAAGGCACACCAGCTGCTGTGTGGCCTCACAAAGACAATTCCAGAAATCCTCAAATTCTCACTCTCAACTGAACCATCTAAAGAAAGCCCTAGGCTGTCCCTGACTCCTAGTGGATCCTGAAATTCTTTCAAAAGGAAGAGGAAAACGCTGCTTTCCATTTCCTCTTTCCCCTCCTCCCAGCTCTTTTGAGAAATCAAACACAGAATGCAAATTCTACAGGAGAGATAATACTGATTTCTATTCGAACTGAAATATTAATGACTGATAACTGATATGTTAATGAGAAGAGTTTCTGTGGAAGCAATTGAAAAGAGAATAAGGACCCTATGGCTAGCATGTTTGGATGAGAGAGAGCATAGAGCCATAAGTAAAACGTGCTGAGTATTGGCTGGGAGCCTGGAAGAAAACAGCACCTCCTTGGTTTGCCTGAGGCTGATCCTGGGTGAGATGGTGGGTTAATGTCCTTACTTCTGTGGCTCTTGATCAGTTAGACATCAAACATCTTCCAAGTTCACCTCCTTTATTTGGTTTATTTTTAACCTATTTTATCTATTTTCACCTTTGATTTATCCTTTTAGTCTAGAATTTTGGTATTTTTGAAGTGTCCTTGGGATATGCAGTGGATTCGTGTTTTCATCTATTGCACTTGGATGTTTCATGACAAATATCTCACCCTGTTTTTGTTTTTGTTTTTGTTTTCACACTTGCCAGAGCAAAACATTTTTCAGCCTTAATTGTTCAGGAACAGCCCACAAAAGATTTAGCGCCATTCCTTTAAAAGTCTTCAATTGTAGGTGATAACTATACAGATGTCTGGGAGCTCAGTAAACCAAATCTTATCAGAAAGTGTGGGAGGCATTATGCACTAGAATGTAGAGTCAAATATTTCCTGACAGTAGGGTGGGAGCAAGAAAAGTTGGATTCCAGAAGGCATTCTTGGAATCAGAGAATGCCTGAGAACAGAAGGTGGAGGTGTGACTCCAGACCCAGGATTGTCACCGGAAGGCAATATAGAGAACTGTGTGGCCCTTAGAATGAGGGTTCTGGGTCATGTGAGGTTCATCATGGCCATCACAGTGGCCTGCTGCATATTGAGCTGCCCACTCTAGACTATTGATTTCACCTTGCAGGGAGGCCAATACCATGATCTCTGATAGCCTATGTCACTCATTTTCAGCCTGCTGTTGGGGTTGCTGGCTGCATCAGAATTACCTGGGAATTTTTCATAAATACAGATTCCCAGGATCCACTCCAGATCTACTGATGCAGAACTTCTGAGGGTGAAACTTCAGGATCTACTAGGAGTTAGGGACAGTCTAGAGCATTCTTTGGATGGTAGGATTGAGAGTGAGAATTCTGGGACTTCTGCAATTAAGTGTCTTTGTGAGCCCTCACAGAGGCTGGTGTGGTTTCGTCTACCTGGTCTAGATGGTGCATGGGTGCACAGGTGGTGTCAGGTCCCGTTACTGAAAGAGGACCCTCACCAGAGTTTCTGAGGGTGAAACTGTTAGATGAGCAGCTAACATAACAAGCACAATGAGAATAGGCAGAGAGCTCATCCAAAAGACCCTGCAAAGGGGCCAGGCCCAGACCATCCATCCAGTGATTTCTCTTTAACTGCTTTGGGCTCTGCAAAAGGACATTTTTTATGTAAGTCCCTAAGACAGAGTTGGGATCCCCACAGAACTGGACACAGGGTCAGAGACACCCACGGTGAGGAGGACATGTGGATGCCATTCATCTCGGGCCTCCCTTGGGCTCAGAGGGACCACGTTATGCCTGGGAAAGAGCAGAAGGTGGAGGCAGGGTTGTGCCCTGAATTCTCATCAGCATGCAGCCCTTTCCACTCTTATCAAAATCAACGTGGGTATTTCCTGCTCACAGGCCCCTGGAGGTGCAGCAAGAACAGAGGCTGGCTGGGAAGGGAATGGAGGAGAAACTCTGTATTGTAGATTCAATATCAGCTCCATGATTTCCCCCCCAAGGGATAAATATTGTGCTTTGCAGCTTATATGATGGAACAGACTTCCTATGTGTACGATTCCAGGAAGAGAGTTAATAAAACCTCTTGATACCTTGCCTCCCCGGCAGCATTTATTTGTCTAGCAGTGAGGCTGTGTGCTGTTCATACAGTACTGGTGTTAGGTTGACATTTGTTTTGACCTTTAAACTTTATGCTTCCTCTTTCCCCATCCTCTCCCCCGCCCCAGCCTCCCCACCTCCTGTTGTTCCTCAGCATGTGAGTTTGATCTTCTGTGACCTGGGCTTTTCCAAAGGTTGACTCTCCTGGGCTTGGATTGGGTGGGGTGCAGGCTTTTCCTCTTTTCTTTGCTCAAGGGTCATCGTGTGACTGTAAAATTATTGTCTGGCAGCAGTGCGAGCGCCATTTCACATGTGGGGAGTGTGTAGAGTTTTGTTTTTTCTTTAAATAAGAAAAAGGAAAGAAAACACCTCGAGGACCCACATCTGCCTGGAGAGCACAGGGCTAGGCCTCCTGCACTGGCTGGAGAACGCATCCCCTCCTTTGGAGTCCTGCCCTGGCCCAGCAGGGACTGGGAACCGCATCCCTGGGAATGCTGGTGCCCGTCAGGGAGAGGAACATTCTTGGCTCTGAGGCTTCTTCAGATCCTGGGGGTATTTTCATAAGAGCGTAACCCCAGGGCTAAAGGAAAATTCCACTCTTCAGCAGAGTGATGCGTCTGTTCTTGGTCATCCTCCCAAGTAATTATGTGCCGTGCTTAAGCTTTGAGCTTTGCACTTGGACTGAACTGGTTTGAATCCAGCTCCACTAGATACTACCAGATAACCTTACCCAGGTTTCTTAATGTTTCTGCACCTCAGTTTTCTCATCTGTTTAATGGGATTCGTGGGGAACATTCTGAGAATTAAATATAGTAATCAATATAGAAATTCCTGGAATAATCCCTGGCAGAGTGTAGACCCTCAAAACATGTTAGATCTTAACATGATTCCTCCTTAAGCGTCTTCTACCTGAAAGAATCTTTTATTCTATTCATATTTTCATAATTCAGTTGGATTTTTGGAGGTATGAACTGTGCCTTTTTGTATAGAAATATCTAGCAAAGGTAATTTGGTCTTTAAATTCCTTTTACTTTCTTGGTATTCATTGAAGACCAAAGACGCTTTGTTCATGTGGATCCTTGAATGGATTGTTGCTGCTTACCTTATCTTCCTCTCCCACCTACTCCTATTGAATAAGGGTTCATAATTATCCATCTAAAATCTACAGTAATTAAAAAAATAAATGTATAGACAGTCCATAGAGGAAGCATAGCATATACACTAAGGTGCCCTAGATCTCTGCACTATCTATTAGTGGGCATGCACAGTTTTTCTCTCCTGATGTATCATGTGCTGTGAGTGATCTTCCTGGAACTGAGGGATGGCCATGGAGGGAGTGCTCTGTAGCTTTGAAACCTACCAGTGGGCCTTAGTTACAGACATGGCCCCAAAGGAATCATAGCAAGCTTGGCTCACAGACAAGCACAAGGAAAGCAGGTAAAGAGGAACCCCAGGAGACACTGCAGAGCTGACTCCAGAGAACTGTGGGGTCTGCTGGGCACCTCCCTCCCCTCTTCTTCACAACAGAGCATTGAAGTTATGTTTTTAACACATTTTTGCAACGTCAATAGAAACAAACTGTCTTCTTGCTCCTAGAATATAGAGAAGTGGTAGTGGGATATTAGAGTTCCACTCTTTAAGTGTGTATTCCCAACTGATGGAAAATAACACCCAAACCAAAACAAACAAACAAGTAAACAAAAACCCAGTCCAACCACTGGGGGCCTGCAGAATATCTCAGGCTAGCCGAAGAGAATGTGATAAAAGTAGGTTCATACCTTAGGTTCCAAGTATTAATCTCAACCAGCCTCTCTCTCTCTCTCTCTCTCTCTCTCTCTGTCTCTCTCTGTTTATGTGTGTGTGTGTGTGTGTGTGTGTGTGTGTGTCTTTCTTCCCCCTCTCTGACTGTATGTCCTCTTTTGGCATGGCATGGTGAGGTAAAAGGCATAGCTCCTAGGTGACATGTTAACATACTTCTAGTTTCCTACCACAACCACTTATAGGTGCCTGGGGACAACATGGCCATTCAATCAGATTGAAAACAAAAGTTTGAGCCAGTGGTAGATTATAGTTATTGAGGACAATGTGAGAAAGAGGAAGGGAGGCCCAAGATTTATACACCAATTCCTCCTAGAAATTTGTTTGGTTTACTATGAGCTGACCCTGTGACTTTGAAGATTTTAATCTTAAAATTAGGACAGGTTTTACTGCCTCTTTTGATGTACGCATGGATCCTGGCACAGTCAGGAGAGTCTCAGTCAGAGTGAGGGGCGAAGCCATAGAAAATTGTTCCATCTGAGGAACTTTATTGAAACATACATTTCTGACCTTGATCCTTGGAAGTACCCTTCAGGAGAGAGTATATGTGTTTGAGTGTGTATGTGTGTGTGGGTGTGTGTGTGTGTGGGTGTGAGTGTGGGGGTGTGTGGGTGTAGGAGGCTTAGATATATGCATCTTATAAAATAAATGCAAAGACATGCTGATGACCCATCTTGGATCTTTATCCCTCCTAGCATGAGCATCCTCTGATGGATCACTGCTATAGGTGGTGATCACAAGTAGGACGTGTAGAGGAGACTGGCAAGAGTTGTCATGTAGAATGTGACCTGGCAGTAGATGATTTGTGGATAGGGTGCGAGCACATGGGATTATGAAAACTCAGAGTTGGAGGTCACTTGTGAGTAATCTAATCTAACTCTTCTACAGACACTCTGGAAAATATTCTTCAACCTCAGCCCGAAAATAGTTATACAGTCTGGAAGGGTCCTAGCCAGGATTTGAACCTGGGTCACCTGATCCCAGAGCATATACTGTCGACCCTCATTGAGACAAATGACTGTACCCTCTCAATTTGAGTGAGTTACAGGTCTCTAGGAGTTTAGCAATAGATTCCTGAGATTCTATGCTTTTACTTGGTGTTTTTTTTTTTTCCTTTTTCTTTTTCCTTAGTCAGAGCACTTCAAATTTGATATAATGCTTTGGAGCTAGGCTAATGGAAAGGTTCCTAGAGGTAAATTTAGAATTTTTTTTTAACTTTCTTGAAAATGCTGATGAAAACTATGAAAATGCTGATACCTTCAAATCAATGCACCTTGCATTGCTACTAAAGGTCTCACCAGAAATCAAAACCTTTAGCCTGTGTCCTGGATCCTTTTTTCTTTAAATTGCTATTGGGGGTATAGTTTCATGGCTCATTGATTCAAAATATTTTTTGGTCAGTTACTTTATAGAGGCTCTGGGCAAGGTCCTACACTGACAAAGTTGAATAAGATGTTCTCCTTGTCCTCAAGGTGTTCACCATCTTCTGGGAGAGACAGTTAACTCAGTCAACATGGATATTTCTATGTGATACCTGCAGTTAGCAGGATGTAGAAGATGCTACAGTAACATAGCCTGGGAAGGCAGGAAGGTTTCCAGGGAAGTAACATAAGGTTTATGAAGTCTAGAATCTTTTCTCTTTCTCACTGAGTTCCTGTAAGAATTCAGTACTTCAGTTCTGGCTACTTTTTTTTCTTTTTCTTTTTCCCTACCATCACTTCCTCCATAGTGTTGTTTTCAAGAAATGAATAAAATATAATTTTGTCTCCTTACTTTCTAATTTGTTTTTTTTCTATAGTTTTTTGTTTTACCTCTTAATTCCTTCACTCAATTCAGGTGATTAGGATGGAGCGTACTTTTCATGTTTAGGTCAGTTTAGGAATTTCCAAGTGTAGAGAGCACCATTTTTTTTTTTTTTTCGTTGTCCAACACTAAAAAACAGTGAGTCATAGAGACTGGATTTAGAATAACGAGATTAAAGACTACCTGAGCTGGAAGAGACCTTAAGGGCCGTCTCACTCATTGCCTGCATAGATCATAGATACATGATGGATTTGTGGTCCAGAGAAGCAGATCCCTGCTCAAGCCACTTTCTTTGCACTTTGATCTCTACATAAACTGTCCAAATGGGATCATGTTTTCTTTTCTGAATGGCCCTATCCTGTCTCTATCCCTTAATTGCCCTTCAATGTTCAATGGACAGAGCCGTTTTAACGTAGTTGTAATTGACTTGTATTTCTCTCTCATCTCCTATGAAGTCCGGAGGTGTGGCTATCTGTGTGTAGCTGCCCTGGCAGGTGAGAGGGAGGGTATTATGAAAAGGTACCCATCATGAAGGTACTGTGGACAGGCAGTTGAGGCCTGAATGTCAAGCAAGAAGCACTTTTCTTTAGGATACTTTCTCCCCTGGTATTTTCTTCCCCCCACCTTCTTCCAGGGCTCCACCGCGCACCCAACCCCTAGGGCTCATATTTTACTGTTCCTGATTGACATCAGGCTATAGAGCCCTCTTTTCGCTCCATAGCACAGCCCATATGGATGCCGATTTAAACCCAGGCTAGATTGTTTTTTTTCTAAAAGGCCAAAGAAAATATGATTTCAAAACCAGACAGAATCTCCTCTCATTTCATTTAGTGACACCGTGAGGTGGAACTGTCTGGATAAGACTCCATCTAGCAAGTTAAAAACTCCCCAAAAGCACAGGGACAGGAAATTTCATGGTAAATATTTAAGCTCCTGGGCTCCAGGGCAATTGGAAAGTGTGTGTTAAGAAGCTTTCCTCTTTCCCTCTAATTCCCTGTATTCATCACTTGAGCTGTGCCATTTGGGCTTATCCTTTATGCCTAAAGAAGTCTTGCCTTTTAATCTTTTAGCCACAAAAAAATAGTAAAGAAATATAAAACACCTTAAATAATAATGCCCCAGGGAGATAATATCCTAGGAAATTTAGGGCTTAGGTGTTCCTATGGAGCACACATGTGTTCACAGATGCCCATCTCTGATGCTGATCAGTTAATAGAGGTTAATACTTCGTGTAGGATCAGCAGGGCTTGAGGTCTTGTCCTGGGCATTCTGCTCCTACTTTGTCGCTGGGTGACTCAGTTTCCACACTGGGAGAATAGGGAGAAGAGTTTTCCCTTAGGCTACCTCCCAGGAGGTGGAGAGGATTAACTCAGATGAGGAAGGCAGAGATGCTTTAGAGGCCAAAATGTGGGCAATAAAATAAGGTAGGCCAGGTGTGGTGGCTCATGCCTGTAATCCCAGCATTTTGGGAGGCCAAGACAGGAGGATCCCTTGAAGCCAGAAGGTTGAGACCAACCTGCACAACATAGTGAGACCCCCGTGTCTACAAAAAATTAAAAAATTAGCTGGACATGGTGGTGTACACCTGTGGTCCCAGCTACTCGGGAGGCTGAGGCAGGAGGATCCCTTGAACCCAGGAATTTGAATCCAGCCTGGTCAACATAGCATAACTCCATCTCAAAAAAATAAAAGTTAAATTACTTGGCCACTATCTCACCATTCTAAGTGGCAGAACTGGGTTATACACTCAACTCAGTCTTTCTCTGAAACTCAGAGTCAACCCCTAGCACTTAGTAATCTCTCCATCAGCATTAACTGTTAGATTGTGGCTGTCATTTTGAATGTCACAGTTATGCATGCTCCTGTGTGGACCTGACTGGTTCCTGGCCCGGCACCATTCCGCGTATGTCCTGGGGCTGCCATCCCCTCATCTGGTGGATAGAGTTGCACCTGTATATCTCTGGCTGTTCTGCTCACCCCTTCAGAGCAGACATCACCACCCTTTCCCCAGGCTTCTATGCAGGCAAACTGAGGACACAGGAGGTTCCTGGACACCCGTCAAGGAGGAAAGCAGGGATGCATGTTGCTCTGGGCTCCGTATCAGTTCATATTTGGCACTGCCTCTGTAGTCTGATAAAAACAGGCCAAAAGAGGAAATCCAAATTCAAAATCTGACTTTCACACAACTTCTGACAAGCTGAAATAGGCCCATTTTGGGGCCAATGATAAAAGTCTGATTTCTCAAGCACTTTATTTGTCTATTGGATCAGAATGGCACTGATTAGTACTTTCTGTGCAAAAGCAGAGACGGGGAGCCGCCTTCCCATTTCTGAACCCGACTGTTCTATTTACAATCTCTAAGCAAATTTCTGGAATTTCACTGACAGATTCCCTGGGGCATGAAAATCAAGCTTCTTGTGTGTGTGGATGGGCTGTGGGATGGGCTGGCGTGTTCTCTAAAGCGTCTTTATCTGCCTGGGCCCCCTCCCTCTCTTCTCCCTGAAAGAGCCAGTGCCAAGACTTGAGTTGTTTCATTTGGCTCAAGTCTGGAGGCATTGATACTGAGCTGGCCTTGTATGAAACCCACTTGCTGGTCCTGTTCGTCTGAGAGTCAAAAACGTAAGATCCTCTGGAGTAGAGAACAGTCCCTCCTTCCCATCCCCCTCTTATTCTCAGCCTAGGGGGGCCTATTCTCAAAAACCTGGAGCTAGAGGGGGGTCACCTAATCACTCACCATTTTTTCTCTGAGTTTTATTCGGGGTATTTTGTAAACTTGGACTTAGGGTTAAGAAGTTCATCAAAAGCTTTATCAGTGAGGCTTTGATGTCACTTGCATAACATTTTCCTAAAGAACTGTCAAGTACCAAATCCTACATATTGTTGATTTTTATCATCTGATTTTCTTGATCTCATTATGGTTTTTACTAAGAACACAAACAAACAAAAAGCCTCTGTTCTACCTTTTCTGGGGTCAAAATGTAATTTTCTTAAGTTGGCCAATTCAGTGGTAAGGCACTATAGTTTTCCACTAAGTGACTCTTTTCTAGTACTCTTCAAAGATTCTACTTAGTGTTTGGCCCCTTCCTTTTTTGCATCTGTTCCTGTCTCTTTCAGCCTAGCTCAGAGGAGGAGTGAGGAGCCTGCGGAAGGCTTCCATGGAGTGGAGAATTATGGAACTTGTCATTGTAACCCAAGGGCTGGGGCAGACCAGGGATCTCTCCCCTGAAGCCCCTGCAGGAAACTGCCTGCCAAGGTCTATTTACTCAGCCCCAGAGCATTTAATCCTGCGCAGTGTGGGGTGGTGTCACTGGGTCAGAGCCTTCGAGCTGCGAGCTGAGCAGCCGGGTGGAAGGAGAAGGATAAATGGCTGGTTAAACCCTGAGGTGTTGGGTGGTCACTGAGCAATGGTTGGAGCAGCCTCTGGCCACCGCCGTGTGTTGATTTTGTAGTGAGATCATTACCTTTCCTGGGTTGTTAAATGCAGTTTAATCTTCCTTAAGACAGGACTGGACAATGTTGCTTTTGTGACTTCAGAGAGTCACTAGACAGGTTAGAGGAGGCTGGGTTTCCAGATATCCACCGGGAGAAAATCACAGCCTTGTCAGAGAGGCAGGGTATGTGTGATGCTTCTGTTTTCTTCTCATATACACTGCATCATCATCTTCAGAGCCTTGCACTTGGTGCGGGTATTGGAAGGCTGAGGACCATGCATTGAGCCTTCACAAAATTGCTTAGAGCAAGAGAATACTCGCCTCTGATAGAGCATAGTACTCTCTCCAAACCAGGAGTAGAGGTTTTAGGAGTGCAAGAAACACATGTCATGCAGTACAGATGTCAACATATATAAACTGCTTCAGCATGTATGAGGTTCCTTTTGTGGCTAGGGTGAGTCTTGCAGTTTCTTTTTCTTTTATAACAATAATGGCCTGTCCGTGGTTACACTGGGGACAAACAGTTGGCAGGAGAGGATGAGGAAGAGAGAAAGGGAGAGCGAGAGGGAAAAAGAGAGGAGAGGGAGAGAGAAAGGTGGCTTACCTAGGCTGCCTCTGGCTAACTGTCGAAGACTTTGTGCAAAGGGAGGCCTTGAGAAAACTCTGACACGCTTGGAGTCTATGTGTGAGCTGATCCACCCTCTGTAAGGGGAGGCTCCTTAATTGTCTTCCTTTTCTAGCTTCTTACCCCTCTGCTCTGCTGCATCAACCTCAGAAGTCACATTTCCCTCCTGCCTGCTGCCTTCTGTTCCTCTGCGGTTGTGTTTTCTTCCCTTGTCTTAATAGTCTAATAAAGTTTAAATTGCAGCCCCGAACACACACACACACACACGCACGCACACACACACGCACGCACACACGCATGCACACACACACGCATGTGCACACTCACACACACTCTGCACTTTCCCGCCAACACTTTGGGACTACTTAAGAGAGTTCCCTCCTTGTTTGGGAGTGGGAACTCACAGCTTGCCTGCTCCCAGCACGACCTGTACCCAACTGTGCAGTCATCTGGGTGTTCGGAGACAAAAAACAGACAAGCCCTGCTCCTCCAACTCTTGCAAGGAGGCATGTGTTGTAGGAGACTGTATTGTGCCCCAAATCCCCAAGGTTCCAGAAATCAGCCTCTCTTCCCCTGCCTTTTCCTAATATTTTACAAATGAAGGAAACATACAGCTGGGCTTTGAGGAGCCCTGAGCCCTGACTCCTCTTCCTGATCCTGCCCCTCTGAATAACACACTTCTCATTTTGGAGCTATCATTTCTGTATCTCTTTCATCCCTTGGGTACCTAAGATTTTAATGGACCTTAGCCACTTTTTAGGATAATAAATCGTAAATATTTGTTTCCATTGAAGGGGTCAGCTTTTCCTTACTTTAGGACATGCTCATTTGTTCTTGAGTTCCAAAACTGACAGATCAAGTTCACGCTGGAACTTTTTCATCCAAGTCATGGTTTTGTGGCATTCCCCATTTGAGATGCCCATGGACACACCTTCATATATTCGTTTATCCAGTCAATCAACAAATGTTTTTGGAAAACTGGCTGATTGCCAAGCTCTGTACTAGACCCCAGCCTTACAGGGAACAAAGCCAAAATAATAGTTGCCCTCATAGTTATGGTCTACTGAGGAATAGAGACCTTAACAAGGCAATATAATAAAGCTGTTGAATGTAAGGCAGAGGGACCAGCATACTGTGGCAGCACCCAGAGGGGCTGTCACTTGGTATTGGGGGTCATGGAGCTCCCTAAAGATGTGGTGTCCAAGCTCAGAGCTGAAGAATGATGACGAGTCAGCTAGGTGAACAGGAGTTAGAACAGAGTGATGAGAAATCTGGCTGGCGGGGGAAAGAGTTCCAGAGAAGGGGAACAGCTTATTCAAATGACCCTAAGGCAAGGGTAAATCCAGTGCTTTGGGGAAACTGACAAGGACCAATATGTCAGGCCTGGGTCAAGCAAGGCAAGTGGGCAGGCTGCTGGGCTGGCGAGGCAGGTAGGAACAGGGTACAGGGTATGAAGGAGTGCATGTTAGGTAGGGGTCTTCCCAACCCTCTGAGGAACTCTGGAATTTTTCCCATGAACAATGGAAAATCATTGAAGAATTTAAGCGAGGGAATGAAATGACCTTAGTTGCTTCTTGAGATGATTGTTCTGGCTCCTGTGCAGAGAATGGATTATAGAGCATTGAGGGTGGCTATGCAAGGATATGCCCACTTAACTAAAATTCTTAGAGACAGGGAAGATTTCACACATGGTATTCTGATTGGCATAACTCCCACCATGATATTTTTTAATGTAACCTCTTATCACCAAAGCAACAGAATAGAGCTGTTGTGCTTCTTTGCACCGCTCTCTCTCTCTCTCTCTCTCTCTGTCTCTGTCTCTCTCTCTCTCTCCCTCTCCCCCCCACCCCCACCTCTGTCTCTCTCTATATCTCAGGGAGAGGTCCACATCATTTTCATTTATGTATCCCTATTGCCTAACACAGTTCCAGGCATAAAAAATGCCTAATCAATGTTTGAGGAATGAATGAATGAAGAAATGTGTAATCCCTCATAGATTCCCCTCTTGAAAGAATTTTTCCATTAAAGTTTCCCAGATTTTGAACCCATGTGTTAGAGAGGATGGTACCACAATGCAAAAAACTGAACTAGGAACCTGGGTTCTCTTCCCATGTCTGCCCTTGAGAAGCTGAGCAAATGGAGCCAAGCTGCAGTTTCTTGATACCCTGTTACTTGAAGTGTAAAATGAAGAAGTCAGGCCAGAGAAAGCCTGTTAATCACTGGTTTTTGTGATTCTATGACTTAAGGGACTGTAATACTGTTTAAATCAAACACAACTCTCACTATTTGCAACCCTTAACGTTTTGAGTTTGTTATAAAATGTCCTTTGCTAGAAGGATGTCAGAAAACCAAGCCTACTTATCTTGGGTATTGCATTATTCCCTTCTGGTCTGGGGATTAGGGAAAATGAAGTAGCTGTTAGGAATGCAGAACGACCTCAACCAGAACATCAGAAGCCACTTAAGAGGCACACTGCTTCCAGCAGGACATGGGTAGAAAGAAGGGATTCCACTATAAAGAGAGATTTGTAGATATGTTTTCTTCTTTCTCCACGTTAAGGAGAGAGAAAGGGAATGAAAGGAAAAACAAGATCTGAACTTTCACACCCTGATAAGGATTTCCTGGTATTTACAACATGTAAAATAAACTCTTTTTTTTTTTTCCAAAAAGAAATGTATTTTTTGCTACGTAGCCAACATGACTGGTTTTGGGGAAAAATATAGACTTTTGATTCTAATATGTAGATTAGAAAGAACAAAAGAGCTCACAACTTTCTTCTTAAAGTATTTATTTACCTCATAGAGGAAGGAAAGAAAAGCCAGGAGGAAAGATGAAGAAAGCCCTGTCAAGAGTGCTCCAGCAAGGAAAGTTTCCTGGCTGTATGGAAATCATCTAGGTGGGGTGTGTTGTTTTTCCCCCTGTTGGGACTCCAGAGGGGGGCTTCTCTCTTAAAAAACCTGGGATGGTTCCAATGGAGAGAACTAGATAATCTTTCAGGCTAAACTCAGTCAACCCACAGGGATTGATAGAAGCCCATTGTCTGCTTTTCCAGGAATCCTGGGGGTTGCAAATATGTCTAGGTCAGTCTGGAACTTCCCCCAGCTTGTATTCGCGGTGGGCATACACCACTAACTGGTCAGGGAATAGAAACGGGCAGAGGAAGACAGCATGCCAGGGTGATCTTGTCCTTGTGATAATTATATCTTACCACTGGGAAGCCCTAATAGTATTTATATCCATGACCCCATTTTCTTAAAAATTAATTTTTGGGGGTACGTAGTAGGTGTGTATATTTATCATCACTAGATCCTCACTGGAAGAGGCTTAGTAAACGTCAAGGATCACTGAACTGAAGTCTGAATATCTAGATTTCTGGGAATTTGGACTAGGCACATAACCCCAAAAGGTTTATTTTCTCCCATATAAATTTGCCTTTCTTATCCCTGTTCTCACTTTTCCCAAAGTTACTAAAGGGATCAAATAAAATAATGGATTTGAAATTGCTCCATGAACTCAAGGATATCAACATTTATGAGATATTTTGCATGTTTTGGGGGACAGATAAGAAGTGCCCTGCACATTTTGGGATTGAAAACATACTGTGGTAGTGGAATGGTTAGAGACTTGCTCAAAGTGCCACAGCTTGTTTTTAGCAGAATCTTTCTCATGGATCTTTATCCAGGAGGTATTTCCATTATAATCTGGGGTTGCTTCTTCCACTGCAGGAAATCAGAAGAAAAGGAAGGAAATCAATGAGAAGTATATTCATGAGGCAGATTTCATAAATCATCAAGTGTCCGTGGAGCTCCTTAGATGCAATTTCTTTAACTCACAAAATAGAAAGATACCCCAAGCCTTATCCAAGGTAATGGTAATTGTGCAACATGGTAGAATGCTGGCAGTAGTGCAGAGTCAATGACCTAAACAGAGCCTATGCACAAAAACAAATGACAAGGGTAATGATATTTGTTTTGTGCTTTACAGTTTCCACAGACTTTTGTGTATATCAGCATATTTGATTCTTTCAGCAATCCTATAATATAGGGATGGAAGGTGTTTTTATTATCCTTAAATTTTAAATGCAGAACATGAGGCCTGGAGAGTTAACTTGACTTGTCCAAGATTGAAAAACCTGTAAGAGGTGAGTCTAGAGTCAGGCCTGGATGTTGAGACTTCAAATTCTTATCTCCATGGTGCTAATGGCACTAATTCTTTATATTAAGCCTTGGGCAAATGGTTCATTATGCCTATATTGCAAATTTCTTGTAGTGAAATAAGTCATCTCAAGAAAAGAAGTGGGAAGCCTTGCTTCCAAGCAGTTAATGTAGAAGGCCACCCTTGCCTGATAGGCTGGGTCCTGGAAGGTCACTGACAGGGACTTGGGTAAGTCAGTGCCTTTGTCTTCCGATCTGGAAGATGAAGGGGTTAGACAATTCTCTCTTGCACTAAAAATTATGTTTTGAGATATATGGATGAAAGATATTCTAATTGTGGACTTTCCTAAAGATACAATGCAGAAAATAGGAGTTCTTTCATGTAAAATAAGCAGGTTCTATTAATTCATTTTACTTTGTGGACTGCTTTACATTACTTTTAAGGATGTCCCCATCTTTTTTCATTCATTCTTATAACATTCTTTAGCAAGGTTGGACAAAGGATTTTTTTTCTTTTTTTACTTCCTCTGGCTATTCTTGCCTTTCTGTTCTTTAGACAAGCCTGGCCCAGTGCCTCCCCAAGGGGTCTGCACTTGCTATGATCTGTTCTCTGCCTTCACATGACCTACCCCTTCTTGTCACTTAGGTTTGGATCACATGTCACTTCCTCAGAGGGCCTTTGCAGATTCTTGCAGTTAAGGTCCCCAGGCCATGTCTTTTTCTATCACATTGACCTGTTTTATTTCCTTCATAGGATTTATTGTCATCTGAATTGTGAATATTATTGATTTGTTTACATTATCATGGTCTGTCTTTCCTGCTGGAAGTTAAGCTCCAATAGACTTATTTTTCTTGCTCTACGTTGTATACCAAACACCCAGAACAGTGCTTTGCACATAGTAGGAGGTTAGTGCATGTTGACCGAAATAAACATCTTATGAGAAATTTAACAACTGCTCAAGAGTACGTAGTCAATGAAGGACTGAACTAGGGCCAGAGTTCAGTCTCTCAACTCTTAGTTTATTGTTCCTTTCACTGATATGATGCTGCCAAAATGTATATGTATTTATACATGGGAGTTCCTGATAATTACTGATAAAATCTGGAGTGATTGTGAGACATTTATGTGAAACTGAATGCATTTCTTAAGGGAAATGAGGAACTCCCTGAGGCTCACACCATTCAGCTTGTGACAACAGAATTTATAATCGATGTACTTTGTATATTGGGAATCAATCATCCCATATTTGTTTAATTCATTTTTAAAGGAAGCCAATTTTAGGAGCATTTTCAATATTTTTTATTGATGATACTTGAATTTTAACAAATAAATACACATCATGTACACACAATCAGGAGAGAATATAAACAGTGACAGGTGACAGGCCAGTTAGATTCTTGGTCAAACTGCAGAGATTTTCTCTCTGACAGAGGCTGAAAGGGTTTTATGGGTGAAACTGTTGAGCATGTGAAGTTGCCAGGGGACATGGCTGTTCCCTCTAAGTTCAGCCCCAGAAGTTGCATTGCAGGTGTTTTCTAGATGGCCTACTTTCTCTCAATTACCCATCATGAATCTCTCGGTTATTAGAACTTTTGGAGGGATGAGGTAGTGGATGTCACCTAGATTACCTCTTAATTGTATTGTTTTTCTTTTTTTATTCTTCTGTGAAGCAAATTTGCTTTCATTTGCTCTATGTTTTCTCTTTTGAGCATTAAGGAAGCTTTCTCTGGATACAAATGTCTGAGTGCTGGTGAAGAGGAGTATGTTTATTGATTTTCCAGTCCCTAGACTTGTCAGCCCTCATCTCCCCATTAGAGAACAAGTGTTATTAATCTGTCATTTTAAGACCATTGTTCCATCTCCTTGCTGATTTTACCTTTGGTTCTTCCCCTTCGTTATCTCTTGATTGAGACACAACATGCTCAACAGCACATGGCGTTTCAGGTTAGGGCCAAGGATGATTTTGTAAAAACACTAGCTTCTCTCTTATATGTTGCCACTTTGCGATTTTGCCTATGGGACCTGCTCAGACCTGAAAGGATGGTATCATTGCCTTATAAGTACATTTTATTAACCCCCCCACCATAAATCAAAGCATTATCTTATGCAAGTAAGCTCTAATTTGACTCTTTTATTTTTCTCACTCCATCACCCAAGAGTTTCCTGCTGTTCCCCTCTGTTTTTACATATGACCTTCTCTGTTTCATGGGGTGCTTCTTCCTCTAGTTCATTTCTATCAATCTCAGTATTGATTTTTCAGAAAGGCCATTGATGAAACTAGCAGAGATATGTCCCTTTCTCCCACCTTTTATTGCTGGCCTCTAAGTCAACTTCCTGTCTATGACAGAGAATCTCCTTTTTCCCTTGGAAATGCAATGTTTTAGTTATTTGTGGTTGATACTTTTTCTAAAGTTTTTGAAAGCTACAGCGTTGACATCCTAGATTTTTTCCTGTGTACATGCTTATTGATTTGCATAAAGAAGACACACACACCCCAGGCTTTTTGGTTTAATATTGACAACAGCCCAGATTTAGTCCTAAGCTCTAGCACACACAGAAATGCAAATATGTGATTTGAGAGGTCCTTGATTTTTTCCCCAAGAATTACATCTTTTCTATGCCACCTAATTATGGAACTACTGTGTACTGTTCTATAGTCATAAGCAGAAGTCACTGGCCAAAGAAAAGATGCAGATATGTTATATGGAACTTGGAAGTTGTACTTTTGGATAAATATGCCTTCTTGGTAAAGATCAAGGGTAACAGGGAAGGGAAAGATTCCATGTAGGACTATGGGGAGGGGAGAATGCATTTGAAGCTCTCTCTAAGACATCAGCAGCTCCTTTGGGCAAAGAGAAACTGCCCCGACAGAAAGAAACATTTTTGGGTATTAGTTAAACATTGCCTGAATATTTGGATCTTGCTTTTTTCTCTCCTCCTCCAAGAACAAGTTTTAGTGGCCTGGGTTTAGAGAGCCACACGGGACCTAAGGAGGGAGGGGTTGTATTGACTTTCACTTGATTTACTAAAGCAATTGAGTTTGTCGGGGGAAATGTGATCGTCTCCATCAGCTGTCGTGCTGAGGTTGCTCCTATCAGGCTGTCAGTAGCTTTCAGTTTCTGATCTTTCTCTCAAATTTGCTGTCTATTTGAAGAGGAGACGAAAGATGCTTTGGGTATCAAGAAGGGAGAACATTTTGAGCAGTTACCTGGGAATCCATTTATAGACTTTGATGCCCTGTCAGTTTTATTCGGATGGTGTGTAGTAACATAGAAGGGACAATAGTGCTTTCAAAGGTAATTTAGATTTCTCTCTTTAGGAATAATTTTATTTATGAGGAACTGAGCATGAGTGGAACTAGGATGAGAAAGGGTGCTGGTGTGTAGGCAGGCTTCTTTCCTTGTTTATGGTGATATAGCTTAATTCAATATCATACAGTAGCAGTAATTGAAAGGATATTTCATTTATATAGCATCTGTCAGCCTGAAGTACTTTCAGAGTCTTCACAAACAGGAACTGCTTTCCTTCTCAGAAAAAAATGCTGCTAAGTTGAAGATGGAACTGAGGCAGGCTCCAGGAACCCTAACTAAATACAAAACTGAATGAACTATTGTGGTAAATGGGAGCAGGCGCTCTTCATTTTATGAGATAGATGAATTACTGAAAAAAATACACAGACATGGAGTTTCTTGGGGAAGTCAATTAAAAACAAAATCCCAGTACTGTAGTAGTTGGTCATTTAAAAGAAAATTGTTGGCCGGGCGCGGTGGCTCACGCCTGTAATCCCAGCACTTTGGGAGGCCGAGGCGGGTGGATCATGAGGTCAGGAGATCGAGACCATCCTGGCTAACAAGGTGAAGCCCCGTCTCTACTAAAAATACAAAAAATTAGCCGGGCGCGGTGGCGGGCGCCTGTAGTCCCAGCTACTGGGGAGGCTGAGGCAGGAGAATGGCGTGAACCCGGGAAGCGGAGCTTGCAGTGAGCCGAGATTGCGCCACTGCAGTCCGCAGTCCGGCCTGGGCGACAGAGCGAGAGTCCGTCTCAAAAAAAAAAAAAAAAAAAAGAAAATTGTTCTCTAAGGAAAAAAAGGAAATAAGAAACAAAAGACTTCATGAAACATAAATAAAGACCTTCTGATTTGTTTAGTTTTACTTATTTGGACTTGTATACATTAGTTTATTGGAGTTTTTTTTTTTTCTTCACAATAGGAGCAGAGCTATGCTTTAGAGATCAAAGATAAAATGTGGCACCGGAAGGTAATGTCCCAGATGTTAGGTGGAAAAATTTCTCAAGTGATTGAAAGAAGTTCATCCTCAGAGTGTAGAATCTTAGTTTCCGCTGGCTCCTGGGAAAAGCCATTCCTGATGGTCGTAAGAAATGGTGCCACTTCTCTTGGGCAGATAGGAGGGAAGGCTGCCTCCTTTCTGAACTGCTTCCTGAACTCCTCCAGCAGCAGGAGGCAGGGGTAGAGAGGGAAGGTATATTTTGGGGGGCTTGTCCAATGACTTCAGGAGACAGGATATCACTTCTGATACATTTGCAAATTAATATGTCACCCGACAGCAGCTGGCTTGTTCCCTGTTGAATCTTTTATTTATGCACAACCTCCTAAGCTATGTCTCTGTATTTTATCTTGATGGGGACCCTGTGGAAGGTTCTCATTGTGTTAACTTTAGATGGCTGAGGCCATTAGCAGAGTGAAGAGAACAGGTGCTTGGAAGCCTGGCCTTGCTCATATAATAGTCTGTGCAGGCTCAAGACCTTATCTTTGCAGTATTTCCACTCACTTATGGTGTTGTTTATTCTGTTACAAACACTCCTAAGAAGGGAGCAGAATTGTTTATGGAAAGGCAAGCATGGAGTACTGTTTTAGTACTGTTTTAATTAGTAAAACTATCAGTCATGAAAGTGATCATTTAAATGTAAGAACAACTCCCCACTCAGAGAAACTGATTTTTTTTTTTCCTTTTTAATTTTTTTTTTTTTTTTTTTTTTTTGGAGACAGGATCTCACTCTGTCACCCAGGCTAGAGTGAACTGGCGTGATCATTGCTTACTGCAGCCTCGATCTCCTGGGCTCAGGTGATCCTCCCATCTCAGCCTCATGAGTAGCTTAGCCGGGACTACAGGCGCACACCACTCCTCCTGGCTAATTTTCTGATTTTTTATAGAAACAGGGTTTTAACATGTTGTCCAGGGTGGTCTTGAATCCCTGGGCTCAAGTAATTCACCCGCCTTGACCTCCCAAAGTGTGGGGATTACAAGTGTGAGCCACCGCACCCGGCTTCCTCCTGTTTTAAAACATGATTTAAAGTGTCTTATTTCTTTTAGATCTAATGGACTTTTTGACTCGTTTTAGTGACAGTGGATAAGAGGAGAAAAGGATCATGCAGAAGAAAACATGAGATTTGATCCTTTACCAAAATAGCTTTGTGACCTGAGATTAATCATTTAACTTCCCCAGTCCTCAACTTTTCCCTCTGTAAAATGAAAGACAAAATGGTTGTTGGTATACTTTCCAGCTCAACATCTCTAAGGTTCTAAACTTTAAAGCTGCATAAAATTGATTTATTGAAATAACGTTTCCTTGCTCTGTGTTTCAGCAAGTACAAACATGCCCTCTTGAATCTGACTTCTTTCAGTTTATTGAAGAATATAGAAAAAAATAAGACAGGATCTAAGTGATCATCCGAGCAGTATGTGGAAGATCACTCAGCAGAATTTATTTCCAGGCTGTGTCCATTTAACTTAAATACTGTTGAAATTTATATTCCTATTTGGGTAGCAGTCCATCACCTCCCTGCGCTCTCGCTCCTGTTTTACTCTGCTTCTCTTCTTAAAAAACAAACAGTAAAAGATTTTATTTTCTGATGATTTTTCTGTCCTTATCTATGAACGGAGAAGGGAGTAGGATGGATATTGTGCTTTTAGTAAACGGAGTCTGTCCCAACCTGTGTGCATAGTAAACTCACTCCTCCCACATTCCTGAAATTTAGCAAAACCAACCATGACATGCCTGGTTTATGTTAGTTTTATTTCAGAAAGTACTTTTCCACACTGATTCCTCCTGATAAGGCCTGCCCGGGGCTGCTTTGCTGGCCCCGGGAGAGTCAGAAGTCATTGTGTGACAAGCTGTGTGATCCAATTCACTGGACAAACCCAGGAATGATGTCATTTACCCAGATCTATTCTTTAAACCAAATCCCCACCCATCATAAGATTTTTCTCACTTCTCCTTTGAATCCTGGTAGCTGCTGCACAGATTACAGTTCTGTGATCCCTGCAGGAAGAACAGGCTGTGTTTTATGTGGAAAAAAATAGCCACATGCCCCCCTGTCAGTTTTTCTTGTGATTACTTTTGCTCCAGAAAGGAGAATTTGGGTACTTTTGGCCCAACTTAAAAAATAACACAACAACAATTAAAAAAAAAATCTCAACCAAATCAAACTGTTCGTCAAGAAGTACTATTCAGTTTTTTTTCTCTGCTGGGTACCTTGAAAGATAAAAGGCAACTCTAAGATACTGCTTCCAAAGTATTAGCACCACATGGACTCTCGTTTACAAAGATTTTGTTGCCTGAGCAGAAGGTATTTATTAGATAATCATACATTAATTTTCTCATGAGTTAAAACCAGCCAGACCTTCTGAGCCATGATAGCAAGTGCCGTCACACTGAGGTGCTGCAAACCCTCACAAACTGAGAACCTTACTCCTTTAGTTAACATGGGCAGCCTTATCCCCAGAAAATGTAAAACTTCACTGTGCTTTTTCAAGTATATTCCCAGGATTCCTTCACAGGCCTGTAAGGCATGGGATCTCAGTATTGGCTGCATGACAGAAATGCATGGGGAACTTTTTGAAGACCAAAATGCCTTGGTCTGACCCCCAGAGATTCTGTTTATTTGGTCTGGGAGGTGCTGCCTGGATGTTGGGATTTTTAAGAGTTGTGTGGCCCAAGTTGAGAAGCACTGTCCTAGGGGCTCAGGAATTGCTTGGCCAACCTTCTTGCTTTAGAGAAGCCTAAACTTTGGGGAGATAAAAATGTACATTCCTTAAAAGAGTCCACCCTGAACGAACACAAAACCTAGATAAACTATGAGAGCAGTTGTCTATTTAAAAAAATTATTAAAAATATGCTTTTTTCAGAAATGCTAATTGAATACCTGCTGTTCCCAATACTATTGTAGACCCTGGGAATACACAGGCTGAGCTGGTGAGGAGTCTGCCTGCCTGGAGTTTAGAGAAGTTCAAGGACAGTTAAGTTGACAATGGACTAGAGCTACTTTGCATAAGAGGTGCGCTGAAGGCAGGATTTTGTCCTGCCCTCAATTCCAGGAGATATTTGGTAAAGTCTGGAGACATTTTTAATGTCACAGTTGGATCGGAGGCGCTCTTGTATCTAGTGGGTAGAGGCCAGGGATGCCACTAAACACCCTCAAATGCACAGGTCAGCTCCCACGAAAAACAATGATTCAGTCCCAAATGTCAAAAGCACTGCATTTCGGAAAACCGTCCTAGTGGTAGAGAAAGAAGATGGGAGAAGGACTTTTTGCAGGAAAATTCTCTTACTGTAATGTTTCTTACTCCAACACAAAACACATACACACACATATATACATGCACACCCACACAGATAAAACAGACAAATCAGTGCATTGCTTTGTGGGCCTCACATCAGCCTCTGAGGAGACTTGCATCTCTCAGTGGTGGGGGACACATTCAGGGTTTCTAGACGTGTCCCAAACCACTCACTTTCCCTGAATTTTCAGCATTTAGGAGAAATTTCCATGGAGAAGAAGAATCGCTGTCTGGTCATCCATGCAATTTCCTGCTCAGTTTTAATAGCAGCTGGGCTTCTCCCTGTCTAAGGTTGAAACCAAAAGGCTGTATTTTCCTGTGGGGGCGAGAGAGAGAGAGAGAGAGAGCGAGAGAGAGCAAGAGTGAGAGAGCGCTTACAAACGCCTCCCTGGACATTTAGAATTTCTAAATAGAATTTTGGCTCAAGTCTTGAAAAGCACAGAGTGATGTCAGCTGAGGCGGCCGCTTAATTGCCCTAACTTCTTGGGGAGGGGTAAGGCAGGTATCATCTCTTCTTCTTCATGACCTCCTACTCAACTGTGGGGAAGGCATCCATCTGGAGCCAGAACCATGCACTTCAGTCCTGGTTCTGACACAGTTGGCTGTGCAGTTTCGGGCTCATCATTTCATTTCTGTCTGCCTCTGCTCCATTTTCTGTGATCTAACAATTCTGCTTTTGGGCTTTGGGTGAGGATTAGATTTAATTTGTATAAAGTACCTGATATATAATATAATAGATGTTTAATAAATAGCAGCATTTAAAATTGTTACCATCAGCAAAGGGGGAGTACAGGACTAGGAGATCCCCAATGTCCCATCCACTACAATACGCAAATACAGTGTCATGCTGGAAAATACAGAGGCTTGGCCTGCACGGAAATATGGGGAAAGGTCTTTGTGTTTATGTGAGAGAGAAGATATCCATGTCTGTGTATGTTCCAGATGATTTTTAGGTCCCATCGAATTCCCCCTTGCTGCAAGGAACAGCAGGAGCCAGAGCGTAAGGTAAACGTGTCTGTTGCCTGCCTGAGAAATGAAGTCAGAGCCGTGCCTGAGCCCACCATTCAGGGAGCAAACTGTGCACCCAACTTTGGTTCCGGGTCTTTGGTGGTAGAGCCAGCATAGGGTAGTTGCCAGAGCTGGCATGTGTACTTTTCCTGTTGCCCACCACCGCCTGGAGTACCTGGACCGGATGCCCACGTTCCTCCCCCTGCTGAGCAGGATGTGTTAATTGTCTTTTGCCCGGCCACTTCCACCTCTCCTCTGCCTCCCCTCCATGCACACCACACAGACAAAGTAGGAATATGCTTTTTGATGTTGGCTGGTTTTAGAAGTTTGCCTCCCACCTTTTTTTCTCTTTCCAAAGGAGAACAACCTGAATACCACACACAGTGTTATCTAGCTCTGACTTTGAAGAGGAATTTCTCCCCTTAGGGCTCTATTCCTGGTATAGCATAATCTAGGAGAAAAAAAAAAAAGTTTATCCCAGGGAAGCCAAGTCAGCCGAGAGTTATTCAGAGTGTCTGACTGCTTGTTATATTTAGAAACTACCCGGAGGAGAGCTTTGAGAATGCAAGAGCCTTCCAACTACGAGTGGTCCTGTTGGATTCTCCTTCTGGTTACATGGAGTGGCCAGATGAAGAAAGTCTCCCTGACTATTATTATTTGGGAATCATGGGATAAGAGAAAAAGCAGAAATGCAGCTATAGAGTGTGACAGCCGTAGAATTAAAATCTAGGGTCTCCAAATTATTGTGTCCAAACCTCCCCTTTTGCAGATGCATGTGCTGAATGAGCCGTCATTGGTCTGCTGAACCTCAGTTTTTTTATCTATAAAATGAGGCAGCTGGGTGGAATCAGTGTTCTAAACCTTTGCTGCACATTAAGATTATCTGGGGAGTTTGTTAATAATAGAGATGCTGGGGCCACACAACCAGAGATTCTGATTGAAAAGGCCTGGTGCACACTGAGCACCGGCATATTGCCAGTGCCCCTCCTCAGGGGAATTCTAATTTCCAGCCCTGGTTGACATCACTGGGCCAGATCAGTGCTTCTCAAAGTGTGGTCTCAGGACCAGAAGCAGCAGCATTACCTGGGAACTTGTTAGAAACGCCTATACTTGGACCCCACCCCAGACATACTGAATTAGAGACTTGGGTGGTGGGGACCCCCTGTGTGTTCTATTAAGCTCTCCAGGTGGTTCTTATGCATGAGACAGTTTGAAAAGAACAATAGATTGGATAACTTTTTAAGGGGTGCCTACTAGGTTTCAAACATAATCCTATAAACAGCCTAGATAGGGTACAAGATCAAGCCAAGGCCACACAGATGGATAAATATGTAGGGGAGCCCTTACCAGAATCCAGGCTTTTTGAACTGCTATCCAGAACTCTTTTAATTATCCAATTAGGAAGATGTTTAGGATTCATGGCATGTCATTCCAGTCTCTCTTTCTCTCTCTTCCCCTCCCTCTGTTGAGCTTCTTGTGGGCCAAAGGATTGTGGAGGACATGTTATTTTTAGTTCATGATATACTTACAGTACAGAATATGTTAATTGCAAAAAGAAATTGTTCTTTAATTCTTAGCCATTAACAAGGGGTTAGTCAGAGTTGGACTATTGGCCGCTTCTTTGGTTTCTGTAACTACTGTGACTGAACAGATTTTTTGGAGGTTGGTTGGCAGGTAAATGTAAAGATAATAACAGCCTGCAGAGTATGAACAGGGGAGGGCTAAATAAGAGGGGGAATGGGGACACCAGCAGCACCTTTCCCTTGGGACACAACTGTAACCCTTTTAGCTCTTCTAAAATAGCTAAGATTGCAGCCATTGTACGGCATTTTGTAAAATTCACTGTCTGTGATGGATACAGCTGTATTCTTAAACAGAAATGACTTTTAGGACTGAATTTTTGATGCACTAAGAGATCATTTTATTTAGTTGTCCTAGAGATAAATGCTGCACCCCACCACCAAGAGGTGGAACTGGGACTAGAAGCTTGCTCTTCTCATGCTCAGGCTGAGGTACTGGAGTCGGAAAGAGCAGAGGGGACTTCCAGGAAGATATGGTCGTGTACAAAACTTGGGAGATTACTGGAGGCAATGAGATCGTAATTCAGAGGCTCCCAGGGCTGACAGAAGGAGTTTTAGACATTGCCCAGCACATCTCTCATTTTATAGAAGAGGATTTTGAAGTTTGGATGAGGAAAGTAACCTGCTGGGAAGTCACAAAGGGTTGCAATGACCCCAGCCCTCTTGGTGTCGTTCTTACCCAGTGCTGTCCCTAACATATCACCTCATTGTCTAAAGTCACTCAAATAAACAACAGGAAGATTTGCTGGACCTCCTACCTTCACATACCACTGCAGGCTCTTCAATAAATGGTATTGGGTAGGGATGTGACTTGGGATCGTGATTCATTTTGTTTAGGGATGACTATTGGTGGCAAAATGTGTCTTAGGATCTGAGATTTGTATGTGATAATTCTTCCTTGGGTTATCAAGCAGGAAACATTCATGGATGCAAGACATTCTACCTAATATTATAGACGAGGCTCAGATGCGGTGGAGGATCAAGGCTTACCCAGATTTGAAAATGTGGCAGAGGCCCTCCCCTCTAGTTTCAAGAAAAATATGATTCCTGTGCTCCAGAAAAGTAAGTTGATAAAGTGCTGCTTCTACCTAAGTGCAATAAATCTAGTATAAAATAGCAGTGTCTTATGAGGGGATGTTATTGTGAATAAGGTCACTGCTTGCCATAGTCAATGGTCTACCAGTTCCATGGATATTTTCCCACTCCTCTCTTTCTCTTTTTCTTGAAATACCATGACTTATTAAAATGCCACAGTGATGGTGATGAGCCCTGAAATAGCATGGGTGGTCTCTTAGTTGTTCGGTCTCAGGTTCCTTTTAGATCCTCATAGTGTCAGGAACCCTGACCAGTTTATAATTCACTCATTGCTACTTGGCACATCGAACACCAAGTCTTCTTCCTCATAGCCTGAGTCTCCTTCGGTAGCTATAGCTGTTATTAGAAGTAGAGTGGGAGTGATTGAGCGGTTTTAGATCAGGTTTACTGACTAAGAGTAGCAGGGGAAACTGTGTCTCATTCTGCCCACCTATTGATTCTGGGGTTTCTAAACTCATCTACTGGTTACATCCAGGGTGATTATTATCTGATGAAAACCTGAAGAATGTTTTTAAGGTGGAAAAGGCTACAGATAACAGGTGTATTTTTAAAAGCCTGACAAGAATACGTGTATTTTATGTATTTTATACATACAATGTTTTATGCTAACCCTCAAATTTTGAACATTTAAAATCATTGCTTAGAAAATCACCATACAGATACAAAAGCATACATACATACACATGTGGCCTTGCCTTGTTAAATAGAACTCAGTCAACATAAGCTCTTCTCTCTCTAATTGTTAGAGAGTAACACAGAGATATTGTCAGTCTTTAAAAATGGGTAGAGCAGTTTGGCCCTACACTAAACATCCCTAGACTATGATTTTACATTGGTTCCTGTGCTGTCTTTTTATATCATTTGAGTTTTCTTTCTCACTGTGAAGATGCTAGTTCTTCTCCTTTTCCACTGTTAATAAACATAACCAGCTCTTTCACCAAACTAACCTTCCAATTTGTGCTTCTAATCTGCTGTGGATGGGATACGACATAATCAAGCTGGTGAAAAATGTGCTGAATGTTGGAGCAAACTGATCCCGAATTAAGACTCAAGTAGATCTTCTATAATGGAGTTCTCTTTCCACAGATTTTTCATTTTCAGTCAGCTCAGTGAATTTATTTATCGGGTATTTGCAAAATGAACATCAATATTTTATGTATTGAATTTCCCTTAGGATTATGATTCCTTCCAGAGTCACAGAGGAAATGGGAAAAGAATTATATATATGACTGAATTAAGTAAAGTTTTAGAGCTAGAACGGTTCCTGCCTATTGCGCTAGGAGAGACCTCCAGGATAATCTAGAATTATCTAGTGGTAATCTAGACCAGTGCTTGTCCATCCTCACTGAATGCACGTAAGAATGACCTGGGGAACTATTAAAATACCAATGCCTGTTTCCCTCCTAAAGAGATGCTTATCTGGGGTGGAGCCCCACAATCTGTATTTGTTAAAAGCTCTTTATGTGATTCCAACTGCAGCATGAGTTGAGAATCAGGCATCTCATACAAGTCTCTCACATTACAGATGAATAGTCTGAGGCCCAGGGAGTGGAAGTGACAGGCAATACAGCATTGTCTATGCCCACAGTCAGCAGCAATCCCTGCACATGGCAGAATACTGTTATGATAGCCTTCTTTCAATGTAGGGTTTCCCTGTCTAAACAGCTCCTATTCCTTCAGCTTTTTCTCAAGTGACATGATTTCAGAACTTGGCCAGCACATGCAAGCCTGCTACACACACACGCGCACACACATGCATACACACACATACACACACCACTTTTATCAACTGTGGGATGCTCTACTGTAGCAAAATAATAATCTCTACTTTATTTTGTCTCTCTCTCTTCTCCCTTATCCCCTTTTCCCTTCTGGACTTCCGCCTACCTGAAGGGGGGTAAATGAGGCCTCAGGAATGCACTTGCTCAATATTGTTCTCTGAACTTGATCTGCCAGTGATGTATTAATTAGCTGGGGCACTGCACCTTAACGAACAGGTTACAGGCAGATCCTGGTGTGTGTTAATGCTTAACCAGAGATGTTCAGCAGTGGTCTCATTTGTGGCCTCAATGTAAAGAGAGAACTGTTCTTATTGTATTTTTATAGATGTTTTCTTACTTGTAAGTGTTGACGTATTGGTTTCAATGCCATATGTCAGCATATTTGCTATATGTTGTCTCACATATGTTTAAATTTTTGAATAATAGCACTTTCTGTGTAAGTTATAACTCCTAAGCTTCAATTTATACATGTTTTTCTCCCATGCATGTGTAACTGTGTATGGCATAGCTTTCACTCTGTCATTACATGTTTTAAATTTACCTTAAAATCAATGAATGTCATGTATTTTGCATTAATCGCAGAGCAATATGATACTGCTAGCTGTCATGACTTATTCTCTGTTAACCATGATGAAAAGCACCAAGCCACTACCCTGTCCCTACCCCTGGTGTAGCCTGGTGAGAGGTGGCCCCATCCAGGCTGAGTCACAGATGCAGGTTCAGGATCTCTTAGAATTCTCTTGGCGAAAATGGTAGCTCTCTCTTGCGCCACCTCCCAGCTGCAAAACAGAGTCCTGCTCTTTCCTTGAACCCAGTACTCTGGGGGCTGATGTTAATGGAGGACAGGTAGAAAACAGAAAGTGCATGAACCTCCAGGTGCGCCATGGAGAGAGCTCATTCCCACAGCAATTAGAGATTTTTTTTTTCTTTTCTTGAGAACACAGCATATTTTGCCCACAATTATACTTTTGCATTGACTTCCCAAACTCTCTTTCTCTTTAGCAGTCCACCTCTCTGATCTCATCTCAAATCCAGAGCCATCCTGTTCCGGAAGATAACCCAGGTTGTCATAGAGCTTGGCAGGTGGATTCATGTTGGGCTTGCTCTTGATGCTGGTGTCTTATGAACACATTCCCTGACATCTAAGCAGTCACCTGTTCTACTAAAAGCATATAGGATCCATTTGTGGACCCAAACGCTATGGATGCTTTTAGGCCAGGAAATATACACAGAGACACAAAGTGTTATATGCAACATCTGGAGATTCATAGACCCTCTTAGGAGGACCATAATCACAAAATAAGAATCCTTGGGTGCAGGGATGGACTGTTCCCTCCCAAGAAATAACATAATGTTGAGAACATGTAGACTTTCAAGACATAGTTGCTGAAACCATAACAAAAAAAATGGTGTTCAAAAATCATAAAATCTGAAGATCTCATAGATAGATCATTTAGTGGAAGCCATTCATTTTACTCATGAGAAAATTGGGCCCCAGAGAAGGAAGGTGGCTCCCTAAGGCCACACTGAGGTTAATTACAGAAATGGAAATGTCCCTCTGACCATCTTTTCTTTCTGGAACAATGAAATCCTTCCACCTAAGTGAAGGTGGACTTAACTTGGCTTTTTCTTGGGTTCTTTATAACTCCTTGAGGTATAGGAAGATACCCAGGAATCAAACTTATACCCCAGGGTGGAAAGAAAAACCAAAGTGGCTGAATCTAAAATAGCACTTCCCCTTTATGAGGAAAGTCATCATTTTTCCGGCAACAGGGGCTTTCCACAATGGTATCTCTGGGTTATAAGGAAACCTCTACTCTTCTCTGATGCTGTGTTTTTAATTTGTGGGGAGCTGGAAACCTCACACTGAGACTGAACTTAACATATTGCCCTAGGAATGGAGGTCACTTACGTGTAGCTCAGCTGTTTTCCTAAGCATTCAAAAGACCAAAATAACTCTCGCTTATCTCCTATCTTGGAGCCTGAGACCTGAACAAACATTATGTAGAGGTAAGTGTAACTTGCCCAAGGTCAGCCCCATACTTAGCCTGAAGTCAACTCATCCACATTTCATGCACTTGCCTCCACTGATAGGCAGTGCTAGGCCTCTGCTGGATTTTTTCCATCCTTTGGTTCCTCAGTGAATCAATCAATTATTTGCTTGTGTTTATTGGACTTCAGCTGTATATTAATTAGCCATTGTGGTGGGCACTGTGGACGAGATCTGGCCTACAAGAAACTTTTATGTGTTGGAGAAGTAAAATCAAAGCTTGAGGATTTTTATGAACAGAATTATGACTGTCATTAACATCTTATATTTGTGTAGACATTTAAAATGGCTGTGTGTTCCCCATAATAGCTTTAATAGACAGGTGAGAACCTTTGTGTAAGAGTGGACAGGGCCTTTCCATAGGTTGTTCTCTCTGCTTGGGATTTTTCCTGTTCCCTCCACTAGCCTCCTATGCATGCCCCACCTAAACTTGGCCTTGTTCTGAAGTCAGATCAAGTATAGGTTTTTTTCCGAGAAGCCTTGCCTATTAGATCCTGCAGCCACCCCAGATCACAGAAATGCAGGCATGCGTAGAAACACATTCCTTACCTCCTAAAACTCATCTCCTAAAACTGCACTCTTGCGCATGTGTGTGCTTATTGAAATGATGTCTCTCTACCTCCAGGTTGTGAGCTGGGTGTAGGGAAACCACAAAGATTGCTGCAGCATCACAGGGATAGTAATATCGCAGATGAACCATGATCACACTAGGCTTGAAGAAGGAGGATCAGTTTCAGAATGTGTAGGTTTGCTGGGGATGCGGAGCTAAAAAGAGGGCACAAGCAAGCTCTGTTGGAGGTATACTTGATAGGAGCTGTGGCCTTTGGTTAAGGACACAGCTAGCCTGGGGTGACCCAGCATGGAGGAAGCTGGGAAAACAATACTTCTGACCTCACTCACCTCCCTTTTGTGATCTCCTGCTGGTGCCCCTTCTTGGCTAAAACCAAAGGGTAAAGGAACCTGAATGTGTAGGTATAGAAATCAGCATCACTGGCTAGATAGCAGACCAAGAGGCAAGGGCAAGATGTCCTGCCCAGTGTGGAAGCTACCCCAGTCTTTGTTCCTTTCATCTCCTTTTCAGGTCAGTACCTTGGAAACTGTGGACAGCTGTTCATGACTGACAAATCATTCCCTACCAGAGTTAATATTTACTCCCCTTTGGCTACTGGGACCTTAGGAACCAGGTGTGTGATGGGCAGGGAAATTGTCAAAACTCAGGCTGGTGGTTGTCAGTGGTTTCTCTGGCCTGAGGGAAGTGGATTTTTATTTTATGCTAGGAGACCTCAAGGCTAATTATTCACCAAGTTGTGGTGGCTACCGTCTTAGCCCAACATAAATTTTAAAAATGCCTGCTTTGGATGTCATTTCCTTTTGATGTTTGGGGTAAGTGATGCTTCTGCTTTCACTTTCTTTTGGGGGCTGGGAGTCCTTTAGAAGCAGCAATGAAAAAAGCAGGGATTTATATTGGGATTCTGTTTATAATTCTTGAAGGATATCTATCCCCATTCTCAGATTTGATCTTCACACCAACCCTGGTGGCCTTCCGAGCACGGATCCGACAATCAAAATGTAAATAAACAGTTTCAAAATGGCAAGAACTTTGAAGAAAACCTGTGGTGCTGGGAAGGGCAGGAAGCTTTCCTGATGCATCTGTGCAGAGGGGTGAGCAGGAGTGAGCCAGTGAATGGAGAAGGGAAGAGCAGCCCAGCAATGAGGACGTTTTTCCAAAAGACCCCAAGAGGGAGTAGTTATGGCTGAGGAAATTTTGAGGAACTGGAAGATCCATGTAGGTCCAATGAACTGATGAGAAACAGTGGGAAATGAGACTGGAGTGAGTACCTGCCCCATCCTTGTTGACCGGGAGAGAAAATTACTGTCCCTAGCTTAAAAGCAGTGGGTGCCATTAAAAGACACATGCACACGTATGTTTATTGCGGCACTATTCGCCAATAGCAAAGGCTTGGAACCAACCCAAATGTCCATCAATGATAGACTGGATAAAGAAAATGTGGCACATATACACCATGGAATACTATGCAGCCATAAAAAAGGATGAGTTCACGTCCTTTGTAGGGACATGGATGAAGCTGCAAACCATCATTCTCAGCAAACTACCATAAGGACAAAAAACCAAACACTGCATGTTCTCACTCATAGGTGGGAATTGAACAATGAGAACACTTGGACATAGGAAGGGGAATATCACACACCGGGGCCTGTCGTGGGGTAGGAGGAGCGGGGAGGGATAGCATTAGGAGATATACCTAATGTAAATGACGAGTTAATGGGTGCAGCACACCAACATGGCACATGTATACATATGTAACAAACCTGCACATTGTGCACATGTACCCTAGAAATTAAAGTATTTAAAAAAAAAAGGTTAAGTAGGGGCAGGACAAGATCAGATTTGTTTGTAAAGAGATCCTTCTGGAAGTTCTAGGCAGCTACTCTTGTAGCTTGAGTGAGGGTTGAGGATGGGGCATTAGACAGAGAATGAGACAGGTTTGGGATCTGTTTCGAGGTAGAAGAAAGGAACTTCTTGACAGGGACATGACTGCCTTTGGAAAGTCATCCAGTTGAAGTGTGACATGAGTACTGTCACTACACAGCCATACTCAGCAGTAGAAGCCTTGACTTTGTTACCAATGAGGAGTATGTGTGTGCATGTGCACAGGTTTGCATATGTGTGTGGATTTGTGTGTGTGTTTCTCAACATTGGGACCATTCATGGTTGAATGACTTTTGAAGGTTGAGATGAATTTTATTTTTTTAATTTGAAAACAAATATTACACTTGTTTATTGAGCTTGCCATATAAAAAGAATGAGGTGTGCGAAAGGGAGTAATTTAACAAAGACTTTTTTTTTTTTTTTGTAATTTCTTGGTCTTTGATTTAGTTTACCCAGAATCCAAAAGGAGCACTTCCTACGTTGTGGTAGTTAAATTGTTCCTTTTCCAAGCAGACATGCCTATAAAGTCATTAATGTATTTATGGGGAACCATCTGGCCACTGGAAATGATCCATTTCATACCCTAATGAGAATGTTCTTCTCAGCCCTTCAGTCCAGCCCAGGTTAAAGGAATTAGACAGCCTGTAGGTGAACTCTGGCTACAGTAAATTTCTCACCCCACCTGGCACTTGCCTCCTTTCTTGCTCTCCTCTGCCAGGCAGAAATAATTGGCATACACCGTCCTCCAGGGAATCTCCTTTTCAAGGTTCAGATCAGAGCTGGTGCTTCCATCATTTTTTTTGCATCAATGTCACTGGCCCTGAATCTTTTTCTGAAACAGAGACAGTCATTCTTCTGAGGATCCAAATATTTTCTATGATAGTTTCTGCTCACCTTTCCTAGTCTGGTTTCATGGAAGAAAGATTCATAGATAAGTAGGTTGATTCTTGGAAAGAACCTTTGTGCAGATGGCTTTTGTTCCAGGAATCAATTATGAAGACCCACTGATACTTGTCAAGGCACAGGATTGGGGACTTTAGCTTTGCGAAAGTGTCTGACTATATACAACCAAAGAATAAGCGACAACTTTGCTTATTTGATCTCATTCAACTGGAATGCTCTCTTTCCTTGTCAGTACCCCATTCATTCTTCAAGAAAGGAGTGTCTTCCTCTGAAAAATATTCCTAGACTTCTTAGATTCCAGGTGTATCTTCCTTCCTCAGCATTCATCTTGAGCCCATGTATCTATTCCTTGTCCCACCCATGTGATTGCTTTATGCACACATCATAACTGAATCTGCTTGAGAGAGAAGGGAATGCCTATGTGTGGTTTGTCTCACAAAATCTAATAAGATGCCATATCCAGAACGATGACTCATAGTTACTTAATGAATTATTCAGGTCAAGCATGGCTTTCTCAACTATTCCTAGACTTTTCACTTCTCCTTAGTAATAGCAGGTCTTCATTTCTGGCCATGGGGTATGCACGTCGGTAACCTGCCAGTCCTCCAAGAACCAAGCTTTTTGTTTGTTTTTTGTTTTTGTTTTGTTTTCAGTAGGAATCAGCTATGTTCCCCTGGCATCAGAGGAAACCTGTAGGTATTTCTGTGGGTCATTTGGGCCTGGGTGTCCTTGAGTAGACGTTGAAAAGTATTCTTCCAAAGCACAGAGCCCCATGCGGAGTTAAAGCAAAGATCAGAAAACCAGAGAAGGTCTCGGGAGAGAACACACCATATAAGGTAAGGGCCAATATTTGCTTGCAGGGATTGGGGGAAGGGACATCCTTAGGAACCGAGAGTAATGACTTTGGTCTTCTGAAAGTGCTGTTCTGTTATATAGCAGGCCATTAAACTATGTTAACAGTCATATCAGTTATGTTCAAAATGCTGCTCCTTTGTATATAAACACAGTGGAGTTCTGTAGCTGTGAAGGCCCAGGCCCTTGGCACGGCTGTTCCAGGGTAGGTAGTAAAACGTTTCTTCAGGACTCTGCAGCAGCTGCCCTAATGGAACACTATTGACTTGAGTTACATCGGAGCTAAATATAGCTGGTGCAGTCATGTCCACAGGATTGCATCTGATAGCCAGGACAGAATGTGCTTCTTAGAGACATGCACTTCTTAGACTGAGTCTCCCAGAAGCTGCTTCGAGACTCCTGCCCTTTCCCTTTCCTCCATTATTTTCTCTCTTGATTACTCTTTCTTTTCACTTTTCCTCTTCCAGCTTTCCTGTTCTTCCCCTCTCCATACTTTAGGTCTCACTTCCTCAATAGTGAAAACAAGGAGTTGGGCATCTTTAAACTACCATTCTTAAATTCTTACATTTATCTTTTCTCTCTGTATTCTTTTCTCTTCACCTCTTTTTCACTATTTTTCTCATTCTTTACATTTCTTAATTTTTCTCTATAACTCTTTCACTTTATCCACCTCTAAACAGGGTATATTCTTTAAAAGAAACTTTTTCCTATCTAGCTAAAATTTACTGTTTTCAGGAAGAAAACTCAGATTTAGACAATTGAATATTTTTTCATTAAGTAGTGATGTCTTCTCATGGTCTGTTGCAAAATGACAGAGAAGTATGAGGTAAACTAGCATATTATTGGAACTATTTTTTTTCTCCTTTTTCATCCCTCACTCTTTTGGCTAATTAGTTATCAGGACAAGGTAAGAGGTTGTGTCTGCAATAAGTAAATTGTTTTTAGCCATCCATACCTTTTGGCAAACCAGTTGCCCAAATACACATGATTTTGAAAAAAGAGAGGCACTTGAAACAAAGAAAGGAAACCAAGAGGTTATAAAATTGAACAAGTTAATCTCTTATGTCTTAAAGTGGAGGATATAGTGTGTGCATGGTTGTGCAAGTCTGTGAGTCAGTGTGTGACATTTATTTCCATTCAGGTTATGAGGATGAAAGAGGAGAATATGTAGATGGGCTTAGGCCAGGCGATTTTGACCAAAATGTTATGTATTCCTCATCATGGAATATTCTAATTTGCTTCAAATCATGTGAACCTCATTTCAAGCAGCAGATATTTTCCTGAAGAGATATGAATTTTTGTAAACTGTAGAGTCCGTGGAGAGCCTGGAGAACATTCTGGCAGAATATGACAGGTAGAATAGGGTAAGAGAGCTGTTCGAAAGTAATCCTGTGGCTAACTTATTTTGCAAGATTTGGTTTTGGGATCTGGGTTTTCCCCTCCCTTTTAATGGGTACCTTAAAAAGAATGAATGCTTTTACTAAAGGATCCCAAAGTATTTTCATAATTCTCATGGTCTATGAGAGAACATGCAGTTCTATCCACTATGAGGAAGGCAAAAGCCCATAAATATGGTTCAACTTGCCCCAAGCACACAAACAGAGAACTTGAGTATTATAAAGGGATTTGGGGACCATTAAATCCAGCCCTCTTCTTATTAGTAAAAAGAATGAGCTCAACGTGGGATGGTGATTTCTGATAGAGCTTGCATCGTTTCTTACACTCTCATGGTTTTTTTCTCCGGATATGGGGGAACATCCTTAAGGGCCCTGTGCAAAGGCTTCCACTCCTCCAGGCCATGTCACCTATCAGTCTGTGTGACATGTGTTTCACAGAACACACAGTGAGACATAAACGATGATGGGAAATTCCTCTGTAAGCCTTAGACACAAGGCTGCTGCAGGATCCTGGCCTCCCCTGGAATAAGCACTGTGTGTGCTTCAACTCCTGGACTCAAGCTTCTCCCAAGATCTCAGGCTGTTTGCAGTCCCTACACTTTGTCCATACAACTAAAGTCTAAGGAGAGCTGATAGAGGAAGTTTTCTCTCTCTAGGGATTTAAATTAGGGATTTAAATGTATCAGAAGACTTTAAAGATGAGAAACCGTTTAAGACTCCAAGTAATTAAATAATAAAATAATAAAAGTATTCCTAGCATGTTGAAAGGTGACATTGGGAACCTGCTTATTTGCTGCTCAGCCATATGTCTGAGGGATTAACTTATTCTGTGTGTCTAGCAGCTGCCAGACACCCATGGGGATGGCTGTGGGTCCATGTGTATGCACATGTAAGTGTGTGTGTGTGTGTGTGTGTGTGTGTGGGTGTGTTTGTACGTGTACTTCTCTTCCTTCACCGTCTCAAAACCTACCAGTTATTCAATTCTATGCTCAAATCTCAACCCCTTCACAAAGCAATTTTGGACTTCTCCAAAGGTGTTTTTACCCTGGACATCTCCTTTTTAACTTTGATTATGTTCTGTTGTCCTGGTAACTTCATATGAATTTCCATGGTCTGTTAAACTGTTCTTTCTTTATTTCAGGCATTTGCTTTTTCTTCTGATCTAGATCGTTATTTCCTTGATGGCAGAGACTGTCATCTTTTTCTTGATTTCGCCATAGCCTGACCATGGCCTTGAGCTCAGCGCTGAGCTTGTAGGGCTAGAGCACCTTTGGTTTGGGCATCCAAAGAGAGCTTGGCTGGCACAACTCATTTTTTCAGCAAAGGAAGTAACACTTCACTCAGTTAAGGTTAATCAGATAAGGCAGTGGTAGGGCTAGGGGGAGCACTAGTTCATCCAGCCTCATTGTTCTATGCTAAATTATAGGTGTCTGAACTAAATTTCAGGGGAGAAGTCTGGTAGATCCTCCATGCTTGGCAGGAAAGTGTGCTGGAGGGTCTAGAAGTCATGCCCCAGACCTTCTTTTCCTCTTTGCCTCTGTCACACACTTCTTGATATTTCTGTTATCCTGAAGTACCATGTGTGCATACATGCACCTGCCTACCATTAAATGAAGGAAATGCCACTTTAGGAAGCTGAGAATAAATAGAAAAATGTGGAAGAAAAGTTAATCTACCTAGGAGAAAGTAGAAAAAGAGATCTTTGTTTATTTTTAAAAAATCTGTTTTCCCTTATGGATAACTTTCAAACTCTGTTTTTGGCTTTTCTTAAAGCCTGTGAATCTGTCTTCTGCCACTGGCATATTTTAGCAGGAGTGGTCACAAGACCTTGTCCCCTGCTAATGCATCATGTTTGATTCTTCTGTGTAATATTTTCTCCTTTTCATATCTTTCAGGAAAGGTTCATTCTAAGTTTCTCTCTCTGTCTCGCTGTATGTGTGTGTCTTTCTGCTATCACAAAGATATCTATATATTTATGTACCAGTTTGTTTTGATTTTCTCACTTATGTGACTACTAGTAACACTTAAACTCTTAACATGCTGAAAACTAGCCTACGTTTTCTGACTGAACTTTGTTTTTCCGTAGTAGACTTTGGCTCATAATGAGCTCCTTTTTTTTTTTTTTTTTTTTTTTTTTTTTTTTTTTTTTTTTGGCAATGGTGCTTTTTCTTTAAGAGATAGGGTCTTGTTACATTGCCCAGGCTGGAGTGCAGTGGCTACTCACAGGTGTGATCATACCTTATTTAATTCCTGGACTCAAGCAATCCTCCAACCTCGGCCTTTTAAATAGCTGGAACTACAGGCATGTGCCATTGCATCTGGCTTGGTAATGGTGCTTTAACATAGTGTCCTTATGTTTAGGACTCAGTTTCCCTCCTGCGTGCCACCTAGCCATTGCTTTCTCATCTTTTAATGTCTAACTTTACATGTAGATTTACCCAGCCTGAACCAGCAGCTTCCATTTCAGGATTCCATTATTGTTCTCAGTAAGCCCCAGAGAGCTAATATAGAACTGGGTTCAAAACTGCATTGAGTGTGTTAATCTTCACCCCCTAACTACACTGTAAGCTCTGGAAGGTAACAGTGGGAATCTTATATTTTTTTCTGTGGCAATCATTTTGCATAGCACAAACTTGGCAATATAATGTGAGCTCAGACTGAGGCTCAGAACACAGGGAACAGTATACATTAAAACCACATTTTATAGATTGTACATATAGTTTATTTCTTGGTTGTATATTTGCACTGTAGATCTAAAGTTTACGGCCACTGATTTCATTTTTCCATCTTAAGAGTCTTTTTTTTTTCATCTTCTGCTAAAGTATTAGTAAGTACTCTATCAGTAAGCATTTTACATTTATTTTACTCAATTCAGAATCACAAAACTTTTTCTATCCTATTTTAAATTATCCATGTGCCATTGTAGAGACATTTCCATTCATATTTGGTGCTGGATTTTTTGTTTGTTTGTTTGTTTGTTTTTCTTTGAGATGTTTCTGGCCGAGAGTACTTAGCAGTTTCACTTTGATTCTGAGAGCCAACAGAAACTCCCAAATGGAAATGATATAGAATTCCCTGGGCCAGTCAACATCTTACCAATTTGGATTTATTTGCTGAAGTCCATTTATGCCTCCTTGATTAATTTTTCAATTATTCCTGTTGTAAGGGAACTAGTAGGATCTTCATTTCTAGAAAGATTTATATTGCTAATTTAGGGTGTCCTGCACAGTGCTATTGCTGGAACCCAACATCTTTTCCAGCCTCAGAGGAGACCAAAGTGGACAGTGTTCCAGTTAGGGGGGAAAATGGAATTCACAAGGGCATGGTGGTATAGATGATGGCAGCTTCAGGGTGGGGGAAGTGACAAGCTGGACATGTGGGCTGGGTCCTGAGGCTGCACAGCCAGAAGGAGCAAACCAAGGAATTTGGACTTTACCCTCAGGGTCAACAAAGCCATCAGAACCTACGAATAGGCAGTGGAATCTTCATATCTGGCTCTTAGAAAGGTTTTCTGGTGACAGAATGGAAACTAGATTGGAGGTGAAAGATATCAAAACCCCACCAGCACTCTGGAGGCTCCTGTCGTTCCAGTACCTTCCTATTTGTGCTTTAAGCCAAGAGGCAGTAACAGCTTTTCTGTTAATAACTTCCTGTGCTTCCCTTTCATCTATCCACACGATTGTAAATTAGTTTTCCTTAACAATCATGATTTGGATGTGCCATCTCTTTCCTGTTAAGACCCTGACTGATCTACCCTCCTTCACATGTCTTTATAAATCTTTGTTTCTTTGTTTGCCTCTCCACTAGCCCCTGAGCATCCACAGCAGAACCCATCTATGTGTGGTTCATTTTCAAGTCTTCACTAGTTCAACTGACATTTACCATTTACCAATTAAGCTTCATTTGAAGCCATCATTTCAGAGTTGGGAAAGGTCAGAGCCAACGAGAGTAGCTCAGGAAGTCTTCAGGGGGAGACCTGAGGTGGGCTGAGAAGCCTCTGCTGGGTGGGATGTATAGAGTGAAAGGAGAGTAATTGTAAGAACACAGCACATGCGTCGACAGAAAAGCGGTCAGGACCCTCATTGGGGCCACTGAGGAGATCAGCTTTTCTGGAACACATGGTGAGCTGCAGGAGGAACCAGCAGGAAGTGCATTTGAGAAACCGAATTTCCCTTCCAGAGCTTGTTTCCCCCTCTAATTACATTTGATCCAGGCTAACATGATTCTTGCTGACCCTAAGCATTTGCTGTAGTAGGGCTGGGGAAGAGATTTCAGAAATTGATCAAGGAAGACTTACAAAACAAACAAACAAAAATACCATTAACCAGCTACTTATGAGTAACTGGGAGTTGCTACAAATCCTTGCTTTCCCTCATCCTAATCACCAATTGGATACAAATCTCACGCAAAGCAGGATTAGGTTCCCGCAGCAGTATATAACCAATGGTGCAGATTCCTTCTGTGTTTTAATCATTGGCAGCAGAATCCTGAAAGGTAATTCTTGGCCTGGGTGCCTTTTCTTTTCCCAGTGAGAATAGTGCCTTTTTCTATTCAACTACTGGAAGGTTCGTGTGTGGTCAACAGAGAAAACAGAGCAGAAGTTCTGGAAACTTGATTTTTTGAAAGAGGAATATGTGAGAAATAGTTGGATGAATCTTTCAAACCACAGCTTGATCCTAGAAACATGAGGTTTCCCTTCACTCTCCTATAAAGGCAAATCCAGCAAAGATGAAAGTTTAAAAAAATTAATTACATGAATAAGCTGACCCCAAGCATTCTCTGTAGTAGGACTGGGAAGAGACTTCAGAAACTGACCAAGGAAGAACCTATTTCAAAATGAAGAAAAAAAGAAATTCAAAACAAGAAATTACTCTCATTTCCCCAGTCTGGACATACATGTCTCAGAGAAGAGTAATGTGTACATTTGATTCCTGACCTTAGGATTTAAAAGGAAAATTCATCTGAAATCCTGAAATAATCCTTGGAACTGTGAGGGGAAGGGATATATGGGGAACCAGGCCATAAAAATCAAGTTGAAAAGTTACCCATGGCCTTTAGTATTTTTCTGGATCCAGGGAAGAGGCTCTGTCAAGCAATTTGTCCCTAATGCAATCTCAGTACAGATGATGTTGTTCTTTTAATAAGAGCTCTGGTCTCATTGGCCACAGCTCATTACCTTAGGGTTGGGGAAGGAGGTGAGGGGTGAAAGGAGCAGAGAAAACTCAAACCCAAGTGTTAGGAAGCCTGATTCATGGGAGATCCATCCAAATTATATATGAGAAGCTCTGAAGCCTGTGGGTCAGTGGACAATAAGAGGTTAGGAAGATTAGGAGGTTGAAACACTCAGAATAACCCTTTTTAGGAAAGAATCTAATGCAGAAAGCAAGGGTCCCTACACCCCATTAGAATAGCTAGTGTTGAGACCACCACGTTCTCCAGGCTTATCCCATCTGCCCTGCAAAAGGCAAATTGTCCTTAGGGCCTCCCTGCAAGAACTATTTTCTCCCTCATTTTTACAGGTCCTTGTGGATTTAATGGATTTTATCACTGCATTTATTAGAAAGTAAAGCAGTGGGGAGCTCTTATCCTGGGTACCCTTTTCTTCATTTCTCAAAATATTCCTACCTTTCCTCTCTTCCCAACATATTCAGTCTGCTTTATTCTCCCATATGGGGTCTCCAAAACAGGCAGCAAAGGACAAGGAAAAGAAAATCAAGATTTGAGAATCGATAGTACTGGATCTGGGCCTCAATTCTACCTGGCGCAGGCCCTCCTTCCTGAACACCCATCTAACATTGGGAAAATTGAACTAGACAATGTATAAGGTGCCTCCTAAGCTCTAACATTATGTCATTTTTAAGGAACACAATGAAAAGTGCTCTAGAATCCCTTAATACAGATGGAGGGTTGGTAACTTTACAGTATTGGCTGAAAGCAAAATGCCTCTTTCCTTTTTATGGTTTCCTGGTGTCCATTCACAGTCAGATTCAAGTAACATTTGAATAATGGAACCCCCAAACAGCATAGGAGAATTCCATTCCCAAAGCTTTCCAAATGATCATTGCCACAGCTGAGTGAATAATGTTTGATTTAGGGTCTGGAGATCCTAATTGTAATATCTTTTGTTCCTTATCATGTCATGTCCACTTGGGTTTGGGAAGTAGTTTTCTAGAACTTGAGCACTTCAAAGCTTGCTGTAAATTTCCATGTAGATCACTGGGTTGAGGGAATGAGGAAAAGAGAAGTTGAAATGGAAGCCCACAGGCTCCAATTTTCTTGCTCAGAAATATTAAAAAAGAGATTTTTCTCAAGCCTGAAGGGACACTGGATGTTGCCTCACCCAGAAATTGGCTTCAGGTGATTAATTCCTTTGAATGTCATGCAGAATTATATCCACATATGAACATATGCATTTTCTGGGGCGAACCATGTAAATTTCAAAAGATTCTGAAGGGGGCTCATGACTCAGTAAAGATTCACTTTCCTCATTTTCCAGATTAGAATGCTGAAACTCCAAGAGGGGAGGTGCTGAAGACCTCCTGTTTGATCTAAGAGTCAGGACTTGAACACAGACTTCTTGAGAACAATTCTATTGCTTATTCTCCTTGAGTCTTTTGCAGACAGCTTGCCATAAGGTATTAGACCAGACCTGAAATTTGAAATTCTTTGAAAACATAACATACTTTATTTACTCATGAAGAGACAAATCTAGCCTTGCAAAACATTTTCCGGGCTGCAACCTTGATCCATCCGCCCATCACTCTCTGAACATTCATCCAGGCAGAGATGTTTAAATGAATACACATACACACGTGCTCACACATATGCATGTGCTTGCTCACACCTGTGTGTACACACATCGTTTGTCATGTGTGTCTCTTCCATACTGCTCCACATGCTTTGCCAAAGGAGGGAGATATCAATGAAAGTAATTACAGGTTGGCAAATTGTTTGTGCTGACTGCGGTAAAGAGAATGGGTTTTCTGGAAGGGTGACCATTCTCTGCCCTTCTGCTGCTGTGCAGTCATATGACTCTGTAACCTGTACCTGCGTGGGTATGAAGTATACATTCCTAAGTGGAACTATGACTGCTGAAGATAACAACAGAACTAAGGAATGAAGGGGGTAGAAAGCAATTCTATTTAAAGTTGCAGTTAAACTTTTGAGTTCACATTGAATGTCAACATCTGCCTTTCTTCCCCTACCATGAGGAGGAGTTAAGCAACACAGCTGTTCATGTCCCTGTGAGGACTACAAGCCTGCCATGGCTCTGGGTATGCAAAAGGCCCCAAGTCAAGACCTGTTTCTGGGGATCCCCCATAGAGATCAGAATTCTTGAGGTGGTTGGTCTCAATGCTGACACTGGAAGGGAGGCAGTTGGCTTTTCATGCTTTAAAGACCTGTGTGGCAGCTTTTCTGAGCAGGACAGCTGATTCACCAGAGAATAACAGCTTGATCCCATTCCCCATAGAAATTAGCTGTAGGAGGCCCAGAAGCATCTGACTGGGTGGCCTGAGCAGCTGCCCCATCAACATACCCAGGGCTTGTAGAATTAGGGGCCTGCAGAGAAGTGGAGGTAGTATTGGTATGGGGCTCTCATGAGGAGACTCTCATGAGGAGAGCTGCATGTAAGTCTCTGCAGACATGGCTCTCTACCTCTGTTCTCCCAGTCCTGCTATCCCATGGCACATGCACACCCCCACTTGTCCCCCACCGCCACATACACCCCTGCAGAGGTTAAGACTATACCACAGTGATAATGATGTCATTCCTAAAATACTTGAATAAATTTATGTTTTTGCAAATTCAATAATTTTTTCTTGATACACAGTTTCCCTTTGGCCATCTATGATTTGCTTGTAATTTGGATTGATTTTTAGTGCTCCTAGATTCCTCTAGAAAATAGTGTCAGGGCCGTAAAATAGCCTTAAGAGAGCAAGAAAAAAATGTTTTCTCAAGCACTTGTGGGTTGCACTATTTTATTAAATGAACAATAATTAATTATTCTCCTCATGATTGCATGTGAGATATTTTTGCTCATTGGTTTGGCATGGAGCACTGTCCATGTGGACAGTGCAAAAGGGATCTGTTGGTGCCCTGGCTGGGTATCTCTGCCTCTCTCCTGTGGACTCCAGGAGAGTTGCCTTTTCTGTGGCAGCACTGATGTCTGTGCCCCAATTGCTCATTGTATTGCTTCCTGCCAACACCTTGAAAATCAAGTTTCTATATGTGAACTGGGATGAAGCCAATATGTAAGCTGGAAAAGGATACCTTATGGGGCAGCATTTTCTTTGCATTTATAATTTGATGAGGGCTAAAATGTGAGAAAATGCTACACTTCAGCAGGCCTGGGATTTCTCTTATTTCAAGATTATTTTCCTTGATGTGAAAACCTCACAGGCCAGAAGTGTTGCCAAGATTGTCCCTTCCATGGCATTAGCCATGGGTGACATCAGAGGTCTCTTTGGGGCCACATCAGTGACATGTTCATTCTGAGAATCAGTTGTCCACAGAACAGAGAGGATACAGGATGTAAAAAGGTAAAAAGGAATGAGTCCACTTAAAAAAAAAAAGAAAGAAAGAAACCAATGCGGTTTCTCTGTGACTTTGTCCACAAGTGTTTCTCTGAGAGTCTTTCCCACTGATGTCCTACACTTAAACAAAATTAAAGTTGAACACTCCATTCTGTGGCCATGTCCTTTCAGGCTATCTTTGAAATGGAGGCATTACCTTTGGAAGATACCCTATGGTGATGGCTCCTCCCCATGTTTTTACATGGCAGAAGATATAAAAACTTCTGGCTGTTTCCTGGGAAGTAGAAGGGCTTTTTTTTTCCCTTTCCTAAAGGAAACTCTTCTTCATGATGGGGAGACAAGTGCTGGACAGGGCTGGAAAGAAAGAAGCCAATAGCCCACTCAGCCATTGGCCTTGCAAGCTCTTGAGGCTTGGATTTCCTGCAAAATGTGACAGTGTGACAGAGCTGAGTGCATGCTAGACTGGGAGCAGGGTGTCTTCTGTGAGATCTTGGACCTCAGAGTTGCCATCTGCAAATGAGAAGCTGGAACCAGCTCCCCAATTCCATCTAGGCTCTACATTTCTATGATTTTGCCATCATTAAAAAGGGAAACTTACGCAGCTTTTGCCTTCTGAGGAAAGACAGAGAACATGGTGATGGATCCAGCTTGTATTCAGGAATTAATTTATGCAAGAAACACATAGTAATTCTGCAGAACGTGCCAAGCAGTGTCCTGAGTGCTGCAGATGTAAGATTTGAGTCAGACCCTCAGGTTCCTCGGAATGCTCACACACTAATGGACCACATCTGTTTCTGGACATGGGAACACTGATGGGTTTTTTGTTGTTAACCCTGGAACCTCCAAATCTCCTGGAGTTGTAGGAGAGTGCTGGAGGCCCTGTCTGCCAGGTTGAATCTGCAGGTCCTTTGGTTCTGTTCCGTGATAGAGTCCAAGTCCTATAGGCTGGAAATAATGATAAATAAAGACGAGGGCCCTTGCCCTCCAGAAACCCCCAATCTAGTGGAGGACCCAGGCAAAAAATAACCTGAGAATGTGATCTATAGCTGAGGCAAGGGCTGAAGGAGTAGAGAAAATGCACCTAGGCCAGTGGGAGTAGGGTGATGGGGGAAGGTTGGTACAGAGAACCACACTCATGAACAGAGAGTAGAATCTTCTAGAAACTACCTCTAGCTTATTGAATTTGCACAGTTATATAAGAATATATCAAGAACTTGCCTCATGCAAAACTTGCACTAGATGCAAGATAGTTGTGGTAGAAATGGAGGTTGCTGGGTGGGGTTAGGAGGAGTTTTGGCCCAAAGAAAACAGATAGCAAATTAAACAGAAGGCCAGATCCAAGGGCCAGGTTGAGTGCTGCTGATTTTTTAAAAATTGAATTAATTACAATAAATTGGGCCAACATGATATATGGCTTCTTACACATCTAGAATTGGCAAAGCAGACATACTGTCTGTTAGTCTAAATGACGGCAAATTTTAGGTGGCCTAGGAAGTAGGAGCTTCTAGTGATAAGCCAAGACTAAATAAAATTCCTTCTCTATGTAACCGAATGTTTGATTAAAACCCCACATGACAAGGACAAGTGTTTTTAAGAATCAGAGATCCATATGAACAATGATCTTTAAGGCTTCAGAGAAGAGATAGATGCAGGCTGGCCGCACTCTGAGCTGTAACCTCTGATGTCGGGCAGTGCACAACTTGTGCAGCTATTCATAGTATTCCAGAATGTCAGAATCTGAACAGGTTTTTAAAAATTGGCTTGGATTGATAATCAGATTTGGTGATGAGCATTTTCTGGTAGGTGAAATATCGTAAGGACAGGTGTGTAGAGGTGGCTATTAAGATAAAGTATGTGGAATTTGGGGTCCTTGAATCCTGTTTAGCTGTACTTGGTGTCAATTGAAATCTCATAACATTGGCTATGTAGCCTCCCTCTAATATCATAAGCATATTGTTGGGCAGGGAGGACTGCCTCATATGACAGACCCTGATGGTGAGGTGAGAAGATATATAGCTGCTGGCCTTGGCACATCCTGTGCCAGCAACTAAGTGAAGACTTGTATTCCTCTTCTCTCCTTGATTCAGAAATCAAGCACCTGATAAGCTCTTATCATATTTCCAGTGCATGTTGAGCACTAAGGAGTAATAGAGGAAAGTATTGTTCCCACCGTTAGGAACTGAACTCTTTCGATGAGGAAACAAAGTTAGACCGCACACAGTCTTACATTAAAATGTGTGGTAAAACCCATCTGGACTTTAGGACTTTGAGATGTGAATTATCAGCAGGAGTTTTGAACTGAACTTTAAAGCGTGAGTTGGATTTGAAGAGGAGGCTGTACGGGGCAGCCCGTATCTACTTTTCAGGGGCAAAGAAGGGAGAAATGGGCAATAGACATTTGAATTATCAAATGAGACATAGTCTATTAGACTCCTCTTTGGCTACTGTTTACTTTGGTCATTTTCTTGGGGCTGGAGATATACAAGTGGCAGAAATCTGGAGCTTTTCTGGACATGTTTTTTTGATGCTACTGATACCTTTGCTATTCATGCATATAGTGTTTTCCAGTTTCTGTCCCTTGGAGGATGCAGGGCAAGTGATAGGACTCATGTATTAACAGTGAGGCTGCAGCCAGGATTACCCATTAGCTGCTCTCGTCAACCAACACAATTGGGATTGTCAAATTTTCTTTGAAATTCCAACACATTGTTTCTGTTGCCAGGCAGATGAGGAAACTGAGACTCAGACAGGCAAAACAACAGCCTGAGGACATATGGATGCCCAGGAATTGGGGCCTGCAGCTTCTCTTGGCCTCTGTTTCATCTTTGAAGTCACAAGCTTGAAAGAGATGATCTTGGAGGACCCTCCCAGCTTCAATGTCCAGAGTCTATAATATAGCTTTTCTGAGGCCACATGAATGAGTCCTCTGTGACACCACACTGTTTCTTTTGCTGAACAATAGTGATTTGATTCCCCAAATCAATAAACAAATTAGAGAAACAGTCGAGAGACCCTGGGAACCAGGGACAATAGATGAAAGAAGGAGGCCTGGGAGACAGAGGGGGAGGTGAGGGAGGGGCTCCAAGGGATCGTCCCATAAAAGCCAATGCAAGGCAGGTGGGGAAGGGAACAGCAGCTTCCACAAGCCTTTTTCATTCTGTGCTGCAGTCATCTGCCTGGGAATCTACTCATGGGTGGGAGGAGGTTTAGGGCAGACCCCTGAGAGGAGAGCGAAGGGGAGGGGCTGTGTAGCAGGTGCAAGCAAAGGCTACAATGCAAATTCTCAGGAAAGCCTGAGGGGCCAGGCTAGAGGGGCAGTTGTGCAGCATATACTGGGAAGACAGAGAGGGGTCAGCAGCTGGCTGAGGGGAAGGGGTGCAGGAGGAGAAGGGAGGGAGCCCTTTGGGGCGGGGTTGGCCAGACTATGGGAAAGGCAAGTGGTAAGTTTTGTACCTCTGTGATTCCCCTACCTCTGCCTTTACTAGAAGGAAAATTTCCCATCAAAATCCAGTTATCAAGCCAGGACGGGAGTCCTTTCTGTGCACACCAGAGCATCAGCAAAAGAAGGGGCGTAGCCTTTCCGTGAATGAGTCCTCAGCTGCCTGCTGAAATAAATGCTGCTTTTACAACCTGTCAGAGGCCTGTGTTCAACGAAATAGAACACCGCAGTTCAACACCCCCACATCATACCCTCCCCTAAATTTTTATTCTTCTGGATCCAGTTCTAACAAAGAAGCAGTTAGGATTTTTAAAAAAACACCTTTCAAATTTGTCACTTTCTGCACCTCCCTTCCTTCCCCGTGGGTCCTCTTGCCTTTTCCTGACCCAGGATACTGTGTGTCTTACTCTGAGTTGACAAGAATGCATTAAACATGTATCCAGCCAGCGATTTAGGGAAATTGACGATCTTCTGGGGCTTGTTGTGTTTGGGGTCAGATGATAATATTGCCCCTTAGGTTAAATCCAGACAGCACTGAGGGATCTCCAAGCTGGTACGGTGCATACCCTCAATCGACAGGAGGCGGATCTGCACAGTGGCACAGCCCTGCTGCTCCTAAACCTAGAAGGCTTGGATCCAAATGACTTTATGTAGTGATTAGGGTAGAACGAAGAGCATTTAATAAGAGACTTTACAAAAAGTGCAGGTAGCTAACAGAAGAGCGTTACTTTTGAAAGCTGCAGGCTTCATTACATTCCAAACCAGCCAGCTCACCAGGCAACCACAGCCCAAACTGGGCGAGTGACTTTCCTAGGGTCACGCAGTTAAATATTGAGGCCTCAGAAATAGAACACCCAGTCTCTGTCGTTGTCAGACCACCTCCACGCAGAACACAGGCAAGAATCTAGCCCAGTAAAGAGCTTCAAGAGGTGGCTCACCCCTGTAATCCCAGCACTTTGGGAGGCCGAGGCAGGCAAATCACCAGGTCAGGAGTTTGAGACCAGCCTGGCCAACACAGTGAAACCCCATCTCTACTAAAAATACAAAGAATTAGCTGGGCGTGGTGGCAGGCACCTGTAATCCCAGCTAATCGGGAGACTGAGACAGGAGAATCTCTTGAACCCGGGAGGCAGAGCTTGCAGTGAGCTGAGATCCTGCCATTGCACTCCAACCCAGGTGACAGTGCGAGACTCCATCTCAAAAAAAAAAAAAGAAAAAAAAAAAGGCTTCACACATGAGTGTTGTCTTGTGGAGGGAAAATGCGGGGACTACGAACATTCTTCAAAATCAGAAAGTCTTCTTGGTTGAGGAGGAACGTGGGTCTCTGTTGAACGATGAGGTGCACCATGACTGCACTTTCCAAACTGAAATCAAAACATGTGTGTCCTTATGGGAACAATGGGCAACCAGAGTATGGGAAATTAGAGCTGTCTCAAAAAGTCTGGCACTTACTGTCTTTGGACATATATAAGCTTCCAGACTTACGTGTTTTGCTATATAATTGACTTACGGCTTGAACATTGTTTTAACCAGGTGTCTTTACTCACTCAGCACCACTCTTGAGTTTCATAAATCACCACATTTAATCTTCTATTACAGCGAGATTAAATAATTTTCTGAAAGAGTAAACATCCAGGAAGCTGCAAGTCAGGATTCGAAACTTCGTCTGCCTAACCCCACATTCTGCACTCTCTGTTAGTCTGTGCTGCCTTTTGAGAAGCATTTTTTTTAATTGGAGAGATGTTTCATTGCATGTTTTTTCACATGCAGAAAGGAATTTATTCATGTCGAGATTTAGAGGATCATAAAATCACCGAACCTTAAAGAAAGAAGGACTTCAGAGTTCGTTGATCTCAACCAACTTGTTTTGCAGATGAGGAAGTGAGGCCCAGCCGGGCAGTGACATTGGCCAAGGTCAGGCTGCATTGAACCCAAGACTCCCAGCGGAGTGTGCCTTCCACTCTGACATGGGAACTCCTTGGGTTTAAAACCAGTGACCATGGTCAGTGGGATAGTGGCCAAAGGCTGCCAAGGTCACCAGAGTCTTCTGTGGGCTTTGTTTAATGTCTTAACTCCCACTCCCATCCCCCATCCATATTAACTACCTTTTAAAAAGATTGAAATCATGCCTGCCTACCTCATGCAAAGTTAAAGGTCTACAGAGATCTAAAAGGCATGAACTACTATTTGTGATACTTATCTTCACAAAAGAGTTTATAAAAACAATTTGAGATTTCTTTTTATGAAAAGAAAAGACACGCACACACTCACACACACACACACACACACACACACTCCTCACCATCATAACACGATTATATTTAGCGGTTAACCAGTGCCCTTCCACCATCTCCCTCTGTGAAAACATGCTACCATACACTCATCATCTTACATATCCTTTTGAGTTTGCTTTCGCTTACCATGGTTACAAATATTTCCCCATGTTTTCTTGGTGATTCTAATTACCGGACAATATTTCACTGAATGTGTGTGTGTGTGTGTGTGTGTCTGTGTGTGTGTGTGTATACACACACATTTACTTTAATGGTTTACTATTATTGGACTACTTTTGGAAGTAGTTGCACAGCTTTTTATGTAGCTTTTTATTCTCTGAGATTGTTTCATTCAGACAGATACTTGAGAGTGGGAGTAGACTTCCCTTTTTCCTCTTGATACATGTGTCACGCTGTTTTTCAAAAGATATATAAGAATCAAAATGCTACCTTTGGTTGGAGATGGGCAATCCATCACCTGGTTTCCTTTTGAGCAGTAGTACCAGACACCAGATACACGCAAAATTCATTTTCTCTCTCATCAGAACTTCTGAATGTTTATCTGTCACTCTGTCAGCTGAGAGAGTGTGGGTATAATTCTATCCTTTTCATCCTCCCTCTGTATATCACTGGATGTTTTCTTTCTCTGGTAAGGCTTACTGTGTATGTTTCCTTCATTTGCAGACTGTCACAAAAACATTTTTGAAAGTAGGTGGAGGTGCACATGGAAATGGAAGCTTTTTCTCTCACTTAATCTTCGTAAGATCCGAAGTGGTGGCAGAGGGTACCCCTGTATTACAGCAGAGGACACTAGATCCTCAGAGGTCAGCAGCCTGCTCATGGTCCCATGCAGGGCAGAGGAAGGAAACTCCCATCCAGGCCCTGTGACTGCATATTTAGCATCTTTTCACAGCCCCACAAGGAAGTGTAATTGTGTGCCCCCACTGAGATCACACATGGCTTGACTATCTTGGTCTGCTTTGGCTTACATGATAATCCTGTCCTCAGGTTAAAATCAGGCAACAATTGGACCCTAACAATTTCCATTGAGAATGATTGTTTCAATATGAACTGGGACTGCGTGTAACCTACATGGACACCTCTTGAAGACAAGGCAAATTGTAATGATCTCCAAACCAGCAGCAAAAAGTAAGGACTCAACAACCAGGTTAGGGCGAAGAAGGATCATTCTTTACAAAAAAAAAAGTTGCCTTGCTGTACACGTCATCATTGCTGATGGTGGAAGGAACAGACAACTGGAAGTTGTACTAGGCTTGCCTGTCCTGGCAGCTTTGGGAGACTGGCTGGTTATGAGGAGTGGCAGCGCTTGCTGGCAGCCCTTTCTGGCCAGCTCAGTAGGGGGACATTCCTCACCAGGGCAGCCCAGGCTGGGCTTGGAGCCACCCAGCTGAGCGCCACGTGGCGGGCAGGCAGTCACATGGCTGGGATTTGGGTTTGGAATCACAGTGCTGAACCTACAGCCTAGTCAACTCCCTGTTTTAGGGCATTCATTTTTTCAATCACACCAGTTGGTTGGCAGGTGTAAATGTTCTGGGGGAGGACACCAGAATGGAGTGAAGACATCATCTGTTTCCTAACTCTTGTAGCTTTTGACTGGGTACTTTCCTGGCCATCAAATGCTGAGAGATCTAGCACCTGCTGGTCCTCTATGTGGGCGGGAACTGTGAGGTCCAGCCTGGTGTATGTCTCTGTCCTAAGCCTTATATTTCTGAATGGTGGTGGGTGGGGGATGGGGACCAAGATTGAGACCTGGGGTTCTTTTCTCCTTTACAAACTGTGCAGGCACAGGGCACAGCTTCAGAGACCCTCCATACTGGAGGAAAATAGTGCAACTCTACTAGCTCCCTCACTTCGTCATCCACACAATTTTCTGAAATGTCAATCCTGTGCTCACTTCCTGGGAATGCAGGGTTGGAATGATTCCAGTTCCACAATGGGCAGAGATCATGTCTTGATCACTTACGGTGGAAATATTCCATGTCTAGCACAGTGCCTGGCACATGGAAATTGCTCAGTTAACACTTGTCTTATGGACTGATTGAAGATGTAGTCTCTGAGTTCAAGGAGCTCACAATTTAGTGGGAAAAGGAAGATGGATAAAGAGTCACAATGACATTGTGGTAAGTGACTTGATAGAAATGTATACTTGGTAGCTTGGGAGCCATCAAAGTAACATTTCCTTTCATTGAAGTAAGAGGATTACAGTTCCTTATTGGCAGGTAAGGATCTTGCTCCCCACAGGATATCCAAAGAAATATATTGCTTCCCACAAAGATGTATTGACTCTGGAAACAGCATGGGTTAGTGGAAAGCAGTCTAGGTTGGGGGTAGGAAGACCTGTGTTCCAGACCTCTCTTGCTGAGTGGCCTCAGGCATAATCTCTTTGTGCCACTGTTGTTTTCATACGTGAAATCAGGACGTTAACTCCTTCTCTGCCCACCTTCCAGCAAAGGCATTGCTTAACAGGCCCTACTGGCTCCCTGTCCTCTACAGAATTAAATCCAAACTCTGGAAGGTGGAATTGAGGCTCTTGCTGGTGCGTCTCTTTCCTTTTGCATCTGTCATTATGGTCACATCAGTCTCCTGGATTTCCTCAGACATTCTTTGTCTTTCTGTGTCCCTATACATCCTTGCGGGGCCCTACCTCTGCCTCAAATGCTCTTTCAGAATTGGCTTGTCCAGAGACTTTCTAAACTTAAATGGCACTTTCTCCCCTGTGCAGAATGGTCACTACCTCACCCATGGCTGGACCCATGCCTCTTTAGGCATCCTTCTAACAGAGTATTAATTCCATTTTATTGTCTTGTTTATGTACCTTTCTTCTCCCCCTGGTTTCTCAAAGACTTTATATACCCCTGCCTATCCCCTGTTCCTGACACACAGCTGAGTGTTAAATAAGTGCTTGTATTGTAGTTGAATGTATCAACATAGACTGATTCCTTAATATCTGTTATTGCAGCGGGAAAGAAAGACTCATGGGTGGAAGCTACAAAGAAGCAGGTTTCAGTTGAGTATTCAAAAGAATTTCCTCAGAATCAGAGCTGTTTAGCAAGGACCTGGGTCTCCTTGGTGTACCTGGGGACTTGTGTGCTGTCCGTAGCTAGGAACGCCTGCTGTCAAGAGCTGTACCCCACATCTGTGACAGCACAGCCCCTCTTGTGTGGTGCTGCTGGAGCAGGAAGGCAGAAGGGGCTGGGGTTCTCTGAAGCCATTATTTAAAGGATATTCCTCTCTACTGATTAAATTCTCACTTGTCTCTCCCTTTATTTCTTTGATTTCCTGCTAGTGTTCAATCAGCATTTGTTGACTGAGTGACTCTGTTTATTTGTACAACAGTGACTTTTGTTCTGCAGAATGGAATAATCCAGTCTGGAACACGAATTCCATGTCTGATTTAGGGAGAATGTTTGCTGTCTTCATTTGTAGCTCTTTAGTTTGACCAAGCACTCCCATTTTGAGAAGAAAGTTATTGAAGGTCAGTGTGGTCTATCCCTAAGTCCTTCATCATCAGCAGTCCAGGCAGTATTTGGGAAGTTAGAAGTTTCTGAGAGTGACCATGTCTTATCCCCTTCTTTATTTTTCATACCATCTAGTGGTGTCTTGCACATAAATATTCATCAGTTTAAATTTGCCTTCTAAAATTATTGATAGTTGACATTTAACCACTGACTGGCAAATAAGATCCAATCAAAATGTCATGGAGTAAAGGGTGTTTAAATTCTTTAGCTGTTCATCCCAAAATTTCCTTTAGAAATTAACCACCTGCCATAGGGAAGATGCGTAGATGATTAGGTTAGAAGTTAGATTGCAACTCTTTGCAGCTCGTTCTGCTAACCCTATTCACCAATTAGCCTCACTCTTCAACTGCCTCCGCTAAAGATACTGAACTGAAACTTGCTCCCTATGGCAGCTACATGGAGAAGCTATGGTTTTGACAGGTAGCATATGACAATGGCTATTCCACTATTGAAAACCTGGGCCTCTGACTTAGGTGCCCCCAATCTCACCTCCCCACTAGTACACATATACATGTAGTTGAAAGTCAACAATTACAGTTGTTTTCAATGGAGTATAGAAATAAGAGAGAATTGGCTGGGCACGGTGGCTCACACCTGTACTTTGGGAGGCCGAGGTGGGCGGATCACCAGAGGGTCAGGAGTTTGAGACCAGCCTGGCCAACATGGGGAAACCCCATCTCTACAAAAAATACATGTGGTGGTGTTAGCCTGTAATCCCAGCTACTCAGGAGGCTGAGGCAGGAGAATCACTTGAACTCAGGTGGTGGAGGTTGCAGTGAACCTAGATCATGCTGCTGCACTCCAGGCTAGGCGATAGAGTGAGACTTCTCCAAAAAAAAGGAATAAGAGAGAATTTATCTTTGCCTAGCTCTTCATGTCTTATTAATTAAAATAGACTACTGCTTACACAAAATATCCAGCAGAGTCAAAATCTTAGAGTGGATACTGGTTACTTGCAAGCTTTTAGCATTTAACAGAATAAAAAGAAATAGATATCCCTGGATTTGTTTTCTTACAGGTGATACTAGTGAAAAAGATCCATGCTTTCATCCATCTGAAGGAAAATACCAAATGAAACAAAAACCAATGATAGCTTCTCCCTCTCTGCTCTAACAATAAGCAGTTATATTTTCAGAAAGCAAATAAATGATTCAGCAGGAAATAGGTGGCATTTATTTCTTATGCCTAGCTCTATCATTTGGTGCTGAAAACACTTGCTCTGTGATGAGGACTCACTTCTATTCAGGCTTACGAGCTGCTGACTTAGGGACTCCCACATACCGGGAGAAAAATATTCTAGAACAGGACTTATGCTCAGGTCAAGGAAGTTCAAACCTCGATGCAGAGCAGACCCCTTGTTTATGAGACCTGGGGCTTTTGTGCAATAAAGAAATAGAAATAATCTTTATTAGCTAAAGTGGCAAAGCAGTAGAAAGGGGGATGATATATATAGGAGAGCCAAAGATCTGTGAGATCAGTCCCCTTGATTCACAAATAAGAAATGATTTTACTCCTTTCATTCCCACCCTCATTGTTCTGCTTAGTTGTGGTAAGTTCTTGAGGTGAGCAGTGAGGTTAAAACCATTTGGTTATGGGATTAGTTGAATTTAAGAGAAAACAATAGTTGGTGAATCCTTCATGTATGAGCACTTTGGCTTCATACCAACCATGGCAGTAATCCCAGGTGGCTGTGAGGATGACTGTTCAGTGTCTTGACAGGAGACATTACTCATTCTCACCCTAACCTCCATTCAAACTTCTTTTCACTCCTGCCCAAATCTTAAGACCAGTTACCTTGACTTGAGAAGTGGCTGCCTGTGTGTGTGTGCATGCATATGCATCTGTGTTATGTGTCTGTGTTTGGTGGGGGTAGGGCAGGGGCATAAATCTTAAGGCTGCAGCTCTCTTCTGCTGCTTCTCTGCAAAGTTCAACCATCCTTCAGAGCTCATCTCAAGCTACCCTTCCTTGAGCCCACCCAACAGTGCACCCTGCCTCTGAGAGTTCGGTGGTGCCCATCTAGTCTCTAGCACTCTACCCTGATACCTGCTTATTTACTGCACATAACATGGGATCTATATAGGGTTTTGTATGATTCACTTGGGTTATTGAATGTGGCATATGTGTATATCTCACTCGATTCTATTCTCTCTGTGGTAAGGGTCCACATTAAAATTTATTCATAATTTTAACAATATCACCTCACTAACCCAGTTCTTGCATAAAGTAAATGCTCCAAAGGTATTTGCTGATGGATTTCCTGATTGCGCCTCTATATTTCTGACGGTGTAACATAACACTGCCAGAGGTGTGTATCTTTCATTTTAAAAGACCCATTAATATTCAACATTAGCAGAATAATTTTCTAAATGACAAGTTACAACCTTTTGGCTGTCTCCTCTTTTTCTTTTCCCCAGGGAATTGCCCTTTTAATGCAATTGAAAAAAAGAAGGGGATGGGAAGAGAAGGAAAATGGAGGGCAGAAGAAAGAGAGCAATAGGAAGGGAAGGAAGTGGTGATTGCCTAGGGAAGCAGATGAAGAAAGGGAGTGGGTCATCGTAGCAAGTAGGTAAGGGAGGGAAATCCTGAAGCAGGAAGATAAAGGAGCAAAGTCTTGGTCTTGCTGCAGCCATGGCGACTGCTCCTCTCCTGCTCTTACTTGGAGTAGCTGCTTCCCACCTCTGCTCCCGGTAGAGTGGAGTGCAGATTCTCCTGCACATTATTCACCTAAACATATAGAGTTACTTTTTTCACTTCTGCTTAGGAACTTGCTGTATCTTATTCTGCTCTATCCCCACCTGGGGGCATTAAGGTTAATGTTTCAAGTTATGGTGCTAGACTTGGAGTTAGACTGGGATAGATCTTAGAGTTATGTCTTGCCTGTTTCCAAGGGAATTTCAGAGGTTTACAAGTGTAATAAAAATTCAGCAATTAGGGGGAAAGCAAAGCAGAGATTATCTAAAAGGACTGGGAGCTACCTGGCTCCTTCAAGGCTCTGATCTTTTACATGGAGGACTGATGTGGGCTGTGTTTGCTGGAAGCCAGAAAGAGAAGGGATCCATCTTATATGACAGTTTTTGTTTAACCGAGAGCACAGGTTTATCTATCAGAATATTTTTTCATCCAGTGAAAAAGGCACACAATTTTTCTAAAAGTATCTTTAAAAAAGAATTGTCTCTTATATAGTAGATAATATTTTTTAAGAGCAGTTTTAAAAAAGACAAAGGCTTTCAAACTGCCCCTCTTGAAATGTAAAGGATATAATGTTAAATTGGATATCCAAGAAAACATTTATAAAGTAAAATTAGATAATGTGGTTTATCAACATTGGGACAATCTTCACCTGACCTTTGTATTCCAAGATAGTTTTGATGAGAAAGGAGAAAAGTAGTTTTATGGATGATGCAGATTTCTTGATGCAGAATTAATGGATAGTACAAATAAAAATACTAGAATAATAATAATGTCCTTGTCTTTGCCGGGAGCTCTTCATTCAGTCTTTCTTTTATTTCTCAAAGTTTACTGTAGCAGCAGAGTAGTGCGGAATAAGTATGGTCCTTGGTATTACAAGACCTGAGTTCAGTTCCCAACACTGTCACCTACTAACTGTGTGATACAGGATAAGGGAACTAATCTCTCTACACCTCGATTTTCTCATCTGCTAATAAAGAGTGACTAGTACCTTGATGTTTCAAGAGTTAAATGCATAAGCAAACGACTTGCATAATACCTGGAATTTAGTAGGTTCTCAATAAATATTAGATGAATCTTTTTGTAACTAAATGTGATTGAAAATGTCATGTCGTCTCTCAAGGAAGGTCAACAGAGGCCAATAGAGTTCAAAGGAAAGTTCTAGTGTAATGATTTTCATTGGTTCAAAATATACTTGGTCCTTTGGAGGTTCACTGTGGTTGCCTTTCTCATTCATTGGGGCAAAGAAATGGGTGGCAAAGAGGTATGGAAAGACCCTCTTGCCCTTTCACCCCTTTTTCGCCTCTCCTGCCTCTCTCCACCTCCGTCAGTCCCTGGCCCTCGCACAAAAGCTCATTGCATTCAGCTCTTTGGTGGCTTTGTACCTGTTGGGTCTGCCCCCATCTAGGGCCCCTTTTTGGCCTTTCTTTTTTTCTCTCTCAAAAGACCCCAAGGGGGTTCCAGGGCCCAGTGGCTGGGCTCCCAGGTTGCCTCACAGAGAAGGTGTTGTTCAGCAGAAAGGCATGTGGAGTCCCAGGGTGAGAGAGTTGGGGGCATTATCAATCATGAGCTGCTAAAAGCCAGGAGAGAGACGGGAGAGCTAGCAAGAGCAGGGAGGACTGAATTGAAGTGGAGGATTTTTTTTTTCCTGTTCCTGTTGTTGTCGTTGTTGAAGGGAGCGTTCTTGGACATCTGCCCAGACACATGCTGAGTTAAAGAAGCAGCAGGATAAATTCTTAAAGAATGAATTGGGAGAGGGGAAGGAGCTGCGGGTGGGGAGGAGTAGTGAAAAGGAACCAAGGAATGATTCCAACCCCCAAACAAAGGAGGCCCCTGCAGACCAGACCAGCCTCAGCCTGGCCCTTCTGTGGTTCAAACATTGGTTTGTTTAGCACATAATCCAGGAACACCAAGGATCCTTAATAGCTGCTTTGGGCCCACAAAAGGGCCACAGAGGGAAACTACAGTTTCTTGAGCTTTCTTCTTTATATCCAATGCAGGCTAAGAATGCCATGGGAGAGCTTCTCTCCCTCACTTGATTGGCCCCAGAAATGCTTACTGAAGTACCTCAGTTCATGATGCAATCAGTGTGGTAGCATAAGCATAGGGCTCACTAGTGGTGATGACATGTTCTATTTGATGACAAATGTCTTTTTCTTTTTAAAGAAAAGAAACTTGTAAAAAAATGCTCTCCTAGATTCTATGGTAGGAAATCAGGGAGCTTCTAATTAAGGAACTTCCCAATATAGTTTCCGAAAGAAAAATAAGCAAAACAAAAACAAAAGCTTGTGACGATGGTGGGACAGTTGGATTCTAACTGCATCCCCTTCCTCACTAGACTAGAATTGCCCATAGACGTGTCATTAGAGACACGCTTGTGTTATTCAGTTCATTCTCTTTGCTCTAAATTTCTTAATAGAAATTATATTGATTGTTGTTCTTAGACTTTGGAATAGGTCGGTTCTGAATATTGAGCTGACATGTCAGACAGCCCCCATGATAGCTCATTCACTCATTTCTTCATTGCAACATATACATCTTCACTATCAAATGTATATCATTGACGGTCTTTTGTGGTTTGCCCCTATGCTAGGGTTTGGGAAGATGCAGGTATATTGGGCCTTAGCCTTATCAATCAAACCATGGAGGACTGGCATTTTCAGCTAGAGTTAACAAACCTTATTCTTCTTGGGTGAGGAAGTTCATACCAAAAGAGAAACTGCATACTTTATAGAAACATTAGGCGATCAAAGCATTATAGTCAAAATATAGTCTCTGAAAATGGCACAGGTTTAGTATTGTACACTCTGCACGTGCCACATTTGTTGACCCTGTTAAGCCTTCAACCAGCTCTGCCATGGGTACCCACACTTTCCCTGTAGTTCCCTAGGTGGGAAATGAAGAAAAGTAAGAAAAGCAAAATATGGCCAACCAGTGCCTATTCAAGCCTAGTCATGCTCAGAACCTTTTATTGATGATCTGAAATTAAGAAAGGTGGTAACACTGCTGTCCAAAGCAAGAGAGATTAAGAGACTAGCTTTTCAAAACACAAACTTGACTTTATTATACATTCACATAAATGTATTCACTTCTCAAAGTGTTCTTCTCGTGACACTATGCACTTAATATTGCCATTGTTCAAACTATGATTGAAATGTCCCTTTGTTGTCTTCAAGTCACTGGTTTAAAAAAAAAAGATCAGCACAGTGGTCTCTAATTTATGTAGCTGATTGTTCTTGACAGGGCCCCAGGGATCTCCAGTTAGGAAGTTCCGTTATGTTGAAATGCGGTGAAACAGGTTATCCATGGCCTTGTCACATGGCAATGAAAACAAAGGGACTCAGGATCTGTGAGCTGCCACATGTGCTGTCTTGACAGCTCTGGCAATGGTTCTTGAACCATCAGTCATTATTCAATGTAGTAGATGAAAATTCAGATACTACTGAACTTGATGTCTCTTTGAATATGGTGATTTCAGGGGCAGCTGAGGGAATGAGATATTTTTTATCTATTCCAATCTGTTTTAAATTATTTTGAAAATTATTTCTTGAACATTGACTGTTTTTCCTATCCTGTATAATATGAAGGGTCGTACAGAAAGGGGGTGGATGATGGAAGGAGAGACAAAAAGAGAAGAAGCTTCTGCTGACTTGTGCTTTGTATCTACAGGGCTGCTGTGGAGGAAATTGTGTTCCCTTCCACCCAAATGTAGACAATGAAGCCCTAACTCCCAATGTGACTGTATTCAGAGTGAAAAAGTAATTGCGGTTAAGTAAGGTTATAAGGGTGGAACCCTGAGCTGATAGGATTAGTGCATTTATTAGAAGAGACACTACAGAACTCATTTGCTTTCTCTCCACCATGTGAGGACACAGGGAGAAGGCAGCTGTCTGCAAGCTAGGAAAAGAGCTCTCAGCAGACACTACACCCTGCTATAATCTTGATCTTGGACTTTCCAGCCTTTAAAACTAGGAGAAAATAAATTTCTGTTGTTTTAGCCACCCAGTCTGTGGTATTTTGTTAAGTAGCTCATGCTAAGACAAGACATTTTTCTGGTTACATCTACCAGATAAATGGAAAAGAGTGAAAAACAGTGAAAGTTTCCTTCCCAATTCCCTAAGGTCAATCTCCATTTAATGGTGGGAGTGACTTAGAGTGAAGAGAAATGGTTCCCACTACAAGCCCTGTTTGGGTCCATGTGGGTTTTCTGAATCCGCAGATTAGACGTTAAAGTGTTATTATAAACTTGGTTGTTGGTGTACCTTCTTGTTTCTCAAGATTGCAAGCTCAGAACATCGTATACATGTTACTGATCTGCCCTATTGCATTGACGCCTGTGAATAATTTTTTTTGGTCAAGTATAATTCTATTGAAAAGACGAAATTTTGCTGATAAAGTGTATCTAAACTGAGTTTATTTAGACTTGTAAGTCAGCTGAACAACGGAAAATACTTAAATGTTTTTTGAAAAAATAAACTGCTTAAGATGAATAAAAATTAGTAAAATGAAATCCTGAGTCTAGTTATATCCTGGTTTCCATCAAGAAGAAGGCCGACCATGATCAGTTCTGTTTCGGCAACATGACATTTTTAATCTCAACTCATCATTAGGCACCTACTGTGTGTCTGCTATTTTGCTCATAAAAAATGTGGGAAAGGAACCTTATAGTAGAAATTAGTGGTCTGGTGCAAATAAGATTTCTAAAAATCAAATCAGGATGAAATTCTATAACGGAGGGGCAAAGCGGTCAGTTGATTGAGTCCTTGTCTTTAATCTCTTTGATGTGGCACAGTCCCACTTATAAAATTTGGCCATGCTCAAGGCCAGATTGTTGTCAAAGTATATTTTGCATGTCTCAGATCCTTCTACGTATCCACATTATTTACCATTGCCTAACCCTTCTTGTCAGGGGGAAAATGAGACTTGATGGGTTCTAAATAACTTAATGTGAATCAGTATAAAATAGTATTCTTGAGGTCTTTTTCTCATGAAGGAGAGAACACACTATGATATAATGTCATACTTTCCAAATGGTTTACACAGAGGCACTCATTCCTCTGCATGTTAGTAAAAATTATATTGTAAAAAATTTAAGTAGGTAAATAAGTTTGGGGAAAAAAACTAAATAATTGGGTTCTTGATGGTAGAACTTATTGGAATCTTTAATAGTGTACTAATCTTCATTGAGAATCCACAAAAGGGAGAAGAGGGGAGGTGATGTAATCCACACAGCATTTTCCAAACTAATTTGACCATGGGACGTTTATTTTGACCCAAAGTCAGAAAGGACCAGCATTTTACTGAACACAGTCTCTTTGGGAAGTGCTGCTGCAGTTTAAAAACTAAATTCTTGTGCAAAACAGTGACCTTATGTAAGGTGGTATTTTACTCAACCATACAATTTGAGGACTGGCCTAGAAGATCTCAAAGGCTCTTTCCAGAATGTAATTTTACACATCTTTTATTATAAAATCTTGGCAGCATCTCTAAAGGGAGAATTTCAGGCTAAGGGAAGATGTGTAGGGGAGATGTTTGGAAGTCCTCTAATTGCACTGAGGAGTTTCCTGTCTCTTTTTTGCCTATACGAAGGGTGTTTCTGCTTATTTGATTGTGCAGTGCAAACTTTTGGGATTTGATCAGATGGAAGCTGGGTGGGACAGCTCTCAGAGAGCAGAGTTACTAGGGATACTGTTCTGCTTCCTTGGCCAGAATACAATTTTATTCTCATCCTCTGTAAACAGTGAATACAGGAAAACCACACACAAGTTTTAAACATTCTGTTGCACGAAGACTGAAGGTTACTGTATACTATTTGGGGGAGGGGAGGGGTAGAAACCCTATACATTGAGAATTTGAATTGATTCCAAAAGTCTGGATTCACAAAACAGTACATTGTGTTTTCTCCAGTTTGAAGTGTTTCCTTGGTTTCATGACTGCCTTATAGAGGGAGTGGATCATTCCACAAAGCATTGGGAGGATGGGGAATATGTATCATTTGGAGAAACTTAAATTCAATTTTCTGCTCAGTGACTTCCCAGAGTGCTGAAGGCCTTGTATAGAGCTGTCTTTTCTTTTCTGTTTTTATTCGCAATCCTCTTTTTTAAAAAAGGACAAATAAGCACAGTTGTAAACTTTGTAAATCCAGTAGAGGCCTGTTTGTGAACATTGCCTATGATGAACCGTTCTTATGTTGGCCTCAACTGATGTGGAGTAGTGTAGCATAGACAGTGAGCTCAGTTTGACTTGTTTTCATGGATTATTTTAGACATAATACTTTCCCTAGAGATTCCCAGAGATTTTTCTACCACTATCCTGTATAAAACCAGACATGTGATTAAGGGATATCTAAGGTTAGCAAGTTTCAGAATTTCCCCTCCAAAGGTCCATCTCTTCCATGAGGTTTATTCCTAACTCTTGAAAACATTGCTGACCTTTTCTTCCTTTGGGTTAGATACCATTATGACTTTCAATGATCTTGCCAAAGTTTGACATTTAATTACATTAGACTCAGATATTCATGATTTTCAAACATAAGACTAACAATGAAAATACTATGTTCTGACTCCATCTCTTACTAGCTGTGTGAACTTGGACAAATAGTTAAGAGCCAAATGACTCAGAATCCTCATTTATAATTAAAAAATAATTGTACTTATCGCCTCAGGTTATGAAGAGGAGTGAGTAAGGTAATATAAGGTGAACACTCTTCATGTCTGGTGCCATATACATGTTCTATAAATGAAGGCTATTGTTACTATTGGTTCTGGGTAACACAAGGCATGTAGACTTCCTGAATTAAAATAAATATTATTTAGGTGATTGTGACACTGATTGTAACAGATTTTAAATCCGCCCATGACCTGCCCTCCCATTCACTTGCTGTGCATTCTGCCTTAGGGTGTCCTTGACCTTCTGTGGGACTGAGTTGTGTTTATCCTGCTGTGTTTTCACTCTTGCTGTCAAGGATCATGGCTTATAATTTTTGCATTCTCCTGATAGGCTGATAAGCACAAAATTGGTATTCAATAAAGATTTATTGATTATTAAATAGGTTGATTTTTAAAATGCTAAGAATGAGAAGCAACATGCCTCCTTTGGCTCTGGAGAACAGGTGGTCTTTGGATACAGTGGACAGGAATGAGCCCTTTTTTATGATTTTTGACTGTCAGGCCCATCAGGTGACGCTAGACATCATTTATAAATTTGAAAACAGAGTTGAAAAAGGTGTAGGCTTCCAGCACAGGTCAGATTCAAGCCACTGACCAGTTATACCCTGGTCAAACATCAGTGAACATAACCATTATTCAGGGAGATTTTGTAGCATGCAGCATCCCAGGCCAGGCCCGGGGCTACCCCTAGAGGTTCTGACTCTGAAGACCTGGCAGAGCCTGGGAATCTGCATGTTCACTATGTGCTCAGGAAATGCTGATGCCCCTGGCTCTCTGACCACTGTCTCAGAAACACATCATCAGAGAAACATGGCAGTCAGGGCGAGCCCCTCTAGCTCTTTGTTTGGTATGGCTGAATTTCCTCCAAATCCCAGGATGCAAACTAGTCATGGCAGAACTAGATATCCATAGTTATTCTTTTCACTTAGCATCAGGATATTTGCTAGGTAATGCTGACATCCCCAAACTCGGTGCCCTTTGGGTCCCCCTCCCCAGCCTTCCTCATCTCTTCCTGCCCCTCTGAGGCAGGGCTGATGGGCCCACCAGGTTCTCATTACAGGGGCCTGGCTGGGCAGCACTGTTCTTAGCTTCCCATTCCTTGGGCCCTGCTGGTCCCTGAATGAGAAACAGCTGTCTACCCACACACTACTCGATCTAGGCTAGTTACACAAAATGCATGCTGTTCTGCAAGTCGGGTCTCAGCTCTCCCAGTCTTCTGGCCCCTGAAGCATTTCATAGTTGATTTTTAATCACATTGGACAAATGTCTGCAGCAGGCCAGGGCTGCACCTTAGAGCATAGTCTCACCCTAGACCCATCACCTCTGGGTCCAAGGCCAGCCACTGTGCCACTGTGTCTTACTGGGGACAGTGGAGGTGGATGGAAAGTGTCTGCTCTGATTAGGGGCCTAAGATACTGGACGGTAAGTCTAAGAGCCCACAGGCTGGGCATGACGTAAGCCAAGTGCCTAGGCTAGCACTTATGTATCACCATCACCTTGGAGTTTTGATAGAAGTACAAAATCTCAGGCCTCACCTGGGATCTTCTGATTTATGCTGGAGGTGGGGCTCAGCCCTCCAGGTATTTCTGACACATGTTCAAGTTTACTTTTAGAATGTTGGAAGCAGCAGTTGTGTTTAAGGTGGAAAGATCTTTCTGGAGAAAGGGAGGCTTCTGAGAGCCTAGCAGAGCTTGGTTTTCCTCCAGTGTTCCGAGAAGTAGGAGTGTGATGATTTGCTGTGACCAGAGGGTTGGAAGAATGAGGAGAGTCCCTGGGAGTGGGAGGTTGTTGGAGTCTGGAAGACTGGGAAGTACAGGCATGGGTACCAAAGCCCATGTCTGTCCTTTGGCCTTCCTGCATTACATGGGCCTGGGAACTGGACCAGAAGTGGCAGACAAAATAGGGATGAGTATTAATTACGGCCCAGGAAACAATGGTCAAGACAGAGAGCAATGCCTTCGAGGAGAGAGCTAGAAGTGTGCCCAGTGGTTCCTGCCCACAAGGCAGACATGCAAAGGTGGGTCAGCTTCCTTAAATCCAGAGAATACGGTCTGCAAATGCTGCATTTCCTGGCTCAGAAATGGCCACTTTTTACTCCAAGCTCCCCTGGCTCATAGCAATTCATGCAGTAGTTATTTTAAGTGGAAAGGGGAAAAGATAAAGGATCTTTTAAATTACAAGATTTGCCTTTGATTCTGCTTCTTGGACAATGTATGTTCTTTTGTTAAACAAATACCTGGTTTTGGGTATAAAAGGTGAGGCCTGCAAGGCATGGCATGAAAGAAAATAAATTGTTCTGCATAAGAAATGATTGAAAATTTTAACGTAGGTGTGGGCAGAGTAGAAAACTGAAAAGAAGGTTTGTGGAAGGGGGAAGATCTTATTTCCATCAGAATAGAGAATCAAAAATAAGAACATAGGACTGGACTTCAGGAATTTGTAGAAACTCAGGGAAGGCATTAAACTCCTCATTTAGCATGAGATAATGGGTGTGGATCCGTTGTATATAGATCTCCAAGGATGGTTCAGCTATGCTATGGGTTACCTTCAGTTTCACCTTGCACACAGAAGCTCCCAAGAGGGCTGGGGCCTCATTTACTGGCTTCATTCCTCAGCAAGAACATGGTGCTAAGCCTTGCATAGAGAGAGTACTAATGAGATACCTCTTTATGGGAATGACAATACAGTGAATAAGTCAAGACATGGCACCTGGGAATGTATGGTTAATTGCTAAGTACGTATGAACTAGACTGACAGTATAGATTATAAAACGGTAATGGCCAATTCAGAGCTGTGAGTCGAAAGGAGGGCTTCCTGAGTGTTTGTCAAGCAGGAAGAGTATATGTGGATGGGTAGAAGGTGGCTAATCCCAGAGATGATTTGTGGCCCCCGGAAGCTATAGAAGAGGCACAGAGCAGGAGAAGAAGGGGTTAATCAATTGTTCTCCAAATGTCCTCCATCAGCAGGGACCAGTAAATGTAATGATTAATCAATCAAATAATTACTGTACACTCGTCAAATGTCAGGAGATGTGGCAAGGACTGAGATTCAGAGATGAATTAAGATAGAATTACTTGCCCTCAAGGAGTTGTGTAGAAAGTGACCAACAGGGGCAAGACAGAAACTAAAAATACAACCAGATACCTTTGTTCAACATAGGCCCACATGGACATGGTAGGGACAAGAAAGGATATGAGTTAAATCAAAAGGAGGGAGAGGGGAGCCAAGGGCAGTTCTCTGGAAAGGGTGCAGTTGTAGGTACTTGGAAACAGGAGCAGTTTTCTAAGCAGAGGAAAGAGGAAAGGGTATGGCTGGCTTATGAAGTATGAGGTGGGACAGACAGGCGACTAGGCTGGGGAGGGAGATCTTTATCAGAGCAGATGGGCCTTCTTGGAGTTTCTAGGGAGATTGGATTTTACAGAGCAGCTAGAGGGAGCCATTGAAGAGTATTAAGGATGAGGGGAGGTAACAGAAGTCCTGTTTTAGGAAGGTCCCTGGGTTGGGAGAAGCAGCACAGGGTCAGGTCACAGAGGAGTAGCCATGCAGTGCTCAGGACAGCTCTCCCTGGGGCCACTCCCCTCCAAGGGAGGGGCTCTACAGCTCTTGCATCTCGAAGAGGCCCTTGGGTGCGGTGCATTTTATCAATATCATCAAACTAAGCCAGCCTTCAAAGGTTTGTGAAGGAGGCAGCGTCGTGTTTGACAGTCTCTCTACTGTGTCCTCTTTGCTCCCTGCCCTCAGCTTTTTCCCATTCCCTGCCTGTGCTCATGCTGAAATCTCTCTCCAGATAAAAGCCCATCTGATTAAGATTTAAGCAAAAGTTTAGCAAATAAAAATACAGGACTCCAACTAATACTTTTTTTGTCCCATGAATAGTTCTAAAAAAGAATTTTTAAGTATTTTAAATTCAAATTTAACTATTGTCCTATATTTTATCTGGCAACCCTACATTTAATACGTCTAAGAATCTCATTTTAGAGTTTAGGGATCCACCTTGTCTGGCTGCTCAATGTTTCTTTCCCATAGGAAGATGCTGAGGCCCCTAAAGGTCAAGTGGTTTGTTTGTGAAGTTCACACGGCCAAGCCAGAGCAAAGCTGTGACTTCCAGACCAACTCTGTGTCCACTTGGCAACCTGTTCTCTGTACCTAGGAATGAATTAGTTAAATGTGGCAGACTTCCTAGAAGCATTTGCATTTTTAAAAGAAGGCCTGAGGGCAAAAACTCCTAGAGTAAGAATGTCTAAGAATGAAAATTCAAGTCCTATTCAAGAGGAAAGGCATTCTGTCCTGGAGCTTTCTTGGAATTAAGGCCTCTTTCTGCAGCCAGGGGAGCCTGCCTGGCCTTCTGATCCGGCAACTAATCACGTGAAGCATTTGGCCACGGACAACGATCCTGTCCATTGGAACGATACTTTGAACTTTTCAGAGTGCATTCAGAAACATCATTTCCTTACTCTCTATAAGCTTTTTTTTTTTTATTGTAAATGTTATTTACATGCTTTCCATATTTCCAATTTGGTTTCTGCCACCAAGCGAATCAGGAAAGTTTGATCCACAAACACTGAATTGTATATCAGCTTTTTATAAACACACTGCAGTCAAATTTCCATTATTTTCTTTGCTTAACCTGCTGCCTTCATTTTATTAGAGTCTCATGCCTTTTCCCTAGTTAGGTTCTGTCTAGCATACCTCTGGTTCAACGTTATTGCTGCCCAAGAAAAAATGTCAGATTGTTTAAAGCCATAGAATGGAAAAACTGGAAGTGCCCTTAGGCCCAGCCAGGCCAAGCTAGTGCTGGAGCTCAGAGCTGCAGAGTCCAGGGGCCTCTCCACTCCACTCCACTCTGCTCCACTCTACTCCACTCCACTCTTTCCTTAGGATTCTGAGTTCTGACTCTTCCCTAGTCTAGAAGAATGCTCTGAAGTTTCTGGACAACCATGGGTTGCCCACTTTTTCAAATTAATTCTTCGTCATGGTTTTTGATGCTTCTCAATACTAGTCTGGGAAATTCTAGGCTTACACAGGTATATAATTGTCTATTTGGCAGCTGAGAAAAAGGACTCCACAGTGATGAACTTACCGAGGACTGGGGCAGTATGGGACAGGTGTTTGTCCTTGGTTCTTCCAGCTCCAGCAACAGTTTGGTTTTGCTGTGATCTGTTCTTAGCAGCTTCTCTGCTCATGTTCCAGCCTGTGAGGAACAAGGACATCTTGTTATATTTCTATTTGAGCCACTGCAGTTTTGGGGCCCTGTCACTTACATCCCTATTTTTTTTTCTTTGCAACTGTATGGGGCCATGATTTTATCTCCATTTCTTTCCACTTCTTCTTTAAGAAACTTTTCATGCTAATGTTTTGAGTTGTTTGTACACTCCAGCCCTCACCAAGGATTGCAAAGGGCAGGAAGGGCTCTGCTCCATGGGCTAAGGACTTTGTTTGACATCTTCATAACCAGCAGTGCTGGTGGTCACCACACCACGTAAGAGCCAAGGATACAAGTCCCTGTTCAAGGTGGGCAGTCTTTGCTATGCACTCCTTTTTTCAGCTGACACTGTCCATATAAGGCAAGTAGAAAGTGTGAACTGAGCACAGAATAAGAGTGCTTCATTCTGGCTGGAGGAGGGTCAGTCAGGCTTCCTGGAGGAGGCTAGTCTTAGTCCCTGTATCAACACTCAATTATTTGCTAGTAAATTATCAACATTGTGATTTCATCTATAGCAAGCCTTTTTCTTTCTAAATCATTTATTTAAATACCTTTATAAATGTATGAAGTATGTTAAATGCATTAAAATAAATTTAATGAAATCGTTTTTATTTGATAACGGATACAGGACTATTGAATGTTCTAGTCCCGCAGAAACTAAGAATATATGCCCTTGTACATAGTCATCACATAAATGCTGTCTTTGCATCACATGGATGGGGTGGGAGAAAGGCTCAGCCTCAGCACACTGGAAAATGCAGGTGTTTTGCCTCAGCCTAAGAGGCGATGCGGTCCATTTGCTGCAGGAAGGAGCTGGGAGGGACACATGCATTCCTAGGATGAGCATGACAGCTGCCCAGCTCCTCCTGACTCAGGTCTTTAGAGGCATTTCATTATTTCTTGGAAAGTGTTGCAAGCCTTACATTTTCTGACCTATCCATATCAATTCCAGGGCATAGATATATACTAAAGGATGTTTTGATTATCTGTCGTTTCAGATTATCTGCCTTACAGTCGTGGGTGTATACAGAGACATATGCAAACACATCTCCTCTAGTCACACTAGAGGAATTCAGCTGAATTGCCCACCATTCTCTTGAACTGACTGGGTGGGCCATGTTTCCACAATTCTCAGGGCTCGTTCCCACTGTGGCTTGTTTTCTCTTGCTGACCCATGCTTGGTGGAGTCTCCCTCCTCCTTTCTGTAATGAAGATGATCCCAGGCTTAAGGATTCTTCTAAGTCCTTCAGCCTGGAGCAGCCCATGCCTGGCTCTGTCCTTTTGCTTCCTCAGTCACTTCTAAAACATTTTGTGAGCCACATTTAACACCCAGCTATATTCAGTTTAGCATTTTATTATCTACTCCATGTTATCCATCCTGTATTTCAGAGTAGGAGTCTCTTACTGCTTATCTACTCCTTTTGTATTGATGTTTAGTATTGAGCTGTATTCGCTTCACACCCTGCGCAGTGTCTTCTTATGGATGTGAATGACAGCCTTCAATATATGCCAGAACAGTGGAAGATTCTACCCTTTTTTGATCTGATACTTTAGCTTAGCCCTTACTGTAATTCATGACAGAATGGGAAGGAGCTGGGACACCATGAAGATGCTCTTTATCCAGATACTGGGAACATCTGGGTCCCTTGCTGCAGTTGTACATCTGTCACCTGGCCAAAGCTAGGTAGCCCTTGGGGTGTGAAGGTGACAAATGCTTATGACAGGTGTACCATTTACATCATTCCTTACTAGGACAGTTTACTCCAAGGCCCTGCTTATTGCCGCTAAGAGAAAAGTGCTTCAGCCCCAGTTCATCCCTTCTCCAACCAATGGGGTATGGGGTGGGCTGGATAGAAACTGTCTTCTCAGCTCTTTCTTGAATGCACGTGAGCAAATCAACCCTTTTAATTACTTACGTTCTGAATCTCATTGCTCACTTTTTCGGAAAACAGGAACACCCAGAATGACCCCCTCAGCCCCACCCCACACTACACCTTAATAACGTAATGCCTGGAGCTGACAGTTGTTGTGGCATGCAGGAGCCATGCAGAGACAGATGTGACAAAGATGAACTGATCCCATTTTTAAGAGAATGAAATAAGCTCTTTAAAACTAATAATCAGGCTCTCTCTCAGGCTGATACACACTCAACTGTCGGTTTGAAGGATGAGACCCTGATGTGACTTCTCAGCAATGAATGATTCTCTTAATATCTTAAAAAAAAAAAAAACCCAGCCTTCTCATTGCTTCTTTCTAAAGAATTAACTATTACAGGATAGACAGATGAGAGACCTGGGAAGCACTGCTTCTGGAGGGCCTGAAATGCTCAGCTGGCAGTGTCTTAAACAGTTTACGAGTGTAGATGAACCCCAGAAATTGTGCTCCTTGGTGGGATCAGGGTGAAGAGCCACCAGGGAAGTAGCAGACATTCTGCCAAAATAGAAAGTCTAATCTGTTTCTCCACTTCCGTCACCCCGGGGGATGGGCAGACTGGTGTGTGAATGGGGAAGGAAGAAGAATGAGTCAGCATGCTAGGCAAACCTGGGTGTTGCTGCTGCTGCTGCTGCTGCTGCTGCGAGGCTGCCCTTAGCCCGCACTGGCTCTTTGAGCATCTCCGGACTCTCAGCTATTGTTACAGATGTGATGGAGAACCATGGGACGTGCCCTCTGCTATGAATCTTCCATTCTCTTGGCAGTCCAGTTGTATACTGTGCAGAATGAGCTGCCAGCACTGGAAATAACACCAAGGTTGAGGTAAATGTGCAGTATTACAAAGTGTCCAGACTACTTAGGCTCTAACAGCATAACAACAGGTAGAGGACCAAAGAGGGGCATCCAGATAAGTGGAGGTCTGAGATGAAAGATAGATGGGATAAGCATTCTCCTTCCCTGTATGGGTTTTAAGGGTACCTGTGTACAGTAAGCACAGGATAAACATTTGTGGAATGAATAGATGGACAGATAAAGGAGGACTCAGACTTGATATTTGCTGAATGCCCAGTAATAGTACAGAGGGATGTGATTGCACCTCCTTAGGAAGAGCAGGTGGAGAACAATCATATTGATATGTAATTTTTGATAGCAGCAGGAGCAGGAAAACGTAAGAAGGAGGTCATTCTGAGAACAAGTTGTCTTCTTGATCCACATTGCTTTTTATTTTATTTGACTTATGCATTTAGTGTTTATTGTTTCCCCAGAAGAGGCCTGTGCATGGTCGAATTCTCTCCATGGCTGTTCATGATTTAGGGACAGAGCACCCTGCACCCTGCCATGTGTACACTTCTCTTTATGAGGCTTACAACGTTTATTGTCTCATTCCTCCATTTGGCAAGGTCAACATGGCAAATATATAATTTCCATCTTTAACAGATGTGGACCCTGAGTTGGAGACATGAACTGACTTGTTTAGTTTCTCGCAGCCAATGAGCCAGCATGCCTTTTGGCTCAAATTCACCAGCATGACTACCCTTGCTAGATCCCAGCAGTGACATGGCGCTACCTCTGCAAGGGGCTCATGCTTAGTGGCATAGCACACCTCTTTTGCAAAAGGACTCTGCTAAGCCAAGCATGGCCCACTTTTAACTCTCTTCATGCAGTGGGATAAGGGAATTGATCAATTGCCAGCTCACCTCAGGTCTGGGCTGTTTTCCTATTTCTCAAGATTCATCCTTATGGTAATGACATTTTACATCTTAAAATACACTTCTTTGTCTTGGGCCAGATTTCACCAGCTGGAGTAAAGAAACTGTCTTTGGCTCTCCTGGACAGTGTCCAGGCATCTGGAGTAATGAGAGGGAGATGGGAATGAAGAAATGGTCCAACTCTCACGTTCCCAGTTCCTGAAACTGCCAAGGGTTTTGTAAAATTGTAAGAAGTATTTTAGAACACAAAAAACCCATCTAGTTCATTGGTACTCAATTCTGGCAGTACCTTTAGAATCACCTGGAGAGCTTTTTAGAAATGTCAATGCTGGGGCCTCCCCATGCCCAGGGACTCACTTTCAATTGGTCTGGAATAGGTCCTGAGTATTAAATGCTTTTAATAGCTTCTAAGTGATTCTAATATGTAGCCAGGGTTGGAAACTTATGATTTGTTCATCCTTAACATAAAAGTAAGGAAACTGATACCTAGAGAGTTTAAGTTAATCACCCTGTATTAGCTATCTATTGCTGCATTAAAATTACCCTAAAACTTAGTAGCTTAAAACGATAAGCATTTATTACTTCTCAGATATTCTATCAGTTAGGAATCTAGGAGCAGCCTAGCTAGGTCATTCCGGCTCATGGTCTCATGAAGTTGCAGTCAAGGAAGATGTTGGCCATGGCTGTAGTCATCTGATTGTGTGATAGGTCTATGGGATCCCCTTTCCAGGGTGGCTCATTCACACACTGGCAAATTCCTCCCGGTTCTTGGCAGGAGACCTCCAGTTCTTCAGCGCATGGACTCTCCATGGAGTTGTTGGGTTCTCACAACAAGAGAGCTGGCTTTTCTTAGAGCGAGTTATCCATGGAGAAAGTCATGATGCCTTTATGACCTTGTCTTGGAAATCACACCCCTCACTTCCACCACAATCTATTCACTAGACATGAGTCACTAAAGCCAGCCACACTCAAGGGGAAAGGGATTAGGCTCCACCTTTTGAGAGGAAGAGTACCAAAGAATTTGTGGACTTATTTGAAAACCATCCATGGCCAAACTCATGTGACTCCATGTAGTACCCGAGCTACAAGTCTCTTGACTGCTAGTTCAGTGCCTCATCAACTAGTCTCATAATTAATTGATTGACTCTCAATAAGGAAATCCCCATGAAATATTTAAGATCCCATCAATTACCTTCTTCCTATGATTAAGCTGGCTTATCAGCATCCAAGGAAGGGCCCCTCGTTCCTTAGGCATGTGACCATCTCACCCCTTTTGTGATTCTCTCTGACTTATCACCTCTTTTCACCTATTAGAGTTCTCTGAAGGATCGGATTACCTTGCCAGTGGAAATATATGAGCTCCCTGTGTGATATACCATAACTGCAGCAGCACATCATATAATTTTCCCCGAAGGCTTGTTGCAGCCTATGTCGAGTCATTTGTACTTATGACAGCTTGGGCGTGATTTAGTGCGACCTCACTTTGATAAAAGCCATTTAAAGCTCATAAATATGGGTGACATGCTGCCTCCCTGGCTGGGGATTTTAAGGAGAGACTGAGATTTGCATTGCCATTCAACTTTTATTGTTCGGTAAAGAGAAAAGAAAAGAAGAGAGCGAGGAAGTAGGAAATGGGAAGAGAGTGTCCAGGAGGGACTGAGAAAGACAGAGGGAGAAATGAGGCACATTGCAGGTTGCCACTTGGATGGTGGGCATCAGGCTTCCCGTGCTTGCCCCAGGCTCATCTCTAGCCTTTCCCCAGGAGGGCTGGGACATGTGAAGGGCACCAGCTCAGGGGGAGGGCCTGGTGAAGCACACAGGAGCAAATAGGTCACCGGACATTATGAACCATTTACTTCCTCTTTTAAAAGCATTGTTAAATCACAACCAAATTACCGTAAATTGTCAAATTTTATTGAAACAGGAAAGCCCTATAGCTTCACTCTTCCCAGCCCTGCTCCCTGGGGACAGCTTTACTACAAGGTGGAGCAGGTGACTACCCTGGTCATAGAATCTGAAGGGCATCAATCTGGTGCCTTCCCCAAAGAATATCCCACAGTGCCCCACAGGGAATGGGCAATTCCATCATGTGTGAGCCAACTGGTTTTGGTTGGGAGTCCTGCATGGTCTACAGATTCGCAAAAGGGAACCCACTACAGCTTACCAATGAATGCATGGATTGTTAGGGTTAGACCCAAGGGTGGCAGAGGCAGGAGGTGTGTGGGAGGAAGCTGAAAGGAGGGACCACACAGTACACACTTCTCTAGTTTTGTGGGTGGACTTCCATTTGGACACCCTGCTTACCTGTTGCCCTCAATTTCCATCTGAGGAACCAACTGTTACAGATGCAGCCCTGATCCCTCATGTGGATTTCCATTGGCTGTTTAGTCACAACCACTGGAAGATGCTGAGGTCATCAGCCATGACCCTTGAGCTGGCAGAGCCATGGGGGGACTCCTGGGGCTTCCCCTTCATTCTATACACGAGGAAAGCCAGGGTCTGACAGCTGGTCAACCAAAGAGACCGATAGCAGCCAGGCCGCTCAGCCCAGAGCTGCTCTTATGCCATGCAGGCCCTAGTAAGCCAGACCTTTTGTAGCCTGCCAACTCTTTTGCTCAGAAGCAGTAGCTGCAGGGGAGGGACCTGGGAAGGAGGATGATGAGCAGACAGCTCCCCAGGCAGCCACACTGTGAGAGGGGCATGGCACCTCTGGCTGCAACTTGAACAGAGGCCTCACACTGAGGGCCTGAGGGCCACAGTCATCCCACAGACATCTCTCCTTTGAACCACTCAGTGTTTTACCAAAATTTGTCAACATTTGAAAATAAAGAGATTTCTCACCCACATACTCATGCACACCACACCCCTACTAGATTTTTGGCTTCTGTCAACCATCAGCTGGAGAGTTCCTGCCGCTCCCCAGATGACCCACTGCCCTCACAGGACTTGTGTGAACGTGCAGCCTCTCTCCTTTCACAGGTGGGAAGACCGAGTCTCCTCAGTTGCTCCTCTGGGGAGCCAGGTGAAGTTAGTGGCCGAGCAGGGTTCTCCTGACACCCATTTCTCAGGTCCTGCTTGAAAGCCTTGCCCTTCCAGGCCAGCCGCAGTCCTCAGGGTCCCCACAGTGGTCATGCACCCCTCCCAGGTGGCTCTTGGTGGGTCACATGCCTCTCCAGTCAAAGGGGCCACCCTTGAAGTGCAGGCATGTGGAGGCAGTAGGGAGTATGGCTTCCTGGGAGCGGGAAAGGTGATTCATGGTTTATCCATCAGTTTCTCACGTGAGGCTAGGCACACAGTCAGGCTTGGGAGGGTCTCAGTGCATTTGCACTGACTATTTTCTGTAAACCCAGGACCAAACCACCACAATTAAACTCCACAGGCATCTTTATCAGAGTGTCCTCCCAACAGACAGAGAGAGGATGTTATTTTCCACAAATTAAGTCTCCATTTAGGCCAAGTTGCCCTCTCAGGTTCACAAACTCTTTTTGTCTTTGATCCAGATTTTTATTTATCTTTTTACCAAAGGCTCAATTTTCACTCCTGTCATTTTTTTTACATGTGTGTATGGAAAATGGGATCTATTCTTTGCCTTATAATACAGTTATTTGGGATGAGGGAACGTATTTTCTCCCTCAAATAAATTGGTTGTTAATTAAAGCTTTTTGATGTGCTGCAAAAGGAGAATATATTTGATATCAGCAGCTGTGTGCTGTTTGATTTATAGTTTGTGCAAGTGCTGTGAGGAATATCAGCCCCCTTCCCCCATATAACTCCTCCTTCTCTCTCCTGGGTCTCTCCTCCCACCTTCTCTCCCCACCCTGCCCCACCCCACACACACACGTGCACACACGCGCGCACACACACACACACACACTATTAAAACCCTACTGCATTGCTCTGACTTCAACTAGAGAGACATACTTCCTGCTTCTTACTGTCTTATGCAGTGATGTGTGCTCTGGAGACCATGCATGGAGGTGTGTGGAACCTGAGTGTGTTGCAGGAGGTTAAAGCAGAAGCTTAGAGAAATTCTGCAGTCTGCTCAGAAAGGCACAGTTAATAAGGCCAGAGCTGGGATTGGAGGTCAGTTTGGATTGCTCCAAAGCCTCCCCTCATCATGCCTCCACCCACGATCATGAGAAATCATGGGATTTTTCCTGCAGGCTCTTACCAACAAGCGGGAGGGGCAGGCTCAGACATGAATTAGGTGGACAGCTCAGCAAGGCGGCATGTGCTAAGTGCCTCCATGAGGGTTCTCGGTGACTGAAGCTTCCAAGTTCAGAAGTGGAGATTGCTGGAAGTTCTTGCTGTCCAGGGAGGCTTTTCAAGGCACACACAAGCTTCCTGCACCAGACAAAGAGGAGGGCTGAGCTTGGCATCAGGCCGGTAGACAAGAGTCTAGGAAAAGTTTGCTTTCAAACACGGTGTGCTATTCACATTCATGCTTGGGGCCAGGAGAGAGATTGGCTTGATGGAGAGGAGGGTCTTGATGGGAATCGGTGACAGACAAGGTGTGATTATGTGAGGAAGAGTTTTTGTTGTTGTTGTTTTGAGTGACACAAAAGAGTGATATGTGGCTATTCCCTTTCACTATGGGGTGATTGCCAGAGTTCTCTTGCAGTAATTAGAGAAGAGACAGAGATCTCATTTTCTTTAAAACTCAGAGCCGAAGAGGTTTGATTGAGTGTGGTTATTGGGCCAGATGATGCTACTTCTCCCTAAGTTAGTTTCCATGCTCTCAGTTAAATGACGTTCCTGTGTCATGGTTCTTCCACAGTAACATCTCCTGGAATCTCAGGAACCATCCAGCCCCCTTCCACTCTCCTCATTTCCCTCGGCCCCTTTGGAACTGCCTGACTGCAGTAATTTACACACAGAGAACTTTCCAGGAAACAGGAGGCTTCACACTTCATCTCATTAACCTACATGGTGCCAGAGAGCTGAATTCCCATTTAGGGTACCAAGATATTTTGCCTGATGCCCTTCTGCACTCAGTCTCTGGTCTCTGGGTGATTAATTTCCTTGTTGGTTTGCACAGTGCACTGAATTCAAAGGAGGAAGACTGCTGCTGGGGGTCTCTAGGGTCATAGGCCCCCATCTGTTTGGCCCATTTCCATGCATCCAGCACTGCCAGGGGGCGTGATGCTCTCTGCCCTGCAGCTCAGGCCTTTCCCCATGGGCAGCTGGCTCACTGCTCTCTCTAGGGCTTGTTCCATGCAAGGCCGGGCCCCTAACTGCTACTTTCTCATTTATCTAAATTCTCCAGGGAGACCACTTCTAATTAATTACCACCTACCCTGCACTCAAGAGGGAAACCTGCCTGGGGGATGGTGGGAGGGAATCGATGTAGAAATTCTATCAAGGTCTTCAGGTTGCGAGCCCTGTTGATGGAAGCAATACCTCTTCCCAGGGTAAATAAGAAGAGGGCAACTGGCTTTGTGTGACGCTGTGTCTGAATTTGGCTTTCCTTCTGTGCCTAGCAGAGGGGAAGGCTGGTGGTGCCTGAGAGCAGAAGCCTCTGAACCTCAGCCTGGAAACTCAAGGCTCCTCATGTTGAAATGGAAAACCACATTCTTACCTGTTGCCCATGGCTCAATCCTTAATGGGCTGCAGTCTCTCCTCTCAGAGAAGCCAGGTGATGACTTAGGAAGTAACAACAGTGGTTCTTAGCTCAGGCCACACTTCTCAACTGTGAATTTTTTAAAAATAATCCAGATATCTAGTTTTGCTCCTTTATTTTTAAAGTTTAATGCTCCCATAGTATCTTTTCTTGAGATATAATTCACATACTACAAAATTCACTCTTAAAAGTGTGCAATTCAGTGGTTTTTGGTGTATTACAAAGTTGTGCAACCATCTCCACTATTTAATTCCAGAAACTTTCAACCCCCCAAAAGAAACTCATACTCATTTTCCATTCCCTCTCTCCTCAACCCTAGAATACCACTAATCTACTTTCTGTTTCTATGGATTTGCCTGTTCTGGATATTTCCTATACATGGAGTCATATACAGCATGTGCCCAGTTCCATTTTGAATCTGTGAATTGAAATATCTGAGCCTTATATGTTAAAAAAGAATCTCAGGTGATTAGGCACAGCCAGAGTTTGAGTTTCCTGAGCTAGAAATAGGGAAGTGCCCTGCACATGGATGACCCATTGCTCTAGTAAACAGCCAGTGCTCAGGAAGTGTTTGTTGAATGACCAAGTCCACATTCTAGAGTAATCTTCCAAAGCCTAGTGGGATTAGGATGTCTGCCTCCAAAGATACTTACCAATTAGCCCTAACTTCTTCAATAACTGTTCCACCAATATTTTATAGAAATCCCAGTCAAAATCAGTTTTAGTCTCTCCTTTTCCAAATCAATATATTGAATGAGTCTCAAGGGCTGTTACCATCTCCCAAACTTGTCTAGAACTTTTCCACATGGGGCTGAGGCTGGGAGTGCATGAAAGGTGCTGTCCTTTGCAGAGAGCTCTATAATGGCAGGGGTGGTCCCGGTCACGCAAAGAAACGTAACTGAAATGGCCAGACTAGGGCCTCCTGAATGCACCAGGATGAAAACTAGAATGATATTAGATAGAGGAGAAGAAACACAGCCTATAAATATGTTAGAGTTGGAACCCTGTGGGAAGGAAGGTTAAGAATAGGCATAACACTACAGTGATTAGAACATGGTTTAGGGCCAGTCTGCGTGCTCACCATAGGGTCTGTTTAGCAGTCCAATTCTTGCTTCTTCACTTCTGAGGCCTTCTGTTTTCCAATGGAGCCAGTCTCAGCCAGAAGACACTCAGGTCATGCCTGTCTGCCTAGTGCCTTACGCAGTTCTGCCACGGTGCCTGGATGGTTATTTATTACATTAGCATCTCCATCCTTTCCTCCGTGCCTTCTGGGATGAGTGAAGGAATCCAGGGTCAGCTCTTGGTCAGTACCTGCAAAGAAAGAACCCTCAGAAGAACATGGGGGTCAGTGGCTGAGCATCCAAACTTGGCAGTTGTGTGAGGAAGTGGGAATGGCTCGAAGCAAGCCCATCTCCAGGGCTAGAAACACAAAGTAGAGCTCCCTGATGTAGAGACACGCATGCATTGCTTTGTGCAACAGGTACTTTTTGAGCCCCTACAATGTGTCAAGCACTGTGGGGGTAGGGCACTGAATAAAACAAGACAAGTCCCTGTACTTCTGGAGTTTCCACTGAAATGGGATGGGACTGGGGTAGGAGAAGGGAGATACACAATAATTGAGTAACAAATATAGAATAAAATGCCAGTTAGAGATCATGCTACAAAGATAAGCCGGGTCCAGAAGATAGATCTTGCTAGAGGAGAGGAACACAAGCTGATTTGGAGATTCTAGCCAGGAAAGGCCTTTCTGAGCCATGTCATGACCTGCATGAAGTTAGGGAGGGAGCAGGCAGGCATCCCAGGAAAGAGCATTCCAGGCAGAGAAAACAGCAAGTACAAGAGCCTGAAAGCTCAACCCTGGCTCAACATCTTAATGACCCTGGAAACTCTCAGAAATGCTTCAGGGCCAGACCTCACCCTAGATAGGTTTAATTAACATCTCTACTCTCTGAAGGTGTGTGTGTGTGTGTGTGTGTGTGTGTGTGTAACCTATGTAAATCACCAGGTGATTCTATAGTGCAAGTAACTAGGATTGTAAACTACTGGGTAAGAAGAACAGCAAAGAGTCAGTGTGGCTGAAGCCCAGTAAGCTAGCGATGCAGGGGTGGGAAAGATGAGGTAAGCAAGGCTTAGCTAGTTTGGGGAAGGCCTTAAAGCTCATGGTAAAAATTACAGATATTATTACAATTGATGGAAGGCCACTAGAGAGTTATGGGGGAGGGGGCGAAATGAGCAGATTAGCACACCTGGGTCTGTGCCCTCCTATGGAAGTGTCATCAAAGGCTGGGAAGTGGCCTGCAGAAAAGCTGTCTTTGCTCATATGGAAATACACATGGCTAAGCCATGTTGGGTTATATGTGTTGAGAAGAGACATGTATACACATATCGTGGGCTAGAAGTCACAAAACTAGAAGACCTGTGAACTCACCACATTTTAATTTCTCCTCTGGCATTTTAGATGAAGAAGATAAATTCATCTATAGGTGCAAGTACAGAGAAATCCCCCAACTGTCTCATTTCTTCCTGGAGAGGTAACTTAAACAATGCAAACACAATGAAACAGATGAGAAGGGTTGCAGATTACATTTCTGACAATGCATAATCTCCGCTTATTTGAGCATTGTCATTCGGAAGCCTCCCGATGATTCCGGCAGGTCTGGCTTCTAACTCCCCATGGACGGAAAGAGGCATGAAGAGAATTACATTTCTCCAAGGATGGGGCCAGAGGTCACTCTGTGCATTGCACAGCTGGCTCTAGTCATATTGAAGTGCTATGGCCTCAAGTATTACTAACAGAATAGCTGATGGCCCTGTTGTCAGTTTCCTGACACTCACTATCTATTACAAATTAAGCTGAAATTGTGGATTTCCAAAAATCAAGGAAGAAAATCTCCACCTGCTCTCCCCATTCTCATGCATTTATTATTACAAGTCCCTAATACCATAGCCTTGTAAAGGCTGTGGGGATGCAACATGCTGTGTACTGACTGGATGTCTGTGCCAGAACGTCCCCCATCTGCTGCTGGGAGGAGGAAATTGGCACAGAGCCCGTATGCTTCTGTGGACAACATATTAGTAAAATATCTCGGGACCTTTTAGGTAGAGCCTTGTCCGTGTAATGATATGCCAAAAAGACAGATACCTCCATACCTCCACTTCTCAACCTCTGTTCTATTCCCAGATCCCATGATTCAATAAAAATGGCACTGAACTGGGAGTTAGAGACTTAAGTTTTAAGGCTGGTCCTATCACTAACTAGCCTTACAATCTTGAGCAGGTGATTAACCTTTTAGAACTCCAGTGCACTAATCTGTAAAACAAGAGGACTCGATGTGAATATGCCCTAATGTTTCCTTCAGCAGTATGAGCCCGGGATGGTTTCCCTATTTGGCAGGGCACTGAAGTGTGAGTGAGCAAGCGGTGAGGTGGGTGCGGGGTGTGTCAGCCCTGTTCATGCTGCATGGCAGTAGCACATCCGTGACGCCCTCTCTGAAGTGTGACTGAGCCACAAGTGATGAAGGCCATGGGGAAGAGTCCACAAGCACTGGGATGAGAGAGAGAGAGAGAGAGAGAGAGGAGTTCAGCTCTCATCTTCATCACTTTCTAACTGTGTGGTCTTGAGCAAATGACATAACCTCACTGAGCCTCAGATCCCATACCTTCAAAATGGAATTACGGTGTCTATTCACAAAAAGAAATGTGAGGAATAAACAAGATTTATATGATGCACCTGGCACATGTGAACATTTATTAAAAGTTTATTATTATAATCAGTCACCTATTCCATACTGAGTAATTATTTATTATTTATTCTTTTGGGGTATTTGGTTATCTTCCAACATGACATAGAACTCAGCAAGAGAAAGATTAGTTCTTTTAGTATATGCTTCTATTGCAAATGTTTCTAAATTGTTCCTGAATCTTCCCCCTTGGCTCTCACCTCCAAAACTTGATCATTCTTGGTGCAGAGGACCCCACAATGTTGTCCAAAAGTTGGATCTGGAATGTTTCTTTAGCACTAAATCAGTGATAAAAACTGCAACATTAACTCATGACATACCATGGAATTTGCATTCCAGTCACCCATTGGGATCTTTAAAAATGCATACAACTCACAAAGGACTCTTGTCCATGTGGAGAGATTAGACTTCCCCTTCACTCAAGGGGGTCGTCAGTCCCACCCAGCATTGACATGCACCCAGGTCATGTGTACAAAGCTTTAATTCGGCCCAGATGGCTTCTTTTCTTTCCTTTTTTTTTCTTTTTTTTTGAGACAGAGTCTTGCTCTGTTGCCCAGGCTGGAATGCAGTGGTGGGATCTCGGCTCACTACAACCTCCGCCTCCCTGGTTCAAGCAATTCTCCTGTCTCAGCTTCCCAAGTAGCTGAGACTACAGGCGAACGTCACCATGCTCAGCTAATTTTTGTATTTTTAGTAGAGGCAGGGTTTCACCATATTGGTCAGGCTGGTCTCGAACTCCTAACCTCAGGTGATCTGCCTGCCTCAGCCTCCCAAAGTGCTGGAATTATAGGTGTGAGCCACAGCACCCGGCACCAGATGGCTTCTTATATCAGGAATAGGTGGAAAATCCCCCAACTCCTTTGCTCTGAAAAACCTTTGTATAAAGAAGCAGCTTTCCTGGCTTCTTGGTTCCCCAACTTCTCCTGCTTCCCAGACCTCTAGGCAGCCTCACTGACCATGTCAAAATTAAATCACAGTAGATGTTCATTCCAAACCCTTTGTGTTTTTTATTCACCAATTGGTAGACACCTGTCTATTCTAGCCAAGGAGAGTGCTTAGTTCTGGAGACAGGTGCATACTCATAAATGCCTATCTCCTGCCTTCAAGGAGCTCCCAGTCTCCTATCAAAGACACAGGATCTATTCAACCTTGGGATCTATTCTGTTAGGTGTGGAGGGGGTCCTGAAGTGCACTATGTAACAGCTGTCCTCTGGACCTTTGGTCTGGCTGATGAAGCGGGGCACATATTGTCATCATCATCATCATTATCATTATCATCATCAAAAGTTAAAGGAATTATTTACCCTTCAACCCAAGAGCCATCTGAAGGACAGTATATGCTAAGTGGTAAATAAGTGGCATAGATAGAACATGGTAGACCATTTCAGAGAAGGAGGGCCCAGGAAAGCTTCCTGTAGGAGGTGAGTCTTCATTTGGATGGTAGTGATGTTTATGATCTGGATTGGCACAGAGAAGTGGGATATCAAACTTTACTCAGGCAGAGTTTATAAATAGAGGATGAGGTCTGGGCTGAGATCTTGCTGTTTTAGGGAAATGCAACTCAGAAAGTTACCAGAAGTGGTGGTCAAAAGAAACATATAAACTGGTAAAACACCTGGACTCAGCTCTTCTGGCCACCTTTGCATCTTTATTGTTCTTTCTTCTCCCAGCATGAGCCTACACGGTCTCTGTACCAGCTGTGCATCACTTCAGGTGACTTCCTTTGTCCCTTTCTCTCTCCTGGTCTCTTCCTTTTCCCCTCTCTCTTTCCTTCCTTTTACACACACAAGTGCCAGCCAGGCACATAATATGCTTTTTTTTTCTGGATCTCATTGTCCTCTTCAATAAGATGAGAGAGTGTTAGAATCCTTCATGAGTCTAACATTGAATGAGTCCTGCTTGCTTTCAGTCTGCCATCTGCCCCATTCTCTAGGTTGGGAATGCTAGCCTCCAGAGGTGAAACCTGGGCCATGGGCCTCTCTGGGGACCTCCTCAAGGTTGCTAAGCCTCACACCGGCGAGGCTACACTTGCCATCCCTGGGCTCTGCTCCTGGAGCCCACCCTCTTTCTGAGTGCCAACAGCTGCCTGCCCCATGCCCCAGGCTCACGGCCTTCCACGCCCTCCCAGGTGCAGGCGGTTCTAGGAAGCGAATAAGAGCCTCAGCTTTGATCACACACACAATAACCTCAGCACCGAGGCATCCATCCTAATCACTTTTGATTACAAATGGATTAAATGGGACAGCAGCTGCACAGAGCTGCTTTGATTCAGCCCCGCTCAATAATGAGATGCACAGGCACAGGCTGGTAGGCTGCAGCTATCAGCCCCGCCCAGCCCTCAGCCCACCACCTTCAGGGGCTCCTCTGAGTGGTAGGCAGTGATCAGAGACACAGAGGAAACTAAGGCAACTTGCATGAGCCCTGAAATCAGTAACCTCAGTGCCCTCAGCCTCTTTTGAGATCTCCTCATGGCCCACCTACATGCTATACTCTGGCAGTTGTGCCCCCACGTTCTGCACCATTGCTGCAAACATGCAGCTTGGTCCGTCCGTATTCCCATGAAGCTGGGTGTGCAGCCATGGGTCAAACAACAGCTGCTCTGCTTAAATGAATCCCCAGAGGGTCCGGGGGCTCTTCCCCTCCTCTATGCCCCATATATGGCCATGTGATCTATCAGGGCTGGTAGGGATAATAATATTCTCACTAATATCATTTATTGGTATAATAGGTATAAAGCACATTCATGGCCTCCATCCCATTTTATTTTCCCCCAAATCCTGTGAGCTAGCCAGGATTTGGAGGACCTTATTTTCAGAAATAAGGAAACTGAATTTCAAGCAAGTAAAATGGCTTTTCCTGGGTGCCTTTGATACCCATTCTGGTTCTTTGGGGACCAGCCCAAGCTCTGTCATTCTGCCATGTAAGCATCTACCAGCTTCTCCTTCCCCTCACTGGAGAGTGTCCTGAGTGTATCTAATTTCTAATGGTGGCCCCATGAAAGCAGTGATTGCCATGTGTGTCTATTTTTGTGTACAGACTGAACCACTCAAGGGCTGATGAGGTATGAGCAGCTGCCTTGGCTAAATTGCAAGGCTTAAGGGAGGGAAGGGAGATAAGTGGAATTCAACCCCAAAGCCAAGAGTCCTCTGGGCTGGTGGATGCACTAACAAATTTGACCTTGGGGCATTTAATGTTTGGCCAAAAGAGTTTGAAAGAGCACTGGGGAATTCCCTGTTTCTAATAAAAGCTTCATAGAAGAGCCAACATTTCCAGTCACCTCCTGCCCACCTTTGCCCTAAGCCCAGGAAGGCAAGTTGCCAACCTTATGCTGAGGTGGCCACTTACAACTTGCCCATGGTAATAGCCAAAGCCCCTCCGCATTGCCCACAGCTCTCCCATGTGAAGAGATTTAGAGGGCCAGGTGTAAGGGAGAGGAAGGGTACAAAGTTTAACACCAACAATTTCATCTGTTAATGTGGTACAGTATCTTCTCCTGATGATCTCATTTTAGTGGTCTAAGTTGAGCCTCGCCATACCCCTTAAAGATATCACAGGATGGAGGGAAGACTAACTCATATTTATGAGGCACTGACTCCTTTGTCTCATTACAGACATCGAAACATCCCCATCCAAACATCCCTATGAGGTAGCTAATGTTATCCACCTTTTATGGATGATAAACAGAAACTTGAGATTCAGCTTCTAAGAAGAGCTCATATCTGAACTTGAGTATGATTGGCTACTAAGCATGTGTTACTTTGCAGAACACACTGCCCCATCTGCATTCTAACTGCACAAGTGAATAAATTGAGCTGAATATGTGAAATGATAAGTAACTGGAATAAGGTCACAGTGCTAGGTCATGACAGGATTTGGATTAGAATCCAGGAGTCTTAACCTCAGTCTAGTCCTCTTTCTACATTATAAACTGCAGGGGCTCTTCCAACGTGCAAATTACTTTTTCCTGCCAGAAGCCTTCACCATGATGTTCCATCTACCTGAAGTGCCTCTCCCACAGCTCTTCAGTTAGCAACTTCTACTCATCCTTTGGGGGATGGCTTTATTGTCACTTCCTCAGGAAAGCCTTCCTTGACCACTCTCAAATTCTACATCAGACCGGTCTTCATTAATTCTTTTGTCCTACCCATACCTTTTTTCTCATTACTTTTTCTTGAACTTATCACAGCTCTAAATTATATTTGGTTTTCATATTCAAAATAAATGCTGTCTCCCCTAATAGACTCTTGGGTTCCCTGAGAGCAGGGCTTATATATTATTTGTTCATTGGCGTATCCCCAGAATGCATCACAAGGCCTGGCACTTGCAGGGGCTCCCTAAGAGAAAGTTGAAATTCAGAATGAATGTAGCAAGCAGATGAGAGGGGGAAATGAATCTTCAGTTCCAAAGAAACTCGCAGACATGTAGACCCACTGGAATAGGTCCAGGTGTAGCAGACTCACTGCGTTTATCTGGGATTTACTCAGGTACATCTTGAATTCCTAATAATGCAGATTTCTCAACGTGTTCTACAAGGTGGGTCAATCCCAAACACCTTTTGATTCTCCTTCCCTAAGACATCCTCAATGTATGTAGTGCTGCAGCCAAGACAAGCTATGCATCAGCCCACAAACCCACTGTGTGTTAGTGTTCTGCATTGAGGCTCCCAGCACTGAGCCAAACCAAGATGTTCATGGGCTATTGACCATGCCTACCCTACCACCTACCCACTCCAATCTTCCCAACGTCAACAAAAATCATTCTTCAACTTCTTAGGCAAAAACCCTTGGCATCGTCCTTCACTCCTGTCTTAACCTCTCATGCCATAGCTAATCAGTCAGCAAATACTGGGGGCTGTTAAGAAAACAGCCAGTGGGCACTTTTTTTCAGTGTATCTCAAATTGTGCCCCACATTGGTTTTTCTCCTCCATATTACCCCCCATATCTCTCAGAGTCATTCATGCACCATGACCTATACCTCTTAGCTCTGACCTAATGGCTCTTACGTGATGTGGCCTCACTCTGCTGTCACCTCCTACCACTGCCCTTGCTCTTTTTCTCTGCTCTAGGGTGCCAATCTCTTTGCTGTTCCACCAACACTTTGAGTACTATTCATGTCAGTAACTTTGCACATTCTATTTCCTCTTTTGGATTGCTCTTCTCCCAAATACCAGATGGCTCACTCCCTTCTTTCATTCATTTGGGTTTCACTCTAACATTCCCTCCTTAGAGAGGCCTTCCCTGATCAGCTTATTTAAAGCAGCATATCCCCCACTCTGCTTTTTCTTTCTGCTTTATTTCTCTCTTCTTTTATTATAATTAACAGGTTATAGTGTTATGATCGTTATTGTTTATTGTTATTATTTTACTTCATTGTTTGTCTCATTGAGAATAAGGACTTTGGGTTTTTTTTTGGTTCGTTTTGGGGTTTTTATTTGTTTGTTTTTTGTTTTTGTTTTTGTTTTCATTTTGCTATTTCCCTACATCCTAAAAAAATAAATATTTATGTAATGAATTCATTGGCATCTTTCACATGAACTCCGTGCAAAAGTCTGACTACCCTCACACCTGGATTGGCACTGAGGACATGGTGATTCCTGAAGTTGTTGGGATGCCCTGTTCCATACAAGTTACCTGGACTGAATTCCAGACTAGTTGATGTCTTAAGTGGACGGGCTGATGAACACACCAGTGGTGCATTGGGGCCAACTCATGCTAGGTGGCAAGAGCCAGATGGGCACATCTCTTTCCAACTCTGCAATCAGTGACTTCAGGCTAGTAGCTTGACATCTTGGGAGTATTTACACTATGGAAATTGGCAAATGCCTCACAATGGTGATTCCCCCACCCAGAGAGCCAGTTGTTGAAGAATTTCCAGCACATGACTGGTTAGTTACAGTTACTCTCACTGGCATGGTGTGCTCAGATCTGCCTGCCACATTGAGGGGAAGGCTTTTATAAGCTAGATGATGAGTGATGGCATTGCGATCCGTGTTCAAGAAGAAAAAGTTGAAAGCACTTGGGATATTTTGCCTGGGCGTGTCATCAAAGGATCAGAGGCTGGCTACTGGAATAAACAGGCTGTAGCGTGTGCCTACGGGCAGGACTGGGGAGCAACGGGAGAGGATGAGTCCTCTAGTTTTGGTGTTTGGATCTAACTTCAGTCATGGGGCCTAGAAGCTGTTGCTTAATCCATCTTGTTTTTTTTTTTTTTCAGTCTGTAGAATGAGGTTCACATTCCCTATTTCACAGGAAGATCATGAAGGTTAAAAAAAAAAGCAATTAGTTCCTGCTCCCCAGAACTAGAGAGACAAGTTTCAGTGAGGCATATTTCAAATGCATAAAGGTAGAACTTGTTAAGGGCTATTGCTGTGTCACTAAAATAGCAAGTGCCACTTCCCCAAAGTGCTCAAGCTGAGCTCCCATCTGTCAGAAAAGGTGGAAAAGGGAATTCCTGCATTGGAGGAAGGCTGGTCTGGATTATCCCTTCCATGCTAAGACTTCTAAAGCCAAGAGCATGTCCCTGGGCAAGTCACTGCCCGATTTTTTGCCTCATTTCCTCCATCTGTCAAACCAGCAGGGAAGTTTCCAGCCCTTCCTGTTTTTCATTGTTGTTGGGATGATTATGTGAGATCATCTTTTGAAATGTTTCTAGGTTGAGGGAGTAAAGCTATTTTATCAATCTCATATCTTACTACTTTTGTTATATTAAAAATGCTTTATATCTTGAAATAGGACAAGACTCCCTGTGACTTGATTATCAAGAATGCCTGCCATTTGCACTCAATAGATTGAAAGGGTAAATATTTAAAGCAGCCCTATTGCAAAACTCTTGTAAATTTTATGTGGAAATAAGCTGTGTTTGTTATAGTTGGAGTGCTTATTAATATCCTATGAGGTTGAGGAAAGCCTTAGAGTGAGTAGAGAGAATGGCCACTGCTGTTAACATGCACATGTCTTTCATTGCGATATGGCAAAGGTAAGAGAGGGGAAAGAAGTTGGTATTCTTTTCCACTTTCTTGATGTTCTTCTTTCCTGGAGCCACCCTTGCTTTGTATAGCTCCCCGTGTAGCAACGGTTCTTATGCTCTCCAAATTATGAGCCTCCCTCACCTCTACTTTCTAGATCTGGAATTTCTCTTTATCAAAAGAGCTGAGTTCTCCAATTTTTCTTATCTAGTTATAAGTGAAGCACAAACAGAAATCCTGAGAATAGTTGCACAGCATTTGTGGTATAATTGACGAATACTGGGTTCTTTATTAAAACTAGAGTTAAGTAGAAAGGGTTGTGGAGAAAACATGAAACCTCTTCTTCTATGAAAGAACAGTGAGAGATGAGGGCATGGCTCTTCCTAGAGATACAGATAGGCTTTGCCAACTCCTGTTACGTCAAGAGCCCTACCACTCCACCACTTTTGTTGTGTTATCTGTTCCTCAAGTGGACTCTAGGTAATCTCTCCCTTTAGTAATAGACAAGGTGTATGAAGCCTGATAATGCCTTGGGTGAGTGTCAGAGCCATCCATAGCCTATCCAGTTTCAAAGGCTGTCAGATCAGAAAGGATTGTACAGAGTTCTTCATGTTAGAGGTGGGGAATATTAAGGGTCTGCAGGGATATGACTTGCTCAAGGTTGCACTTTTAGTGAATTGCTGAGTGTGTCTGCAAAAGTGAACATTGCCAGTCCCTTCGGTGGGCCCTTCTTTGTGCTATAAATAAAGGGTTTGGGCATGTGATTACTAAAGGGCTTTCAGACTAACTTCGCAGCTACTTCCAGTCCTGCTGATGTAGGATCTGTGTGTTACATTCATTTTGCTCAGTCTCAGTGGGCAATGTATAGAGAGCTATCCCCCAACTGAATCAGCCAGAAATTCTGGACAGGTTTGGCCAAAAATGGGTAGACTGTGAGTCAAGCATACGTGTGAGTTCAGGGAGAACAATGAAAGGATATCTTATTTGGAGAAGAGGTCTGGGGAGATCTAATCCACATTTGACTGAGATGTTTTGGCATAAAGAAAACCTTCATTTCCAGATACCTCTGTGAGATGAGCACAGAGTTCTTGAGAGTGAAATCATGGAGATTATTTTTAGCAAATGGATTGGTTGAGGCAGGATTGTATGAGACGCAAATACACACATACATAGCCCAGAAAAGGAGAGTTTCTGGCGACACAGCTGCTTCCAGAAGCTGTTTCCAGAAGGTATGAAACACAAGAGGGAGATTTTTAACAAAGGACGAGGAAGTATACATGCCAAGGAGCCAGACTTCCTTGGAAGTTGTCATGAGAAGAATCTAGTCCTGTTTTCCAAGGATGTTTTGTTTGCCTAATGCACTGAGAGCATCTTTAGAAGCTGTGGCAGATTCTGCAGAGTATCTTCAATGGTGAAGAATCATTTTGAAAACAGCCAGCTGTCTCAGTCCTCAAAGAGCTCCCAATGCTAAGGAGTGGCAGGACCGAATCCTGGCATTTGCAATGCCAGTAACACTAATGCAAGAGCAGGGCCATCTGTGGAAGGGATTGCAAATTGATTGCACAGTTTTCAAATAGCAGTTCAAAGATATTTTCATTTCAACCAATGGCAAAGCATACAAGCAAGCAAGTTCCAGTTGGCTAATTAAAATAAACAAGCAAATAACCTGATTTAATGTCTTTGAAAATACTCAGTAATATTTCTGATAAAAACTGTTAGCAGAAGTATTTGATAGACAAAGACTATATTTTAAAATATTTATTTTGTGAAGGTTGTTTTTTGCAAAGGAGAGGAAGAGCTTGCTTTTCACCTCTCTTCTCTTTGGTGAAGATAGTTGTCTTCCTTGAAGGCCCTGCATCCTGCTGTCCAGCTCCTTCATTCTGTCAGGCACAAGACTGTTCTTGCCACCTGTGCTCTTTCTAGATCTCATGCTGTGTTGGATTTGAAGATGAAACAATAGCATGTTTCATACCTGTGGTAATAGAGATGGCTTACTTGGGATTTTCTACTTCTCTGTATTATTAAAAGTTATAATACACTTTAATATTATTAAAAGTAATAATTGCCCACCTATATGATCATGATATCACTCTTTCTTGGGATGCAACTATCTCCTTCCCATTATTGGTTACCATCTGTGATGGTGTCTGGAACTTGGCATGCCATTGCTGGAAGGAAGGAAGGAAGGAAAAAAGTGTGGGAGGGAGGAAGGAAGAGAGGAAAGAAGGAAAGAAGGAAGGAAGGAAGGATTGGGGGAAGGAGGGGGAAGGGACAGAGGGTAAACTTGTTTGGGGAGAGAAGATACACATGATAATTAACAATGTTCATAGCAGTGTATAGTACAAAATCCTTTGGTCACCCAGATTTAGGAATGAAACTCCTTTGAACAAAGTCAGCTTGAGTTTAGAAAAATTTGAAGGGGAGATCAAGATGGCAGAGACAATACCTTAGATGCCTATCTTGTGGGGCTGCATGGGGCTAATGGAAAGTCTGACTTTTACCTGCATGGTGAGTCACCTGAGGCATGGCTGGCAGTGGTACCAATGTCCCTGGGGACCAGGCTGCCTCCCTGGCAGAGTAGGGAGGGAGATAGCAACCTTCCATGAAGGGATTCCCAAGGGGATCATGGATGGCTGAGACAGAGAACTGGACTTTCCATGATTCAGAGCTATGTCCACATTCCAGTTCTGCCACTTTTTGCTGTCATAACCTTAGGTGAGTTATTTAAGCAGTTTGAGCCTCAGTGTGTTCAACTATAAACTGGAGAAAATAATACTATCTTGCACTGATAGTGTGAAATTTAAGATAGATAATGAAGTTAAAGTACCTACCTGGTACAAGAACAGGCTAAAGTAGGTCCTGAGACAGAAGAACAGGCAAAAGTAGGTCCTGAAAAATCATAGTGACTTTTCATATTATAATAGCCAAGAGTTCAAGGTGGGCTTTCTGGAGGAGATTCTCCTATTTTTCCTGCAACTTTTACAATTATAAAAGTTATGAATACCTGCAACTACAAGGTTCAGTTCATTGAGTTCTGCCTGGCTTTATCCCTTTCGGATGCCCACCTGTAATCATGATTAATTGCTCCAGATTTGGCCGAGGGACCCAGATTCTCTGCCAAATTGGCTCCACTAAGCTGAGGAGCAGAGCTTTTGACTTCGGTGCTCAGATACTCTCTGAAACAAGCACCTTCTGACTTTTCCATTCTCTGCCACTGAGTGAGCCCAGGGATTTAAATCAGTTTCCTGGGATTCACCAAGGGGATGAATTAGAAAGCTTTGATACTCATCTTGGGCCAAGTGAGCAGATCATCTGGTCAGTTCTAAGCAGAAATTCCGTAAATGATGAGAAGAAGAGGAAAGCGAGGGTGGATATTCCCTCAGCACCCAGCTTTGCTTGGCATATGTTCAAGGAGGGAATCCTCCTTTATTGGCTTTTTACGGACTTTGGAAACAGCCCACAGATGCTTGCAATGTGATTTCTTAATTTTGTTGGAAGGAAAGGACCTACAACCCAGATTGTGCTCCTGAGAAGCAACATATCTTTAGCTCTTTCCTCTTTTCTTACATTAGTTGTTCTTTCCAAAACATGTAGCTTGCAGAACTTCAGATGAAGACAGCAGGCATACTGCCTGCAAGATTGGCCAGGCGCAGTGGCTCATGTCTGTAATCCCAGCACTATGGGAGGTCAAGGTGGGCAGATCACCTGAGGTTGAGAAGTTCAAGACCAGCCTGGCCAATGTGGCAAAATCCTATCTCTACTAAAAATGTAAAATTAGCCAGGCATGTTGGCGCGTGCCTGTAATCCCAGCTACTTGGGAGGCTGAGACATGAGAATTGCTTGAACCCTCGAGGCAGAGGTTGCTGTGAGCCAAGACTGTGCCACTGCACTCCAGCCTGGGTGACAAGAGTGAAACTTCATCTCAAAAAAAAAAAAAAGTATAAAGAAAGAAAGGGAAGGCATTTTCCCCATGAGTAACTCATGCACATATTAAAGGCAGTACGGTCTTAAAATGAGGTCTGGTCATGTGTTCAATCCACTCCTAGTAGGAGACGACTATCTTAGCATCTTTACAGAGATAAGCTGCTTAATTCTCTTTCCCCAGGTAAATTCTATTAGCACTGAGAATGGCTTGCTCATGTATGTAGTATCCTTCTCTGTTAAAATATGGATTTGCCAAATTTATTTTTTACAAAGCTTTAATTTAAATAGATGTTAACATGGAAGTCCAATACAATATACCAGTAAAAGTTATGTTATTCTGAATAAAGAGGGGTTAAGAGCCTGGAACTCCCACCTCAGTGCCTCTCACTCACCTCACAATCCCCAAGGCCCTTCCATGAAATTCAGGGCTTCTTAGCGCACAGTTTGAAAACCACTGTCTTGTGGATTTCCTTTTTCTTTTCTTTTTTTTTTTTTTTTTTTTTTTTTTTGAGACGGAATCTTGCTCTGTCACCCCGGCTGGAGTGCAGTGGCGTGATCTCGGCTCACTGCAACCTCCGCCTCTCAAGTTCATGCCGTTCTCCTGCCTCAGCCTCCCGAGTAGCTGGAACTACAGGCACCTGCCACTATGCCCAGCTAATTTTTTTTTTATTTTTAATAGAGATGAGGTGTTAGCCAGGATGGTCTCAATCTCCTGACCTCATGATCTGCCCGCCTCGGCCTCCCAAAGTGGATTTCTTATTCATCATTCATTTCAGAATGTTAGATACAACATGGACAACCTGATAGAGCTCCCAACAGTATACATACCCAAGGTAGCCAGAGGCTCATAAGATATTATGATGTAGTGAAAAAGAACATGAGTTAGCCAAGCCAGGCTCAAATACATTCTATCACCTACTAATCCTGAATGAACCCCAGAGACTACTTTAGTCTCTTGAGCCACTTTTGACTGAAATGATTAATAAATGCTGATATTAACATCCATATCACCAGTTTCTACCAGATTTACCTATGTAAACTTCTCACCCAAAAACCGCAGAAGATGCCCTACATAAAATCCAGTTTTCTTGCATCTAAAACAAATTATATGTCAAGTTTTAAAGGGGTGGGACAAACTTCTGTAGGTTCATTAAGTTCAAATAAGTTTCTTTGGGTTCATTAAGTTCAACATAAAACAAGACTCATCATCTCAGTGAGTCTATATCAGGGCATTTGGAGGTCTCGTCTTTCATGTGGTCTCTAATTATCTCTTCAATCTGAAAGGTGGAGGATTAAAGACATTTCCACCCAGAAGTTGAAATAGCTATGACTTGGACAGCAAGCAAATGTACACACCACTGTAAGAGTATGGGTTGTATGTGCCAAGGTTACACATGGAGTCTTTAAAAATATATATAAAAGCTCTCTTGGCTCCATATCTGGGGGATTTTGTTAAAGATCTCACCTGTAAATATTAGAACCCCATCATTTAAAGAAGCAATAAAAGAAAAATATAAGGAATCAAGACCAGGCTTGCTTGGAGTTATGTACAAAGTTATTATTAGTCATCCTTGTTGCTCTTTAAGAAGGGAGCCTAAAATTAAGACTGGAGGTGTCAGTGATTTCAGGTTTAACCTTTAAAATTTCATGAGGCTGAGAGGATTTAGCAAAAGGACACAGTTCAGCTAGGATGGCAATTTTGAGTATATAACTTGCTTCTTAGGCTGGTGGGAAACCACCCCCGCGGTCTCTACACTACCCGTCCACTGCCACCCCCACCCCAATGCCTTGGCCATTTGAACTAATGCCTTTTGAATTGGAAGATTGTTTACTGTTAGCTAGGGTGTGGATTTGACTTCAGCCTCACTGGAATGGGGAACTCATGTAGCAGTCTGAGTGGCCATCTGTCCAAATTCCTGTTTGTAAGCCAATAACAGATCCATAGTACAAGACTATCTCTTTGTCCTCCCCTCTGACCTTCTGATTATTAATAGGAATTCTTCCACAAAGTGTAAACAAGCTCTTAGAGGTGTGTATTTTCAGGGGACAGAGGAGATGGTGTCCCTCCATCTTTTCTCCAGCCTTGGGGTGAGAGGGATGCTTTAGGGTGCTGGCAGGGTAGGGCCAAAGGGAAAATGACATTCATTTCATAGGTGGTAAAATGAGACCTGCATAGGTAAATGATCCCATGACAGATCCCATATTGAGTTGTTGCAGAACCAGGACTATGACAGAGGTTTGTTTGTTTGTTTGTTTGTTTCCCTCCAAGTCCAATGCTGTTTTGTATGACAGTGTTTCACTTATCCTTGGAAAGAGTAGCAACCTATTGGTTCCATTTTACCTACCTTATTTTCCAATTTCCAGATTTCCTTCTGTGGTCCCAATGGATTTGTGGTCTCCTTCATGGTTGGTCATTTCAGAGCCTTTTGCTTGGTAGAAGCCCTCCTTAGACCCCTTTCCTTTTCTCTGTCTTGACCCCTGACATATCTTACAATTCTTCCTGCCTGTTTCAGAGTCCCCAGTACCCAGTATGGCTGGATATTAGAAACTTTCTTTGGGTTGCATACATACAGTTAGATTTTTTGTTTCTGATTCTCCACTGGGTAAGTCACTTTATCTTTCTGTGCCTCAGTTGCCATTTACAATGGAGAGTGTGGGGCTAGTTCATCTCAAGCAGCCCCCTGCACACATATGATTAGATGTTTGCCTCGGCTTGCTGGAACAATTTTCCTTACCCGTAGGCTGTTCTGAACTTTTTTATGGGTTGAAAGGTTGTGGTGGGCCTGAGTTCAACTTCCATTCTAGAGCCAAAGTAAGAAGTGAGTAACACTTTACGAAATAAAGAGGGAGAAAAAGATTCATTTCCTACATTGCAAATAGAAATGAGGGCAGATTGAAAAGAGGAGAGGTGAAGTAGGAGGCTTACTTAACAAAAGGATGGTACCTTTGAGGGTAAATTTGAAAATGGGTCATTTGTTCTCGCCAAAGCCATCTTCACTCTGTCTCTCTACCTACCTACCTAGCTACCTATGCATCAATCCATCTGTCCATTCATGTGCCAGCATCCTTTGCTTTGGCCCATAAGAAAGGAGATAATCTGGGAAGAGCAAATGACTTGGAGTATCCCCAGGGCCACCAGTCTTCAGCTTGTCCAGCTGCATAAGATCCTTCTGGCCAGATGTTCAGCATGACCCACACCCTGCCTTTTGTGTCAGTGTCCCCCTTCCCAGATGCAAGCATCTGGGTTCAGCCAGAGCAATTGGTGCGGGTATGTGAGGCCCCACTCTATCCAAATGGAGTATGCATTTTTGATAAAGGGCCAGCAGAGGGGACATGACGTTTGTTCCTGGGGCAGGAGGACAGAGGGGAAAAAAATGGAGTCACCTCCTCCCCTCCTGTGTGAAGGTTTAGAAGCTATAGAAGTTTGCAGGGAGAAGGGCAGCTGTTTGGAGGGACAGCCTTAGGCTCACAGAGGTCACAAGGGAATGCTAGTGGCAGCTGTACCATGGATAGTTTTGGGTGGGAGACGCAAAGAGAGAATCCCATTCAGAGAACAGAGTTTGAAAAAGACAAGGGAGCAGAATGCCGCTGCTTAGGAAGCTGAAGGGATTTCTACTCTCACCTCCTTAGGACCCCACAGCATCCTTCATCTCCCTTCAATTCTCCTTGTTCTCCAACCCTGCCCTCAAGCTCAGAGAGAGAGAGAGAAAATAAGAAAGCAACCTGAATTTATGCCAAGAGAGAAACTGCAGCTCCTCAACAAATGGAAGGCAGGGTCATCCTCCTAATATTTTGAATGTGGACTGTTCCAGAGAGCAGCAAGACATGTCAGGAATGAGATTGGTTTGAGCAGGGCCCCAGGAACACTGCCGGGCTCCACCAGGGAGATGAAAGAATTTTCTCCTTCCTTTGCCTTTTAAATGTAATTCTGTCTGCCCTCTGCACCCCGCACCCTCTCGACCCTCTAGCTGGGAGCGGTGCGGACATTTAGCCATCCTGGGAAAAGACAGGATCCTTTTCATTAACTCCAGCCTGATTGGAGTCCCTAGGGCCATGGCGAATTTCATTTTACTCCCTCTCTGCCTCCCTGTCTTGGATCCCCCTCAACCCTAGACACAACAAGGCTACCATGAGCAGTGAACTGTTTCCCAATGGGATGGAGTGGAGATAGGGTTCAAGCAGGAGAGGCAGTAGAGAAGGGTCTAGGATGTGCGCTTTTCAAGGCAGTGGCTTTGAGGAGGGACATGTGTACTTCCTCCCCATGCCTCAATTTCCCCTGGATTTCTGAGCAAATCTATCCCAGCTTTAGGGTAGAAATCAGCAGCCAGTTATGTCTGGTTGTCAGCGCTGGATTGGACAGATATAATCTCGAGTGGAGATTTCTGCAGAGGTGCTCAGGGTTAGCAGACTTAACCAATCCTATTTTTAACTAGCAATGTGATCTTGAAAATGTCACTTATCAGCTTCTTCTGCAAAATAAGGACTTAGTCTGGAGTTTTAAGGTATGTTTTAGTACCAAACATTGGTTTTCAACTGAAGTCGCATACAAGAACCAGGGAAAAGCAGAGCCACTCTGAGTGAAGGTAGAGAGACAGGCACAGTGCACGCCCTTTGTCTACACATTTTCTCACCCCAGTTTCCCAGCAGAGGTGGCTCCTGAGCCCACTGGGGACACAATGATTTTCTCCTCTTCTCCAGGGACCTCCAACTGCCTCCCTCAGGCCCTGACACTAAGAATGGAACTCTTTTGCGATATCCTGATGTAGGTGGTCTGTGATCTTTTCCTTTATTTCTGATCCACACCTGAGCACCATATATTAGTGCCTGAGGTTCAGCTGTTTCTCCATCCCTTGGTGTGTAATTTGTAGACTTATGGGAAATAATCTGCTTTGAAAAGGGGAGTGCTCAAGATGCAGGGTTTATGTTTGGCCCAACAGCCCATGCATTTGGTTAGAGCGTGGTTAGAACCCAGAAAGGCCAGGAAGGCAGAAGGCCAGAAAAGCCAGAAAGGCAAGGGGGTTGTGACGTAATGGTGAGGAAAGACACACTGTTGTACATACCGTTTTTTCAGGACGCATTGTGAGATGTCACAAGCCTTGCCTTTGGTTGTTTCCCAGGTCAGATAACACCTTCAATGCATGCTAGTTTGTGAGTTAAACATTCCAAATCTCCCAAATAAAGGAATCCAGATAGAAGTTATTTGAGTTCCATCCCTGACATTATATCCCTGTATCCTCCCACACATCATCAGATGCACTAACACATCTGAACTGGGATGGGCCCATTTAACATTTTACTGTTTCAACCAGTGCAAGGGGTGAGACCACTATCTCTCCCTGGTGATGGATTTATTCACCATTCAGCTTCTTTCCCTTTTATATTGTTCTTCCTTAAATTTAACCTCCAATTTCTACACTGAAACACCACCCAATATTCTTCTAGTAAAACCTGTAGTGGCTGGAGAAGAGCTTGTCCCCAGTGCCTGAGTTGATTAATTCATTCAAATATTTGAGTGCCTCCTTCACACAGGAAACATGCTAGGCGCTGAGTGCTGTTTCCTTTTGTTGGCTTGGAAGATATCTTAAGCCTGCCTCTCACACTTCTGTTCTCTAGGCTCAGCAATTTAGGTATTCTGGTCCTCACCTCTGGGCTGACAATATTTCCATTTTCCTTTTAAGTCATTTGACAAACAGGTTATTTAGTGATAATTTTATGTCCAGACTCTTCTCAACACATTGAGATATGCAAAATTTACATAAGATAGAAGCCATCGTCTTTTTAGACAGGGTCTTGTTGGGCATGTTCTTGTTAGGTGAAAAATAGACGAGTAAAAATACACACAACAGCACGAAACAAAACTAGGAAGATATCTACCTTCTGCACGCCCAGGGTCTGGAGAATTTGAGCACTGGTTCCAATATACTAACACATGTTGGTGGGCGTGTTCCTGCACAGGTCACTCTCATGCCCGTACCTCATCCCAGCCTTTTATTTTCCGTCCTTTCCAGCTCCATACGAATCTTATGCCCAGCTCAAGCTAGAGGTAAAGGTTTACTGATAAATTCAGATGGATAAATGGTCATTATCAATTAAATACAAGCATTTCTGCAAGGAAGAGTTAGTTAAGGGTTGTTCACCAGGATACATGCTTTATGTTACTTTCTGTGGCTCATTTGACTAATATTCTGGCACTCAGCTTTTTTCCCGTGCCATATCTCCTCAACAAATGGTCTCCAGTGTGCTATAATTCAGACGCATTTTATTATAGAGGAAAAAGCATGAGCTTTGGGAAAATATAGTTGGGGATTTAAATCCCAAATACATGTACTAGCTGTGAAACCTAGAAAATGTTACTTAGCTTTCGTAAGTCTCAATTTTCCCATCAGTAAAGAGGAGATACTTTCTGTCTCATGAAGGAGTTGTGAATATTAAAAATGAAAAATTACATAAAGCAGCACCCAGTATGCCAGCCACCCAGGTGATCCTCACCGTATCCTAATTCCCTACCTTTCTCCTTAAGGTCGGCTGTGGCTGGCACTTAACAGATGCAAATGGAGGTGTGTTAGGATTGGCCATTTCCTTTTTCACATCTTTGCTCTTGCACCTGCTCCCACCTGAAGTGCGTTGCCCTGCCACCTTTCCATGTGAAATCAAGGCCAAATGCAAGCTCCATCTTATTTCAACAAGCCCACCCTGACTGCTCTTGCTTCATTTCCCCAGTTTGATGCTCACACTTGACTGCACTCTGCTCCCACTGATGTACACATGTCTGCATGTCTGATTCTTTCACCAAACTTTAGGTTCCTTTAAGGCAGGGACAAAGTCTATCATTACATTTCACCCTTAGTTCCTAGTAAGTGGCCTAATGTGTTGTGGCTTGGCTGTTTAATTATCATCAGAGGGGTCAAACCAGCTCTCCACCAGGGTGGTGCTGCCTGCCCCCAAGACACCTTCCACATGGGGGGATCTAGCCTGCAGGATGGGGAATGGGGGGGTGGGGAACAGTGCAGGTTTTACCTTCTCCACCTCTCTTCTGCTGGATCCTAGCTTCAACATCACTTAAGCACCATTTTTGGCAGTCATTTAAGGAAGCTAAAAATTCCAGTTGAGCTTTTCTGAAGGCTGGAGGCCCTGGGGCTCAGCATGATTTCTTCTCTTTCTTGACCCAAACAAAACATTGTTACAGCAAACATGAAGTCTTTCCTATTTTTCACAAATGCTCTCCAGGCCTAACAAAGCTAGCAGTCACCCTCCTTGAATCAAAATAAGCATCTGCCTTTTCCTCTTTATCTCACACTTTCCCAGCATTTATTATAAGAATGTGATTATTTTGCTAGTTAATCATACATTTTTATTTAATGTTTTCTTGTGCAAAACCCTGGAAAGGATGCAAAAATATTTAAAACCGTAACTTTAGTCTTTAATATTGATTAAACACAGAGGTGCAGAAAGTACATATAACTGACTTTTATTCTTTTATGTTGTATATGATTGTTTGAAGTATAAATGATAAAATCCTAATAGTGTATAAAATCCTAAATAGTGTATAAAATCATAGGCAACATATGAAAAAGGGAAACTGAGTCACATGTAGCTGTAAAGAGGAGAGGGTCATTTTTACTGAGCTGATTTTTTTTTTGTTTGTTTAAAAAAGAAAGAAAAAATGGTCGGGTGCAGTGGCTCACACCTGTAATCCCAGCACTTTGGGAGGCCAAGGCAGGCGTATCACCTGATGTCAGGAGTTCGAGACCAGTCTGACCAACATGGAGAGACCTCGTCTCTACTAAAAATACAAAAATTAGCCGGGCATGGTGGCAGGCATCTGTAATCCCAGCTACTTGGGAGGCTGAGGCAGGAGAATTGCTTGAACCTGGGAGACGGAGGTTGTGGTTAGCCAAGATCATGCCACTGTACTCCAGCGAGAGAGAGAGAGAGAGAGAGAGAGAGAGAGGACGGAAGGAAGGGAGGAAGGAAGGAAGGAAGGAAGGAAGGAAGGAAGGAAGGAAGGAAGGAAGGAAGGAAGGAAAAGCCCTCTTAGAGGAGATGGACCTTTGTCTCTGAAGCAGTAATTCTTGTATCACAGACCACTTTGATAGCAGGAAGAAAGCCAGGGCCCATCTCTCTAAGGAAATATATACATCTATAGATTCACACATACTTACAATTTCAGGGAGCCATGGACCTGATGAAGGCCATCCATAGCCCATGGTTCCTAATTTAAGACCCTCTGAAGAACTGATAGCACATAGAAATAGTTTAGAGAGAGCAGCAAGAGAGAAGTGATGAAGTCAGAGATGGAGCACAAAGTGGGAAGGCCATTGAGCCTAGATTCCCAGTCCAGAAATCTCACATTTGCCTTCTGCGATCCCACTTCTGTAGCTCTCATCCAGGCTATGGTAAGTCCATTGCTGGTCAGTTGTCGTGGGGATACTGTATGCAAACTGAAAAGTGTCACTGAGAAAATTTCTTTATTCTTTTGCAGCTCCTCACAGCCAGTGACCTTGCAGCCAGTGACCTCAAAGGATTTCAGCCACAGGTAAGTTCCACTGATGCTTTTAAGAAGTTTGGAAGAGTAAAATGATCCAGAGTTTGGTTGTCAACAAGCACCTTTGGGGCCAGGACAGAAACCCGAACCTTGGATTTCTAGCTTCTTTCCCTAGCTAACTGACAATGACCTGGTGGCTTGCTCTCCTCCTCCAGCTCCTCTCATTCTAGCATGGACAAAACCACCTCTTTCTGCTCTTTCGTTCCTAATATTCTATAGGAGAAAAATATATAGAGATCAAGATGCTCGGAATGTTAAGTGTTGGGGATTCAGCTTAGGAAAGGGTTAAACCAATGGCGGCAGAGGGTGGGTTGGGTTTGGGGTTCTCCCCTGCATTTCTCTCTTTTTGGACAGGACACTCGCATGTCTGTAATCTTTGCGGCAAATGCCTCCTAGTCAAGGCCTGATAGCCAAGTTAATCTCAGACTCCTGCAGAGGCAGACAGTTGAGGTTTGCTGATCTTGGTCAGGAAATGGGCCACTGTTATCTCTGGCCAGAGTGGTGTTTGGAGGTTACTATGGGCAAACTGTGTGAGGATGTAGGCAAGGGCTTTCTGGAGACTTTTTTGCAGGGGTGAAAATGGACATCATCCTGCCTGTCTCTGGAAAAGGAGTCCACACAAAGACACATACACACAAATCTCAGCTATACAAAAGCCCTTGTGTGCTCACATAGAGCCTGGTGTAGTTAGAACATGTACATAAAGAAAGATCAATCCAAAGGTGATCATTAAGGGACTTGGCCCCTGCCGCTGTCCCCCTTGCAAAATGAAACTTTCTGTCACCCTTCAACTCAGTGCCTGCCTCAAGGTCTCACAGTGCTGTACCTTTGTGGGAAAATAAATTATAGCTAACGGCAGCGAACTTCCAGGGGTCGAGCAAATATGTTTCTAATTGCAGGAATTTCATGTATTTGGGCACGTTTTCTTCTTTAAAGGTGTTTCACATCCAGGAGCCCACTGCACCCTCCCTACCCTTCTCCCATGTGAGCCACATCCTGTGCGCACCCTCTCACTGCTGAGGAACCTGAGGACCCAGTCCTGATGCACAGTGGCCCCAGATCACACAGAGAGCTAGGAACAGGTGACAGTGGGAGGCTAGAGGAAGAGAATTAACAGAATCAAGGGCCCTGTTGGTGAGAATCAAAGATAGATTCGCACACCAGTGTGGGGTGTTGTCATCTCACCTTGTTAATCCTCCTGTCTGGAAAGTAGTGAGTTTTTAGACAGAGATGGCCAGTAAGCCTTTTTTGTCAACCACTGAAAACCTTTAATTAATTACTTTTTCACATATTTACACAAACTTCCAGTTGGGCTAAGGGAATGTGAAACAAAAACAAAAGAAAATCAACATTTACCGCCTACCCCACCCACCTCCACACCTACACTCATACATGGTGGCAATTCCAGGTAAATATTTTGTTTTAATCTGAAAATTTATAACATTAAAGGAAATTGTGTGGTGCTGTTTTACTGCTTGAAAAGGACACCCGGTAGAGACTGAGTTTATTGGAGTTGTGTGTGTGCGCGTGGTTTTGGCATGGTTTCCTTCGGAGCTGAACACGTTCTCTCCGTGTTTGTTGACCTACACTTTTAGATATTAGATTTAAACTAATAGAGCAAACTTTCCAGTGAAGGAGAAGTTAGCTATATTTGAGGTTCGTGCATAACATTTGAGGGCATTATCCTAGAAAGGCAGCTTCCAGCCTCCCCCACAACCAGCCCCACAGCTTCCAGTGCAGATGGCTCGCTCCTCTGGTTCTGTTCAGCCCTTCCATGTTATTCCATTTGCGTGTCATCACCCTGAGGCAAGAAACATAAATGCCTATTTTTCACTCCTCAGGATGCCTGTTCTTGAGGCCAGGAAGTCCTGGGAAACTGGTGGCCAGGGTGTAATGCCCAGATCAAAGTTAATTCTCTAGTGAAAGGCCCAGATGTGTCTCGGGTCAACAGCATCCTTTTGGGTGCTTTTTAAAACAGAAATAGAAAGCTGTCCACAGGCATTGCACTGCCCCCTCCAGCCCCACTGCACCAAACTGCTGGCTTCTGTTGTTATTTTTCCCCTTCTCTCTTTGGGTTTCAGATGAAACTGAGTCCCACACAATAATGCATGGGTGTGTTCCCCTCCAAGACCCATCATTGACTGTCAGGAGGGGACTCACTGAGGACCCCTCCCAGGGATAACTATCTGTCCTCTCAGCTTTTGCATGGTGCCCACTTACCACTTGAATGTAGAGGTTTTCTGTTTGTTTTTCTTGATGCCTGTTCCTGCTTTAGACTCTTAAGGAAGATAGTTACAAAATCTTTGATGATTTTGAAAGTGTGTAGAGTAGTGACTGTATTGAGCTGGCTTTTCTGTTGATTTGTCTCTGTCTTCTCTCTGCTTCCAGATAGAGAAGAGGAAGGTAAGGAAGTGATTACCTACCTTTCTCCCCATGGTTATTGGTTACTAAAAATGCGATGTTCATTCCTGGAAATAAACACATGACTTTTCAGGTTGAGCCTGAAAGCCCGTGTTTTCTAGGGTATTGTGTTTTAGCAGGTGGTGATCTCCCCAGAGGCTGGTGAGCCTGGCCTCCGGGCCACAGGGTAGAGCTTCTTCTAGAGTCAGGCCTGGTGCTGGTAGGCGGTACTATTCTCAGCAAGTTTTAAAGGCACAGATGGAAAAGCTTCTGAAATTCACACCTAACCCACCCTGACTCTTCTACCTCCAAACACATCTCCTTTTACCTTCTAACATCCTGTTCTTGCCTTTTGAAGCAACAGACACACTTGAGTACCCTCCTTTCTAAGTCTTTGGGTTACTGGAAATGAGAACCCTCACTTCTTTTGTCTGTCTGGTCCCCTGCATTCCTAAGAGGAATAAGAGCTGACATCTAATTTTCTTTAGTAAAAGCCCAAAAACCATATGCTTTCCTCTGCATTTTTCTTTTATGCTTTTTTCCCTCTAATATAAAAGTTGTAAGTGTCCATTGTAGAAATTTGGAATATACAGAAAACCATCAGAAAGAAAATACCCTATCATTTCACCTCAGAATCATACACAATGACATTTTGGGGTATAGTCTTCCGATCTTTGTTCTACATAGACACACACATCTGTTTTTTTTTAATGGTAATATTTTATATGCTTTTTTGTTACCTTATTTTTTGTTGGTTTGCATGCTTTCCACAACACTGGAAAATCCAGCAGCTAGCCATGCTTGCACTAGTTGTTAGTACCATCATTCATTTACTACCCCCTCTTGCTGGACAACCCATTCCTTTTGCAGGCTGAGATCTCCAGGAGCAATCCAAGGCAAACGCTGGCATCCAGTGCCTTCATCCAGGATGCAAAGAGCATTCAAGGCTTCTTGGCATTTATTTATTTACTTTTATTTCTCAGTTCCTACAAGAATGTGCAGGCTGCTTAAACTTTGCAGTAAAGTGCCTGTGGGTGATGCCCACGTGCTTGTGCACATGCTTACGAGGTGGGGGAATGTGGTAAGGAAATAGCCATAGCATGGGCACCATATTCAGACTCAGGTCCTGCATGCCCAGCCACAGTGGTGGAACAGTGATGTGACAACGAACGTCCACCACAGAGGAAAGCACAGACTAAAGGATTTGGTCCTCACCTGCTACATAAACCCTCTGTTGTCTCAGAGAATAGGATACTTCCTTTAGGCAAAATGGAGTATTATTTCAAGTGTGGGGCAAGTGTAATGGCCACCTATGAAGGGTGGCTGTTTTTAATGAGTTTCTAAAATGTCAATTGCTACTATGGTCAAGGGCATGCTGTGGTGGAAGATAAGAAGAGAGTAAACAAGAACACATAGGAAAACATGTTTTAGTGCAGAGAAAACAGAACTTTCACTCACTTAGTTGCCATTTCATTCAACAGGCATCCATGGAAGACCTTTCTGTAGGGCTCCCAGCTATACACAGACCCTTCCCCAGATGTTGACAATTCTGAAATGTTCTGCCACCAATATTAGCTTTGTGACCCTGACGAAGTTACCTAATGTCTTTGATCTTGATTTACCTTATTAAGCAAAGGAGTTGTGCAGCTTATTTCACAGAGAGTATGGGCATTGATGAGACAATGCATGTGAAAGTAGCATTGTATGCCTGAAATGCACAGTGAGGTATTGTTTCTTCCATTAGAGAAGTGCAGAATAAATTAATTGAAAATTCAAATGTAGAAGAAATTATATGTCTATGGAACAAGCAGGGAGGTCGTCCCGGCAGAGGTGGTGTTGTACCTGGGCCAGGATGGGTGAGAAAAAAGTGAGGCAGTGGACTTATTCCAGAGCAGGGGAAGCATGGAGGAAGGCTAAGACAACAATGGCGATGCTTAGGTACATCTGGAGGCTTGGTGTGGTTTAATTGTGGAGCCTCAGAGGAGAGCATCGTGGGAAATTATTTGCAAATTAAAGTGGGGCCAAATTTCAGGTCTTAAAGGTCTGGAAAATGAAATAATAGGTTTTTTTAAAGTCTGAAAAATAAATTAGGCTTAAAAATTAACTATGACTGAAGTTTTCATACTTACACAAAAGTTAGCATAATAATATAATAAACCCATGTACCTGTTACCCAGTTTCAATGGTATACTGCTAAAAAAGCCCACATTTGTAGCATCTGCTAATTTCTGTTGTGTAAATATCTCCATCATGACCAATTTTAAGCTACCAGTGGTTTAGCAACCTGTTGGCAAAGTCTTTGACAGTCAGCTCTGCACCCCAGCGTGCCACTGGGATAGCTTCCACAATTGTTACCATTTTCCAAACTTGTCTATACTCTCATCTACTTTGGTTTTTAATTTTAATTATTTGGGGGTATACTTTAAAACAAATCCCAGTCATCATGTTATTTCACTAATAAAAAATTTAATTAACTTATCTAACAAATAAGGGCTTTTATAGAACAATCACAATGCCATTATCACATCTATCAAAATTACCAGTAATTTTTAAATGTTTTCGAATACTCAGTCCATATTCAGACTTTTCTGATCATTTTTAATATGTCATGTTTTAGTTGATTTGTCTGAATCAGGAAACAGAATTTGGATTTTTGGAATCCATCTGAAGACAATGGGAGGCATTGAAAGTTTGAGGGCAGAGAAGAGTCAGAACTGTGATAGATGAAGGTTCCTCAATGGGTAGAAGGCGTGATGAAACCAAGAGGGCATCAAGCACTCAGCCTGTGCTGTTGGTCCATACAAGGAGTAGGGGGGAATGAAGGTGGGCTGAGGACCGTGGGGGTATCACAGAGGAGATGAATGCCAAAAAGTTTGGTGGCAGAATTAGTGGACCAGCAGCTTCTCAGTAGCTAGAGAATTTGGGATGCTGTTAACCAAAGTGAGGGCCCACGAGAAGTGCAGTGTTCATTCCTGGAGGAAGAACGATTAAGTGTTCAGAGGAGGAAGGCTCAGTCCTGTTCAAATGAACTGTTACTCCACTTTCCTTAGTCCCCACAATTAGTCCTACTCAGAGATCATCAGAGGACACAACCATCTGCAGAACAATCCTGGGTTCCATGAGTCCTCAACCAGAAGTTTTAATGCCAAACCCCAAAGTATTCTGTGAGGAGAAGCTGCTTTTTAGGAAGGTATGACTGTGGAGTTTCTGCATAGAGAGAAATCCTGGCTGTGCTTATCTCCCAACAGAAAAGGAAGGCTGAAGCAGGGCAGGGGCTGTGACAGCAGCTGATGTTTCAAGGAGGGTCTATGTATTGGTTTGCTACAGATGGGTATTCCTACACTGGGAAATGGAAGGCAACTGGGGGAGTGAGAGTCTTCCGACAGCTCTTTTATTTTGTAAAAGGGAATCTCTGAGTTACCAGGTTGCTTGTTCTTCTAGGGTTGATCATGTTTTTCAGAACAAAGTCACCATTATCTGACTCAACTCTAAATGGACATCAGCTGTCTACAAGTTCAGCATCAACACTTAGAAAGAGTAAAATTGGGCCGGGTGCGGTGGCTCTTGACTGTAATACCAACACATTGGGAGGCCAAGGCGGGTGGATCATGGGGTCAAGAGATCGAGACCTCCTGGCCAACATGGTGAAACCTCGTCTCTACTAAAAATACAAAAACTAGCTGGGCGTGGTGCTGCGTGCCTGTAGTCCCAGCTACTCTGGAGAGTGAGGTAGGAGAATAGCTTGAACCCAGAAGGAGGAGGTTGCCGAGATCGGGGAGTGAGCCGAGATCGCGCCGCTGCACTCCAGCCTGGCAAGAGAGCAAGACTCCATCTCAAAAAAAAAAAAAAAAAAAAAAAAGAAGGAGTGAAATTGAAGCTCTGGGTTTTCCAGGGCACTGAGCCTCGTTAGACTCAACTGGAGTTTGTGGTAATGCATGTTCACCCTGCTTTTGGCTCAATACACATATACCAAGGACTTAGTATATATAGATGCCGGAAGATGTTCTTTGAATTTTACGTGTATTTTGTCATTTAATCCTCACAACATTTTGTAAAATTAATAGGAACATTAGCCCCATTTTACAAGTCAGCACACAGAGGCACGGGGAAGTTAAGGTCACCAAGCCCATATGTGCTAGAAGTGGGATTTGAACTCAGGTAGTCTGGCTCCAATATCTGTATTCTTAACCACTTATGCTACGCCATCTTGAATTAGATTTGTCTCTACAGTGAACACAGACCAGTGTGACCACTGGTAAGTTCAGGACAAGTGGCTGCACCTTCGTTTTTGAAGATTGTATTGAGTTTCCTTGATCTTTGACAAGGGCCATGAAAAAGCAATTTCTTTATCTGAGTAATAGAGGGAATTGCTGCATAGCATTTTGAATCCTTCCACCTTGGCAAATAGTTTCTTATTGTTCTCATTCCTGTCCTTCCCCAAACTCTCAAAGGGAGAATCATAGTGGTGTTTGTCCCTCCCACAGAGGAGGAAACTGATATGAGACAGAGGTAGGCAGGGCCAGCAGTGAGGATACAGGTTGCTTGTTTTGATTTCACCACATAATATTTACTTTGCTGTTTAGGAAAGAGCCATCCCAAAGCAAAGCAGTGTATAAGGAAATCCTGCAGCTGCTGCTTCCTTACACCCTCCCACACCCCCACACCCCTATTTTAAAATGGAACGAGACACTAGAGACCAGAAAAGTTGCCATTCCCAGCCTTGGCTGCAGACAGGAATTATCAGGGCAGTTTGAAAAATACAGGAATCCAGTCCTAACCCCTGTAGTGTGGATTGAATTGGTCTGGGTGGGGTCTGGATATTGGTATTTTCAGAAGCTCTCCAAAATCTAAGTCAGCCTCCTCATTTTCTAGATTAAAGACTCCAGTAAGGAGGAAGTCTGGAAGAGAAGAGGAGGCCAAGGCATCCCATTCAAAAAGCAATTCCTGTCCCAGGAACGTGCCATGTGCTTCTCATGCCCCCGGAACCCATTCCCCGCAAAACCCGGTTCTCTCACTCTTCCTTTTCACAGTGAACCTGCAGTCTGGGCACAAGAAGTATAACTTCGCATGGATTCTGCAAAGCCCACACCTGTGGTCATTCCCTGTTCTTTCCATTCAACAATGGAGACTTGCCCAAGATTGTAAACTAGTGAGTGACAGCATTTGGGCTTATGATCTTCTCTGCCTGCTAGCTAGACATTCTCTCTGGGTCTAAAAGATAATCCAAAAAGATCCAGCTTCACAATGCTGCCCTGAAGAGATAATGCATTAGGCGGCCCTGATGCAGCATTCACTGTCTTCCAGGGCAGGCTTGATCCCATGAGTTTGCTTGCTCAGACGATCACTTAGGAAACACATGCCTTTACTCTCTAGGCCTTTTTTCTAGCTTGCCTTGTATCAGCTATGCCATGGATCTTTGCTCTCTTACCCCATGCTATACAGAGTATGGGCTCCAAGCCACAGCTGGCCTGTCAAGTGTGTGTCGCTGGTCCACCATGGGATACATTTAGAAACTTTTATAGCAATTTGACATTTTTGTGATATCCAAGCATGTGATTGTTTTCCTACGGATTTGTCTTATAGTATTTTACCAAAGTTTCCACACAAAAAGTATGGATTAAGGACAAAGTATCTGGTCCTTCATCAAAGATCGTTTGATAAGCTCTGTTCTAGTTAACCAACACTGAGCTTTCCTAGTTTTAATAAAAGAGTAGGATTTGGACTCCTTATTTGTCTTTTTCTTCTACAAGCCTGTATGTGAATATTTGTAATAGGAATAATGTTCACCCTCCAAAAAAAATGGTTCCACTCGTAACAGTATCTTTCTTGCTACTTTTAGGATAACTGCACACAATGTGTATCTTTTCTCATAATTCCTAAGGAAACCCATTTAATTATTACCAGACGTGTGACAATAACAGGGCATTTTTAACAAAAATATTTGCCCACGTGCATACATACACCTCACACTGAAGCCCAAACTGACACTTTTACTCTTCTTACATGAAATCAACAGTTTCCTCCCACAAGTATACATTTTTTGAACTGCTTACCTTGACTGTGTTTTTAGTGGATTTTTTTTTTTAACCAGTATTGGCATTTGGTCCTGGAGAAAGAAGTTCTCCAGGTGTTTTCCAGAAAGTCTGGCATTTCCGTGGAATATTCTGAAGTCTTAATAAGTTCTCCTGGGATACTAAATCTCTAGACCTCAGTGAATATTTTGTTTTTTAATTCCAAGACATTCTGACCATCTGAGGGCTGTGTGCAGGTGGGCCTGACTTAAAACAAACCTAATGTGCAGAAGGTCACGTGTGAGAAAATTGATAGATGACAGGTGGGTGTTGGGGGGTAGGTGGTTATTCTTATGCAGAAAATTTTTTCCACTTGATCAAGGAAATCAGTATAAGTCATCCCTGCTAGTATATTCAAATATGATGTCGTATTTCAAAATCTGATTTAAACTCAATTTTTTCAGAACAGAAATATAAACAAAGTGAGGCCAACTGGTTGAAGTAACTTTGAATGATACCCTTAGCAACGAGGGAGTAGGAGTAGATGATGTCTATGATCCCTGGAGACTCCAAAGATTTCCTTATTCTGTGAATCTTTCCACTGTCTTTACATCTTCAGTTTTTCATTCATTTTTTTTTTCTCTTCAATCCTTTTGGTAAAGTGGCCTAAAGATGAGCTTCTTAAAACTTCTCCTGTAATTCTGCTCACTTGAGACCTGGGGTTATTGATGTTTTGTACTGTATCTCTAATGTCTGTGTTTATTACTAGATTTAGTTACAGCATCATATTTTCCTGTGTCTAAAATGTTAGTATGATACATGACTGTGCTTTATATATTTTTAGGTCTAGGAATGACTCCTGCATAGTAAATGCAAATTCACAAACCACCTTTAGAGCTTGAGAGGTTTCTTTTTCTTAATTCCTTTATCAGGATAGTTCCAAATCTCCCTCTTCAGGATGGAAGAGGCCCATCTCCACAATAAATAAGCAAGCTCACTTTTTTAGTTCTTTCCAACCCCACTACCTGGCTCCCACTCTAACCTTTTTGTCCTTCCACCTATCTACTCACCCCGTTTCCTACCATGTTGTACCAAACAAAAGACATCCATTGAGAGGTGTCAAGAGACCTCCAAAAGAGAGGGGCCCTCATAGTGGAACAGCTTGCAGCTCTCACATGGCTTTTTGCAGACATCTGCTTGCTTGTGTTTGGAGGCTTGGTTAAGACTGCAGGCAGCCTCTACTGCATTTTTTGGATATTTCCCTGATAGTGGCCATCCTCTTCCACCACCCTCCAGCTCTGCCATGATTTCCTTTGTACATCTCTCACCTTCCTAAAAATATGCACCAGAGTTACTGGCAGAACTCATGTTTCTAATGGGTGACCCAAGCCAATGATACATGGAGGGGAAAGCTTTGTGTGATGTTGTTGTAATCTTTACAGCTATAAATAGTAAAAATTGATGCTTGTTTAGCAACAAAACATAAATCTCTCCCACTTTGCTGTATCCAGTATCAAGCACAGAGAACATTTTCCATTACTTTATAGTTTGGTAGTTAAGAGCAATGATTTTGGAACCAAACTGATAAGTTTGAATCACAGGTTGGACTTGTACTAGCTGTGTGACCTCTGTAAGTTATTTAACTTTTATGGCCAGAGTCATCCTTAGTAGAGGAAGGATACCTACCATGGGGTTTTGAACAGGATTGAAAAGATAAGCCCATAGAAAAGTGTCTGGCATCTAGTAAACACTCCATAAATGTGCACTGTAATTCTTGTTACTCTTATAAATTACATAATTGAAATTGATCTTGGACTGTTGAAGTCAGGGTTAGAGCACAAATTTCAGCTTCCCAAGACCATATTACTAGAGTTTGGGATTGTCCAACAGAAAAAACAAACAAACAAACAAAATAAAGGAAACCCACAAAACCTAGATTCACCTAACCTTTCACTAGGCTGTTTATGATGCTTGCCATTTTAAATGAGCAGTGATAAACACTGTAGTCCTGGGAGAATGGCCCTAGGAGAGGAAGGAGGAGGACAGAGACTGATGAGAACAGGCTAAAGGATGCGTAGGGGCCATTTGACCAGGAGAAGGGAACACCTCACACTTGCCTTCATTGACTGCTTCCTTCTCTTCCCACCTACAGCACTTTCTGAACTAACATTTTATCTTTCACTCATGGAAGAGGAATAGCTATAAGGTACTAAAAATGATTTTTAATAAATGTATCAGTAGTTCATTCAACCACAGAGTATTGCCTCATTTAAGCAACTTTCTCAGGCCCAGTAATCCTCTCCACATATTTCTGGAGGTCCACTTTGGCTCCTACCCTGTGGAAGATTCACACGTGCAGTGATTGGTTGCCCAGAAACATCAGTGAGGAACTGGACCAAAGGGCATTTGGCTGTTTGGAGAGACTGCACTAGGACTTGGGGATTTTTTAGGATTTTATATGATGACTTTCACACCGCTAAATTCAGCTGCTTCCATATGAAAAATAAGAGATGATTCAAGAAGCACATGGGTTTTGGATTTAATGGGGCATTGGGGGAGTGAGAGGGCATCTGCAGAAAAGAGCCATCCAGGCTGCAGAACTCTTGTTTCCAGCAAATAGTCCATTGTTGACGTGGTGATAGGGCAAGTAGTTTGCTGATGGAAAAAAGAGAGGTCTGTGCCAGGCTTAATTGTATTGTGAGAAAATGCAGCTGGCTAAATTTGGCTTCCCGCCTTTGATATGTGTAGGAACAGAAATCCCAAAGTAAAGAACATGGGGTGAGCATTGTATTAGGCTGTTCTTGTATCGTTATAAAGAAATATCCGAGACTGAGTAATTTATTTAAAGAAAAGGTTTAGTTGGCTAATGGTTCTGCAGGTTATTCAGGAAGCGTGGTGCTGGAATCTGCTTGGCATCTGGGGAGGCCTCAGGGAGTTTACAATCGTGGCCGAAGGTAAAGGGAAAGCAGGCACATCACATGGCCAGAGCAGGAGCAAGAGAGCGAGTAGGGGCAGAGGTGCCACATGTTTTAAATGACCAGATCACTTGCGAACTCAGAGCTAGAGTACTCTTATCACCAAGAGGACAGCCCAAGTCATTCATGAGGGATCTGCCCCCATGGTCCAAACACCTCCCACAAGGCTCCACCTCCAAGTTTGAGAATGACATTTCAACATGAGATCTGGGTGGGGACAAATATCCAAACTATATCAAGCATGGTGTAAATACAGTCTGTGTGCTTCCAGCAAAAAGTAGATGCTCAATCAATATTTGTGGGACCTATTCTAGGGCTGCTTATATACCCAGGGGTCAAAGCAAATCCCTTAACAAAAATTCAGGTATACAAATTCTGACATTTCTGTAATGCTTTCTGGCCTTGGGATCATATCAAAAATGTCTCCTACTACACATTTTATCTTTGGAGTTAACAAGTTTTGTGAGCCTATTTTAAGACCATCAAGTTTTGGAGGTTTACTTGTCACTCACCATGATTTTATGGTATAACAGGAATGTTCAGGTACCTCTGGAGGTGGGATCAAAAGTGGACAGCTTTGAATTAAATGAGCTTGATTCACCCACCTCAAACCCATTGCATTTTTGGTTTATTGGCATCTTGTGAACAATGACCTAAGGCAGGGGTGGGTAAGAGGAGACGGGAGGGTGCTGGCAAAAAGAAATCTGAGACTGCAGGCATCTAGAGAGACAGCACATTTCATTCTTGATAAACTCCAGCAGAAAAGAGCAATCAGCTAAACAAGAGCTGGACAAATTAAATGGCTGAGTATTATTTCAAAGGAGAGCTCAGGCAGCATCAGAAATTCCCCATCAGCTGTAATAACGCCAATTACTTTGCCAATTGCAGATTCCATCGTGATGTGTTTAGTGCAATCAGGCATCGGACTCTTGCAGGGGCCTGATGGGTTTTGTTTACCCTGAATGTACATTTGTAGAGAATCTTTTGCACCTAAAGGCTTAGAGCTCTGAATGTCCTTCGCTAGATCCAGATTCATACACAGCTGAGGGAGATTATCTTTGAGATGGAGGCAGGGGCAGGCTGGACCCAGTGCCCCCGCCCCTCACTGGAGAATGCCTGGGATTTAAATATAAAGAGCACAGCTGGGTTTGGTGGTTCTAGTAAATGTGACAGTCTCCAGAAAACCTCTCTGTAGAGTAACCAACCAGTTAATCAATATATATTTCTGATTATGAATGAGCAAGGCTTCTTGGCATGTTGGAGTGTCGGACGGATAACCATTAAGCAGCAATAACAAACATGTAGCTCTGGGCGGAGAGACTTGCCAAGAGTTCATTAAGCATTAAATACTGACAAATGGGGGTGCGGGGGTTTTCATTGTCTCCCTTTGAGAATCATTTGGTGGAATGTCAAACATACAGATCATTTCACATATGGAAAGAGATCAGAAAAAAGGGAGATATCTACTGCTGTCCCCAATATTTTAGTAGAGAAAACAAAATTTGGAGAGTATACAGAAACATTCATTTTTTGTTTGTTTACATTTGGCTCCATAGAAATGAATGGGTGTGTGGCTGCCACTACTTTGAGGAGTGAGCTGCGATTCTCCATTTATACCCTCAGTCCAGGAAGGTGCTAATCATGAGCACTTTGGTCAGGCTGACAGCTCAAGTGGAAGTTATATCTATGACTGCTGGGGGTGCGGACGAAGCGCTAAAGGCTGATTTGATTCCACTTATGCTCAGCTGTCATCTGGGGCCACAGCTTGAAGGAGAATGGGATGCTATTCTCTTCCCTCTGCTGTGTGACAAGCAACCTTTGTGTCTTTTTTTTTTTTTAACCTGCCTCTTTCTCCTTCACACCTATGATAAAGGCCTCTTTGCCTGCAAAGAAAGAATTCTCCAAATTCAAAAGCAGCTTCCATTGCCTCCTAGTGAGTGACTCTTGGACTCCTCAAGCCCTCCTTCCCCCAGCTGTTGCTGAGGGCTCCCTGTTCACAAGGATGGGTCAGGTCCTATTTTAGATGGGAAGGCAGACATGGGATCAGACAGGAAGAATAGGTCATAGGATATCAGATTAGCATGGCAGGGCTCATGCTATAGGCTTCAGCAACCTTGCAGATCATTTATTCTAGGCGGGGGTGTGTGTGTGCGTTCACATGTATGTTTTCCCTAAAAAGAGGTACTTCAGCCAGTGCATTTGGTTTGACACCAGTGTTTCTGCAGCTACCTCCTGTTCAGATAATGTTCCTGGCTCTCAGATAAGAGGCAGAGCTTGTCTCCTGCACACACTGGGGACAGGAAAGACTCTCAGAAATCATGAGATAACATATGAAGCAGTGAATGGAGGGGAGGGCACCAAATCTTGCCACATGTACCCAACATCAGTAACTTCACCACCTATGGCAGAGATGGAGCTGCCTCATCCTGCCTTCTCATTAGCATGGAATGGAAAATATTCAGTGATTTATCTCTTTGTCTGTAAGGAGATTCATTTGTTCACATATGAACTCAGAGGACATCTCTGACTTGGTAACATAGCCTCCACCATGAGAAAGATGTTCTGAGATGCAATTTATCAAAAGCAATCTCAGTGGAGTGTGATCCTTTGTCTGCCCTCTTGAGTCTAGGCCAGTTTTAGAGGCTACTAATGTAGCTCAGCCATGAACATAAATTCGGTTCTTGCAACTAATATTCTTCCTCCATCTTTCTCCACAATGTCTTTAAAATAAGTATATGCTATAAGCATGCCATTTTGAGAAAGTTGGCCCTTGTGCTAATCCTAATAACTCCACTTTCCTTAAATATGTATCAGTCTAGATTAGCTAATCAGGTTGTCTGTCACCATATTAATTCATCTCCACTAGGTACAGGACCGTCTACTAAAACTTATGGCCAGAGGGCCTTTCCTTACATACATGGAACAATTAGGGTCCTTCACTAAACTTACTTACAGGATATAAAACAATAAACAGCCTATGTTTATGAAGCAATTTTAAGTGCTTTCTTATACTTGGTGAGCACTAGAAATGTGAAATAGGCAAGGATAATTAACTCCATTTTACAAAAGAAGACACTGAGGCAGATTAAGGGAATTTTTTTTTCCAAAAATTCTCAGCTGTTAAATGGTGAAATTGCAGAACTGGGTTTAAAATCAAGGTCCTCACACTCTAACATCTCTTTCCTCTTTTGTTCAGTCATGAGACAACAGGGAAGTGTGTATTATGTACCGATGGCATCTTCATACATTTCTCTTTTATGTACAAAAGATTTAGCACTTCTGCTAAACTAATTGCTCCCCAAAGGAAAACTAGAACCACTGGGAGTTGATTGAAAGAGGCGGATTTTAGTTTATTTCGGAGAAATTTCCTAGCAACGAAATGAGCTCACTCCCATGTGCCTAGTTAGCACCCCATCTCTGGATACTTTAAGTAGCATCCAAAGGCAAGGCAGTAGACTAGAGGATTTTCTGCAGGTACAGGATCAGCGAGAACTGAGGCTGAATCACAGCTTCAACACTGGCTATCTCAATGACCTTGTTCAAGGTGGATTACTCCTCTGAGCCTCAGTGTTCTCATGCATGCAATGGAGGGAACAATATTCACCTCATTTGGCATAAGAAGGATTAAGTATGCATGTAACGGACCAAGCACTTTGCCTGGAACAGAGGGCTTTTTCAATAAATGCAATTGTAAAACCCTCTCCAGCCTGGCCTTTCTCCAAGTCAGTGTATCCCATATGTCCTCTCTATCTGCCACCCTTCCCAAGGCTTTTGCCACTTTTGCCTGGGTGAGGAAAGTTGGTCCCAGCAGAACCTTCTCATGGCAGCATTGGGAGCCCAGGGGCCATGAACCTCACTTCCAGTTTTGGGTCCAGAACTTTTGTAAACTGACTTTGGATTCAGAAGCCAGAAGAAGGTCATTAGGAAAAATGGAACTGGAATCCCCAGCAACTGAGTAATTCACAAGTATGCCATCAGGGAAATAGTTTTGATGATTGCCAAGAGATGACACATGGCAAATGTGTCAGTGAAAATACTCTTGTTTGAATAAAACTTCTTCTAGTCTATTCTACTGGACCCTGCTGGCACCTCAAAGAGTTTTTTGTTTGTTTGTTTGTTCTCCAAAAATAAATGGCATGGGTAACTGGGTCTCTCAGTTTGTCATGAGTTCAGTGTCTAGGTATATTACTACAAACATAAAATATGCATCTCTTATTACATATGTCTGATTACTACGGTAATACATAAGTATTGTAGAAAATTTGGAAAATTAAAATTAAAGAATTTAAAATCATCTTAAATCCTACCCAGGAATGATCACCAATAACACTTTTAGAATACAGTCTTTAGATTTTATTTTATATGAACACACATAAAAAGATGGGACCTTGTCACTTTGAGCTAAAACCAGGCAAAGCTCACCACCTTAGATTTTCATGATATCAGAATGGCGTCTAGACCTGAAGTTGTCATTACCTGGCTGACTCTAAGAAATTCCCTTTGCAACCTTAGCTCTCAGTTTTCTTATCTGTGAAATGGCCTTGATCAACATTTTGAAAATCATATTTCCTGGAATGTTATGGATGTTTCTTGAAAGAATCTGTATCAAATAGATTTGGCAAAGGCAGAGTTAAAGAAAAAACAACATTGAATATTATCAATATTCTCAGAGCTCTTAACAAGTAAATGAGCACATGAATCCCAAGAAAGGGACTTAATAGGCCATAGAATCCTTTTTTCCTGGCACACCTGTTAGTATGTTGTAGCAGTAATATTCTTCAGAATATCTTGGGAAGCACACTGTACCGCAATCACTAAGGTGTTTCTAATTCAATATGTGCTGGATTCCCACTTTTTGGTAACACATGAACATTGAAACTGATCCCCTGGAATGTGAACCTGATAGGATTAAAAAGCTAATCCATGTGGCATTGACTCCCATTTATTTGGCGAAATCGAGGAGTTAAAAATTGTTGAACAGCTGTAACCTTAGACCTCGGAAAGTAAACATTTCACAACTGATATCAAGGTCACTGACAACCTGAGTGCAGGTGGACTGGAGATGTTGGCTGAGATTTTGTGGATGCCAACCCTGGATCGTGTGTAGACAGGGAAAACATGCTCCCAGGCTATGTCCTGAAGCTTCACATGTGCCCATTTCATTAAAAAAAAAAAAAACAAAAAAAAAAACAAGGTGACTTACCCTGTGAGAGTTGCTTCAATTCTGCTATTCCTTGTGTCCTCCGTGTTTGAGTCTTATATTCAATGCAGTTTATTTTCCTAAGTTCTCAATGAACTGCAGTGGAGTGCCACAAACTATGCTTCATACCTGCTTTACTGGATAGCTTGGCTGCAACATATAGTCGGATGGTTTGGGAAGGACAAAAGTCTCATGCACGGGAAAATTAGAAAACAACATGACCATGTCCCAAAGTATGTTATAAAGTTAATAATAAAAATTCAGGGGGATCAAGAAAAGGACTAAGCTATGTGGCCAGTGTGTCTTTGCTACGGTGTGTCTCAGTTTCTTCATGTAGCACATGGGAGGTGCATACTTGAATGATGCCTCAGAAGCCTTCCAGCCTCTAGCATTTTATTCTTGTCCATCCCATTCCAGTAGAGATGAGACCTCCAGAGGCTATGAGAAGTACAAATGAAGGATTTTCAATATAGGTGTAGCACTTCCAGAGCTTACTACTTGGGACAGTGAGCCGTCTTGATGAACTACTTAAATCTTCACTTTGTCCAAGATGTTCCTCAACTTACTTGGATCAAAGCCTTCCTCTTTCTCGTCTTCTTATTTTTTTGATTAGATATATTTTTCCTAGTTGGATAGTGTACTTTTATATTTATATGTCAAGGTGGTTTTCATTTAAAGTAAAAAAGCAATGTTTAAAATTTCTAGCCCTTAGGTCAGCACAGGTGATTTCTGTAGGAAGGGCCCTGTCACCTTTTAGATACATCCAATTCCTCTTAAACATGAGCACCTATCAGAAATAATGAAAAAACTCACCTTTGGGATTTTCATTAGTTTGGCAATCACTTCTCCTTTTGAAAGATTGGTGGACTGTACATTTTATTATTATTATTATTATTATTATTATTATTATTATTAGTTAAAAGGAAGCCAACTGTTTCATTTGATACCACACAAAGATAACAGCATTGTAAAGTCCCAAAGAGTTTCCCACTGAGTTCCTCCAAAGTGACGAATTCCTAGCAAAAGGTCTTCTCACACTCAGCTTGTCAGAGACCTTGCTTGCAGCAGTGTCTCAGGAACACTTGTTGGCTGAATGAATGAGTGAAGGAATTGGTAAATTAGTGAGTAGTGTCACTGTGTGGTATCTAAGAAGAACTTTGACTTTGGGGTCAGATAGAATTGGTTCTAAAATCGTGTGGTTCCTCTTAGTAGATGTATGACCTTCAGAAAATTACTTAACTTCCATTTTCTCATTTGTCAAGTGGGGACATGAACTCCCTTTGAGTGTTACTGGAAGGATTAGAGATGATCAATGTAAAGTGCATGATACAACGTAGGTGCCCAATAAAAGGAGGTTTCCTTTTTCTCTCATTGCTCATGCAGCATCTGGCTCCTAGTGGGCCTTTGGGACATGTTTGATGACTGAAGGGAGCTGAGCACTATGCATTTGGAGGCCATGAGTCATTCACACCCAGAAATTACAACTCCTTTATCTACTGGGCTGCTGTTCTCACTGGGGAAGTCCCCAGTTGCCTGGTTGGCACATTGTTCCAGCCAACCAGGTATTTACAGCTATCTCTGGCTATTCTGAGCATGAACAAGATTACCTGGGAATTTCCCTCTTGATAGGACTAGAGACTCCTACCCTTAGAGCAGAGAAGGCAGCTCTGATAATGAGATGACAAAACAGAGGGCTTTTCTCTGTTCTCAACTAAGTCCTTAGTGGCAGGAAAACAGACTGTAGTGTGCACAGGCTCAGGCCAAGGGCCACAGAATATCTTCCGAGTAAGAATACAGGAGCAAGGACAAGCTAGGATCATCAGTGATACCCACTCAGAGTGGGTAAAATCCTCAGGCCACAGACAACAGAAAAAGGCAGGCAGAAAGTAGTGAGCAAGTGGCCAATTGTGTCCCGGATGCCCAGGGCTTATTAGAGCAGGGGAAGGCCAGAAGGAGTCAAAAGCCTAGGCAGAGGTGGTCAAACAAAGATCATGTCAAGGAGCAACAGCAGGTTATCCAATTGTAAATACCTGGAACCCAGATTCCAAAATACGAGGGCTCAGTGGGAGGCAGAGAGAACACTGGGGAGCAAGACAGTAGAGCCAAGCTAAAAAATATCTGGACAACCAAGAAAATCATTTTCTGGGATCAAATAAGGAACTGAAACATTAGAAGAGCAGTCAATCTCCATCCCAGATGACAGGCATTCCAAGTTCCTGCCTGGATGGAGTATTTCAGGGTGCTGGTCCTGGTCTCTGCCAGGAGGGGTGATCAATTTCTACACCAGGTTCCCAGTGAGTCAACTTGGATAAGTTGAGCCTAAAGCCATGCACCTCAATTGGTGAGAAATAGAGCTAATAAAACTCAAACCAAGGAATTTATCCCTTGTGAGTTAGTTAGTTCCTCCTGCCTGAAGGTCCCTTCTTAGCATCTAGTAAAATGTCACTTACAGACCACTTTTAGAGCACACACAGCCAGGGGTTTTGCTCAGGTCAGTGCTTGGAGGAGCCTTTTTTCAGGATCCCAAGAAGTAGTATTTCAAAGCTGATGCTGTTCACTCATTTCTTTAGTTAAAGATTTATCTTCCCTCAAGCCTTATGAATTGAATTGGTACCAAAAGGATGCACTTCCCATTTGGTGCAAAGCAAATGTAGCAGATAAGAAAGCTTTGTGCTTTTATTAAAACTGTCACAATCAGCCTGTTCATTTCCCCAGACTTACCTTGTCTACTAAGGCCTAATACCTCTCTATTATGTGAATCCTCTGTGTGGCCTTATATGAGCAGTGACTGTCATTGACATGGCCACAGAGATTAATAACATTGATGCTACTGACAGCTTACCCAGGGGTTTAGAGAATGGGAACTGATTGCTAGTAAATTGGAGGTGCAAGAAAAAGTGCAAAGAGGGCCTAGAAAAAGTTGACAACCAGTCTTTTTTGGGAGTCAAGTCAGCTGACTGCTTTAGTTTTAATACCTTCTTGAGGCCTAGAGAGTTGTCTTGATTTATGTTTGAAATGGTACCTACCTATTTTTTCCCAAACATGTAAAGTGTAGTATCAAATAACAACATACCTGACCACTCCAGCAAGTGGAAGCTTCTCTCTCATTCTGCTTTATTCTGGAAAAATAGCAGCAAATAAATTTTATTTGCTTGTAGGCCTTAATTTACTTGAAAGTTGAATATATTTCCTAGCAAACATTTTGTTTTTCTTCCTATTTTTGTAGAGTCAGTCCCCTCCATGGTTTCTTTTTCTTCAGCATTTCAAAACAGAGATAAATAATTTTGCTAATGCTTTTAGTATTTCTCTGATTCCTTCATTAATCTCCAGGGACAACCATAAACCTCCGTGGCTTTAAAAACATTTCATTTTTCTTGCCAAACCAGGAGAAGAATCAAAAGAGGAAGTTAGTTATCTTTGTACTAAGTTGCCCACTCTTCCTCTAAAAGTTTGAGAGCTACCATCAGAGCCTTATTTATCATCCCTACTAAATCCTGTTCTTTGAACCAAAAACAACTAAAAGACTTGGATCAGTTAGCTTAGACTGTTTTGATTCCCTGCAGAGTTCAGTTTGGCCCCAGTCATGTGGGGAGTGTAGACTAGAGTCATAAGAAATACTGTCTTTGGATGCTCAAGTCATCTTCTGTTCTAGGGAGCTCAGAGCGTTGCTAAGGGAGTGGTGATGGTGTCTTCTAGGTGTGAGTTGCACTGACTCTCCACCTGAAAGTGTTGACACTGAGGTCCACAATTGTTGCATTCTGCTGCAGAAGTCTTAACAGATAGTTAAATTAAACTATTGAGATGAGGCCTATTGATATACAATTAACCCAAGACAGTTTTCTTAGATATATGTGTATATATACATAGAAAGAACAGATAAATTTGAATGTTGGTAACCCTTGCCGTCTATGTGGGGAAGCCCCAGTGAACAACTTTTACAAATAATTGGCCAATAGAAATTCTTCTGCAATCCCTATTTCTCTAAAAATGTTCTCCCTTTTATTGGATAGTATATTTTCCCAACATTTAATGAAGGATTTTTAAATTCAGTCAGCATTTTTGTTTACTTGTTTACTTAATTAACAAATTAAAATTGTACGTATTTATGATGTACGACATGATGTTTTGATATATGCATCCATGGTAAGGCTGAATCAAGCTAATTAACATCTGCATCACCTAACACATTTTTCATTTTTTTGTGATGAGAATATTTAAATTCTATTTTCAATTTCCAGGTATACAATACCTTGCAAGTTTCAAGGATACCATGCCTTGTTATTAACTATAGTCACTATGTTGTAAAATAGGTTTCCTGAATTTATTCCTCCTAAGTGAAACTTTGAACTCTTTGACCAGCATCTCCTCAAACCCCTCACCCCACCCCCAAGGATGTTTTGTTTTATGTTTTCTTACTGCAGTATCGCCAAATCTTTATGTGAAAAGCAGGACAAGAACGACATTGTGAAACATAAAGGGGCTGTTAGTTCTGTATAACAGTAGATTCTTTTGTGTCCTGGGTTTTTCTCCATCTGAGAGATTGTCCTATTTCTCTTCACCTGATTAGGAAACTCTAGCAGATGGGGAAGGCTCTTCCATGGGAATCTTTTTAGAGGTCAAAGATGGAGTATTTGGAGATGTTTGTATAGATCCTATGGACACGATATATCATCAAGTTATTATTAAAACAAATATGCCCATTTCCTCTATTTAATTTTGAGGATCCCTCAAAATAGCCTCAGCCTACACCTGGAAGAAGGAAAATAAGAAGGTGACCTGTGGACTATAATTTTTTCACCTAGTCTTACACTTGAGAGTGCTTTGTTGCTTAAAAAGTAATTTCCTAATGATTTTTGCATTTTATTTTTGAATAAAACCTGCAACCTCATGAAGGCAGTTACTGTCATTCAAGTTTTTTAACTCTAAGGAACTGAGGATGGAGAGATTAAATGAATTGCCCAAGCTCACAGTGTTAGTAAGTGACCAAACTGGATTGGAATTTACATGGATCTTCTGATTCCAAGTCTAGGGTTCTTGGCAAACACTAAATGCTAAAACATTTGACAAGGAAGGGGTATTAGTCTGTTTCCATTCTACTGATAAAGACATACTGAAGACTGGGCAATATACAAAAGAAAGAAAGTTTTAATGGATTTACAGTTCCACGTGGCTGAGGAGGCCTCACAATTATGGCAGAAGGAGCAAGTCACATCTTACATGGATAGCAGCAGATAAAGAGAGATAGCTTGTGCAGAGAAACTCTCCCTAATAGAACCATCAGATCTTGTAAGACTTATTACTATCACAACACCAGCATGAGAAAGGCCTGCCTCCATGATTCAATTACCTCCCACCAGGTCCCTCCCACAACACGTGAGAATTCAAAATGAGATTTGGGTGGGGACACAGCCAAACCATATCAGAGGGGCACATCAATACAAAATGAAATGAAACAGAAGCACTCATATATTTGATCATCTAGGTTTGATCTACATTTTATTATACACATTCAGTCAGCAAACATTATTAAGTACCTATTGCTTGTAAGGCACTGCAGTGCTTAGATTTTACCTCTGAATATAGGACAGAGGTGGATTATATTGGGCCTCATTATAAGCCAACCTTGGCATGAGTGAAAGTCTTATAATGGGGCTTTGCACCAGCCACAGCTTCTAAAGTCATCATGGGTGAGTCTGTTCCACAAAAGTGAGCCAAGACTACTGTAACTATGCTGTTAACTCAGGCTGCAAATGTTCTATTCCTGAAAAAAAAATGTATTTGAGGCCTGCATGATCTCAACTGGCTGTAAATACCTTTCAGATTTCCTGGGTTATTGCTTAGTCTTCTACTGTTCCTTTCCGTCTTTATCTGACCAATTCAGAGTCCTGCTTCACAAATGCCAAACCATTTTAGTTTCTGTATAATGGAGGCATTTTTTTCCTCTTTAGGTCACATGTCTTTCACAGAGATTTTTGTCATAGATGTCTTGAAATAGGAACTGTAAAAGACATTATTTTTGAACGTTTGAACATTGCTTTTTATTTTCTCAAAGGAGTTTGCACATGATCAACAGATATATTCATCAAACCCACCTACGAGATGAGAAACCCAGACTCAAAAGTTGAGGGGAGGAGAAGTGCTCTACTTTGAGAAGAAACAACAGAAATTAAGCTCAAATGTCTTATAAAATGAATCCTGAATAATCCTTTTACATTCAAACATTTTGACAGTTTTTGGGCATGAGAGGAGGAGTGAGGAGTTTATTTGGAGCCTAAATTATCTCCAAATTGTTTGTTTGCTATTAAAGGGCTGAAAGAGAAGTAAGCAAAACAAAAATAAAATTCCACTGGCTCTCCACTATGGATGAGAAGTTGCACAAAGGCCTAGCTGTTTCGTTGGTGGAGAGCTACATGGCTGCCCAAGTTTTGCAATAGAACTTAGAGAATGGCCTTATATGGGAATTAAGGATGGGAAGCAAAATGTGTTTTTGAGGACTTAAACAGACACTCCAGGTGGTGCAGACAGGTGCAGACAGCATTGACATAATGTCACCTGCATATGTACATGGCTTAGGCCTTTTAAAGCCCATTTACCTGTGCTATTGTGTTGAATTTTAGCTCTAAAATAGGTTGTGATTTGATCTTGTTACCAATTCAAAAAATCAGTTAGGCATACCTAGTAGGTCATCTTGTCTCTGCTTGAAAGTTTCCAGTGATGGAGAGCTTTCTGTTGGCCAGGTAATGTATTTTGTGGCTGGACAGCTTTTATTGTTTGGAAATTATTCTGTGTATAGAGTTCAAATATATTTTATTGAAACTTCTATCTACTGGTTTTATTGTAACTGCTACATAATAATTTTTCTTCCTCATCCACACAATAACTTCAACCATTTGAAAGCAGTTATCAGAACTCCCTTAAATCTTCACATCTCCAAGCTAAACACCTCTCATTTTCTCAACCAAGCCTTTATTAATATGGTCTTCATCTCCTCCTAGCTCTGTTCACCTTCTCCTAGAATAGATTTCTGGCATCTCCATGACCCTAAGCAATCAAATCTTCTGGTAGCTCCATGACTTTAATAACAGTATATTAAATGTTTCCTGACCAATATAGGGTGATTGTTAGCAGCCTCTATTGAGATTTTTTATTTCAATTACTGCCATCTAGGATTATGATGACTATTTTAGCAACCATTGTTAGCTCAAAAAAAGCTTGTGGTCAAATGACATTAACAGTCCCTTTTCCATAACAACTGTGACTCATTTCTCCTCATTTAATTCCTTCTCATCTTCTTAAGAACGAGCAACCTACATGAAAAGTTTCAAGGGTTAGAACAGATCCTGTCACCTCAATTTAAAGTAGTACTAGATAACATTTACTGGCCACTGACTAAAGGCCAGTCATTAGAACTGTTCTGAGTAATTTTCCTACAATAACTCACTAAATGCTCATAATAACCCTTGGGGGTAGGTTCTATGAATGCTCCATTTGAAAGATGTGCAAATGGAAGCGTGGAGATGTTTGGTAACTTGCTTAAATTCACACAATTTGTAACTGAGAGAGGTGAGATGCAAACACAGGCTCTTCAGCCCATACCCTTCACCCTGCTTTCTAGCTGGTGCACATAGTTAGTAGTCAACAGGAATTGAACCTCGGTCTCCTGGCTGATAGATCAATGTTCTCTCCTCACCCCGGTGTGGCCTTCCTGAAGTGGTAACAAGTCTTTCATTTTTGAACTTTATATAAGCTGTTTTGTTTTGCTTTTATACAAACTGAGATTCATGACCCATTATGAATTCAATTTAGGGGGTCAATATAAGCAAGAGAAAGGAAAAAAGAAAAGAGGGAGGGAGAGAGAGAAATATCAAAAGACATCATACAGAGTAAGTGCAAATTTTGTTTCTTTAAACTCTTATTTTAACATGTGTAAAATGCACACAAAAATACCTATTTGTGTGTGTGTGTACAGAATATGATGAAAAGTGTATCTCTTATCTCTCTCATACGGTCAAAACAGTTTGAGAGTTGCTGCCTATCTATTGTATATACCAAACTTTGTCCATTTCTTTATGCTAAGGTTAAACAGGGATTGGAGGGGACACTTTAGTTTTAAAACTCCACTCTTGATCTGCAGCCAGTAAGAGCACAACTTGCAACTAAGCAGAAAGTTCAAGCAAAGAACCTTAGAGTGAAAAGAGATGACTGAGGGCTGAAATAAAAAACAAAAAGCTATTCCAATTTCATTTGAGTTTCCATTCAGCAGCCTCATAGATTCCTAACTCATCACCTCAAGCAGGTCACTTCCCCTCTCTCCAAGTTGTTCGCCAGAACCAGCCAAAGAATGCAGGAAATGGTACTCTCTTTTTCTGAGTGAATCTTGGCAAAATGACTTCAATTTAGCCAGCAGTGCAGGAAGCGATTGTAAATATAAATTTGTTTTATATGCTCCTCCCAAAGGAGACTTGCAGTTTGCCTCCCTAGTAAACAGGGATGTGTATTCCTGATCATCTTACTTGGATCATTTTTTTTTTCACCCTTCTATGTAGCAATGTCCTTAATTGAGGTAGTAATATTGGGCTTGTTGGATTGTCATGAAGTTTAATTTGAATGTTAAAGGACCCCCTTGGTGCTCAGATAAAAATCATTATATAAGGAGGAAAAGAAAATTATGTTGACTAATTATAGGTATATAGAATTCCCATTCATTATGTCCACAATGATATGTATCTGAATATGATATGTTGTAGACTGAAAATAGTAACTCTCCCTGGTTATTTCCACAGTCACTTTAGGCACTTGGGAAAATGCATTCTCCCATTTTATTCAATTAAAGTATGTGTAGGAATGAGGCAAGTACAGTACAAAAATCTCCAGGAATCAACAAAGGACCACCAAGAGAATTTAAATGGATTTCAGCCATTGTAAACAGAAGACAATTTAAGTCCAATTCACTGTTGAAAACTTAATTGAGGCTGGGCACCGTGGCTGCTTTGGGAGGCTGACTCAGGAGGATTGCTCAAGGCCAGGAGTTCAAAAGCAGCCTGAGCAACATAGCGAGACCCTATCTCTGCAAAACTTAAAAAAAAAAAAAAGTAGCCAGTCACATGTGCCTGTAGTCCCAGCTACTAGGGAGGCTGAGGTGGGAGGATCACTTGAGCCCAGGAATTCAAGGTTGCAGTGAGGTATGATCATGCCACTGCACTCCAGCCTGGGCAACAGAGGAAAATCCTGTCTCAGAAAAGAAAAAGCAAATGAAAGCAGAGAAAGAAAGGAGAAGAGGGAAGGGAAGGGAAGAGGAGGGGAGGGGATGGGAGGGGAGGGGAGGGGAGGGAAGAAAGGGAGGGGGAGGGAGAGAGGAAGGGAGGGGGAGGGAGGGAGGAAGGAAGGGGGGAGGGAGGGGGAGGGAAGGAGGGAGGGAGGAAGGGGGGAGAGAGGGAGTGAAGGAAGGAAGGAAGGAAGGGTGGGTTTGAAAAACCATGAGTTCACATCAAATACTCAAGTTATTGAGAATTGGGAAAATCTAAGAGCTGTAGAGAGTACTATGCATTTTGAACCCATTTTCCCTGAGTGTGTGTCCTCAAATATAATTGTGTAGTCAAGTGGTATTCAGTCTTCTCTGTTGAGTGATTATGGTTGAGTTAGAAAATGGCAGTGACCTTTGACAGCAGAAGTGAAATGGCTGCTGAACGTACCATAGCAAGTTGTTGGAGCAGGAAGTTGGACTCACAGAGAAGTGCTCTTTCCATTACCCCATGCTGCCTCCCAGTGGGAAGGTGGCAATGGTGTTAGGATGTAATCTCATAAGTTACTATCTTTTCTTCCCACTGGACAGGTGGCTCAGAATTTTAGGATGACTTATTAACTTAACAATGTTGGGTTTAGCATGCAATTTGAGAACTAAATGACTTCTCTTCAGGAAAAATTAAATATTTTGTTTTATTTATTTCAACCAAAGAAAAAAAATGACACTTTTTTTGCATTATGAGCTATTTATTAACATCGAGAGGCAAATCTGAAAACCTTCTTAAAGGGGATTTGATGTAACAGTGAAATGGCAAAGTAAAAATCATTTCCCCATGCCCGCATGCTCACCCCACCCTCCTTACACACACTCCCTGATAGGAGCATGATCACTCCCTCAGTGAAAATGTTGGAGAGGAATCTAGAGCCACAGCAGCGCTTCCTGGGTATTGCATACCTGTAACATTTGATCCTCTTAACTTTGCCGGTTGTCAGTTACTTCATTGCCTACCCCTGACAGGTGGGCTGAAAGGGGTGGTATTGGGAGATGATTAGGGGCAGTGTCTCAGCACACAATCTTTGAATTGGTATTGGAAAGTGGCTTGGAGGTCCACTGTTCTAACTTCCCATATCATAAAGGACTCTCTGACAAAAGGACATTCTGTCTCGTCTTAAATTTCCAGCAGCTTCTCTATTTCTGAACATTTTTGATTTTCAGAAAACATTTTATATTTTGCGGAAATCTATTTCCCAGCTACTTTCATCATTAGTCTCTTCCTGGAATTATGCATATTGTACAAGTCTAATTATTCTTCTGTGCCTTGGCCCTTGATGTATTTGAAGACAGACATCATCCCTGACCCTCCCCACTCTACATCCAAGTTTTTTTGTTTTGTTTTGTTTGTTGGATTTTTTCCGGCTGGAGTGCAGTGGTGCCATCTCGGCTCACTACAACCTCTGCCTCCTGGGTTCAAGCAATTCTGCCTCAGCCTCCTGAGTAGCTGGGACTACAGGTGCACACCACCACATCCAAGTAATTTTTGTATTTTTAGTAGAGATGGGGTTTCACCACGTTGGTCAGGATGATCTCGGCCTCCCAAAGTGCTGGGATTACAGGTGTGAGCCACCACACCCAGCCCTACATCCAAATTTTGACTCTTCAGGCTAAATATCCTCATTTTTCCTCCTATGATATCTTTCTTCTTTGATAACCACCATTATTTGTGTTTCTGTTTATCTTCTCCAGTTTGTCAATGTCCTTCTTACTCTGTACTCTTTGATTACAGATATTTAAGCAGCCATCAATCCACCCAACTGTACCATCACACACACACACAGGGTTCTATCAAAACTGCAAGGGTTGATCGGAAATGTTTACCCAGCTGTCGCCCAGAGTGTATTGACTCACTCCTGTTGAGACTTTGCTTCGCTTCTGGTGGGGCAGCTGTGCACTCCTCACTTTTGATTTTCTGCCTTGTTGCAGAAAAGCACGATAGAGGTTAAGATTGCATTTGCGCTCCAGAGTTGCTGAATCTCTCTGCTTTTAAGTTCTGCGGGGTCCTTTGGGGGCCATTTGAAACCCAAATTGGTGAGGTGTGGCCCACAGTCTGTGGCCACATAACTCACTTGGGCTGCTTCCCTATCCCACGCTGTCAGCTGAAGCTTCGGGGCATCCCTATGTTTGAGAAAAAACAATCTGGACCTTCTGTATATTAGAAAGGGTGAGGATCTGAAGCTTTTGTGAAGACAATATGGTGCTTCTATTGATCCATGTGAGTCGAACATATGGAGGCTCTGCAAAAAAAAAATAAAGTCTGCCCTATTTAGCGACCCGGGCTGATGAGAAGGTGTGTTACAAATTCGTATTCCTCCCAGCATGTGGTCTGGGACACATCGGGCTCATTTTACTGATGAGTTCCTCGAATCAAGCAGGGGCCATCATCTTTTACCAGTTTATAGCATTAATTGAGTTGTGTGGGAAACACTGCAGGTGCGTCTGTGAGAGGAGAGAAAATTAGGAAATGCTGTTCCAGCTCTCAGAGAATAGGTAAATAGAAAAGAGTGAGCAGCCGTGTAACTGGCAGCATATGAACAAGAGCAGCTGTGCAGGGGCAAAACGAGGCCATCTTTTTAGATGGAGGAAGACAGCTCTAGTGCTAATGGGGGAAGACAATCTGAGCTTTGGGCTGTTCTCTTGGTTATGGTGACCACATTCATCAAGCCAGAAATACAGACCTGTGGTGTGATAGAGGATTTTTAGTGCACTTCTGGGAGTGTTGAGTTGGTAAACCTTGGTTACTGAAGTATTGAGACTTCCAGTATATGAGAGTGTTCAGTAGAGACAGTAAATCAGAATACTGGAAGTATCAGCTGTCCTAAAAAGGTAGGTGTGTATGGTAATTGTTGTGATAGTGCCCAGACTTCTGAGGAATGGAAACCCTGACTCTAAACTCACTCAGGGCTCTTTGCTTGTAACTCAGCATACCTTTCCATAGAGAGATGCCTGTTTCATTGTTCCTCCACATTCTTTCTGGATCCCACAGCAGTGACCCATATTGATCAAAGGTCTTTTTAGCCACACCACTACTTGATTCTATATATTTATAACTCATGACCTTTAAATTGAGTTACACTATTAAGCACCAATGGGTTTCCTGGAAGTAATATATTTATACAGTGAATGTACATTGAGGATGTGAATGGCTAGCCACGTCTCAATTTATGGTACATAGGAGAATCACTTGGGAAAATTTAAATATAGATAGAGAGATATAGATGGATAGACAAATTTTCTGTCTCCAACTTCTAATTTAGCGTGGCTAGAATGGAAGCCACCTAGAAAGTTAGAATTTTAATAAGCCCTGCAGGTAAATCTGATGGAGGGCTTCCAGATGTGTATTTTCAAATGCTAGCTGGAAGACAATTCTCTCAAGGGGCCCCAATTTCCTGAGTTTGGGGAAGGAAGCCAGGAAGGCTGCCTCCAGGATTTTCTCTCCCTTCTCCCAGTCTTCATGAAAGGGCTTCGAGTTCTACTGTACAGTCTTGCCAAGCAGAGTTTGGAGCAGAGTAAATTCCTTTTAGGATTAGAGGATTAGGAAGCTGAAAGGTGATTCAAATTCTTGATTAAACAGAAAGAAGGAAACAGGAGGGGACACACCCGAGCACCCACATCACTCCAATGTGTTTTCTCTGTAATTAAAGGAAGTGATTGTAAAATATTTGAGAGGATTAAATGCTCAGAGAATATAGTGATCAAATAACATGAGATGCTGCATTCTTTAAAATGATCTCTGGCTTGGCTTTCCATGTGTTTTTTAACTGCTGTCACTTATACCTCAACACTGAGGGATTGCCCAAATGGAAATACTCTCTGCTAAGTTTGGAAAACAGCCCTGGGTCTCATATCGGGAGATACTGGGTTCTAGTCTGGGGTCCTCCATGAATTTTTAAGTGACAGTGAGATAAGGTATAATGTTTTTATTGCTCGTTTTTTGTTCCTTTTGTAGAGTTAAAACAATAATTCCTTCAATGTCTTTCTATGCTTTTGCCTTTATTAATATCCACTACTCCACCAATGATGTGTTGAAAAGCCATTTTAAATATTCTCTAGAACAAATGATATTCTCTAAATATTCTCTAGAACAAAGGAAGTAAATTTTTAAATAAATAGTCACATTTGTCGAGTAATTTCCAGACACCAAACTTTTTTGGGGAATAGAGAGAGGCATTCCTCCCCAAAGGAGATCATAACCGGGGATTGCAAGGGGTCCTGGTGATTTAACAAGAAAGGAAGGCAATTCTGTCTCCAAAATAAAACTGCAATAGTTCCTCAGGCCAGTGCATGTTGGCCATGCTGTATGGTCAGCCATGTAGGAGAGAGCTCCAAGCCTTGGGACCATACAGCTCAGGACTGGACTCACCACTCAGCTCAGGACTGGCTTCATGGGCATTCCACGCTGGCAGTAATGAAGGGCCCACACTTAGAAGATCTCACACTTGGTTTAGTGCTTGGTTTTTGCTATCTGAAATTCTTAATCTTTGAACAAGGGGCCTCACAACTTTATTATGCATTGATCTCCACAAACTATGTAGCTGGTCCTGACTCAGATTCTATGTGCCCTTGGACAAATTACTCATCCCTCTAAGGTAGAAGAGACCCAAAATTCATTTATATGATTGTGATGACAAAATACAAAAATATATATTAAATGCTTTTTAAGTATAAGATATTTAATAAATATTATGATTAAAGGAAAGGAGAAAGACTAGAGCTGAAATTGGCCAACTTTTTCTATAATAGGCTGAACAGTAAATATTTTAGGCTTTGCAAGCCATACAGTTGCTGTTGCAATGACACAACCCTGCCACTGTAGCTTGAAAGCAGTCATAGATCATGCAATAATGAATGGGTGCATCTGTGTTGCAATAAAACTTTATTTAAAAAACAGGTGATACAATTTGCCAACCCCTGGACTAGAAGGTAGCAAAGCCAAAGAGAAAGAAAGCTGAGATGAATAGATCAGTGGTTTCAAAGTGTGATCTTAGGACAACAGCATCATTAGTACCTGTTAGAAATGCAGGTTCTCAGGTCTTCCCCCTGACTTGCTATCTCAGAGGTTCTGGGGTTGGGCCCCAGCAATCTGTGTTTAACACATCCTGCCAGTGATTCTGATGCATGGCCCAAGTTTGGGAACCACTGCTCTTAAAGAAATTCAAGAATGTCAAACTAAATTGGAGAACAAACTTAAGAAGAATCCATCAATTGACTGTTGATCATTATAGTGATCTTTATGCTGCCTTATAGTTGTGAACACACCTCAAAGCTTTTCTGCTTTTCTCTCCATTAATCCTCATAACCAGCCTGTGTTTCATAAGAAAATAGTCTTACAGAAAATTATTTGAGTGATTTATTTTCTCTGTTCTCCCAAGGATGATACATAGCTAGTACCTTTCTAGATTCATAGGAGAAAAATTCGTTCACAATGAATGCCACAGAACATTAGTTTGCAAAGTGTGCCCCCCAGACCAGCAGCATCAGCATCCTCTGGGGACTTGTTGGAAAGGCAAATTCTCAGGCTGTACTGATTACTCTGGGGATTGGTCCCAGTACTGTTTTAACCAGCCCTCCCGGTGATTCTGAGCACACACTAGTTGGAGAACCGCTGGGTAAGGGAACTAAGGCCTCCCAACTCTGCTTGAGAAGGGCTGCCACAACCACCAGTGAAGGAAATGGGTTGAGTAATTGCCCAAGGGCACTTGGCTGGTACCAGGAAGGGTGTGGATTTGAGTCCAAGCCTTCCAATTCTAAGCCCAGGGACTTTTATACTCTGCCAAATAATACTAGAAACAAATAAAATCTCCTGTCTCCCCCGACCTTTTTAATTTAACATGTGAATTCATTTAACTCCACAAAAACAATAAACTACACATGGGTCTTTAATATATAAAACAGAACAAACTGTTTAATTTAACACCCTGAGAAGATTCAGCTTCCTCACTTGGGCTAATATTGTTAATTTAGTTTTGTTGGGGGAATTAGCCAACTCTTGCTTTGATGGGTTCTCTTCTTTCTACCCTACCCTGCCTAGCATGAGGAAAAATCTCTAGTCCTGCAGTGGTGTATAGCTCTGTCTATTCTGTGCTCTTCTATCTATTCTGGGATGAGACTGGACTTTCTTGTCCTTTGTTCAGGCAGGAGCAATGGCATTGAAAAGTTGAAAGAAAAATAAAGTCAGCAGGAGATAGACTTTTGAGCTTCTAGCTTTTGAAGCCAAACAGATTCATCTAATGAATTCCGTCTTTTTGTGATTCTTTGTATTCTTAACATCATCTTTGCCTGCATATGAGTGACTTCTGGCCACCGAGGGGCAGCACTTCAGCCTGTGGCCATGTGGGAGGCATTTTCTTCCTTTTGGCTGAAGCTTTGGGTATGATGGGAGGTAGGGAAGGTGGGGAATGGGTGGCACAACCCTCTGCCTGTAGCATTTAACCCACACAGTGGGCTTGGTGACATCCTAGTGATTTGATTTATTCCACCCCTAGAATCCAACCTTTCCTGTCATTACAGCCAGACATTATACACTTAGGGCATAAATATGCTGCACATAGAAGCTATAGGGAAACACTTGATACTGGGGAGATCCATTCTGTAATAATTGTGACTTGACCAGTTAGAAATATTACCCAGGGACAAGCATTCTTAGAAATGTTTAACCATTAAGGTTCTTAAACCATTAAGAATCACTACTTTTTATTAAATTTCTTTCCCACCAGTATATATTTTAACACATCTTTTAAATTCCCATAGAAAGTGCTAATTCCCCAGTTACAAACTTATTTTAGAATCTAGTTATTCTGCCTATCTAGGCTCATGTCTGTCTAGAGCTGTATGCTTTCATGTAGTAGCCAGTAGCCACATGTGGCTATTTAAGTTTGAATTAATTAAAATTAAGTACAATTTAAAATTCAGTTCTTGGGTCACACTAGCCACATTTCAAGTACTCAGTAGTTCGATGTGGCTAGTGGCTGGACAGTGCAGGTGTGTAATAGTGCCATCATTTGAACAGCACTGCCCTAGAACTCTGTTCCCACTCACTACATATATCTCTCTCTTTCTCTCTCTCTCTCTCTCTCTGTCTCTTACAATTTATAGTGTCTTCTCATGTCCTTTGCTCCTATCAAACCTATCTTAACCAGCACCTGTGTTAAATATTTATTTCTACATTATATAGTCTAATTGCTAATATTGTTTCATGTATGTACCTTTTAATAAGAGTAAAACTTCCCAGCTAAATTGGGTTGGGGCTCTTGATGGTGGAATTTCAGATATCAGCTAGTGCAAGAGAGAGGTGGAGCCAGGCAGGGGTGGGTGGGCTGGGAATGGCATTCAACCAGGCCCTCCCCAAATCATACACAGTAGATAGGCATTTTCTAGCCAATGTTTACTATGAAAATGTAAAAAGATACAGAAAATTTGAAAGAATACCAGATTATTATTGGTTCATGATTTTATATGTGAATATATAAGATATGTTTTGCAATTTTATAAATGTTCATGTCTTTTTATAAAAAAAGATGCTATTGATATTCTGTCTCTAGCAGGCAAGAATACTTGAGTAACTCTTTTTACCTCTTTATGGTATTTTCAGAATAAATTCTGACTTATGTTATTGGGATTATTAGTGCCTCATTAATTCAGCAATAAATGAAAATATGGATCTCAAAAATTGGTAATAAAAAGTTATTTCATATATATGTGATAAAGTTTACATGTTATATATATATATGTTGTATTGCCAAATATGGCTATTAAATACTATATAATATTTTTTTAAAAAATAATACAATGAACATCTATATACCTCTACCTAGATTCAAATATAGCTGAAATTTGCCAAATTTATCAAATTTGTTGGCCCATTTGAAAGGTCGATTGCAGGAAGCATGACCATCCACTGCTACGTACTTCAGTGAGTACTTCTTAATTCCCTTACTTAACCACGTCACCATTTTTCACACACACACAAAATAAACACTGATTCCACATCAGTTAAGCATTTACTGACACTAAACACACCCACCTGTTCCTATTCTATTCCACATAAAAAAATAGGTTTTAGGTATAAAATAAAGCTCTTTTTCCCCACTTACTCTGGGCAGTGCCTCTCCAACATGCATACACCTGCTGCCCACACAAGGAGTTCAGGGCATTTGTCTTCCTTGCTTGCCCTGAAATGTCAGGGAAAAGGTAGAGAAATAGATCATTATCTGATGTTATTGACAACTTAGATCCCTTTCGCTTATCAGCCAACTAAGTAAGAAAACTCTCTTTTGAACAATGCCCAGCCACGCTGTGAGACAGCTTTTAAACCAATCTACAGAGAGTCCAAGATGACTCTATGGGGATGACATAGATGATGAGAGAGAAAGAAACAAAGAAATGGAAGGCACAGTCCTTGCCCTCAAAAACTTGATAAAGCAGTCAGGGCTTTTGAGCTGGACAAATACAACTGTCATTATTATTGTAACACCTATCACACAATCTCTTTTTCTCTACAGTGAGCTTCTTGCAAGTATCTTCATCCCCAGGGTATATCACAGACTAGGTACAAAATAAATGCTTATTGAAATTCACCACAAACAGTCATCAGACCCAGTTCATCTAATTTCACAGAGTAGGTGCTCAGTAAATACCACAGTGGTTAAATTGAACTGATTTATTCATCTCCTTTCTGGGAACTCTTTGAAACTTAATATCTGTATTGCTCATTTGATAGTCTGATGTTGTTATTTAATAATTGACATCTTATTTATTTTTCCTTATATATAGCTTGTCTCCATATTAAATTAAAGGTCTTTTAGGCCAGGAGCTACATCTTCTAGTTCTTATTATCTTACATAAAATCTTCTAGGGTACTGAGTCTACAGCAGGCAACTCATACATATTTGCTCAATGAGTGGACACATAGATGAATAAATGAATGAATTAAACAGAATTGAATTTTGCAAACAGGAAATACAATTATTTTGGAGATGAGGCTTAGTGTGGATCCATGCTATAAAATCAATGACACTATCGCTTTTTCAAAAATAAGGGCAAAATGAATTACTCCTCTGTGACTAACTTTTTTTGTTTATGCATAAGATTTCTAGTTTTCTGACAATACATACACACAAAACATAACACAAATGCAAAGCTATTTGTTGCTCTATGCCTGGGAGTGAGTGCATATTCCTTTTTGTTTCATGGGCATATGTCACCTCTGTTCATTTTGCTTTGAATTCGCCTGCTCTTGTAAGTATAATGCAGTGGATTTAAATGTCCTCTTTATAGTGTTTTTCTCATAGTCAAAGATGTCAATAAAGTTGGTATTACCAATAAGAAAAAAAGAAACCTCCCAAAATGGAAACTAATTTTCACAGACTTAGCAATGCAAAATCCTGTGATTGTATTGAAACTAGCTAATTACAGAGCACAGGTTGTAATGAATCTGACTTGATAACAGCTTATCTTAAAAAGACCTGGTCATCTGTGGTTAGGGTAGGCTAGACTGACTTAACAACTATGTGATGGTTCAGGGCCTGATGTTTCTGGCTAGTAAGCAATACTTCTCCATGCAGTGACTCAGGGACCCAGGCTCCTTCTACCTCATGGTTCTGCCATCTGCTAGGTCTTATCTTCTTGCATCAAGTTGGCAAAATAGGAAAATGGGAGCATGATAGAGCACTTTCATTCCTCTAAAGACTTAGGACTTGGTTGAAAAAAGGCACATCTCTTCTGCTCACATGCCACTGAAACTATCTCTGGTGGCCACATCTAACAAATGGGAGTTGACAAATGTAATCTAGTGGTATACTCCAGAAAGAAATGGATTTTTCATGAAGGGCTAGCAACCTCCGACAGGAAGTTTTAGGTGACCTCAAAATGCAACAGATCAAAGGAAAATGTAGACCATGAATAAAAGTATAAGAGACCACAATTATAGAGGTGAGTAGCTTTAGGATAACATACTGGTACAACCCAGCTGGAGCAGGTGTCCGGGTACCACATATTAAAGGGAACCTCAATAAAACAAAGCTGGAACAGAAAAGAACAGACCAAGTTCAGTGGAGTCCAAGAAGCATGTTCAGGGAGAGAAGATGACTAGCATTGGAGATGTTTGTCCTGGGCAAAAAAGATATGGGAATATGCAGTGATTGCTAAAAGCCTTTTAGAAGATGAAGCTGACTTTTTCTGGAGGGTTACAGAAGCTTGAATGGTGACTCCCATAGAATTTGGAAGGATACGGAATATGTATATGTTATTTACTTTATACACAGCTCCTAGCACTATGTCTAACACATCTTAGATACTCAGTAACTATGTCTGGATGGAATTAATTAGTAAATTAATTACCAGTACCCAGATTTCAGTTATGGGTGCTAAGAGAATTTCCTGAGAAATAAAAGGGTTCTGATACTAAAGGCACTGAAGAATTGGGTGAACTTTCCAGGAATGCTGCAGCCATGACAGAAATGGGGATGTTGCAACAAGCCACAACATTCACAGCATTCAGTATCCTCTAAGCTAAGGTCGCTTCCACCTCTGATTCAAGGACTCCTCATTACAGGGCAAACTTTTCAGAAGTGACTGTGTCACAGCAGGTTTCAGCATCGAAGCTAACATCAACAGGTGTCACACAAAAATTAATTGACTGGGAGAACTGTCAGAGGAGTTGTTTCCTCATAATTGGAGGAAGCCACCTTTGGAAAACTCTTTCCAGCCCCTTGCCTCCATGCCAGAAAGTTTTGGTGCTACCATGAGCTTTGGCTCAGGATTTTACCTCCACAACCTTTTAGCCACTCATCCCTTACCATAGGTGTCCTCATAGCCAACGGTCAGAATCACCTATTGGGCACCCTTTCATTTCCTATGGCCCAGCAGCAGTTCTGATTAGAAAGGTCAGTCGCTTCATGATAAAACTCCTCAGTCCTATTTTACAGATAGCCAGGCGTTATGTGGATAGGTTCACTAATACCAAGTAAAGACTCCAGGGGACACTGGAAATCTTTGCATTTTCAGCTAAGTCCAGAACTGGTCTGATTCTTGGAACTTAAGTGATTAAGAGGAGCCTGAAACACCAGAATTGTGGTATTGTGGACAACTCTGTAGAAAGCTCCAGGAAAGAAACTAGGGGCTATCCTTTTTCTCTTCTGATAGTAGTCCTAGCAGCCACTAAAGTGACTAGCACCTACTCTGTTTGTCCTTAGTGTTTGTGTGTTCTTAGTACCTTTTGGTGTAGCTAGTACAAGTGAGAATCAAAGGGAGAAAATATCCAGCAAAGATAAAATTTTAGACAAACCATTCCTCATAGCTCACTTTCGTCAGGAGAGAAACTGACAAGGCACAGAAAAAAATGTCCTCCTCTCTTTTAAGAAGAAAAACATTCAATATTCAGTAATAGGAACTGTCCTAAATTGAGTCAGGAACTACAATTTGACTAGATTAATTTTATGTGTTTATTTGTTTGTAGCCCTCCCTTGTTCTGGAAGGTATATTAAATGACTTAAAGGACAAAACTCAACAAGGGAGGAGAAATAAAGAAAACACAACAGAAGAAATCAAAGGTGGGGATATAAATGCACTCAAGAAGAGGACTAGACTAGTTTAAGTAATCTTGTTTTGGTGGTCATGCTCATAATTGTATGACCTTGATAATGCTCTTAAACCCTTTTTTGTTTGTTTGTTTTTACTAGCAGCTTTAAAAAGGTATGACTACATGCCATAATATTCATCTTTTAAAAAGATACAAAATAGTGATTTTTAGTATATTTGCAGATTTGTGCAATCAGTATTACTTTCTAATTCCAGATCATTTTCATCACCCCACAAAATAAATCCTGTACCCATTAGCAGTTACACCCCATTTTCTTTCTATAGTTCCTGGCAACTACTAACTTACTTTCTGTTCCCATACATTTGCCTTTTCTAGATGTAATCAAACAATAGGTGGCTTCTTTTATTTGGCTTCTTTCACTTAGCATAGTATTTTTAAGGTTTAGCCATGCTGTAGGATGTATTGATACTTTGTTCTTTTTATGGCTGAATAATATTCCATCATATGGATATATTCTATTTTGTTTATCCATTCAATAGCTGATAGACATTCTGGTTGGTTCTACTTTTTGGTTATTGTAACTAATGCTGCTATGAACATTTATGTAGAAGTTTTTGCATGAACATATGTTTTCAGTTCTCTTGGGTATATACTTAGGAGCAGAATTTTGGGATATGTGGTAATTTTACACTTAACTTTTTGAAAAAATTTCCAAACTGTTTTCCAAAGCAGTTGCACCATTGTATATGCTCAGTAATAATATATGAGGATTCAAATTTCTCTGTGTTCCTACCAACATTTTCTGTCGTCCATCTGTTTTATTATGGCCACCCTAGAAGGTATGAAGTGGCATCGCATTGTGATTTTGATTTGCATTTTCCTAATTGCTGATGATGTTGATCATCTTTTCCTGTGCTTCTGGCCATATGTATATTTTTTGGAAAAGAAATATCTATCCAAATCTTTGCCCATTTTTCAACTGGGTTGTCTTTTTATTGTTGTATAGGGCTTCCTTATGTGTTCTGGATAGAAGTCTTTATCAGATATGTGACTTGCAAAATTTTCCTTTTATTGTATGAGGTGTCTTTTCACTTTCATGCCAGTGACCTTCGAAGCATAACTTTTTATTAAGTTTAATTTATTATTTTTCTTGTTCCTCATGCTTTGGTGTCATATCTGGGGAGGGTTTGCCTAACCAAAGGTCAAAAAATATACTCATGTTTTCTTCTAAGAAATTGATAGCTTTAGCTCTTGCCTTTAGGTTTATGATCCACTTTGAATTTATTTGGTGTATTGTAGAAAGCAGGGCTCCAGCTCTTCTTCTTCCTCCTCCTCCTTCTTTTTTATTTTTTATTTTTTTTTTGAGACAGAGTCTTGCTCTGACACCTGGGCTGGAGTGCAGTGGCGTGATCTCAGCTTACTGCAACCTCCGCCTCCCGGGTTCAAGTGATTCTCCTGCCTCAGCCTCTTGAGTAGCTGGGATTACAGGCGCCCACCACCATGCTCATCTAATTTTTGTATTTTTAGTGGAGACAGGGTTTCACCAACTTGGCCAGGCTGGTCTTGAACTCCTCACGTCGCCACCTCGGCCTCCCAAAGTGCTGGGATTACAGGTGTGAGCCACCACACCTGGCCCCTCCTCCTTTTCTTCTTTCTCCTTCTCCTTCTTCTTCTCCACTTTCTTCTTTTGCATGTGTATATCAGCTTTTCCCAGCACTATTTATTTATTGAAAAGACTTATTCCCCATTATATTATATTAGCACCCATGTCAAAAGTCAATGAGCAATAAGTATCAGGGTTTATTTCTGGACAATCAGTTCTGTTCTATTGATTTATATGTCTTTTCTTATGCCAGTGTCACACTCTTGACTGCAATAGCTTTGTAGAAATTTTAAAATTGGGAAGTGTGAGTCCTCCAACCTTGTTCTTTTTCAAGATTGTTTTGGCTATTCTAGGTCCATGGCATTTCAATATGAATTTTAGGGTCAACTTGTCAATATCTGTAGAAAGGCTCTCCTAGATTTGTTAATGCTCTCCTAGATTTGCTAAGCCTCAATTTTCTCACGTATTTAAAAAGATTGGTAATTCATGTCCTGTAGAGTACTTGTGAAGCCCCCCAAAATATAACTCTGCTTTAAATGTTTAAAATACTAATTTCAAATCCACATTTTATATTGTTTATCTCATTTTATAAAATTCAACCAATTTTAATCCTCATTTTCAGAAAAATATATTTTTGCCATATTTATTAACCTAGCATTGTCATCATCACACCTCTGGACTCACTGAAAACTGTGACCTTTCCCAGCTTACACAAGGACCAGATTGGTTCTACTGCCAGGTACCTGTGTTAGAATTGAAGAATTCTAGATGTGTAAAGGAAAATGGCCTCACCTACCTTAAGGTGGGATGTGGTTACTCTCAGAAAGGTGAGAAGGAAGGAGCAATTGAAAGGAAGGATGAGTAAGGAGAAATGGGGAACTTCTTTAACTGCTGGCAGTGTGTAGAGAATTAGACTGAAAGTGGCTTGTCTTCAGAGGCTGGTATCTGGAGGGCAAGGCCGAGGAGAAAATGTGTTCCTGCTTGCTACTCCACCTCTAGCTGGAAAGCCCCATTATTTGAATGGACCAGAATCCAGTAATCCAGTTTGTAGGTGTCTGCTCGGCTGTCATTTGTTCTCCTGGCTGACTGCAAATATAACTCAGAGTGATGAAGATTACAAGGAAGAGTATCTTGGCCAAGGTCCAAGGCTCTGAGGTTTTCTCATTCAGTCTGTCCTCTGAACTTAGGAGGGAGTATCGTACCAATTCTGCTGCTAGGCTCAGAGTAGTCTAAAGCAGAAAGCAATCAAACCACAGCTTTTTCTCTTCTCCTGTCCCAACTATTTATAGTAACCGATGCTACTGTCACAGTTATCTTAGCTCACGTTCACTGAAAGTAAGACCTTATGCTATGCATTACCTTCATATGAAGTCAGCACAGTTATTATTATCCTGATTCTACAGATGACAAAACCAAGGCACAGACAGGTTATGTATTTTGTCAAAATTATAAATATTTAAAGGGGAGTATGTCCAGGATTGATCCGAGACGTACCATGCTATACCATGTCAACCCTCTTCTGTTTCTTGTCTCTGTAGCTCAAATAGCATTTTCTCAATTTGGCTATACTTGGAGAATCACAGAATTAGCTTACAACCCTCAGGAATTAAGACTCTTAAGAGCAGTGGCCTAATTTCATTTCTTCAAGGAAGCACCTTCCAAGATTCCGTAGATTACACTATGGTTTCTTGTCTATGAATTCCTATTGCATTCTTTCAAGAAGTCAGCACCTGAGTCCATAACTATCGGATGGGTGTTTCTGAAGGCTGAGAACTGCCCGCCGTCTGGGTTACTGGCATCATTGACAATGCCGAGACATGCCTCTTCCTCTCTGAGATTGTTGTTAACTGGAGCAGGAGGTTCTCACTAAAAACATGCCGACTCCCTCCTATGGCCTTCATGATGTAACCATCATACACATTGCTGCTGTTCTATAATAATAGGTCACCATTCAGGGACAAACAGCAATGACTGACTCATTCAAGAGATGGCGAAGGGGTGAGCGGAGGGATGACCAGGTAAAGAAAGGTGTTTTTTAGCATTTTTCCTTACCTCAGAGCTCCATTGAAACCAAATCTGGATTGACCTGATTTTCCAAACCTTTATGTCTTTGATGGAGTCAGGAAGATGAAAGAAGCTGTTGTCTGTACAACCTATTTCCCCTTCTGTGAGTTGAACTGAATTGAAACTGCTCCATGTTTATCAAAGATCAGGCAAAGATATGAGCAATGTCCTGATGTCAGTGATACGGGCCAGTGTCCTGCCCATGGTCAGCATCCTGGGTCTCCATTATTGGAAGGCCTTAACATCTTCATGAGCAACCCTTTTCTTCCCCCAGAGGAAACTAAATTTCTTGCCCTGTCATACTAAAAACCTAGAGGGGGTTTTATCTATTTTACTTTGTTTTGTAAGCGTACATAAGAACTCCTGATTTCATTTTATGTTGTTAATAGTGGGTAGGGTTGTTTCTACTTTTAGCTCTCCTCTAGTGCCTCCCCACAGGGAAATCAGCCTCTGGTCCCTCCATGTGTTCAAGTGTACAGGCCTCTGGTTGCCCCCTGCCCCTCACACCCTTTTCATCCACCCTACATTATTCTAACTTGCCACTCTCTGAAGTTATGGAAGGTGAAGGCCAGGGAAATTGTGGGTATCAATATAGGACTTTGATTTTCATACCCCCTTGTGTATGTACATGCATTAGTGCTGTGTAACACAGGCTGTAATTTCTTTGGGAAAGAAAGGAAAAGTGAGAAACAGTTTCCATAAAATAAAAAGACCATTGGACCTGGCTCAAATTTGGAGTGGGGGAGGGAGGATCCCTTACCTGAAAATGTTGTATCTGTGATGAGTCATCTTGGTCTAATATGATTACCCTCATTTTCTATGGTGTATCTTTAGCTCTTTGAGGCTTCTATTATTGAAATACTACTAGCTCCATAAGTGGAACCTGTCTTAGAGTATATAACTGAGAGAGAATTTATATTAGGTTGGTGCAAATGTAATTGTGGGGTTTGTCATTACTTTTCGTTGCAAAAACAGCGATTACTTTTGCACCAACCTATAATTGAAAAGGTCCTTAGAAATCCACTACTCTGGTTCTTCGTCCTGCAAATGATATTCTCCAATAAGAGGAACTGAAATGACCTCCAAAGTCACTCAACAGCGTTCACATTAGAACCCAAAAAGCCAAAATCCTGATGCCCTGATTCTGCTGCCTACCAGCCACCTGTCTCCAGTTGAATAGCATTTTATCCAAGTTATAGAAAAGATGGCCACCCTCTGGGTGTCTCACCATTAGGTGATAATGTTCTCCTCACTCTGCTTTGTCTGCTTAAATTGTACTACAGGTCTAGCCCTGCCAAACCTCACCCAGGGAGCCCTCTGAGCTCTCCAATGAAATCGTTCATCAGAAAGGTCCTGCTCTATATGCTATTCACCACCCCATACCTGTTCCCTAATAGACATTCAACCCATATTTACCAGCACTTGACTACATGCCAGGGACAGGGACAAACATTGTGGAGGAGGCACAGATGTGTAAGCCTTCGTATTTACCATTAAGGAACTTCAACAGTAGTGGAAGAGAGAAGGTACAAACGTGTGTGCTCCTGCATACACACACCCACACACACACACACACATAGGCACAAACTTCAAGGCAGTAGGTGACAATTAATATATAACAGATATAACGAAAATGCTAGTGGTTTTGGAGGAGAAGTGAGAACCTCCAGCAGGGGTGAGAAGATGGAGTCTGTTTCTGAGGGAAGTGGCATTGAACTTTCCTTTTAAGTGTAGCTCAGGTTTATTATAAGAGTCTTTTTCTAGATGATCTAGTCTTTTTCTAGATCAAACATTTATTATTTGATAAATGTTGGGTTTTGACTCGACTAAACATGAAAGTTTTCAAGTAGAAAGACCATGTTCAAGGCATATAATGATAGCTCAATTGATGTTTGTTTTGGAAGTGCTGAATTTTACTTGATTCTCCTAGAACTTGTAGCAATATCATCCAAGGAATGATGAAATTTAATTAAGTTGAGTCTGTAGAGGACCATATATGTTGTGAAATAAATGCTACTGATTGCCTTCCTTCTCAAAGCCCACTTTATTTCTTGATGCTCACTGAGCACACCTGTCTACATATTTTAAGGAAACTTTTTGTTTTTTTTGTTTGTTTGTTTTTGTTTTTTTTGAGACAGAGTCTGGCTGCCTCAGCCTCCCAAGTAGCTGGGACTACAGGCACCTGCCACCATGCCCGGCTAATTTTTTGTATTTTTAGTAGAGAAGGGGTTTCATCGTGTTTGCCAGGATGGTCTCCATCTCCTGACCTGGTGATCCACCCACCTCAGCCTCCTAAAGTGCTGGGATTACAGGCGTGAGCCACCGTGCCTGGCCAGAAACTTTTCTTTACAGTAACTTTTCTATGTGCAGAGAATGTTTACCCCTCCTCTGTGCACCATCGTGTACACAAGCAGTCAGTTAGCTGCTTCCTTTTCTGCTCTCTCCCTTCCTTCTTTCTTCTCTCATGGTTACTGGCCTTGTCTCTCAAAAATAACCAAGGATGCAGTGGGGACAGGTGGTGCCTGTGTCGTCCCGGTGCTCTTGAGGTCTGGCTCTGGCACCTCTCTTCAGTGTCAGCAACCACAAACCAAAAAGTTCCCTCCCTCCAGCTTTGGCTTTTATCCCCCAGGAACCACAAGTTCTGGAGCTAGGAAACTGAGTGTTTTAAAAGAGGAGACAATGTCCTTTGAGAAACCCACTGCTCTAAGCCCATTTTGACTCAGCCCTAAGATCTGCCTTTCCTGATCCAGCAGATTACCAGGGGAATTTTCCTTCATAAATGTACATTGATGGGCTTCTACATCAATGAAGGTTAAGTTCAGCTTCCCATACGCCCACAGAACAAGTCTCGGGCAAGACAGAAGTTGAGTTTTCTTTTGATTATGGAAGTACAGGGGCAAGCATGTCAGGACTGGTGAGGCAGTTTCATTACATCACCAGGGACTGAGTCTTCTCCTGTCTGTCCTTCTGCTCTGCCATCCTTAGATCAATGCTTCCGTCCTCCTGGCTACCTCTTATGGTTAGATTCAAGTGTAAACTCTCTGGTTCAGACTGCATGCAGTGAGGGTCCTGAGAAAGCAGAGACATGCATAGAGGGTGCAGGGCCAGCTTCACAGAAGGCAGAGACTAGAGGTGAGTCAGGACTTAAAGCTGGGTACAACTTGAACATGTAGGGCACGAAGGGCCTGGAAAACAGAAGGAGATGTCCTTGGAAAGGGCTACAGTAGTAACAAAAGTGGTTTCCCTGCACTCTAATGAGGAGCTCACACTGGCTACCATTACCGGTCCAAACTGAAGCCTCCTTGTATTGGTGGAGTAGTGAGAAGTGTGTTCATCTCTGCCTTGGGCAGCTCAGAGCTGTATGTATGTTGGCTTTTCAATGTGGTCTCTCAGGCATCTTTGAATGGCCCACAGTGACTATAGCCAACTGTGGAAAGATCAGGCTGATGCCATAACATGGCTGGGTTCATTCCATTTTTAGTTACTGAAAAGGCTTGGTTCATTGGTTTATTTTTTGTTTTCACTATCCCTCAATTCCTTTCTCAGCCTTTTGCAATACCAAACATGACTGCCATTCTGGTGAGCCAAATAATAATAATAATAATGCAGGACTCAGGATGAGGCTCAGACCTGGTCTGTCAGTGTCCACGGCTTTTGTCCTTAGCTGGGGGACAGGCCCTAGACTCAGTGTAGAATATCTGGAGCTGCAGAAGGCACTCCCATCGTCTCTACTCCCAGACACGCCTTTCTTTCATACTCTTTGTGTGTGTTTTCCTTTGCAATTTGTACATTCTTTGCACAGGTGTCAACCCAAAGTAAACTGCAGTGTCGTGAGTTACCTGGGATGGGAATATGTGTCATTGAGAATGTGGGGATCACCATTAGCTGTTGATTATGAACACACTGGCCTAAGACAGAACTTGACTAATGAGGCTATGCCCTGCCCTCTAGGAAATACTCTACTGTTAGGCAACACAGAACGTACTTGAGCTATTGGGGAAATTGTGCATTATATTTTGCTTTGCCATGTCAACATCAAAGATTGAAGTTTTATTTTTAGTCTTCTTTGGTTGTTTTCACTGGTCAGGATCAAAGTCACAGTTTCTCTGTATGACAGGCAAAGACTGGAAGTAAACGAATGGATTTGGCATTCTATTCACTTTTTGAGTGACTATCACCTTTTAGATTCTAATAGAAGGAGAGACATTTCATGCAATAGTCTATGTAATCAAATGATGGTGGGAGGTGGTAGGAAGAGGTGAGGATGGATACCACTGGTTACACAGCCTTTAGACTGAGGTGAGATTTTTAGAAGGTTAATGTCTGGAAGGAGCCTGAAAGTTCAAGGTGACCCACCCCCTCATGTTATAGATGAAGTACTATAGGAACAGAAATAGGACTTGAACCCAGGACTCCAATTCCCAGACCAGTGCTTTTGGCAGCAAGCTTTCCTGGAGCTCTATCAACCCCAAGACTCCACCCAAGCCAACGTCCTGAGGACAGGTGCTTTTCAGCTGGCTGCTGGTGTAAGCTGTGGCTTTTAAAATCAACGCTTATTTTAATACTTTCACAGATCATAGACAAGCAGAAGAGTCTATCTAAAAATACTAAAATTTACTAAGTTAATGGTTCAGGTTGCAACTGATGTCATTACTGCATCTTAAATATGTGTTTTATATTGATTTGAATATAACTGTGGAAATTCGTAATGAAGAAATTTTGCCTACTGCGTGCCCAACTTGGTGATCAAAGATCCCTAATATAATAGGGCATCCTTGGGAGAAATCACAGGGAAACCTTTGCTCACTGCATTTCCCCTCACTTCATTATGCTCCAGGACACCAGCTTTCCAAGCAGTTCTCCTGACTTCAGAAATGTCATTAAGGACTGATCCTCCAAGGAAGTATGGGGTTTTATTTGGTGGCTCAGGGAAGAATTATGAATCTTTTCTTCCAGGCTAAAGGATCTTGGCAGCAAATGGAGGGTACAAGTCATTCAACTAATCAGTGAGTCAATTAATAAGTATACACAGGGCACTTAACAATGTGTGCAACCCTATGCTAAACACCACGGGAATATAAGAGCAAACATGATCTCAGCCTTCAAAGAGCTCAGAGCACTGTTTAGAAGAAAAAAGACAAAAACACATAAAAATAATAGCTAACAACTAAGGACTCAAATGTGCAGTATTGACTGTTAATAGTAATCACATGTCAGACGGGCAAGATGAGAGACGGCTGAGCAATAAAGAATTCAGAGAAGGTTCCAGGCAGGACCAGAGCAGGGCTTTACTTGAACAGAATGTGGTTAAAGCAGTGAAATGAAATGCTTGGGAAGAGGCAAGTACAGGCACCTGCTACGACTTACTGTGTGCCCTAGGCAAAGTATTCCACTTCTCTAATCTTATTCTGTCCCCATGAGATGACTGTTATAATATGATCCTCATTTTACAGATGAGGAAACAGGGCAGGGGCAAAGAGACTAGATGTTCCATATCACACACTAGTGATGTCAGTTAAGCTCCAAATCTAAGACTAGACTCTTCCAAAAAGTTTTCTCTTGGCCACACATAGTGACTCAGGCCTGTAATCCTAGGACTTTGGGAGGCCGAGTCAGGCAGATCATTTGAGGTAAGAAGTGTGAGACCAGCCTGGGCAACATGGTGAAAGCCCATCTCTACTAAAAATGCAAAAATTAGCCAGTCATGGTGGTACGCGCCTGTAGTCCCAGCTACTCGGGAGGCTGAGGCACAAGAATCTCTTGAATCTGGCAGGAGGAGATTGCAGTGAGCCGAGATCATGCCACTGCACTCCAGCCTGGGTGACAGAGCAAGACTCTGTCTCAAAAAAAGTTTTCTCTTAACTACTCTCTTTTTCTTTCCAAATCATCCTTCTTATTGATGCTACTCTTAGTCCAAACAAACATCTGTTTCTTTTCTGATTTCCGATTTTCAGGCTGGCTGGAGTTTGTGGGACCAGGAATGCTGCCTGATGAAAGGTTCCTTGGAATTTTCCCATAGAGGACAATCTTTTGCCTGCCACCCATGAATGTTTCTGTCTTTCCTTTTTTTCTTTCTTTCCTTCATTCCACAGATATTTATTAAGTTCTTCTCAAGCTCTCAAATATCCTAAACTTAATTTGTGTAAATATTGCTACAGCCCAGGTCACAGTGAAATCTTAGACTGAGACACCACCTTCTATTTACACAGGCAGCATGAACTGTTGTTGCCCTATTTGGTGAATACGGCATAAAGTATCCAAGAAACAGCCCAGACACGGAGAGAATATTTTCTGAGCAGTCAGCATAATGAGATTGAATGAGTCCTAAACTATGTCAGAAAATCTATATTTAACTCCCAACTTTGCTATTCATTCTGTCAACCTCAGACAAGTCATCTGAACTCTTTCTGCTACATTGTCTTCAAGTATAAAATGGAACTCATAGTTTCCTCTCTTATGAACTTTACAGGGATGTTGGGTGGTATGAGGGATAACATAAATGAAAATGGTACCAGAAAGTGAAGGCCCCCACCTCCCTGAACCTGGTAACACAGATTTTGCCAAATAAGCCGCTTCCCTGGTTTCCCAGACCTCATCAGTGCATGGCTGCTGTCCAGCCTGCCAATTCATTGACTTCACCATGCCCTATTAATTGATTCTGGGGAACCCCATCAGGGAAAGAAATTAATAGGTGTAGCTGTTTGGAGATAGCCCTATTCTCCAGAGAACCTCCTGAATGTCCCTCTGAGTAGATATCAGGGAAAGGACACCCTTCTCAACCTTCTGTGTGGGATAGGAATAGCGTGCACCAGGATGCCTGTGAGACAGGTGAGCTGGAAGCCCTTACTTGCTGCATGTCAGTTTCCTTATTTGTAAAACGAAAAGGTGGTGAGTCTTACTTGGTGGTTTTTGAACAGTGCTTTCCAAGTGCTGTGTAGGGCCCACTCTAGGGTCACTGCCTGGGGAGAGGCAGTTTGGTGCAGGATATTTGGGAGTGTTTCCAGCTCTCTGATCCCAGAGTTACTCAGCTTTTACTTTCTTTATTTGTTTATGCTCCAGCTGTGATTTTATTTCAACCAAGGGTTACAAAGCTTTAAAATTTTTTTAACCCAGGACCAAGTTATATCTAAATGCCCGACTTTGTGGTTCTCTGATACAGTTACTGAGTGAGTTGTCTTTCTTTCATCTTCTTCCCTTGTCTATGTGCAAGGGGTTCAATGCTCTGATGCCTCCCCATCCACCCCCAGCAGGAGGGTTGGAGCTCTGCCTCCTCGAGTTGTTGATTTCTGAGTCCTCAGCATTTCCCTCACCCTCTCCAGCTTGTCCTCAAGCCTGCCAGTGTCTGTTTCATGCAGCAAAGGCTGTGAGGTGCCCTGGAGCTCTGTGTCCTTGGCTTCAGCACTCAAAGCCCGTGCATGGCAGGGCTCTGGGATACTGGGCTTCAAGGGGATGACTCTACTACTCACCATGACTTTTGGGACTCCCGGGAGCCAGGTTTGGAGAAGGAAATAGAAGGGGAAAGGAAGCCCTGAGCATGTCAGCCCCCACCACAGCGAGCTTGTGTCTCACCTAGAAAAGCCTCCTAGTGCTCATGTGCCCTTAAATGGACTTGTTCACCATGGCCCTCCCACAGCATGCCGCCCTCGGTTTGTATTTTGGAGGGCTTAGTAGATTAGATGTCTGAAAGCCAAAATCCTTCCCGGTGCTGCCGAGCCATTCATACTTTCTTCTCAATAAACAGTTGTCAGACAATTGGATTAAATGAACCCCCACATATAGTCTACTTCAAAATAATAATCCTCGGGACAGCCTGTTCCTCTGCATTATCTGTGTTTACTTTTGGATCTGGTCACAATGCTCTGGTTATACTTTCTGGCAACATGCACTTATGGGGCAAGGGTCACTGGGGTGGAGCCACCACCTCATCCTGAGGAAGAGGGGCCCAGGCTCAGCTGGAGTGACCTGGAGCGTAGGTTTCCCCAGGCCAGGCCTTCTCCATGAAAGGCTTCCTCGGCAGCGGCCTTCCAGGAGAGGATCCCAGTGAAAAGACCACTTGACTCTGAGTTAGAAAACATGGAATTTATCCTACCTGGCCACTAACAAGCCATTGGACTATCAAGAAATGGAAGAGATTTCCCTCATAATCATAGGTTTCTTGTCATTAGAGATGTTGAGGCAGAGATGGGTGGCCCTTGCTCTGAAATGCTGAGGACAGGAACCCAGCAGTAGGTAAAAAGTTGGATCAGATATCCTCAAAGGTCCTTTCCAACTGTGAATGTTTCCACTTCTAGCCTTCTCGTGCAGTTCTACCTAGTGCACAGAATTGCTAGAATGTTTACAAAAGAAGATGTACATAAAAACATTTGACTATATAATATGGCAAGAGAATGTGAGAATTTGTGTTCTAGTTATCAACTTTAAATCTGAGGTGATGATCTTATGTGCACTGCCACTGGGATGGACCCCACAAATGACAGTTCAACAGAACTGTAGGGGAAACTCCCCTTTCCCTGGAGCACTTTGCAGAGATATGTCAACTTCCAGCAGACTCTTCTCCTGGGGCTTAATATCTATAGCAGTCCCACTTTGGATTCTGCTGGAGATAAAGAAGTAGCAAAGCCAGCATAGCTCGGCCCAGTGCCCTTTTCACACTCATGTGGTTAAGGATGCCAGTTCCTGTACTAGACCTTGAGCTCCACGAAAGCATAGCCATGTCCATTCCATTCTCTGCCATGTGGTCATCATCTAGTCCACAGGGTCTGTCACATAGTTTGTGCTCAGTAAATATTTGTTGAACAAAAATATAATACATTAAGAGAATTAAGGAATTAACCATAGGGTTCTGACTCTGCAGGTAGAAACTATTTAGAGATGTGAGAGCTCATTTCACCTAGGTCTCCATTTGCATGTTACTCTATCAGAAAGGGTATCCTTAGCCAGCCTGTCTAAATCAAATCCCCCCATCTTTTTTTTTTTTTTTTGGAGACAGAGTCTCACTCTGTCACCAGGCAGGCTGGAGTGCAATGGCACAATCTCGGCTGACTGCAACCTCCACTTCCCTGGTTCAAGTGATTCTCCTGCCTCAGCTTCCTGAGTAGCTGGGACTACAGGTGCACACCACCACACCCAGCTAATTTTTGTATTTTTAGTAGAGATGGGGTTTCACCATGTTGGCCAGGATGATCTCGACCTCTTGACCTCGTGATCCACCTGCCTCAGCCTCCCTAAGTGCTGGGATTACAGGTATGAGCCACCATGCCCGGCTAGATCCCCCCGTCTTTAAGCTTGTCCCCATATCCTCTCTGGTTTTTCCTTAATAATCTGTGCCATTTGATTAATATATATTTATTATATTATATATATGTATACATATGTGTATTGTATGTACATATACACACATACATATGCATATACACACATATGCATATACATACATGAATTTGTATCTAAATATTACATATAGGTTTGTATGTATGTCAGATATATCTCTGTCTGTGTAAACACACACACATATAGATATAAACATAGTTTTTGGGTTGTTTGTTTTCCTATCTCCTTTCTCCCCACTAGAATGTAAGATTCATGAGGGCAGGCAGGCTGTTTTGTTCACTAATTGTCTTAGGTCATTTTGTGCTTTTATAAGAGTATACTTCAGACTGGGTAATTTATAAGGAACAGAAATTTATTTCTCATAGTTCTTCAAACTGGAAAGTCCAAGGTCAAGATGCAAGAAACTTACCTGATCTCTCTGCTGCCAGTATGGTGCCTTGAGTGCTGCAACCCTCAGAAAGGAACATTATGTCCTCACATGGCAGAAGAGTAGGAGAGAGTGAACCCACTCTCGCATGCCTGTTATCCATAGGAGTATGAATCCATGTATGAGGGCGAAATGGATTAGTCCCATCTCTAGATACTATTGCATTGGGGATTAAATTTCCAATATCTGGGTTTGGAAGGGAACAAAAGCATTTAAACCACTGCCCTACTCATCCGTGTATCCTAGAATGGGATCTGGCATCTAGTTTTTGCTCAAAAAATATTTGTTGAATGGACAACTAAATAAAAGAATGTTTACTAGAGAAAATGGACTGGAGTTGGGTGTGAGAACTTACAGACTAATTGTAATTCGGCTAAGCCCGGCAAGAAAGAGAGAATCCTGCAAGTGAGGGGTGCAGGAAGATCAGACGAGTTAGTAAAAGGGAGAAAAACAAGAGCCCAGTGGTTTAAAAATAATCTCTGTGCTTATCCATCGTCATAAGGGTGGCTGTCAGTCATCAGTGGTTGTCCACTGTGGTTTCAGCCTCTGCCAGTAGTGGCCACAACAGTCCCTATCACATGAGTTAGAGCCCTCAAGAACAACAGCTACTTACTGGGAGTCTATGGAAAGCTCCTCCACTCAGGCTTCCCCACAATTTATGCTTTAAGAGTATACTGATAGATTAATTAAAAACTAGCTACTGGCATCGGCATAGTCACCTTACCTCTTTGCAAATGACTTGCTTGCCCTGCCATCATTCTTCAATTTTTGCCTTTGTTCTCACATCTACTAAAATATTAGTAATAATTACAGGAATATGGTGTAATTGGAATAGCGCTGAACTGACAAGTCTGAGGCCTCGATTTCAGTCTTTATCATTAACTACCTGGATGACCTCTCTGGTTCTCAGTTTCTTTATTCATAAAAGGAGGTAATCAGTTTACATCAATTGTAAGCACTTTAATTCTCAAATTAATCTTCAAATTCTACAATAGTTTTGTTCTTCATAAAGTCAACCATTGATTTAGGAGGAAATTCCTAAAGTCTACTGGCAGTTCAGTTGTGAAGAACCTAACTACAGTGTAATAAATGATGCTTAAACTCCCAGACCAGCTAGTACAACTTACAAAGACTATTTGAAGCATAAGGTAGTTGAACTCTCATTCTGATAGTCCAGCAGTCTCCAGAATCACTGACTAGTGGGTGTCAAGTGCTGAATTTCTCTGAGCTTAGCCTTATGAGCCCTGAGCAGGGGGCTGGACACTGCCTGTTGGAACTGGGTTGAGGTTCCAGTGGCAGTGGGTCTTAGATCATCCATGTTGGAGAGGCTAAAGGCAGAGCAGAAGGGAAGCATGGAGTTCTCCCAAACGAAGGTTAGCGCACTGGGGGAGACCCATAATCAAAAGAACAAAAATACTTTGCTTTCAGTAGTGCTTTATACCTTTGGAAATGCCTCTGCAATTTTTTTTTATCATCATAGTCAGTGCAGATGTCATTGCTTGGATCTGCGCTAAATGTTGTAAGGGATCTCCTCAAAAGATTTACAGTCCAGGAGGGAGGGCAGCAGCAAGTAACTGTACTGTAAGCCTGACTGTGCTAAGCCCTATAGGATATACAGAATGAGTATCGTGGGGGCCCAGGGGACGGAGGGATAAATGTCAGCATGAAGCTTTATGAAGGAGGGGGCATCAGAGATGGCTTTTCCCAGCTGGAACAAGGCAAGCAAGAGTAACACAGCAAATGGCTTTCCAGGGCACAAGGAACTCCACAACTCATGTCACAGGCATGTAGGATCTTTTGTGATGAGAGTGGTTACTATGACCCATGTATTTCCAGACGTCAGATTAGAAGGACCAATTGGCCAAGCTTGAGGAATTTGAACTCTATTCCTGAATCAGAGTAGCCACAAAGATGTATAAGCATAAGAGATACCCAAATATTCCATTTTGGTTACTTTGCATGTAAAAATAAAATAAAGTGGCTTGAAGTGGTTTCCTTATTCTCCAAGTGCTTATAGATTAGGATAGTAAGGAGCGCATGCGCAGGAAGAGATGGAAAAAATATGAGTTAGCTCTCCCAGTATCTCATTTCTTTCTCACTGTGTAAGCCATTCTCATGCTCATTTTATATATAGGCAAATAGAGGAATAGAGATTTTGGTAAGTAAGTTGCCCCAAATCTCACATGTAGTAACCATAGAGCTAGAGCCAGAACAAGAACTTGCACCTGCAAAATTGCAAAACGGATGGTCTTTCTAATAAACTATATTCTGGTCATGTCCATGAACTTCACTGAGGTTCTAGGAAGGGAGATGTGTTCTGCTGCATCCGTTGTTACCATGTGAGCTACAGTCATTGTTGGAATGTAAAGTGTTGGTGTTGCAAATTACCTTTATAAAGAGCTGGAGTAATTATCTCCTGCTTCCTGCTCTCCCAAGTCAGTGGGGTTAGAATCTTAGTTTTGTGTGGCCCAGTTAAAAATCTCTTTTCTCCAGTTCTTTGGAGCAGCTGTTGAGAGGACAAAGGCCCCATTTTAATGACAGAGTTTTTCTTGCCTAGCTGAAGTGATCACTAGTGAGCAGACACACAGCATTGCTAACCTCTCATCTCTGGGTGAAGTGTCTCTCTCCTTTCAAGCTAAAGGGGCACAGCATCTGTAGCAAGGAAATCTAATTACATGGCGCAGGTTCTAACTTAAGATGGTGTCAGTTGTAGAATGCTGGAGAAGCAGAAGCATTATGATAGGCACTTACAGAGACCACTGTATCCTCCAAGGGATGAGAAGAAGAGTGTCAGGGACCACTCTGGGAGATAACTAACACAGAGCTCAGAGATTCCACAGGTTGGTTCTCAAACCATGGATTAACCTAGCCTTGAAAAGAGCCGCTTGGCTAATTGCATCTGCCAGCTGCCATGTTGGTTACTACGTTGCAAAGAAGGATGGTGTCATGATATTACAGATCTCTAGAATAGCAGTACTGACAGCTTCAGGGATCACCTCATCTGACCATATGGTTTTATATTTGAGGAAACATAGAGAGATGAAGTGACTCACTGAGGGTCAAAAAAATATGACCTTCTGGGCATTTGAAGAACATGGAACTTCCCTTGCATAAAAGGTGTGAGTTTCATTCAGCTCAATTCCATTTGTGTAACTTTAACTCCTTTCCTCCTGAGCAACATGACTGAGTATTCCATAGGCAGGGGACAGAATTTCCATTTAACTAATGAACAAACTGAAGTCAGGGAGTTTAGACATGTCCAGAATCACCCAGAGATCTAACATTGTATTGCCTGGATAAGCAGGCAAGTCTCCTGATGTTGTTGAGTCTTTGTAGAGCATTGATTCACAAGCATTTGGCCATTTACTTGGGAAAAATTTGTCCTATGCCAGCCATGTTCTTTAAATTAATTATCTCCATGGCCAAGAGTATGCATTTATGAGCCAGCTGAAAAGTCAGGGTTATTCCATTTGGGGGAAAAATTAAGTAGAATTAAGCAGTTAATACACCACTGAGCATGGAAGCTTCAGCATTGAACATTAAACAGTTATCTTGATACACTTTGCTTCTCTTCCATCTATGGACATGATTGATTACTTAACCTCCCCTTATGACTGGTCAAAGCTTTGAGAATTGGTTGTTATGGAAAATGAGCTATGCAGTACATTGAAACCCACAACTTTCATAATATTCCTCCTGACAGTGCCCTAATGCTACCTGGAGGAGTGTGTGCAGTCTAGAAGACACAAGATAGCAGATGCCCATGAGAAAATGAGCCAGCATGGTGGTTGCTTAAGGGTAAAGAGAATGAGGTGTTGAGGTGCATTTGCAGAAGTCCCATGGCTGCCAGGGAGACCCACACTCCAGTCCGTTTTTTTTTCCTTCTCTTGCCAAATTTTCTGCTTTTCAGAAAAATCCCTACAGTCATCTTTTTATTTGGCTGTAGACAGACACAAACAGGAAAACATCAAGATGGCCCAGTTGTAGATGTGGGACCCTTGAGACTGTGGCTTCCGTTCAGCTTGCACTAAGAGGGCAACTGCCATCTAGTTAATAAATGATGCCAGGTTGGGGGTTAGGCACTTTTGTGATTCTAGTTCCCCAGGCTCCTGTCACTCTGTCCTTCCCTCTGATAAACAGGCTCTGGGATCAGTGAGTCAGATGTCATCCACAGCCTAGGGCTTGGTGTAGAGTCAGTGCAGGGGAGCTCTAGAAGAAATGGCTAGAGAGGGAAAATGACCTGTACTGTATTTAGAGCTTTGAAGAGTGAAGTTTTTACTCCATCTTTAATCCAAAATTAAGAATAGTTGCATTTTAGTATTTATAATGGTACAGCTGAGTAGAACTGTGTATACCCTTTATCATATTAGCCACTTTATTATTTATTATATTAATGGGGAAACTGAGGTTCAGAGGAACAGTGAATGCACTAGAAACCAGGTTTGTTAATATGCTTTTCCTACCATGCCCCCTGTGCTTTGAGTTGCCTTTGCATTCTAGGAGTCAAATTTGCTAATATGGCAGAGGATGGGTTTATTCAGAAGAAATCTAGAAATACACCATAGACCCTAGGGTTGTTTCCATGCCAACTCACCTGATTATTTAGTAACAAATAGACTCCCAAACCAAAGTACATTGCTCATCCCCCACCCTCAACCTTGGGGATAACTGATTAAGCTAGATACCCCATTAGCAAATCACCTCCTATGTGGCATCAAATGTGTTCCCAGATGGTTCAGAAGAGCATAGTCACTTTTCAAGATCAGGGAGAGCAGAGCAGGACGGCAGTTCAGGATAGGCGTGTCCAGCTTAGGCAGCCTCTCTCCATGTTCCAACCATGCTCTTTTTCCTTCTTGATCCTGTGTGAGTTTTTTTTTTTTTTTTTTTTTTTTTTTTCACGAGAATGAGCTAAATTTTCCAGGGCTCGTTTAATGGCTGGGAAAGTTGCTACAGTTCTGCCTGGATTTTTTTTTTTTTTTAAACCACAGCGCTCAAGCTGTTGGGTACATACCCATGAGGCAGTAACCATAAAGCTAAGAGACAACTAAATCTTAGTTCCATCTCCAAAAATGTATGTTTTTTTTTCACCCTGAAAATTCACACATAATAAAATACTTAAGAACCTCCTTTCATTTCCCCGTATAAATACAGGGCTGCAAGGGAAGGAGATTGGATCCAAGAAGAGAGGACAGGCTGTAGCCTGCACCAGAGCTGGGACCCACTCAACTCACAGACTCACTGCAGAAAAACCAGGCTGGATAGTCAGGCTACTTTTATGATGGGAGAAATGACTATTTTTATAGCACACTAAATAAAACCTGCTTTTGGAGCTAGAAGTTTACTGCCAGAATGGGGAGGGCTGTTGTTTTTGTTTTCTGTTCTCCTTCCTTTCTCCCAAACCCTCCTTTTCAGCTGAGACAGGAAAGGAAGGTAGTGAGTTTTCAGGAGTCCTTAGAAAGTCTGTAGAAATAATATGATTTTAAAGATTATACTAAACATTATCCTAATTTATCCCAGCATCTCATGCTGATTTTACAGGGAGTACATTCAGCATTCTTGCCTTTCCCAAATCATTAGAAGAGTTCTCTCAACCAAGCAATAACAAACAACAGCAATAACCTCCATTTATATAGTTTTTTTTGGTTTCCAAAATGTTTTCACATCCATTAGGACTTCAGGGCAACCTGGAGAAGCCGGGTGATCAATTCTTTATTATAGAAAGAAGGAGTGATACCCAGAGAGGTTAGGTTACTTGCCCAAGGTCATGCCACTAATTAAGAGGTGAGTGAAAAGTAAAAAGCAGATACATTAAATAAAGAGCAAATAAAATTAAGACCCTCAGCTGGGAAGGGGGAAGTTGTTGGGGACATTACAGTGAGGGTAAGGCAAGGCTGAGGCATGATTCTGAATGTAGATATTACATTTTATTTATTTTTATTTGTGTTTGAGAGGGGGGTCTCACTCTGTCACCCAGGCCAGAATGCAGTGGCATTGTCATAGCTCACTGCAGCCTTGAACTCTGGGTTCAAGTGATCGCCCCACCTTGGCTTCCAAAAGTGCTGAGATTACAGGTGTGAGCCACTGTTCCTGGCCGAAGTGTCGATATTATGGAAGGTGGTTTCTGTTGACCTGCAGCTGCAACATGCCTTTGTCTTAAAAGCCTTATGCCTGGTGCATAATTATCAAAGGCTGGGAGAAAAAAGGCCTAATACATCTAAAGCTTCCATAAGGCCACAGAAGAAAGCTTTTCCCTGCATGATTTTGTCTGATGGTTAGTGCTGCATCATCAGGAAGTGCCGCAGAAAGATGTTTCCCTGACTGGGGATGCAGTGTCCTCGTGGCATGACACAGTGGTCCCTCAGGGGCCCTCCCAGCTTCCTCGTGCCCCATCTCTTCTTGGATTCAGGGAATTTCTGAATGCCATTCCCAGAAGTGCCTATCCCAAAACATGGTTAAGCTAGTGGATCAAGGAAAGAGGTCCTCAGAGCAACTGCCAATAGGGCAGTGATTAGAAGGGCAGGTGTCTGAGAAGGGGCCTGCTTAAGAAGCAACCAAAATCATCCACACCAAGCTGTCTAACCAGAAATGCTCAAGGAACTGATTTAAAAACAAACAAACAAACAAACAACAACAACAACAACAACAACAAAAAGAAATTCTGCAGGAGATAGTCAAGCCATCAAGCTAAGCAAAAGCTTCAGGTTCAGGTCAGTCTTTCCTTGGAGGTCGGTTCAAGAATCCAGAGCTATTGGGAGAGGTTCTATAGGTAAGAAAGATTCAGCAAAGTGTATGGGCTTGCCGGGTGCCCAGAGGCTTTATGAGGGTGCTTTTCACATGTCTCCTGATGGAAGGGCTACTGTCAGGGAAAGTAGGAGGGGTAGCTTGAGATTGGAGACAGGAGACTGTGGCTCAAGTTCTGGCCCTGATTATCCATTTGAGTTTAAGCAATCCATTAGTCTTTTAAGACTTGATCTCTTCATCTGTAAAATAGGGTCTCCAACGTCCTTCACAACTAAGATTTCATATATTTACAAAAGCACCATGTCTCGTCTATAGTGCCACCGAATGTATATGTTTGTTTAATGAATGATTCTCTGATGAAGAGAGTCAGATGCCTCAGGCTATGACCTAATGTAGCTCTGCAGCCTACATTCAACCTTCACTGTCACCATTCCATGACAGCAACTGCCCACAGACAGGCGCCAGTGCTCATCATTGAAAATATGTGATTCATCTTGTCCCCATGACTCTATAGCATGTCAGCACCCTCACCCCAAAGCACTGCTTCAAGAAATATACAATGTCTAGCTTTTTATATTTTGATAGAGGAAAAGACAAAACTCTCTAAGAAAAGGGGATAAGGTGTGTCCATTTCACAACTCCTGGATAACTGATGAACAATCTTAAGGTATCTATACTCCAGGAAGGCAGAGAAGATTGAGGCTGAGCTATTTGGCCCGAAATAACTGCAGAATCACAGCCAGTGAGTGTGCCCAATCAAAATGTGGCAGTAACCAGAGCCAGGTCTGGGCTGGCCTCCTCTTCAAAGCAGTTATTGTCACTGTGGTTATCAGTGACCTCTCCCAGACCTGGCATCACCGATCAGGAGTTTGAACTAGAACTGTTGCCAAAAGGGATGTGGGGATGACTAGGGTTAAATGGTGCAGCATGCTGTACCCCTGTTAGTGGGTAACTGCATTTATGATGGGTGTCAATACTAGTAATTAATTTTTAAAAGGAGACTAGTAATACCTGACATTTGTTGAACACTTCCAATGTGTTCTGTGATGACATTATATATATAATTATACTTTAAGTTCTAGGGTACATATGCACAATGTGCAGCTTTGTTACATATGTATACATGTGCCATGTTGGTGTGCTGCATCCATTAACTCGTCATTTACATTAGGTATATCTCCTAGTGCTATCCCTCACGCCTCACCCCACCCCACGACAGGCCCTGGTGTGTGATGTTCGCACCCTGTGTCCAAGTGTTCTCATTGTTCAATTCCCACCTATGGGGGAGAACATGCGGTGTTTGGTTTTCTGTCCTTGTGATAGTTTGCTCAGAATGATGGTTTCCAGCTTCATCCATGTCCCTACAAAGGACATGAACTCATTCTTTTTTATGGCTGTATAGTATTCCATGGTGTATATGTGCCACATTTTCTTAATCCAGTCTATCATTGATGGACATTTGGGTTGGTTCCAAGTCTTTGCTATTGTGAATAGTGCCACAATAAACATACATGTGCATGTGTCTATATAGCAGCATGATTTATAATCCTTTGGGTATATACCCAGTAATGGGATGGCAAGGTCAAATGGTATTTCTAGTTCTAGATCCTTGAGGAATTGCCACACTGTCTTCCACAATGGTTAAAATAGTTTACAGTCCCACCAACAGTGTAAAAGCATTCCTATTTCTCCACATCCTCTCCAGCACCTGTTGTTTCCTGACTTTTTAATGATTGCCATTCTAACTGGTGTGAGATGGTATCTCATTGTGGTTTTGATTTGCATTTCTCTGATGGCCAGTGATGATCAGCATGTTTTCATGTGTCTGCTGGCTGCATAAATGTCTTCTTTTGAGAAGTGTCTGTTCATAGCCTTTACCCACTTTTTGATGGGATTGTTTGATTTTTCCTTGTAAATTTGTTTAAGTTCTTTGTAGATTCTAGGTATTAGCCCTTTGTCAGATGGGTAGATTGTAAACATTTTCTCCCATTCTGTAGGTTGCCTGTTCACTCTGATGGTAGTTTCTTTTGCTGTGCAGAAGCTCTTTAGTTTAATTAGATCCCATTTGTCAATTTTGGCTTTTGTTGTTATTGCTCTTGGTGTTCTAGTCATGAAGTCCTTGCCCATGCCTATGTCGTGAATAGTATTGCCTAGGTTTTCTTCTAGGGTTTTTATGGCTTTAGGTCTAACATTTAAGTCTTTAATCCATCCGTCTTGAATTAATTTTTGTATAAGGTGTAAGGGAGGGATCCAGTTTCAGCTTTCTACATATGGCTAGCCAGTTTTCCCAGCACCATTTATTAAATAGGGAATCCTTTCCCCATTTCTTGTTTTTGTCAGGTTTGTCAAAGATCAGATGGTTGTAGATGTGTGGTATTATTTCCGAGGGCTCTACTCTGTTCCATTGGTCTATATCTCTGTTTTGGTAGCAGTACCATGCTGTTTTGGTTACTGTACCCTCGTAGTATAGTTTGAAGTCAGGTAGTGTGATGCCTCCAGCTTTGTTCTTTTGGCTTCGGATTGTCTTGGCAATGTGGGCTCTTTTTTGGTTCCATATGAACTTTAAAGTAGTTTTTTCCAATTCTGTGAAGAAAGTCATTGGTAGCTTGATGAGGATGGCATTGAATCTATAAATTACCTTGGGCAATATGGCCATTCTCACGATATTGATTCTTCCTACCCATGAGCATGGAATGTTCTTCCATCTGTTTGTATCCTCTTTTATTTCATTGAGCAGTGGTTTGTAGTTCTCCTTGAAGAGGTCCTTCACATCCCTTGTAAGTTGGATTCCTAGGTATTTTATTCCCTTTGAAGCAATTGTGAATGGGAGTTCACTCATGATTTGGCTCTCTGTTTGTCTGTTATTGGTATATAGGAATGCTTGTGATTTTTGCACATTGATTTTGTATCCTGAGACTTTGCTGAAGTTGCTTATCAGCTTAAGGAGATTTTGGGCTGAGATGATGGGGTTTTCTAGATATACAATCATGTCATCTGCAAACAGGGACAATTTGACTTTCTCTCTTCCTAATCAAATACACTTTATTTCTTTCTCTTGCCTGATTGCCCTGGCCAGAACTTCCAACACTGTGTTGAATAGGAGTGGTAAGAGAGGGCATCCTTGTCTTGTGCCAGTTTTCAAAAGGAATGCTTCCAGTTTTTGCCCATTCAGTATGATATTGGCTGTGGATTTATCATAAATAGCTCTTATTATTTGGAGATACGTCCCACCAATACCTAGTTTATTGAGAGTTTTTAGCATGAAGCGCTGTTGAATTTTGTCAAAGGCCTTTTCTGCATCTATTGAGATATTCATGTGGTTTTTGTCTTTGATTCTGTTTATATGCTGGATTATGTTTATGGATTTGCATATGTTGAACCAGCCTTGCATCCCAGGGATGAAGCCAACTTGATCGTGGTGGATAAGCTTTTTGATGTGCTGCTGGATTCGGTTTGCCAGTATTTTTTTGAGGATTTTTGCATCGATGTTCATCAGGGATATTGGTCTAAAATTCTCTTTTTTTGTTGTGTCTCTGCCAGGCTTTGGTATCAGGATGATGTTGGCCTCATAAAATGAATTAGGAAGGATTCACTCTTTTTCTATTGATTGGACTAGTTTCAGAAGGAATGGTACCAGTTCCTCTTTGTACCTCTGGTAGAATTCAGCTGTGAATCCATCTGGTCCTAGACTTTTTTTGATTGGTAGGCTATTAATTATTGCCTCAATTTCAGAACCTGTTATTGGTCTATTCAGGGATTCAACTTCTTCCTAGTTTAGTCTTGGGAGGGTGTATGTGTCCAGGAATTTATCCATTTCTTCTAGATTTTCTAGTTTATTTGCGTAGGGCTGTTTATAGTATTCTCTGATGGTAGTTTGTAATTCTGTGGGATTGGTGGTGATATCCCCTTTATCATTTTTTATTGTGTCTATTTGAGTCTTCTCTCTTTTCTTCTTTATTAGTCTTGCTAGCAGTCTATCAATTTTGTTGATCTTTAAAAAAAAAACTGCTCCTGGATTCATTGATTTTTTTGAAGAGTTTTTTGTGTCTCTATCTCCTTCAGTTCTGCTCTGATCTTAGTTATTTCTTGCCTTCTGCTAGCTTTTGAATGTATTTGCTCTTGCTTCTCTAGTTCTTTTAATTGTGATGTTAGGGTGTCAATTTTAGATCTTTCCTGCTTTCTCTTGTGGGCATTTAGTGCTATAAATTTCTCTCTGCACACTGCTTTAAATGTGTCCCAGAGATTATGGTATGTTGTGTCTTTGTTCTCATTGGTTTCAAAGAACATCTTTATTTCTGCCTTCATTTCATTATGTACCCAGTAGTCATTCAGGAGCAGGTTATTCAGTTTCCATGTAGTTGAGCGGTTTTGAGTGAGTTTCTTAATCCTGAGTTCTAGTTTGATTGCACTGTGGTCTGAGAGACAGTTTGTTATAATTTCTGTTCTTTTACATTTGCTGAGGAGTGCTTTACTTCCAACTGTGTGGTTAGTTTTGGAATAAGTGTGATGTGGTGCTGAGAAAAATGTATATTCTGTTGATTTGGGGTGGAGACTTCTGTACATGTCTATTAGGTCCACTTGGTGCAGAGCTGAGTTCAATTCCTGGATATCCTTGTTAACTTTTTGTCTCGTTGATCTGTCTAATGTTGACAGTGGGGTGTTAAAGTCTCCTATTTTTATTCTGTGGGAGTCTAAGTCTCTTTGTAGGTCTCTAAGGACTTGCTTTATGAAGCTGGGTGCTCCTGTATTGGGTGCATATATATTTAGGATAGTTAGCTCTTCTTGTTGAGTTGATCCCTTTACCATTATGCAATGGCCTTCTTTGTCTCTTTTGATCTTTGTTGGTTTAAACTCTGTTTTATTAGAGACTAGGATTGCAACCCCTGCTTTTTTTTGTTTTCCATTTGCTTGGTAGATCTTCCTCGATCCCTTCATTTTGAGCCTATATGTGTCTCTGCACGTGAGATGGGTCTCCTGAATATAGCACACTGATGGGTCTTGACTCTTTATCCAATTTGCCAGTCTGTGTCTTTTAATTGGAGAATTTAGCCCATTTACATTTAAGGTTAATATTGTTATGTGTGAATTTGATCCCGTCATTATGATGTTAGCTGCTTATTTTGCTTGTTAGTTGATGCAGTTTCTTCCTAGCATTGATGGTCTTTACAATTTGGCATGTTTTTGCAGTGGCTGGTACTGGTTGTTCCTTTCCATGTTTAGTGCTTCCTTCAGGAGCTCCTGTAAGGCAGGCCTGGTGGTGACAAAATCTCTCAGCATTTGTTTATTGTAAAGGATTTTATTTCTCCTTCACTTATGAGGCTTAGTTTGGATGGATATGAAATTCTGGATTGAAAATTCTTTTCTTTAAGAATGTTGAATATTGGTCCCCACTCTCTTCTGGCTTGTAGAGTTTCTGCTGAGAGATCCGCTGTTAGTCTGATGGGCTTCCCTTTGTGGGTAACCCGACCTTTATCTCTGGCTGCCCTTAACATTATTTCCTTCATTTCAACTTAGGTGAATCTGACAATTATGTGTCTTGGAGTTGCTCTTCTCGAGGAGGATCTTTGTGGCGTTCTCTGTATTTCCTGAATTTGAATGTTGGCCTCCCTCACTAGGTTGGGGAAGTTCTTCTGGATAATACCCTGAAGAGTGTTTTCCAACTTTGTTCCATTCTCCCCATCACTTTGAGGTACACCAATCAGATGTAGATTTGGTCTTTTCACATAGTCCCATATTTCTTGGAGGCTTTGTTCATTTCTTTTTACTCTTTTTTTTCTCTAAACTTCTCTTCTCGCTTCATTTCATTTATTTGATCTTCCATCACTGATACCCTTTCTTCCACTTGATCAAATCGGCTACTGAAGCTTGTGCATGCATCACGTAGTTCTCGTGCCATGGTCATTTAAGGACTCCTCAGGTCATTTAAGGACTTCTCTACACTGTTTATTCTAGTTAGCCATCTGTCTAATCTTTTTTCAAGGTTTTTAGCTTCTTTGCATTGGGTTTGAACATCCTCCTTTAGCTCAGAGAAGTTTGTTATTACCGATCATTTGAAGCCTTCTTCTCTCAGCTCGTCAAAGTCATTCTCTCTCCGGCTTTGTTCCGTTGCTCACAAGGAGCTGCATTCCTTTGGAGGAGAAGAGGTGCTCTGATTTTTAGAATTTTCAGCTTTTCAGTTGTGGTTTCTCCCCATCTTTGTGGTTTTATCTACCTTTGGTCTTTGATGATGGTGACGTACAGTTGGGGTTTTGGTGTGGGTGTCCTTTCTGTTTGTTAGTTTTCCTTCTAACAGTCAGGACCCTCAGCTGCAGGTCTGTTGGAGTTTGCTGAGGTCCCCTCCAGACCCTGTTTGCCTGGGTATCACCAGCGGAGGCTGCAGAACAGCAAATATTGCACAACGGCAGATGTTGCTGCCTGATCCTTCCTCTGGAAGCTTCATCTCAGAGGGGCACCCAGCCGTATGAGGTGTCAGTCGGCCCCTACTGGGAGGTGTCTCCCAGTTAGGCTACTCGGGGGTCAGGGACCCACTTGTGGAGGCGGTCTGTCCATTCTCAGATCTCAAACTCCATGCTGGAAGAACCACTCCTCTCTTCAAAGCTGTCAGACAGGGACGTTTAAGTCTGCAGAAGTTTCTGCTGCTTTTTGTTCAGCTATGCCCTGCCCTCAGAGGTGGAGTCTACTGAGGCAGGCAGGCGTCCTTGAGCTCCGTGGGCTCCACCCAGTTCGAGCTTCCTGGATGCTTTGTTTACCTACTCAAGCCTCAGCAATGGCAGACGCCCCTCCCCAGCCTTGCTGCAGCCTTGCAGTTTGATCTCAGACTGTTGTGCTAGCAGTGAGTGAGGCTCCGTGGGTGTGGTACCCTCCGAGCCAGGCACGGGATATAATCTCCTGGTGTGCCATTTGCTAAGGCTATTGGAAAAGCGCAGTATTAGGGTGGGAGTGTCCCAATTTTCCAGGTACTGTCTGTCATGGTTTCCCTTTGCTAGGAAAGGAAATTCCCCAACCCCTTATGCCTCCCAGGTGAGGCGATGCCCTGCCCTGCTCCATGGGCTGCACCCACTGTCTGACAAGCCCCAGTGAGATGAACCTGGTACCTCAGTTGGAAATGCAGAAATCACCCGTCTTCTGCGTCACTCATGCTGGGAGCTATAGAATGGAGCTGTTCCTATTCGGCCATCTTGGAACCTCCTGTGATAACATTTTTACCAACCTTGTCTTGTTTAATTCTTAACACAACCCCATCAGGTAGGTGCTGTTGTTTTCCCTTTTTTTTTTTTTTCTTTTTTTAGACTGAGTCTTGCTCTGTTGCCCAGGGTGGAGTGCAGTGGTGCAATCTCAGCTCACTGCAACCTCCACCTCCTAGGTTCAAGCGATTCTCCTGCCTCAGCCTCCCAAGTAGCTGAGATTACAGGTGCACATCAGCATGCCCAGCTAATTTTTGTATTTTTAATAGAGACGGGGTTTTGCCATGTTGGCCAGGCTGGTGTTGAACTCCTGACCTCAAGTGATCTGCCCTCCTCGGCCTCCCGAAGTGCTGGGATTACAGGTGTGAGCCACTGTGCCCAGCCTGTTTTCTCCATTTTTGAAGTAGAGAAGATAAGTAACGAGCCTCAGTTCTCATAGGTAGTAAGAGGCAAAGCTGGGATTCGAACTTGTTTTTCTGATTCCAGAGTTTCAATGCACTCCCAAGATTTCCCACTGTGTAGGAAACTCTAGTGTAACCCTGACCAGGCACCAGGCACTGGTCAAAGTGCTTTACATAGATTATTTGATTCACTTGTTGACCTCATCTTAAGGGTAACTATATTATGTTTCCTGTTTTACAGATAGGGAAAGTGGGACACAGAGAGGTAAAGCAACTTGCCCAAGGTCACACAGCTAGTAATATTTGGACTCAGCTCAGATTTGACCCCATTTGTGCTGGCTCAAGAGTCTGTGCTCCTAACTGCTGTACACTCCTGCCCCATTTCCTCTCAGAATAAAGACGGAAGACAGTCCACAAGTGACACATGCCACACTATCTTCAGCAGGAATCCTAGAGAAAGTTCAGGGGCACATATAGGAGATTCCAAAGGCAGTGGCCATGGGTTGACATGGGGACCCACATGACCACTGCACCTGAGGCATTGTGATGGGAAGCCATCAGGACATGAACTTGTTCTTGCAGCACTACAGGGAGGAGCGGCAATGAATCCAAGGCTCAGACTCCACCCACAAGGCCAGTCATCCTGGCTCTGCCCACCAGCCTCTGTGAGGTCACTTCTTTCAGAGGGGACTTACACTAAATGAGTGAGGCACCAAATGCTTGCAGTTCACAGTGTTCATGGGAAGCTTAAAAGCTGGAATTTTAGATGAATTCAGCATTTTCTTGACATTTTAGACTTGATTTATAATCAACGGTTATTTTAGCCCTAATGGCAAAAAACACCAGTTTGGCAGTAAAAAGCATTAATATAAAGGAAAAAAGGGAAACATGCGGTAAAGAGGAAAAGGATGCTTCTTTTCCTCTGCTCTTTCTTATCTATTTTTTTCTTTTTCCTCTAATACCCACAGGCTAGGTATAATCTTGGTGCATAATCTTGGAACCCTCTCCTGCTTCTGCCTGCATGACTGTCTCTCACTGGTCTCCCTGCACCCACTCCACCCTGAGACAAAGCTGAACAATTTCATTTCAGCTCTCCCATGTAGAAACCCTTGCATTACAGTGTTGGCCAAACTTGGCTGAAGTAAGAGGCTCTCTAGAAGTACCTGTTAAAAACACCAGAGTCCTGGGCCCCAACCCAGAACAATGACTCCACATGTGCAGAAGGGGAGCCTTGTGAGCTGTGTATTTAGAAGAGGCCACTGGTGATTCTTAACCATAAACAAGCATGGGAAATGACTTTTGGCCAGGTTAATGATCCTCTCTCCTCATTCATTTAACTTTCTCCAGGAGGCAGGCTTCTCAAATCCCTTGCCATGCATGCCCTGCCTTTCAAGGGGCTACAGGTTTTTACTGATAGGACATTCACACGTGAATGTTCCACCACACTAATTTTGCCCCTTCATTGTAAGATACCAATTCTCAAAGAGGAGACAAGAATGTGTTATGTTTCTTTCTTTTTTGAGAGGAGTAGCATGGAGAACAAAGCCTCAGTGAAGAATAGCTAAAACATTTTTAAAACTGAAATGTTGCTCCCTGTAATTCTTCTCCATCAGGATGAGCCTGCAGTTGTCCCTCAATGCCTTCCTACTGCAGAATGTATCTGAATCAGGACTGCACCCTAATTTTGGCTTCATCCCTCAGAAGCCCAGCCCAGGGCTCCCAGGACCCCACTGGAGACCTTCAGATGCCTGAGCAGGGAGGGCAGAGGCTGCTGCTGGAAAAGACAGAGCCGTGGTGCTGTAGTGGGATCCCGGGGCAGCGGGTCCTCGGCACTTGAACAGTGAAATCTGGAGGCCACCAAGTCCCTTCTGGAAGGATGCAGCAGTGCCACTGCATTCCAATTAGCCCCTCCAAGCCTGCCCCATGGCTGTCTCTGAAGTGGTCACCTTGCAGCTCCACACTAATTTACCTCTCTCTTTCAGTAAGTTTTCTGAAGTCGGCTTCCAGCTCTACTGCTGAGAGGCTGTTTTTTTATTTGTAAGTCACATAATTGAAAATCCAGTTTTTATAATTTTTTCCCCTACCAGTACACATGTCTCGACCACGGGGAAGCCCCTGGAAGCCTGCTAAAAACAGCCATAGGAGGGGGTGCTGGGAAGTCTCTTCTAGGGGCACGTTTGCTCTCAGTTGCAGTGACCTGGTCCTCGGATGCCAGCCAACACAGAAAGGGATGCCTGTCTCCTCTGCTTGCCAGAGCCATCCAAGGACACGCAGATAGACTCCATCTCTAAACAGGAAAGTGATATCTAAGAGGTAGAACAAGGTAATCTGTGCACAAGTGAGCTCTCTATGACTGCATATTGTCAGGTAGCCCCGAGGGAAGCTGTACAGGAAGATCTCAAGCTCTGAACATTAGGCTAGGTTGAAAGCAGAAAGTGGTGAGAGACAGCAGCCAAGAGGGTGACCAGAATGAATGATTGCTAGAAATGCCCAACTGAGTTTAAATGAGGTACTCCCTGGTTAATGTCTCCACCCTAGACCCTATTTCTGCTGGATGTTGTTTTCAGAAAAGCAGTTCACTGAAAAGTATGGGAATAAAATAGCTATATTTATATAATGCCTACTATGGGCCAAGCACTGTGTTAAATACTTGACAGTCTTCAACTTCTAATGCTTTCAACTCCCCCTTTAAGATAGGCACTACTGGCCGGGCGCGGTGGCTCACGCCTGTAATCCCAGCACTTTGGGAGGCCGAGGCGGGCGGATCACGAGGTTAGGAGATCGAGACCATCCCGGCTAAAACGGTGAAACCCCGTCTCTACTAAAAATACAAAAAAAAATTAGCCGGGCGTAGTGGCGGGCGCCTGTAGTCCCAGCTACTTGGGAGGCTGAGGCAGGAGAATGGCGTGAACCCGGGAGGCGGAGCTTGCAGTGAGCCGAGATCCCGCCACTGCACTCCAGCCTGGGCGACAGAGCGAGACTCCGTCTCAAAAAAAAAAAAAAAAAAAAAAGATAGGCACTACTGCTAGTTTCTAGACAAGGAAGCTCAGGTGTAAGAGGTCAGGTGACGTGTCTAGTGAATGGTATGTAGAGCTGAGATTCCACCCCAGGCACAGAACCTGAGCCTCCCCACCACACTGCAGCCTTTCAGCTACTCCTTAGAGCCCAGGAACAGTGAGTCTGGTCAAGGTCTTAGGAGAAGACCGGCACATCTCAGATGCTAGTCCTTGAGCTCCACCTGGGAGCTTATTAGAAATGCACGCTTGCAGCCCCATCTCAGACTTCCAAAATCAATCTGCGTTTCGGCAGATTCCCCAGGTGACTCTTGTGCGCTCTGAATATGAGCAGTGCTGGGTTCCAATTCTCACTCCACGGTTTGGTCTGGCTCTTTCCTCTACACTCCAATCTTCCTCTCTTTCTCCCCCGTCCCATAGTTGAAGTGTGGAGGGGGAAGAGAACAATGAACAGACTTTAAAATATAAAATGATCTCTCATGTTCTTATCACTTCGACACATTCCTCTCAGCTCCAGATATTGTTTCGTCCTCAGCAAAGTCCTGATCTGTGCTGACAGGGAAAGGGACTCCACTAATTGGAAGCAGGGAGTGGGGGAGCAGGGGAGGGAGGTGAGGGGGCAGACACCATGGTCAGGACCACTCTGGAGCAAGCCACGTCCTGGGTCCCTGCGTTCCTCTGTGCCACCACTCCCTGCTGTCTGGCCCCACAACCCTGTTGGCTTCCCTCCTCTGGGGAGGATAACAAAGGCTGGCTCCCCCACCAGGAGCGTCCTGAGACGTCCCTGAACGTGACAGTCCCTCCAGCCACTGCCGATGTTATTAATTTTTAAAACAAACTTCCTGATTGAGGTTCTGGCTGCCTCTAAATTGTCTCTACAAGGAGACTGTGTACTAATTAACCCATAGAAACAATCAATGATGTACCTTTTTCAAGTTTCAGGGTGATTAGAATATGAAAATGAAGAGCACAATGGTGCAGATGTTTTAAAATCACAGCAGACAGCAATTAGTGACACGGAAACCAGCTGCTTATCTCTCCAGATAAAGCCTCTTAATAGGGAATTACACTGGAGGAGCCATTACCCAGATGGATCTCACATGATTTACAGAGGAGGCGGGGCAGTGTTAACTTTGATTTGTGAGCCAGGTTCTTGTCAAGCTTCCTTCCTTACCTCGGAGGAAGGTGAATTTGTGGCTGGGGTGGAGACACGGGCTTCACCTTTCTCCCTGGTGGCCCAGGTTAGGGAAAACACCAGGATGAGGAGAGGAGAGAACAATGGTGTTTACAGAAGCCACCAGCACCTGTCTTCTTGATTCGGGCTCTATTGTTTTGAGATCAACTCAGTCAGCTATCTCTGCACAGAGGGGAGAGTGAGGATCTGGGAAGGGGAAATAGTGAGTGGCTTGCGGGCCGCCCTATGTTTCACTGGAAAGAAAAGGCCCCTGCTTTCTGCTGCTTGGCTTTGGAGTGTGTGCATGTGTGTGTGTGTGTGTGTGTGTGTCTGTGTCTCTGTGCCTGTGTGTGTGTGTGTGATATAGGGAGTTCATAGTCATCATTTTTGAATGGATTTCTCATTTTTGATTATTTTAACATGATTGAGGTTAAATGTACATATACTGAAATGTACAGATCTTAAATATGAAGTTCAAAGAGTATCAACAAATGTACACAGCTGTGTGACTCACACTCCTATCAAGACACAAAGTACATCCATAACTCACTGGAAACTCCCTCATGCCCATGCCAGCCCTTCCCAGCCCCGGTCCCCACCACACTCTACCCTGGAAGCAACCACTGTTCTGACACCTATCATAATAGATTTGTTTTGCCTGATCTACACCTTTATATAAACAGAATGGTACAGTGTGGATCTTGGGGTCTAGCTTCTTTGGCTCAGCATGATTATGTGTATGTGTGTGGCTTATCCATGTGGTGGGGTGTGTCCATGGTTTGTTCCTTTTATAGATGAGTTTGTCTTTTCTGCCTTTGATTGGCACCTGAACCGCTTCAAGGTGCTAACAACTCTGAATAAGCTGCTATAAAGTTTTTATAAAAGTCTAATTGTGGATGTATGTTTTCTTTTCTCTTGGGTAAATATATGAGTGGAATTGCTGGGTCTCAGGATTAACTTTAAAAGACATGCTGAGAGATCTTCCAAAGTGATTTTTACTGTTTTATGCTCCCTCCAACAACGTATGATAGTGTCAGTTGCTCCAGATCCTTGTCAACGTTTGTTATTTTCAGTCTCTTTCATTTTAGCCATCCCAGTGAATGTGCAATGGTATCTGATTGTGGTTTTAATTGACATTTCTTTGATGGCAGATAATGTTTGAAGACATTGATATGTGTTCACTGGTCATTCCTGCTTGTTACCGGCACAGCATATTTTGACAAACGTATTTTGCAGTTGTTGGGTGAGGGTAAGTTGGTTGATAGTACAGATGAAACCTCTGGTGGGTTTTTTCTGATTTTTTAGGAAATTTGTTCGGCAATTACTGAGAGAGGAGTGTTAAAATACCTTTAATTGTGGAATCATCTCTTAGTTATTGTTTTATATCTTTGAAGTTCTATGGTGAGGGACAAACAAATTTAGGATGATTGTCTCTTCTTGGTAAATTGACTCTATATCATTTTGAAATGTCCATAATTATCTCTGGGAATGCTTTTTACTCGGAAGCCTATTTTTCCTTACATTAATAAAATCATTACAGCATTCTTATGTTTAGTGTTTGTGTGGTATGTCTTGTTCCCTCCTTTTACTTTTAAGCTGTCTTTGTATTTAAAGTGTATCTCCTATAAGCAGCATATAGTTCAGTTTTTCTTTTTTATTCACTCTGATAAGATGCCTTTTATTTTCTTGCAGTATATTATTTTTGGTATCTCTAGAGTTAATATAATTACTGATACTGTTGGGTTTAAGTTTACTATGTTGCTTGTATTTTCTGTTTTTCCCATTTTCATTCTTTTTTTCTGCTCTCTTTTAGAGTCATCAAGCATTTTTTTGTAATCCATATGTTTCCTTGTATTGACATTTTAGATATGCAACTTTTTTTAATACTGATTGCTGTAGAGATTACAATGCGTACCCTTAAAATATTACAGTCTACTTTGAACTAATATTACATCCCTTCACATATAAGAAGATTACGAATGTATACCTCTATATGTACGCTCTTATTCTTTGTTTTATTGTTGTGGTGGAGTTTATTTCTACAAATGTCATAAATCCTAAAATCTTATTTCTGCTTTAAGAAGTCACTTGTCTTTTAACAATCTTAACAAGAATAGAATATTTTGTATACACCAATATATTTACTATTTTCAGCACTTTTCATTCATTCATGTAGATCTCAGTTTCCATCTGGTGTCATTTCCTTTTGGCCTAAAGAACTTTCTTTTACATATCTTGTAATTCAGGTCTGCGAGAAATGAATTCCCTCGGTTTTTATTTATCTGAATATCTTTATTTTGTCATCATTTTTAAAGAATATTTTCGCTGGATATATAAATTTGACTGTTTTGTTTTCATTTCAGTACTTTAAAGATGTTGGCTCATTGTCTTCTTGTTTATATTCTAATTAATGAGAAGTCAGACTTTTTTTTTTTTTTTTTTTTTTTGAGATGGAGTCATACTTTGTTGCCAGGCTGGAGTGCAGTGGCGCCATCTCACCTCACTGCAACCTCCACTTCCTGGTTTCAAGCAATTCTTGTGCCTCACCCTCCAAAGTAGCTGGGATTACAGGCATGCACCACAACACCCTGCTAAATTTTTTTTGTATTTTTAGTAGACACGGGGTTTTACCATGTTGGGCCAGGCTGGTCTTGAACTCCTGACCACCTCAAGTGATCCATCCCTTGGCTTCCCAAAGTGCTGGGATTACAGGTGTGACCAGACATTATTTTTGCACCCCTATAAATAATCTCTTTCTTCTCTGATGGCTTTTGAATTTTTTCTCTTTATTTTTGGTTTTGATCAATTTGTCTACAGTGTGCTTAGATGTGGTTTTCATGGGTGTTTTTATTCTGCTTGGGATTCGTTGAGCTTCTTAGCTATGAGAATATGTATACACTAATCTTTTGGTATTCTCATTATCAGTCTGTTAGACCTCTTGATATTGCTCCATAGATCAGTGAGGTACTGTTTTTCCATTATTATAATTAATTCTTGTTATTATTTTCCCTTCTGTATTTCAGTTTGGATAGTTTCTACTGCTTTCTCTTCATGTTTACTCAACTTCTCTTTTGCAATGTCCTAGAATCTGTTAAGCAACTCCAGTGAGTTTTTTTTTTTGTTTGAGATATTGTATTTTTCAGATTTAGAATTTTCATTTTATTATTTTAGTGTAGTCGTTGCGATCCTGAGACTTCCCATATGTTCATCAATTATGTGTATCTTTTCTTTTAAATACTTGCACATTTTCATAGTAGCTGTTTGGAGAGCCTTGGATTGGATTTTACCCTCCTGATTGTGGGTCCCATTTGCCTGCTTCTTTGCCTGTCTAGTAAGCTTTTTATTGTGTTCTGGATATTGTGGATGCTATATAAACTGATTTTGTTGTTTTTCTTTAAAGAGTTTTGACTTTTGTTCTGATAAGCAGTTAATTTATTGGCAGATCAGCTTTATGCTATCGAGAGTTCTTTTCAGAATTTGTTAGTGAGGGACTCGAGTAGCTTTTATTCTAGAGCTGGAATAATTCTGCTCTTAAGGAGTACCATTTCTGAGATCTCAGCTGAATGCCTGGGATATTCATTGAAGCCTCCCCACTCTGTCTGGTGAGAAATCCAACCTTGCCCAATACTATATGACCTAAGGACTCTATGTTTAGCTGATAGCCCCCAGTAGCTAATCTCTGCTAGGCTTTGTGAAATCTTACCTTCAAGTGAAGACTAAAATTTTTCCAGATACTTAAGATAATCCCTATGAAGGTTTCTAGAGTTCCTTTCTACATAGCTCCCCTTTCTCAGGTATCCTAACCTGCAAATTCCATTTCCCTCAGGAGCCCCAAACTCTGATCTTGGTTTTGTCTTCCCAGTGAAGTCACAGCTATCTGGGCTTTTCTTCCCTATGCCCAGATTTAGAAAGTACCCCCAGGCAGAAAACTAGGGCTACTCTGGAACCTCGTGAGTTTCCCTTCTCTAGAATCTCAGCCTGTGTTGTCTATTGTCTAGTGCCTGAAAACAATTATTTCATATATTTTGTTTAGTTAGTTTTATATTTATCTCCATGGAAAGGTTACGTCTACTACCTATTACTCTATCATGGCTGAAATCAAGTCAGTGATTATTTTGAGTTATGCAGAATTATTTACTACTCAAAGAGGTATATGGTAGGGCCCTCTGTCGTGTATGAGCTGTTACCACCTTCAGTAAAAGAAGTGCTCTAGTATCATCCACGGCCCCTAAATAGCAAATAAGAATGAATTTTATGGGAATAACATCCAGGTGAATTCCCAGGGTGACAGAATATGAGGATGGGTTCAGTTTACATATTTAATTGGAAACTTCATATTCGTTTAGAGGCTGGATAGCTTCTCTGTGTCCATTGGAATCAAAGAATCATAAGATCATGGTACTAAAAAGATACGTAGTGACATTCTTCTCACAACTACCAGTAGCAAATGCAGGAATGAACTGGGCTAAGGAGAGATAAGCTTTGGGACAATTTCAGCAAAAGATGGAATGTGCATTCCTCCTGTTCATGAGCATAAATGGTAATTTTTCAGTTTTGTTTTAAATTAAATGACAGAACCGTTTCACTCTCTCTATCTCTGTCTCTCAAATGAAATCCCTTGTTAGGCTGGTCTGTTCTGTTGGGGGTTTAGGGGTTAAAAGGAAGGTCTGAAACATTTTTCTTGCCCCATTCACTGGCTACAGTTCAGAAATGTCTTTGCAAAATCCTAGGACTTTGTGAAACACATTTGAAAGCCACTGAGCTGGAACATCTCTTGATAATATCAGAGCCTCTCTAGTCCTTAACCCAGACCCTGTCTTTGATATAATCCAGTGGTTCTCAACTCTGTCTGCTCATTGGGATCACCTGAGAGCTTTGAAAAAGTACTACTGTTCAGGTTCCACGTCCAGAATGTTGATTTAATCACGCTGGGTCAGATCTCAGGTATGTTGATCTTTACAAAACTTCCTAGCTGATGCTAACATACAGCCAGAGTTGGGAACCTTTAATCTAGTCACACAGCTTGTGGTTGCATTCTTTGTCTCCCACACTCAGCTCCTGCTGAGGTCTGAGCACTTGCTTCTAGCTTCAGTGATGGCCTGCCAGGATTCCCCAGGGGTTTGGAATCCCACAGTGGGAGGTCATGAACACCAGCATTCCTGGTCCTTTCTTTTTTCTTTTTTTTTCTTTTTTTTTTTTGAGACAGAGTCTCTCTCTGTTGCCCAGGCTGCAGTACAGTGGTACGATCTCAGCTCATGGCAACCTCCACTTCCTGGGTTCAAGTGATTCTACTGCCTCAGCCTCCCGAGTAGCTGGGATTACAGGTGCACGCCATGATACCCATCTAATTTTTGTATTTTTGTAGAGACAGGATTTTGTCTTGTTGTCTGGGCTGGTCTTGAATTTCTGACCTCAAGTGATCCACTCATCTCAGCCTCCCAAAGTGCTGGGATTACACACATGAGCCACTGCGCCTGGCCTGTCTGGTCCTTTCTTATCCACTCAAATCATTGATTCTTCAGTCCACCTCACCTTCACTTGGAATACCTACACAGGGAATTATGTTAGAGTTTCATACTATGTAAATTACGGAGAGTTCAGAGAGCAAAACAGGAATGCTCGGTGTTGCTAACTTGTATATCCTAACAGGCCTATGGTGGTTGGTTCTGCATGTTTATCACCAAAAATTGCTGTGAATGTTATAGCAACCACAGAAGGGCCCTACTCCAGAGAAGAAATGTGGTGTTAAAACATTAGATTAGTGGTTTTAAAACTTGGTTGTCCATCAGAGTTCTCCTGAGGAGCATGTTAAAATGCATATGCCTCATTCTCTCCCTGAGAGATTGTGAGTTTGTAGGTCTACAGTGGGCCCCAGTATCTGTATTTGTAACTAGCACCTTCAGTGATTCTGATACGGTAATCTAGGACCACATCTTGAGAAGTGCCATGTTCCAAATTAAGAGATGAGGCCTCCCTCATTGCTCCATACCCAGGCATATTTTCCTGCTCATGTAATCCCAAATATCTTACAAACAGTAAATTTAAATTATTGATGTCAGCAGAAAGTAGCACAGACATAGCTAACCCAAAAGAGTAGTTTATCTTCCACAAAGTCAGGCTTCTTTTTTTTTAATGAGTTATGTGATTTTTTCTTAGATTCAAATCACCATCTTCTCATCTCCTTGCAATAAACTTTGCTTTAGGTAAGCCTGAGATAAGGCTAGGTCACTCATTTGCTTCCCATTTTTTGGACTTTTAAGATTTTACTCAGTGATCTAATTTTGTTTTGAAAAATAAACTAAAAAGTGCTTTTTAAAAAGAAACCTGACTTACACACACTTTATTTTTTTATATTTTTTTTATACTTTTAAGTTCTAGGATACAGGTGCACAACATGCAGGTTTGTTACATATGTATACATGTGCCATGTTGGTGTGCTGCACCCATTAACTCGTCATTTACATTAGGTATATCTCCTAATGCTATCCCTCCGCTCCCCGCCCACCACCAAAAGAAACTACCATCAGAGTGAACAGGCAACCTACAGAATGGGAGAAAATTTTTGCAATCTACTCAACTGACAAAGGGCTAATACCCAGAATCTACAAAGAACTCAAACAAATTTACAAGAAAAAAACAACCCCATCAAAAAGTGGGCACACACTTTAAATGTATATTATTTAGTTAACTTATAGGGGAGAGAATAGCTATCTACTTTACAAAAGAATTCTTTACATTACAGAAGAACTTGCTTCCATGAAGAAATACTGTAAGCACAAATCTGCCTAGTGTTTTCAGAGTTTCACTGAAGCATTCGACCTAGGCTCAATGTACATGGAAAACATTTTTCTTATAAAAGTGAGCCACACCTTTTAAACTGCCATGAATTTCACAAACAATCAACTCTTGGGAATGGGGAGAGAGGTGGGAGGCAGCCAGGCAGCCATGAAGCGTGCTAAGCTAAGTTTGGTATCGAAAGTTTTCCACCAGAACTGTGTGCCCAATATGGAATGTCATTGACTGTTCCCTCACATGTTAGCTGTTTTAGGAGATAGTTCTGCTGAGGGCTGAGGGTGGTATAAAGGCTTAAAAAGACTCAGACCTTATCAAAAAGACAAAAACAAACCCCAAAACTCTCAATCTAAAGAGAAAAAGGAGATGTGGTGCATAGGTTAATAAAGACCTGAGTCAGGGAGCCCGATAAGATATCATCTCCCCAGACCACTAGGATGGGAGGCAGAGGCTGTGATGTGTGCTTCGCCTGTCTTGCGGCTTGCCTTATCCATCTCTGTCTGGATGGAGTAAGTGCTCAGTTCTCAGCAAAGGACATATTGGAAATGACAGCCTCACTATTGTGAATATAATATGTCATGGCTGACAGATGAAGCGCATTGTAATGGGATATAGCTATCAGCCAAGGCTGGAGGAGGCCTTGTTCTCTGGACCTCTTAGAAAGCACTCCTTCTGGGTCCTCCCTGCCCCTTCTCTGCAGCCCAGCTGAGTGAAGATCTTAAAGCACCATTCCCCCCATTACTCCTGATCCTTTGTTGTGCTTCCCTTTTGTCCACCCTGCACTTTGATTGCTGAGCAGTCCCAGCAGGGCAGACTGCAGCTGAAATGGTAGGAACAATGGGATCAGGCAGTGGTCCAGAGAAGCACTAGGGACTGGGCATGCTTAACTGTATTACTCTCAGCTGGTCTGCCCTGGGCGTAAGTGAGCAGGCCCCACCTTTCAACTGCTAGGGTGAAATCCACCCTTCTGACAGTCTCATGGCCTTCTCCAAAGGCAGAGTTAATTGAAAAGTGAAACAATTAGGAGATGGGGAGAACTAACAGTAAAAATTGCATTGAAGGGGAGTTACCTTATAAGCTCCTTTCATCTCTAAGTATTTGGGAAGGATTTCTTGTTTAGCACGTAAGGCATTTCAGTGTTCCAGTTTCATTAGGAGCCATCATCAAATGACAGATTAGTAGTGTATTGTCTTTTGTGTGCAGCTGTATATTTTGCCATGGTAATAGGCACCTCATCCATTTATTTATTTAACAAGCACTTATCGAGAGCTTTCTGGGTGCTTGGCTTTGTAGTAGGCCTTAGGGATAAGATGATAAGTCTCTGACCTCAAAGTACTTATAGTCTAGGAAAAGGAGACAGAAAAGTACACAAATAAATGCCACCTAGCAGTATAAAGACTGTGATAGATGTCTTTATGGGAGGCAGTGGCAAATACAGGAGGTATACAGAGAATAAGAAATTAGGCTGAAGGCAGTGACCGTGTTTGCAGACATGTTGCAATACATAGATCATTGATCTCACTATTGACAAAATGAAATACCTGTCGTAAAATGTATGCTTCTTCATTCATTCAGTGGATGTTTATTGAGTGCCTACTGTGTGCCAGGTGCTCTGCCTAGTACTTCTGTGATGGTGTATACAAGCAAGAAGGGGAGACAGGCATTTAATTCAGTTAGCACACAAATCAAATGTAAAACTAAAACTATGGTATGTGCAACAAAGATAAGTTACATGGTTTCATGAAAACTTATAATGGGGGTATTTCTATAAGGTAGGGGTGTCTCCCTGGGATTGAGCTGAAGCCAGAACACGAAAAAAACATTAATTAGGGACTCTGTTAGGTACCAAGAGTAAGATAATGGAACAGCAGAGAAAAAAACGGTAGGAGTTAGGGCCCAAGATCCTGGCCTAGCGTCACCATGGAGCCTCTCTGTGGACTTTGGTGCCCAGAACTAGAAAAGTGATGGTGGTAGAGGTGGGAAAAAAAGAAGGCCACTGCAAGTCCTGTTTTACCCAGGTCCAAAAGAATCACACCGTTTGTCCCACTTTTTTTTTTTTTTTTTTTTTTTGAGACGGAGTTTCACTCTTATTGCCCAGGTGCCCAGGCTTGAGTGCAAGGGCACGATCTCGGCTCACCACAACCTCTACTTCCCGGGTTCAAGTGATTCTCCTGCCTCAGCCTCCCAAGTAGCTGGGATTACAGGCATGCACCACCAAGCCTGGCTAATTTTGTATTTTTAGTAGGGATGAGGTTTCTCCATGTTGGTCAGGCTGGTCTTGAACGCCCGACCTCAGGTGATCTGCCCGCCTCGGCCTCCCAAGTACTGGAACTACAGGCGTGAGCCACTACACCCAGCCATCCCACTGTTATTTTTAATAATCACCCCCACTAACCTTCAAGGTGCTCCAGTATGAGTAATCATACACTGATACCCTAAGGAGCAGAGAACTTAGCCTCCAAGAGCTCCTCTAGACCTGTGATCCTGTTAGTAAACACAGAGTGCCAGCTAATTTCCAAAGCATAAATAGAAACTAGCAATGCCCTGATTCATAAAAGATAAGTAAGTGGCACTTAATATTTTATGCCACGAATAAGATTTCTATGTTTTTGCTGAAAATGGAATAGCAGCCTATGTCCACAGCAGTAATGCCAGTAAACACCCTCAAGTGGTCGGATTAATTCTCTATATGTTGTTGATGGTGGTGTTTCTACTATAAGTTGCAAGATGAATTAAAAAATTAAATTGTTTTCTTAATTTTCTCCTGGGTATTTGCAGGCTTCACTTGAGGAAACTATCTCATGATGCTTACAAAATATTGTAAGTATAAACAGGATTTCACAAAATCAGAGAGGCAGGAAATAACCCTAGGGATTCCAGAAACTAGTGTGAAGGAAATCCTGGTTTCATGACTGCATTGAATTGTCCCTGTAATGCTTTATGCCATCTGTGTTTTGACTCTTAACAGGGGCTGTAAGACATGTTTTCCTATAAAGCATAAGTTCTATAGCTTCAATGAAAAATAGAGATAAAATGAGATATACAAAGATAGATGATAGATAGATAGATAGATAGATAGATAGATGATAGATAGATATTACCAGCTAAAATTTTCTAAATTCATGAAGCCAGTCATCATATACTTCCTGGAGTGGTTCTTTAATTTACTAATATTTTCTCTGTTTAACAGTTCTTAGGCTAATGCATCCTGTAAGTTTACTACTTTATGTATAAATTGGGCTTATAATAAACCTTAAGGAATACTACTTTGAACTAGTATCATGGCTTAAAATTCATCTGGAACAGTGAAAGCATATTTTTATTAAAAGTAGCTTTAATATCTCCAAACGATGTGTTCACTATCCATTCTCATTGTGGTTTTGTAGACACTGATTATGTTGTGCCTCCAGCAACATGTTCAGCTTTTTATTTTAGCTGGAGAGAGTCAGTCCTGAGAAAGATTCTGGAGACATTCCTTTAGAATCAATGTAGGGGAAACACAGTTGACAAAGTTTGGAGGAGTGATCTTGAATGACAACTATTTTTTTTTCCTGACACATTTGTCTAGTAGACTCAAGGTTGCTTTTGAGACTATCCAAGAGTTTCCTCAAGAAAGCAATAAGTACGTAATACGAAGTTTAAGGATTTCTTTGCATGCTAACCCCCAAACAGAGCAACATTCCTAGAGTCCACAAGGATTTGAAGGCTTAGGACAATTCTTGTGTGTTTCTTTTCTTCCATTTCTTCTCCGTGCCCTCGATTGGCCCACTTTTTCCCATGCAGGCTTCATACTTCTCTCCTTAATTCCTCAACCTGGGCTGTTTTTACTGGTTACAGTGGTTCCTGATGAGCTACTTGTACAGAGATGTTGAGCTCTAAGACAAAGTACAAGCTGAAATGAACTGGAACAGGAGGAAGCGAGGAAAGACATACATTCGAAGAGAAGCAGGGACAGAAATAAGAGACTGTTCGAGTTAGGTGAAAGAACACTGGGAGTCGGGAATTTCAGATTCTCTCCTGGGATTTGCCATCTTTGGCAGGACTCTCCATTGTTCAGGTCTCAGCTTCTTCACTTGTAAAATAGCATGTAAAAATGTAAAAAGGCACTGGGCTAAGTGACCTTTGTGTCCCCTCCCTCCTGTCTCTAAAGATTGCATTAAATCAAGGTAGGTCAAGATTCCTGTTATTTAGGGATAAAAGACAACAATTAAAATGTGCTTACTGATGTTCAAAACCAGTGCAATACATCTTTACTACTGCAATTGAGAAAACCTCTGTAAGACATTCTAAAATTAAAGGTGGCTGTTCATTTCGGTATTCATTTCCAACTTTCAGATCATTGAGACTTTTGATGTCAAATATTAAGTAGCTTCAACATGCTCATCTTTGTTTCTCTCTCTCTGTCTCTCTCCCTCTCCACTCCACCCACCCTTAGGCTTACGAGAGGCCCCAGAAACATTCAACTCTCCATTATGACACGGGCCTCCCACAGGACTTCACCGGTGACACCTTAAAACCAAAGCACCAGCAAAAAAGCAGCAGCCAGAACCACATGGACTGGTCCACCAACTCTGACAGCGGACCCGTCACTCAGAATTGCTTCATCAGTCCAGAGTCTGGCAGAGAAACTGCAAGCACCAGCAAGATCCCCGCTCTTGAGCCCGTGGCTTCCTTTGCAAAGGCCCAGGGTAAGAAAGGCAGTGCAGGGAACACGTGGAGTCAGTTGTCTAACAATAACAAAGATCTGCTCTTGGGAGGTGTGGCTCCATCCCCAAGCAGCCACAGCTCACCAGCCCCACCCAGCAGCTCTGCTGAGTGCAACGGGCTTCAGCCCTTGGTGGATCAAGATGGAGGAGGTACAAAGGAGCCCCCAGAACCACCTACGGTGGGCAGCAAGAAAAAGTCCAGTAAAAAAGATGTGATAAGTCAGACCATACCAAACCCAGACCTGGATTGGGTCAAGAATGCCCAGAAAGCATTTGACAATACAGAAGGGAAAAGGGAAGGTTATTCCGCAGATAGTGCCCAAGAGGCATCACCAGCCAGGCAGAACGTGAGTTCTGCCAGTAATCCTGAAAATGACTCAAGTCATGTCCGGATTACTATCCCCATCAAGGCACCCTCTCTGGATCCAACCAACCATAAGAGGAAAAAAAGACAGTCCATTAAAGCGGTGGTGGAAAAGATCATGCCAGAGAAAGCCTTGGCTTCTGGAATCACCATGAGCAGTGAAGTAGTTAACAGGATACTTTCCAACTCTGAGGGGAATAAGAAGGATCCCCGTGTCCCTAAGTTGAGTAAAATGATAGAGAATGAGTCCCCCTCAGTTGGCCTTGAAACTGGTGGAAATGCTGAGAAAGTTATCCCAGGAGGTGTGTCTAAGCCGCGGAAGCCACCCATGGTCATGACACCTCCAACGTGCACAGATCACTCTCCATCCAGAAAGCTGCCAGAAATCCAGCATCCAAAATTTGCTGCAAAACGAAGGTGGACTTGCAGCAAACCAAAACCTAGCACCATGCTTCGAGAGGCAGTTATGGCCACCTCTGATAAACTGATGCTGGAGCCCCCGTCTGCATATCCCATCACCCCATCCAGCCCTCTCTACACCAACACAGACAGTCTTACTGTGATCACTCCAGTCAAAAAGAAGCGGGGACGACCAAAGAAGCAGCCTTTGCTCACAGTCGAGACGATTCATGAGGGAACTTCCACCAGCCCCGTCAGTCCCATCAGCCGAGAGTTTCCTGGCACTAAGAAAAGAAAGCGACGACGCAATTTAGCGAAGTTGGCCCAGCTAGTGCCGGGAGAGGACAAACCCATGAGCGAGATGAAATTTCACAAGAAAGTTGGAAAGCTCGGCGTGTTGGATAAGAAGACCATCAAAACTATCAATAAGATGAAGACACTCAAGAGGAAAAACATCTTGAATCAGATCTTGTCCTGTTCCAGCAGCGTTGCTCTGAAGGCAAAAGCTCCCCCAGAGACCAGCCCTGGGGCAGCAGCCATTGAAAGCAAACTGGGCAAGCAGATTAATGTCAGCAAGAGGGGAACCATCTACATTGGCAAGAAGCGGGGCAGGAAGCCAAGAGCAGAGCTGCCACCCCCATCCGAAGAACCCAAAACAGCCATCAAGCACCCCAGGCCTGTTTCTAGCCAGCCGGATGTTCCAGCCGTGCCTTCCAACTTTCAGTCACTTGTGGCGTCTTCACCAGCAGCTATGCACCCACTTTCAACACAGTTAGGTGGGTCCAATGGCAACCTGAGCCCTGCCAGCACTGAAACCAATTTTTCAGAGTTGAAAACTATGCCAAATCTCCAGCCCATCAGTGCTCTTCCAACCAAAACCCAAAAGGGAATACACAGTGGAACCTGGAAGCTGTCTCCACCCAGACTGATGGCCAACTCCCCTTCACACCTGTGCGAGATTGGCTCCCTAAAGGAAATCACGCTGTCCCCTGTGAGCGAGTCCCACAGTGAGGAGACGATCCCCAGCGACAGCGGCATTGGGACAGACAACAACAGCACTTCTGACCAAGCGGAGAAGAGCTCAGAATCCCGAAGGAGGTACTCTTTTGATTTCTGCTCCCTGGACAACCCGGAGGCCATTCCGTCCGACACCAGCACAAAGAACCGGCATGGCCACCGGCAAAAGCATCTCATTGTGGACAACTTTCTGGCCCACGAAAGCCTCAAGAAGCCAAAGCACAAGAGGAAACGGAAAAGCCTGCAAAACCGCGATGACCTCCAGTTTCTGGCAGACCTGGAGGAGCTAATCACCAAGTTCCAAGTGTTCAGAATCTCCCACCGGAGTTACACCTTCTACCACGAGAATCCATATCCCAGCATTTTTCGGATTAATTTTGATCACTATTACCCGGTGCCATATATCCAGTATGACCCGTTGCTCTATCTTCGTAGGACTTCAGACTTGAAGTCAAAGAAGAAGCGTGGTAGGCCTGCAAAAACCAATGACACCATGACAAAGGTGCCTTTTTTACAAGGGTTCAGCTACCCTATTCCCAGTGGAAGTTACTATGCACCCTATGGAATGCCTTACACATCAATGCCTATGATGAACCTTGGTTATTACGGTCAGTACCCAGCTCCTTTGTACCTATCGCACACGCTTGGAGCAGCTTCCCCATTCATGAGGCCAACAGTGCCACCACCTCAGTTCCACACAAACTCCCACGTAAAGATGTCCGGTGCAGCTAAGCATAAAGCCAAGCATGGAGTACACCTGCAGGGACCTGTTAGCATGGGCCTTGGTGACATGCAGCCTTCTCTGAACCCTCCCAAGGTAGGCAGTGCCAGTCTGTCCAGTGGTCGGCTCCATAAGAGGAAACACAAACACAAGCATAAGCACAAGGAAGACCGGATCCTAGGGACCCATGACAACCTGAGTGGTCTTTTTGCAGGCAAAGCCACAGGCTTCTCCAGCCACATCCTGAGCGAGCGGCTGAGTAGCGCAGACAAAGAGCTCCCGCTGGTGAGTGAGAAGAACAAGCATAAGGAGAAACAGAAGCACCAGCACAGCGAAGCCGGCCACAAAGCTTCTAAGAACAACTTTGAGGTGGACACCCTGTCTACACTGTCACTTTCCGACGCCCAGCATTGGACACAGGCCAAGGAAAAAGGAGACTTGAGCAGTGAGCCTGTGGACTCATGCACGAAAAGATACTCTGGCAGTGGCGGGGATGGTGGCAGCACGAGATCAGAGAACCTGGACGTGTTCAGTGAAATGAACCCTTCGAATGACAAGTGGGACAGTGACGTGAGTGGGAGTAAAAGGAGGAGCTATGAAGGCTTTGGAACGTACAGGGAAAAGGACATCCAAGCCTTCAAGATGAACCGCAAGGAGAGAAGTTCTTATGACTCCTCCATGTCTCCAGGTAAGGCTGTTTTTCTTCAGAAATGGATTATCAAGTTATTTCATTGCTGGGCTTTGCACCTCAGACACATCTGTGGCACATTGTGTTCACTAGTTTGCAAAGAGGTGGGAATCAAATTAAAATGGGTCTCCTTGCACATTTGAGTTTGCTGCACATTTTGTACATTGTTTACTTGGTATTTACTATCTTCCTTCTCTCCTGGAGCCATTGTTTGAGAAACTGTGAAGCCATAACCCTAATAGCTGCCTAGGCTGCAGTCGTGCCCACTATGGTTATGCTTTTTATTAAAGATGCTGTTCTTAGGTCCTCATCTGATCTAATGGTACAGTTTGCTGTTTGGATACAGCCTCTAAAACTCATTAGGAATACTAATAAGATCCAAGAATGCCAAGCCTGGGAGGAAATGACTAGCTAATTTATCTGGCATGCCAGCTCCACAAGTCACACATCTAATGTGAGAAGTCTACTGCAGAGCCATTAGAAGCTGATGACCAGTGAATCCTGAAGTCTAACTCATCAGGTAGCCACAGCCTTGGGCCATATTGTTTCCATTTTTTTTCCATGGGCATTTGATAAGCTGTCCTGGGCAGGTCCCTAAAATGAAAACTTGACTACATTCAGATACTTGTCATTTTCGTGCACTAAGTGGAAGGAGGCAGGCTGGAAGGTGATATGTGCCTCCTGCTTCCAGCAGACCTTATAACTGTGTCTCTTTGCATGCCCACTAGAAAGGGATTTTGCTCACTAATTTAAACTGAAATGCTGGTTGCTACTAGAAGGATCCTATTCCTTGTCAGTTGCTGGCAGAATTCCCTTGCCAACCTCCCCAACCACACAAAATCCTTCCCTGCTGTTAGGGCCTCACATTTCTGCAAAAGTATCCCTTTGACCCTGGCCTTACATCATATATGATAAGACCCCTATAAAGACCAGAGAAGTTAGTTATTAGGAAAATAGTAGAAACTTCTTACCTAGGAGTTGCAGAAGCTAAAAAAAAAAAAAAAAAAAAAAAAACAGTTCTTGTGTTCCCCCTGTTCCCAAATAGTATAAAACCCTCCAGCCAAAGCCTGGCTTTAAAAACCAATCATCCATGTTTAAGGTTTGGTGTAGCATTTCACTTCTGTTTATGATGTGTACCACTCACCTGTCCTCTCCCTTCCCAGGGAGCCCATATTTCCTGAAGGCAAGAATAGTCTATTCATGAAGAATTAGAGACATTTTCTAGGCCAGCAGATTTCAGGAAGAAATATGATTATGAGGTAGAAACCACTTAAAGATCGCCCCAGATTGCCACTAGCCTGTGAGTTGTAGTGGTAGATGTTCTCCTTGGTTAATGAAGAAACCAATTAGCAGTCACATCTCCTGCATTTACTAAAGGTAATAAATGACCTACACTTTGTGTCTGCCCAAAGTGGATGTGCTCATCTGGGCTTCATCATTTCTCATCATCAGACTTTGTTGAAGGTGCTTGGTTTTATGCAGAGTGCAGGCTAAGCCCACCTGGGCAGGAGGTACTACCTTGACCTTGCATGACATGTGAGAAACTGATCTCTTTCAGCATGATGAAACTGATTCATGGGACTTACACTAGCTGTGGACAGAAGATGTTCTTATTTTTGTAATTTTATGAGCCTTATTTAGCTAGAAAATAATGGTGAGGGGTAATTGTTAAGAACCTACACGCAAAAATCCTAACTTAACAGACCCAAGGAGCAAGACCTCAAGAAGCTAAAACCAGACGTTGTTGCATGTTAGGTTTCTCAACGATTTTACGAGGATTTGTCTGTGGCCAGGCTGTGTTGCTGAGTGCTGGTTGACTTCATAAAATTTCCCAGCTGGGGTTCACGTCCAGTCACTGTGTGCCCCCACTCTAGTTATATTGCTTTTCATGTGCTTGCATTTATATCGCATTCATCACTTTATTAAAACTCCTCCTCATCCCTGTCCCATCTCATCTCATCTTCAGCCAGCCACTTGAGATGGGAAGAAATAGGTGTCATGACAATGTCATGAAAGAAAGCTGGATTCAACCCGAAGAACTGGATACAAGGCCCAACTCTGTTACTAATTCTCCGTGTGCCCTTAGGCATGGGATTCCACTTCTTTGGGGTACTGTCTGCCCATCTGTAACTCATGGGGTTGGGCCAGACCTCTTGTGTATAGTGTGCTTCCATTCTTAAAGCCATTTCACATAAATTTTTGTGTAACACCCTTTGTGCAATGTTATTAGACAGGTACTTTTATTCCTATATTACAGATCAGGATACTGAGGCTCAAAGAGATCAAGAGAACTGTCCAGGTTCAAAAAACCACTGGTTTTGATTCTAAGCCCAGAACTTTGCCTGCTGCACTGAACCTTGACTGCCTGCCTGCCACCAAGCTAGTGAAAGCTGTGTTTAGAACACAGCTCTTGGTGCCCAGTCCAGTGCTCCTCTATGTCACCTCTGCCCTTTCTTTCAGAATCCCATTCATCCTCAGATCACATACCCTTCCCTAAGGCATCTGCACAGTGATTGTGTGATGATTACAAAAGAGAATAGTTAAGGAAAGAAGACACTCGTTTATTCAATTCCTGACCAATGTAGAAGGAATCCTTGTGGCCTTACCTTTTCTGAATATCAGCCTGGAGACACCATGGACAGAGCTTCCACCTCTGTCCTTACTGAAATCCAGCACTCTGAGTTATTTTTGCCACTGCTTTGTTTCTATCTCTGTCCTCTATGAGGTTATTTTTTCCCAGAACTTTAATGAATCATAATTGTTGGTGGCTGCTACATCTATATGAGCTATGCCTGATGTTCCTGCATATCTTGTTAAGTTTCTTACTAAGACAGACCAGATTCCCCCTTATTCCCCTCCCTTCCAAGCCTTAGCCTCTCATTGCTTATATCTCGAATGTCTCCTTCATGGCTGTGCCCCCAAAGCATGAGAGAAAAATATCTTTAGCATCACATAGAATCCAGTGTCAGAGTTTGTCAAGACTCCCTGAAGAGCATTCACCTTAATGTGATAGACTCTGAAGAGTGCCAAGTTCCATGAAAAGACAGGAGGCAGATGAGATGAAGCTGAGCTTACTAGATGCATTAAGAGCTTTCAGTGACTTTATCTGAGTGGAGGTGTCTATTCAGCTGGATGGTTCTGAGGGTCATGATTGGAAATAAGCACCTGCACTTTCTACAACTTCTCTCCCTCCACCTTTTCCTTCATCACACTTGATTCATTTCCTTAGCATCCAAATGTCCTATTTCACATGAGCTATTCTTCTCTAAAATAGATACAGTATAAATATAGATGTCATCCTTTTTAGCCTGTTGAGGATGAGAATTAGAAGCAGAGTCAAGAGAAGGCTTTGAGTGCTCCCTGAGATCAGAGCTGATGAAAGATACCATCTAAACGTAAGTCATTACCATTATGGAGAGAGGAATTAGAGACCCTATTTAGCAATAGCAGCAGTTGCACACTCCATTTCCTTTTTCTTGCTTGGAAAATCTTTCATTCTTTCTCTCCCTGCCCAGCAGATGGTTGCATTGTCTTGTTAGCCCACTTCTAACATACCTAGGGCTAGGATGCAGTACAGACTTCTGACCATTTTTCTGTATTTTACGCCTCCTTTTTTTGGTTTCAGAATGCAGTAGCTCTTTTGGCCTGTTTTCTAAATGCATACCATCTGCTAAATGTCCGTTTATAAAAATGCTTGCCTGGGACCAGAAAATGGATAAATAGTGAGAAGGTGCAATCTCAGAATTGGTATAAGCCTTATCAGCTCCTATTTGGGCCTGTCTGTCGGCAGGCATTGCCTTCTCTTGCACACTAACATTTAGCAGAGGGCCAGAAGAGCAAATGCATACTCCAGGGGTGACAATGCATAGTCAGAATGATGCCATGTGCCCTCAAAGCCAAGTTTTCACAAGGTGGTGGAAGAGTGATGAGTGACATTTTCTATTCAGACCACTTGGAAACAATCTTTGCATACTTTGACCTAAACTTATGCCAGATACTGAGACCTCATGACAACTGCTGTTCAAGCTCCTATCAGATAATTAAAAAAAAAAAATGAGAAGAGTGAATCTACATGTGTTACCTCTTAGTTTAGTGCCATTGTTAAGAAGGTAGCCATCCCAAGTCCCCGAATGTTGAGTACTGTCCTCATGATGAGTGGATTCTGAGAACTGATTCTGAGAGCACATTTCAGATATCCAAATTCTGCCATGTAGGTAGCTGGATTCCCTGGCACCTGGCCCCCTCCACCTCTCCTTGTAGCTTCTTTCTTGCCCTTTGCCAACTCCTCTTATCAGCACTGTGGAAATTTGAGGAGGCAGTCTCTGCTGTCACTCACTGGCAGGATATGAATGCCCAAGCCAAAAATAATACAAAAACCTCCTCCAAGCAGTCACCCAGATGAGGGAATTAGCCACGTGGATGAAATGTCATGAAAACTATACAAAGGAAATGTTTCAGGATCATTTCCTTAAAATGGAATAAAAGGAAGAAGAGGACTAATGGGAGGAGAAAATTAAGACCAGGAATAAAGAGAGTAAAACCTGGGAAGCTGATGAAATATAATCTTTTTAACCTTATTCCAAGTCCAATTCTGAGTCCTCTTGTGGGAGGAAATGAAAGATTAATTAGCTAATGGCTGTTGTGGAGTTCAAGTAGGGTTAGGAAGACCTGTCCAAATCTTATCTCTCACACTAACCAGCTGAAAGACCTCTTCTGTTTTTTGACTTTCAGTTTTCCAAAATGGGACTATGACCATAAAGGTTCTGACCAGACCTAATAGTTGAAGATTCTAAAAGACTCAAATTTATACAATGGAATTTCAATATCTACACCACTCCCCTGCACACATGTACAGGCAGTAGTTACAAAGTAAATATCCAAGTTATTGACCATGTTGACCAAATAGTTAGTTGTTCAATGAAGTTTGAAAACAGGTACCACTGGTTGTATATTAATCTATGAGACTCATCCCATTCATCTTTAGCTCCAGCCATTTCACTTAGCCATTGGATTTCTCCTTTGCGAAAGGTAGAACTCCTAGTGCTTGAGTCCCACTGGCTGAAAACATAGTCACTATCTGAGACACAAATAGGTTAGAACACAAATATGAACATTTTTATGGGAACAGACAGGGCACACTTGGATTTGTATTTAGACTCAGCATTAAATAAATCTTAATAATGTAGTACAAACATCTCATTTTGCTGATGAGCACACTGAGGCTTAAGAAGGTCAAGTGACTCATCTAATGATACATATTTAATTGGGTGAAGAGCTCAGACTGGGAAGCTTCACATCAAGGAGAAGGGCAGGGAAAGGGAGAGAGAGAGTGAATACAAGAAAAAAACAGAAAGGTGAGTCATGGGAGAGATGTTAAGCTATATGTTTTCCTTTGCTGTGAGCTGTTGTAAAAGGTAAGCATCTCTTTGACAATCATTTGGTTTCCAGGCTATCTCTGGGGACCCATGTCTGGGACTGGAAATGATCTTTGTGGGCTCTGATGGAAGTCATTTTTTTTTCCTTTCCTGTCTTAACAATTGCACATACTTATTTTATTGAGCCTCCCAAGTTTCCTCCTAAGGTTTCCTTTTGGAAACCAAGAATTAATCAAATTAAATGATATAACCCATAACTTTGTAGCAACGTAACAAAAAAAAATAGCTGAGACTCACAGCATATCCTTTGCTACATTGAAATCAGAAATGGAGCAATTCTGCCTTTGGAGTTTGAAGTCCCCGAGCCATTTATCTTCCCACAGTTGGCAAATGTTCTCGTGTCCTGGTGAAAGTTTTTATTTTTACCTCTGTGGGATTGGGAAATTATGCAGATTCAGGTGTGGGTGCAGAGAAGTTACAATTTTGACAGACTTGGCTTTGCTATAATATGGATCCTTTCTTGGCTGGAGAAATCAGGAAGCATGCCTTTGGAAGGCTGTCACTGGGCAGAGATAAGCAAGGCACCTTTGGAAGGAAACTCCAGAAAACCATCTCCTTACTCTATAAAAAGAACAAGTGATGAATACTTTTAAAATTGTGGCCTAGGCTTGAGCCAGTATAGCACTTAATCCAAGTTGTCTGAATTCAAGGGAAAATGATAAGGACAAGACAACATTTTTTAATGATTTATTTAATGCCTAGTATGTATAAGGCTTGTTGCAATCCCAGAAAGAAATCAAAGATGAGTAACTCAATGTTTTTGCCTTCAAAGAGACTACAATCCAGGAGGACCTCTATAATTTAGGGGAAGAAACCAGCAAGCAGCTCCTCATGTTACAAAGCCAACTGCAAGAGCCATCAGAAAGCCACAGAGAAAGAGCAAGGGCTGTCCAAGTGACTTGTGAGCCACTGCTGTGTTCTCAGTGGGGGAGGAGAGGTGGGACCTGGAAATACTCTTCATAGCAGTCACCATGTAAGATGGGTCTTGAATGATACAAGACACTTTGGGAGAGTGGAGATGGTAAGGGTGGTCATGAGAGATGGGGTAGGAAGCATGACCTAGAACAGGAGCCATGCAAACAAAGGTATGTAAGTGGAAACACCCAAGAAATATTTGGGAAAGCATGCATAGTGCAGTTTTTTTGTTTCTGTTTTTGAGACAGTCTTACTCCATCACCCAGGCTAGACTGCAGTGGTACGATCTCACCTCACTGCCACCTTCACCTCCTGGGTTCATTCTCTTGTCTCAGCCTCCCAAGTAACTAGGACTAGGTGCAAGCCCAGCTAATTTTTGTATTTTTAGTAGAGACAGGGTCTCACCATGTTGGCCGGGCTTGTCTTGAACTCCTGACCTCAAGTGATCCTCCCGCCTCGGCCACCTAAAATGCTGGCATTACAGGCATGAGCCACCGTGACCAGCCCATAGTGCCGTTTTATTGGGGTTTGGATCTGTAGTTGGGGAACATTGGCAGATAAAGTGAGGAAAGAATATTGTGGTCAGGGGCTAGAGGGTCTTTTTCCCGTACTCCGAGGCTTGTGCTTAATCAAGCGAGCAGTGGCAAGCCACTTTTTATTTTATTGTGTTCCATTTTATTTTTAGAGACAGAATATCTGTCACCCAGGATCCTAGCTCACTAAAACCTCCAACTTCTGGGCTCAAGCAATCCTCCCACCTCAGGCCCCCAAGTAGCTAGGACTACAGGTGTATGCCACCATACCCTGTTAATTTTTGTTTTAATTTTTAATTTTGTAGAGACAGGGTCTCGCTCTGTTCCCCAGACTGGTCTTGAACTCTTGGGCTCAAGTGATCCTCCCTCCTCCACCTCCCAAAGCGCTGGAATTATAGCTGTGAGCCAGTGTGCCTGGCCAGAAGCTACTTTTTAAACAAGTGAAAGCCATAAAATGACCAGATTATACTTTATCTTTCTTCCCTGACCACTCCCTTTCCCTAACCTCAATTGGGCAAACTTACCTCATCTCTGTACTCTTCATGCTGTGTTGTAATTATTCACTTACTTGTTTAGGTTGTACCCACCTGCCCTTCCTCCTCCACCCTCCACCCCCGGATTATAACTAATCATAAAGGCATCATTAGTTACACAAATGCTCAAGCAAAAAATATATTTAAAAAGAGCCATCCTTGATTTCATCTCTTTCCCTCTCTAGCTAAAGTCAAAGGTGATTCCAATGTATTGCCTCCAGGCACTGAGAGGGTGGGAGTACATGAACAGAATCCTAGAAATCAGAGCGGAAACCCAGCTGGTGTCCAGAATGATGAGGGGCTTAGGCAGCAGTTGCCAGTGCTGTGCAGAGCTAGACCTAGAGATTCAGCAAGGAGAGAGTCAGAGGGAATGAAGGAAGGAGGGTGGAAGAGATGACCTGGCAACCCACCTTAAACACAGAGGCAGAGGAAGCAGGGACCAGGAAGGATGCAGAGAAGGAATGCCAGAAATGCTGGAGAATGAATTTAAGAAGAAAGAAGTGATCAGCAGAGCCAGAAGATGCAGAGTTTATGGAGGATGAAAACAAATGAAAATATGCATGAACATATTGGTGACCCTGAAGACAACAGAAATGTTAAACATTATGTATTTGATGTCTCATATGTTTGGAGCCTCGTGGACTGTGTGCCTAGGCTGAATGGCAAGGAGTTAATGAATAAGTGGATGATGAGAGAATGGGGGCTGCAGGTGCAGAAAATGAAAACATTGCTGTGGTTCTAGCAGTGCCCCAGCTTCTAAGAAGACTACGTTTGTGAAGTCAGCCCTTGATGAGAAGTGATACTTCCATTCTCAATAGGCCTTAAGTCTAAGTTTCTCCAATTCTAGGAGCAGAAACACAATGCCAGATTCCCTTATACTATGTCATTCCACATGTCATAGTATAAGGCCAAAAAGGCCATGTGTAGAAAAGGTAAAGGTTATAGTATTTGAAAAGAGGTAAGAGATTTCAGGTCAGCTCCCCCTTCCCTGCCTCACAGACACACAGGCACATAGCTTTTGATCATATGATGACTATTTGAAAATTCCTTTCTGTGGTACCTTGGGTGTTTGCTGTGCATCTGTGAATGTATGGAAGAATGAACAAGTTATCACAAGTTCGAATAAATGGTTCTGTTACTGAGCCATGTACAAAGGATTATAGATGAAAGCCTAACTGTCAGTCTTACAGAGCTTTTTACTATTGTGGAATAAAATATACATGCTGGTACATAAAAACTTGCACTCTTAAAAATGATTGAGAGGTCTTTGGTCACCCAGCATATAGCATAGTGCCAGGGACAATTAGGGAGACCAGAAGGAAAGAAAAATCAAGAAAGAGACTAAGTTAGCATTCGTAAAACAACCAGAGAATAAATGCAGACCAAGTTTAATCCATGCTAACTCATTGGCCAACAATGGGAGCTGCGGGGACCCAGGATCAGGAAGGATAACAGTGTTCAGTGAAAGACAAAGTCTTGCGGCAGAAGCTTGGAGAGTAGGTTCACAGTGAGTGCTCCAGCAGCATGAGTGAAGATATTTGAGGGGTACAGGAAGGCACTTGGCTAGATGGAAGTTAGCAGTTGAGTGGGGATGGATTTTTAAGAGGCACAGCTACCGTGAAGAGGGGATTGAACTGCCTCCCAGAGGAAGGGAAGATACAATTGATGCTCAGGGGTGCTGAGTGTGAGATGTTTTGAGCTTGGTGCTAGGTGCTGAGTGGAATGATGAAGTACCAAGAAACATGCCTGTCCTCAATGACCTTATACAGCCATCAGGAGACAAGAGATGGATATAGACATGTACACAAAGCAATCAGCGAGAATAATGGGAGTTATGCACTTAATGACTAGAAATCAAAACCCATTCTACAAAAAAAGAAACCCCAAAACTAACTATCAGTGAAATAAGCTGCATGTTGTAAATGCAAGTTGATACTGGTATCTGTCCTGTTACAGAGAGATTCAGAACAAGCTGGATAAGAAGAAGGAGGCATTAAGTGAGGTCAACAGAGTAGAGCAGGCAAGTCCCAAGAGCTGCCTCTGCTGTGGTTTCCATGATCTTCAGTGCGGGGGCTGGGGAGAAAGTTGGGCAGTGAGTCAATAAGAAGATGGGGCTCACCTTGTTGATGGAGGATCTGAGGACCCAGAGATAAAAAGCTTTCCCTGAGGCTACATCACAGTCATCCCATACATCTGAACAGGGTGTTATGCTTTTCAAAGCGTACTTCCTTACTTTCATTTGATCTTCAAAATCCAGTGGGGTCTGCAGATAGGTGTTGCTTTTCCACTCGACAGCCAAGGAAATCAAAACCCAACGTGACCAAGCCATTTTTTGTTCAGAAAAAGTGCTAGATCCCAAGTATCCTGGAATTTTCCTAGCATCCTCCCAACCCCCACTGCCATTTTTCCCACTATATTTCTTAAGTATTTGATCAGGCCAGTAGCATGACTTACCTTCCAAGTTATCCCTAAAGAACTCTTGCCAGTGGGTTAAATAGAGGAGCCCAGAATAAGGCACTAACTAATAGGCAATTTAGTCTTTGCTAAAAATAGGATATTTTACATACAAAGGGAGCTCTTTGGAACTGGGGTTAGCCAAGCCCAGGGTCTAATGTCAATTCTGTGCGCAAAGCCTTTAGCTCACCTGGGGAAAGAGAACTTGAATGGAGCGTGAATGTCCTGAAAATCACAAGGAAGACACAAGTGGTGCACAAGAATATTCTTATTTGCTAAATTACAAAACACTAAAACTAACATTTAAATCTTTGTTTTTTTTAATTACAATTTAAGGGGCTTTACCCACCTACTGGTAAACATTCAAAAACTTGCATTTTAAAAATGCTACGTGCTGACTGGGCACAGTGGCTCACACCTGTAATCCCAGCACTTTGGGAGACCAAAGCAGGCGAATTGCCTGGGCCCAGGAGTTCAAAACCAGCCTGGGCAACTTAGGGAGACCCCGTCTCTATAAAAATATACAAAAATTAGCCTGGTGTGGTGGTGCACACCTGTAGTCCCAGCTACTTGGGAGGCTGAGGTGGGACGACTGCTTGAGCCCAGGAGTTCAAGGCTGCAGGAAACCACGATTGTGCCACTACATGACACTGAACTCCAGCCTGGGTAACAGAGCAAGACCCCATCTCAAAAAAAAAAAAAAAAAAAAAAAGGGTTATATATACTAAAAGTAAAACCGGAATGGAGCAGCAAGTCATTAAGAGATCCATGAAAAAAAAACAAAAGAGAGATCCATGAGTTTGGGCTACACTTCAGAAGTTTGGGAAGTTGTTAGAGTGGATACCTCATCTCAGTTTGAATGTCCACAAGGAACTGGGATGTAGGCTGGAGAAACTGTGGTTCAAAGCCTATCTGAAGCCTATCTGTCACGTCTTATATTGCAAGTAAGACCAATAGGCAAAAAAGGTTTCTCTTATATGCTTCTTTGTGCTGTTATATTTTTACTTTATTCTAATCACAGTTTTAAAATTATTGAGTGCCTAATATTTGTAAAACATAGTCCTGGGCAAAGTGGCTCACACCTGTAATCCCAGCACTTTGGGAGACCAAACTGGCCCCAGGAGTTCAAAACCAGCCTGGGCAACAGGAGTTTGAAACCAGCCTGGGCAGCTCTAAATATGTAAGGGACACCTTGTCATCCTTTAGTACATGTGTCATAGTCCTACAAGTCTGTGTCAGTATATCCACCACTAAATAATTCACCTTTTTAGTGCTAAATACTGTTTTTCTATTTGAGGTCCCAATGGCAAGGACAATAAAAATGGATTCCCCATCTATAAACCTATAACATGGAATTATTTGAAAACGTTTTTATTATCTTAAAAAAAAAAAAACCCTGTTAATAAAGAAAATTTGAAAAATTCAGAAAAAAACTAAAGTCACCTACAATCCCACTGCCCAGAAATAGCCACCATGATAATGTAAATGCACAGGTCCCCAGCTGATGGTAAGCACTCACCTGGCTTCCTGTTCCAATCTGCCGTTTCTCCAGCCTAACTTAGGAAAACCAACTCATGCTCCCCCCAGGCCACACCCTGTCCTTTGCCTCCTCTTTTCTCCACTACCACTATGGTTGCCAGGTCTTTTCAGTTTTCTCTTAAGTGTTTTCCCAGATTTGCTCGTGATAACCTTTCCTTCTGCATGTTGTGTCATTATCCAAACGGGGATACATTTTAAAAATAAATGCAGGAGGAATTGGGCGTGAAAATCATACAGATTTCTAGATTGTGCTATTTAACTAAAATCTCCACCAGATTTCAAGTCTCAGGACATTAACTGAGAAGGAGACAAATTAGGGCTGAAGACAATTGCCAAATATCTTTCTTGAATATCACTGAATGTTGAATGTTTCTTCTCAGATCAGAATTGGACAAGGGGGAAGGCAATAAATTTTTCAAAGTTTGAAATTCCAACTTCACCTCAGCAATGTAAAATGTAATCAGCCAGTTTCTTTTACAATTACCACTCTCACTTCGCACACATACAACAGACAGAGACAGACACATGCACACAAACACACACACACACACACACACACACACAGATCACTCAGAACAAATCAAGTTATGGATACTCTCATTGGTCAGTGTTGCCATCACTCATACCAAGAGCATTTAGAGAGAAGGCACTTGCTATTAATTTTAGGCTTATCACCAGAGAATTCCTTATGCTTGCTTATTATATAAATATCCTAGTATATCTATGGAAATTCCTAAGATAAAATCATAAAGCCAATAGTTTCCATTTCAAAAAGCATCTCCCCTGTTTGTTTTTTCTTCCATTGCTCCTCAACCAGTAAGTCCACATCTATATATCCTCCAAGTTAAACTTTTGCACAAAGGATCAGGCAAAGGAGAAAACAAAATTTTCCAGGAGATTTCTTAAATCTCCATGGACAATGCAAGCATCACAGAGAGTTTGCTCACATCGCTGAAATAGCTTTTTTCTTTCAGTCTTCCTCCATTATTTTTGAATTTCAACTGTGATAGAGGTAAGTGTACTGCAGTATCTGTCTTATAGAGGAGAATTCTGTTTCTGAATGTCTTCCCTGGTGATGAGATCTCTAACAGTGGCTCCCTGGAGTCCCCAGCTTGGAATGTCAGCTCCACCTACAGTGTCCCTGGGACCCCAGAAACACTTCATTCACATGAGCTTACCTTCCGCCATGCCAGGGTTGCAACTTCTTGGTCCAGAGCAGTGACTCTGTGCTTCATTTTTCATTTCAGTGATCCTTTGGGCAATAATCAAACAAAGCTCGATTGCATCTGTCTCTCCTTACAGCTCTAACTAAATAAATACATTAATTATTGGAACAGAAAAAGAAGAATGTAATATTTTTTCATGGAACGCCTATGAAGGCAGCCATAAGTAAATGAATAATTGATGTCAGATGCAGAAATAGCAATTCCTATTGCATTAAGTCTAAAACTATCTGGCTTAAAAGACCCTCCATTATCCACTCTTGCTGGTCTCACCTTGTTTCCTGATCATCTTCAAGTATTTCCTCACTATGAGTCCTGCTAAATCTCCTCCTTATCCTATAGAAAATGTCATAGTGAGCCCCTTACCTGAGTGTGCAATCACCACACGGCTTCTTCATGTAAAACTTCCTCTCCTTTTCCATCTGGCTTGCAAATCTCACCTACTAATTTTCTTACCCATTCTGGCATCCCCTGCTTCTCTGATGTAACTAATATTTTCACTTTCATTTCAGTGCTTATTTTTATATGGCCTTATATTGTTTACCTTTATATTAGGTAGGGATGTCTTATTCACCCAAATCAAATTTGAGTTGTAGGAGAATCGCAGTCATGTCATACCCTTTTCATAGCTTATACGATCCTTAGGATGGTGCTGAGCACAGATATTACTGACCAACTGACTGTTGATCCTTGCAGACCACCATCATTTCCTGACTTATGCTTTAAGAAGCACTAACTTAAGAATAAATTGAACAATTTCTAACGCAGCTTAGTAGAGCAAAGAAAGCCCAGGAGTTAAAGACTCAGATCTAGATTTGGATGCTAAATATCCCACTTGCTCGTAGTGCAACCTTGGGCAACTTAGGCTCTTAGATGTCCCTTTCCTAGCCCGAAAAATGAAGCTGTTAATACCCACCACACAGAGTTTTATGAGAGCCAAAGAAGGGTAAAATATACACAGGAGCATCCAGCACACCACTTACCATATAGTTGTCAATAATGTTCATTTCCTTTCACTTCCACTTTAGATAATATATTCAAACAGAAAATACAAAACAACAGATTGGTATAGAAGTCTTCTTTAAACAGCAGGCTTTCCTGCCCAATTACACTCTTACTGGGATGAAGTTAAATCCAACTCTGAATCACACAGGGAAAGGCAGAAATTAGCTGGACCACAGTTGTAGTTCATGATGAAGATAAGGTGTCAGGATTATACCGTTATGGTGGATAAGTAACAAAATACACATTTCACCCAAAGATAACGGAAAGCTCACTGAGTAGGCATTATCCGTAGAACTTGGGAATTCTCTGGAAAGGGCAGTCATCACCATCCCTTGGCATCGGGACTGTCACGGCAAGAATGTGTATGACTATTCAGTAGCACTTGTTTTGTAGACCAATGTATCTGCTAACCCCAGCCATAAAAATGCAGTGATAAGAAAAATAATGAAATGTGGATTGGTACTCTATCATTGTTGTAACAAACCACAGATTTAGCAGTTTAAAACAATGCAAACGTGTTATTTCACCACTTCTTATGTCAGAAGTCAAGTGGGCACAGGTGAGTACTCTGTTTAAGGTCTTACGGAGCTGAAATCAGGTGTGGTCAGGGTTGTGTTCCTCACTAGGGGCCCTGGAGAAGGATCCACCTCAGAGGTCAATCTAATTGTTGATCCACTCAGTTCCCTGTGGTTTTAGGTCTGAGGCCTTTTGCTGGCCTTTGCTTCTAGGGGCTGCCCACATTACTTCTAATTTTTTCCATGTGGCCCGTCCAGCAACAGAGTCAAATCACTATGAGTCTTAGACATTCCTCCCCCACCACACCACAGCCCCTGGGAACTTCTTGCTCTTCTCTGAATGCAAGTACCACATTCTCCCACACCTTCTGGCTTTGCACATGCCATTTCTCTCTCTCAGAACACCTTGCAGAGAGGAAGATCCTAGCATTTTGCCTCATGACTAAGTACCTGTGTTCTTTGTATATTTCTCCTTGTGATCTGGTAGATGGAGGTCTACCTTGTGGATAAGTTTGAAAATGCAGTGGAAAAAAAACATTAATTCTAGAACTGCAAATTGCTCAGCAGGATGGTAAAGAAGGACAGTTCATTTTTAGACTAGCATATGGAATGCTCCATGAAGGAGATGGTACCATACCTGGTCCTAAAGAATTGGTTGGATTTAGGTACACTGGGAATAAAGAGGAACCATTGAGGGAAAATATGAATATATATGTATAGTGTTCTTTGAGAAAATATTGCACTTATTCATTCATCATACACACACACACACAATTCCTGGGAATACAAGAATGAACAAGAAAGATAAAAGATAGGGCTCCTGTACTCATGGATTTTATAGTCTATTAGTAGATGTACAAGAAGAAGAAAAAGCAAATATAATAATTAAATGGTTCAATGTGATAAGTTTTGGGAAAGGGAAGCTGGATAGTGGGCATGATCTGCTGTACTTCAGTGGTAAATTCATCTATGTGGACGACCTGGGGGGAAGCCAGCTAAGTAAAGCATGGCCTTATCAGACAGCCTGGACTGCCAAGTAGTAGGCCTTGAGAGGGCGCTGCCAGCAAGAGGAGACCACTAGGAGCAAAGGAATGGCATAGTGATCACTGTGTCTTATGCTGATTAGTATGGCCATACTGTTACTTACCTTGATGGTTTAAGTAGTTCCAGACCATCTTTCAATTTTGTTGTATGTCTCAATGGCTTCATAAATTCTTTCTTCCCAAGTAGGCAACAGTGAGTTTTTCTCAAATCCCTGCCTGAATGATTGAGTTGCAATGACTTGCTCCTTGAGAGTGCACTAGCAAGACACACCAGCAACCAAAACCTGTTTGTCATCCAGGAATAGCCTGCATGCTAGGAGGAGGTGGTTTGGAACATGTGTAAAATCAAAACATTTCTCACTGTTAATTTCTTTTCACAGTTCAGAATCTCTGTTCTATTCCATGTGAAAAGTAAAATAACTCCTTTGCTCGGATTTCTTGCTGACATTTCTTTTTGGTGGGAGTCAGGGGTGGGAGTTCACTCTGAATGCTTACTATACCTCCTGCTACAGCTCTGTGGCATTTTCATAAAATACCAACCACCAAAATTCTAGTAATCACAAAAACATGTGCTTTCTCCTCATATCCACTGAAATTCTTTCTCTCATTAAAAAATAGAAGTCTCAGAAATGTAATTAGAAAGCTAAACTCGATATCTTTACATTCCTTTGGTTTCAAGGCGGGGGAAGAAAGCTGCAGTTTTTCTAATTTCCCTTCAGTTCAATGCTACTCTTGAATGGGGAAAATGATACAAAACGTCTGAAGAATTGAGAGTCTGACAAGAGGGGAGGATTTGTATTTCCTTGTTATTAAAAAAGAAGAAAAAGCCCTCAGTTATGTCTAATCTTTAGGAACGCAGTGCCCTGTCCAACCCACGAACTGTTGGCAGCATCATAACTCTACACAGAATGTTCTTTTAAGCTTTTCCCTCCTTCCCAAGCCTTTCCTGTGAAGTTATAAATCTCAGCATTTAGAGATATTCTTATGCAAATAAAGGAGGGACTTTAGGTTGGGACCTTTCATGTTGATTCTGCTGAGGGCATGCTAGAGAAACAGCCCCAAGAAAAGCAGGCGCACTTCCATGGCTAGGTTCTAGGTTTGACTTTATTTGTGAAACCCCATCTGTCCCTCCTACACCAAGTACCAACTCCAGGAAGCTGTGATTTAATAGCTCTGTGCCTAGAGGAAGTTTTACCCAACCCCTCACAACATCCTCCTGATTGTTTGGAAAGTGAAATGATTCTGAAGATCAAACTCTACCGCTTCTTGCACTGCCTCCTCTTCTGTGTATAGCTGACCTCCTCATTCCACCTACACAACACTCCCCTTAAACTTTGTTGCAGCAGGCAGAGCAGTGTGGCCTTAGGTGTAGGTGCACCTGGAAAAACCCCAAATAATGTCCACTTGAGGTCACATAGGCAAGCAGATGTCCTGAACCTATTGCTGCCCTTGAGTCAAAGAATCCTAATTCTCCTTATCTGGTTATTTTGGCTGCTCCGTGATAGTGACATATTTTTCAAAATACATTCATGTGCATTTTCTCCTTTGACCATCATAGCCCCATGAGCTGAGCACTCATATAACGTCCTCAGGGAGCATTCCCAGTGGCTTTGCTCAGGGACTCAAGCCAAAAAGGTGATGATGGGCTCTGACTTAGTACAGTGAGTTATCACCGAAAGGAAATGGGAAAAGAAAGAGACTGACCAAAGAGATCCAGCCAGGCAGCCTTGTGCAAGTGATTTAAACAACCTCTGCCTGTGTTTGCAAATCCAAAATAGAGATAATAGTAGTTAGTAACTCACGGGGTGTGTCTGCTTATAAAGTTGTAGCATATGTACCTATATGTAGCAGAATGCCTGACTCATAGAAAATATACCATAAATGTTAGTGGTTATTAATGATTATTATTAATGTATTGAACACCTATAGTATACCAACCTTTATTTCATATTTTGTTTACAACGATTCTAGTTGGTTTTCAATAGAATACATCACTGTTGGTATAATTACAAATGCACAGGCCTTTTTTTTTTGGAACAGAGTGTTGCTCTTGTTCCCCAGGCTGCAGTGAAATGGGGCGATCTCGGCTTACTGCAACCTCCACTTCCTGGGTTCAAACGATTCTCCTGCCTCAGCCTTCCAAGTAGCTGGGATTACAGGCACGTGCCACCACACCCAGCTAATTTTGTATTTTTAGTAGAGACAGGGTTTCACCATGTTGGTCAGGCTGGTCTCGAACTCCTGAACTCAAGTGATCCACCTGCCTCGGCCTCCCAAAGTGCTGGGATTACAGGCCTGAGCGACCGCACCCGGCTGGGCTTGTTTTCTTTTCTTTTTTTTTTTAATTATACTTTAAGTATTAGGGTACATGTGCACAACGTGCAGGTTTGTTACATATGTATACATGTGCCATGTTGGTGTGCTGCAACCCATTAACTCTTCATTTAACATTAGGTATATCTCCTAATGCTATGCCTCCCCCCTCTCCCCTTCCCCCACCCCACAACAGGCCCCAGTGTGTGATGTTCCCCTTCCAGTGTCCATGTATTCTCATTGTTCAATTCCCACCTATGAGTGAGAACATGCGGTGTTTGGTTTTTTGTCCTTGTGATAGTTTGCTCAGAATGATGGTTTCCAGCTTCATCCATGTCCCTACAAAGGACACGAACTCATCATTTTTTATGGCTGCATAGTATTCCATGGTGTATATGTGCCACATTTTCTTAATCCAGTCTATCATTGTTGGACATTTGGGTTGGTTCCAAGTCTTTGCTATTGTGACTAGTGCCACAGTAAACATATGTGTGCATGTGTCTTTATAGCAGCATGTTTTATAATCCTTTGGGTATATACCCAGAAATGGGATGGCTGGGTCAAATGGTATTTCTAGTTCTAGATCCCTGAGGAATCGCCACACCGACTTCCACAATGGTTGAACTAGTTTACACTCCCACCAACAGTGTAAAAGTGTTCCTATTTCTCCACATCCTCTCCAGCAACTGTTGTTTCCTGACTTTTTAATGATCGCCATTCTAACTGGTGTGAGATGGTATCTCACTGTGGTTTTGATTTGCATTTCTCTGATGACCAGTGATGACGAGCATTTTTTCACATGTCTTTTGGCTGCATAAATATCTTCTTTTGAGAAGTGTCTGTTCATATCCTTTGCCCACTTTTTGATGGGGTTGTTTGTTTTTTCCTTGTAAATTTGTTTGAGTTCATTGTAGATTCTGGCTATTAGCCCTTTGTCAGATGAGTAGATTGCAAAAATTTTCTCCCATTCTGTAGGTTGCCTGTTCACTCTGATGGTAGTTTCTTTTGCTGTGCAGAAGCTCTTTAGTTTAATTAGATCCCATTTGTCAATTTTGGCTTTTGTTGCCATTGCTTTTGGTGTTTTAGACATGAAGTCCTTGCCCGTGCCTATGTCCTGAATGGTATTGCCTAGGTTTTCTTCTAGGGTTTTTATGGTTTTAGGTCTAACATTTAAGTCTTTATGCATCTTGAATTAATTTTTGTATAAGGTGTAAGGAAGGGATCCAGTTTCAGCTTTCTACATATGGCTAGCCAGTTTTCCCAGCACCATTTATTAAATAGGGAATCCTTTCCCCATTTCTTATTTTTGTCAGGTTTGTCAAAGATCAGATAGTTGTAGATATGTGGCATTATTTCTGAGGGCTCTGTCCTGTTCCATTGGTCTATATCTCTGTTTTGGTACCAGTCCCATGCTGTTTTGGTTACTGTAGCCTTGCAGTATAGTTTGAAGTCAGGTAGTGTGATGCCTCCAGCTTTGTTCTTTTGGCTTAGGATTGACTTGGCGATGCGGGCTCTTTTTTGGTTGCATATGAACTTTAAAGTAGTTTTTTCCAATTCTGTCAAGAAAGTCATTGGTAGCTTGAGGAGGATGGCATTGAATCTAGAAATTACCTCGGGCAGTATGGCCATTTTCAAGATATTGATTCTTCCTACCCATGAGCATGGAATGTTCTTCTATTTGTTTGTATCCTCTTTTATTTCATTGAGCAGTGGTTTGTAGTTCTCCCTGAAGAGATCCTTCACATCCCTTGTAAGTTGGATTCCTAGGTATTTTATTCTCCTTGAAGCAATTGTGAATGGGAGTTCACTCATGATTTGGCTCTCTGTTTGTCTGTTATTGGTGTTTAAGAATGCTTGTGATTTTTTCACATCGATTTTGTATCCAGAGACTTTGCTGAAGTTGCCTATCAGCTTAAGGAGATTTTGGGCTGAGATGATGGGGTTTTCTACATATACAAACATGTCATCTGCAGACAGGGACAATTTGACTTCCTCTTTTCCTAGTTGAATACCCTTTATTTCCTTTTCCTGACTGATTGCCCTGGCCAGAACTTCCAACACTGTGTTGAATAGGAGTGGTGAGAGAGGGCATCCCTGTCTTGTGCCAGTTTTCAAAGGGAATGCTTCCAGTTTTTGCCTATTGAGTATGATATTGGCTGTGGGTTTGTCATAGATAGCTGTCATTATTTTGAGATCCGTCCCATCAATACCTAATTTATTGAGAGTTTTTAGCATAAAGGGTAGTTGAATTTTGTCAAAGGCCTTTTCTGCATCTATTGAGATAATCATCTGGTTTTTGTCGTTGGTTCTCTTTATATGCTGGATTATGTTTATTGATTTGCATATGTTGAACCAGCCTTGCATCCCAAGGATGAAGCCCACTTGATCATGGTGGATAAGCTTTTTGATGTGCTGCTGGATTCGGTTTGCCAATATTTTATTGAGGATTTTTGTATCAATGTTCATCAGGGATATTCATCTAAAATTCTCTTTTTTTTGTTGTGCTTCTGCCAGGCTTTGGTATCAGGATAATGCTAGCCTCAAACAAATGTGTATTAAGCAGCTACTTATTTTGTGTCAAGGAATCTAATATATGGAGACCCAAAGGATGCAGTTGCTGCCCTCTGGAGGCTGCCATTCCAAGTGAGAGAGATGCTCTTAGAAACAGAGAAGGGCACTGTGATGTCTTTGATGCTGAGACAGTGTGGGGCCATTGGGGGCAAATGGATAGAGTCATCAATGCTTCCTGGACGGCTAGAAAAGGCAGCATTTCATTAAGTTTTGAGGGCCCGATGGCTAGACATAGAAAAAGAGCTGATAAAGGCAGAGCAGCAGTGAGAAGAAAGACAGGAACCCTGAGGCAAACAGCTCTGAAAGAGGCAAGAAAATGCTGGTAGGGCTGCCTCATGGGGCATGATGTGCAGGGATAGCCGCGGTAAGTGGAGAGGCAGACAGAGGAGGGGCAGACACGCCACACAGAGGAGTTGGTACTGTTAAGACTGCATTTTCGGATACCACACAAAGGTTTTAAGCTGGCAGAGGGGGGAGTAGGGGTTAATATTCTCTGAGTCGTGCCTTAGGACAGGGCTTGTCAGACTGTAGTCCAGAACCATTTTGTTATTGTTCTTCTTCTTCCATTCCCTAATTCATTGCTGGTCAATACCTATGTAAAATTTAATTAAAAGGAAAATTTTTAAAAATGAAGTAAAAATAAAGTGCAGTGGCTTACAAAATACAATTCAAATTTGCTTATGATTAGATTGTATGAATATAAAATTATTTGATCACATTGTTATGAAAGTTTCCAAATGTTTCCACTCAATTTCCATAATTATCATAGGCCAATAACAGCCTGTGTATGGGCCCTGGTCATGGGCCACATTTAAGTGGCATTGCTTTAGAACCATGGCTCTACCAGAAGAATAAAGAATATATCTCAGAGGGAAGAGGGAAGCAGGAAGACCACCTGGGAAGCAACTACAATAATCCAGGCGAGAGATTCCGAAGCTCAAAACCAAGGTAGCTAAGTAAGTTTGGCAAGGAGGGGAGGGAGATGAGAGTAGCTGAGGATAGAGACTGCAGGACTGCAGAAAGGCAAAGAGGAGGGAGTTGGAGGGAGGAGTCTAGGATTATTCACCCTCACCTGCTATGGTGTTTTCACTGCATAAAAGGATTTGAGGTTCTAAACTAAAAGCCAGAGAGGCTCCCTGCTTCAGATCCAGTAGACCTCCCCAAATGACTGATGTGGACTCATGTGCACAGGTGGGTGACTAGATTTACCAAAGCCTGGTAACACAAAACCCAAACAAACCGCAAATATATATTTGTATATATTTAAAAGAGGAGAAAGGCAGTACATCTTTTTAAAACAAAATAAGAACATCCCAAACTCTCATGATATTAAGAGCAAGACGAGTCAAAAGCAGACCAGTTTTACCTAGAAAACACAGTCACTGTATGAATTTCACTTTCCATTTATGTATAAAATATGCTACATTGAGAAAAGGGAAAGCAACAAAACAAAGACACCTAAGTAAAAATAGGATACATTTTTACTAAATTGGCCTGTGAGTGATTCTTTTTAAACACTAGGTTATTGTTCTTTTGCCCTTTGTGAACATGTAGACCTCACAAAGGCACTTTTTGAAATCTGATTTGACCAACACCTCTTTATTAACTTCTATACACGTGGCCCTCTTATCAATGCCACACAAGGTGTGTAAAGATCAGTAAGGGGTACAAAGATATGATTAGAAATTTTCGGATCCAAGAAGAGAGGCCCTCTTCCGTTTTAATGTTCGCACTTCTCTGGCCTTAAGAGTCTTTCTGCACTGAGAAAGAAATTTATGATTAAGAACCTGTGAATAGGGTATAATAAACCCTGTCTGCATCTGCAGTTCTACTAGACGCAGGGCACTGTTAACAGTCTTACTTGTGGGGAACATTCATTGACCATTGACCATTCACTACTTACATAGAGATGGAATTTAGGCTTCAATTCTACAGTCTTGTCAATTAATTGCCCTACACTAAAAGAAATTCACTTTTAATGCCAGTTATAGTTTTTCTCACGTTAGCAATTCCATCATTTAATAAGTGTAGTAAGCATTGAATTACTGAGGTTCGATACTCAGTGAACTCAATGTAAGTGAACTCAGTGAACAAAGTGAAGATACTGTACCTGGGACAGCTTGATATCCTAAAACTAATTCAGCATTATCCAGCACCCCAAGAAGCATTGTTAGGTGTTCTGTGAAAAAAAAGAGTTTGATTATCAGAATATTAAATACTCGAATAAGCAAAAATATATGATTACTACATAACTTCGCATAGCTTTCAACATAATGAGGAGTGATATGGATCTATCTATAAAGGAAAAGTCATCTTTTCCCAATTTATCTGACTGCACAACTCTTGTTTCTCCAAATCCACCCATTAAGCTATCAAAGAATACTAACATTCTGCAGAAGATGGTTTGGGAAATACTAAGCTAATTTAATCCCCTAAAATTAAAAATGCCAAAATCAAAGCTCAGAGGGTTAAGTGTCCTTGCTGACATGAAGCAGTAGTGGCCAAGCCTGGACCAGAATACAGGTCTGCAAGCCTGGGGCTCTTTCTACTTTCTGTCTACCTTAAGGAATTATTTCTCAAAATACCTACTGCCACCTTCAGCAGACTGTGCATGTATATTCAGTGTTTAGTAAGTCGAGCTTTTGGGGAGGGATACACACACACACACACACACACACACACACACACACACACACAGACTCATACTCCTATGCACATAGACACCAGAGCTTCTCAACAGTATTAAGTCCCCTTTTGCACAAGGCCCAGGAAATGTGCTGGAGCAGGAAGCAGGCGGCAGGTGCTGAGGAACAGCAGAGGAGAGCCGCCGTGGGTTTTGGAGGCTCCTTGTTTACAGTCCGTATTAACCCTGGGCTGTTGCAAAGGCCAAAGCTTGGCTCGCATTTGAGATATGAAGCTCTGACATTCAAGAAGCTCCAAAGCAAATGAACCTGAGTGAGTAAATAAATAAACCACAAAGAAAAAGCCAGTATTAAAAAAGATTTGCATGGTCTGGTGTAAACTCAGGAAAGGCAGGCTGCTGGGAAGTAAACTGGCCCTCATCCGCCCTGCTGTGCCTAGTCTGGGCACCAGAACTCAGAAGCACATGACTGAGCCATCCCGTGTTTGGGGCCTTAGAATGGTGACCCAGGTACATGTCCTCAGGGCAAAGATACTGCTCAGGGCAAGGAGGGAAATAAATGATCATGGTTATAGTTAGTAGCTATTAGAGTCACAGGCTTCCAAATTCCCAGACTTGGATCCCAGCTCTGTCACTCACTAGCTGGATGATATGGGTGAGTTATTTACTTCTCTGTGCCCCAGCCCTTTTGTCTGTAATATGTGATTAATTATACAGAGAGGCATAGATGTGTTCTGAGAATTAAAGGAGTGACTTCATAGAAGATGCTGAGAACATAGCCTGGCATATAGGAAGTGCTCAAAAAGTATTCATGTATTTATATTTTATTATTGTTGGTAAGTCATAGAGTCATAATTTAAGAACTATACGCTTCAGTTTCTGTATCTCTAAAATGGGGGAAAATTGTGTCTATTCTGGGACTTCTTGTCAGGATTGAAAGAGTTGATATATGTAAAGAACATATTGAGTTTCTAACCTGTAATAAATCATCAATATATGGCAACTCTTACTACCTCTGAGGATTCCTCCATCTCCAGCCCTGAAATGGTCCTTAACCTTCACTGTGGGGCCAACCCCCATGGCATTGAAAAGGTTTCCTTCTGTACTCACCAGATGTGTTCTTTCTGATCCCAGATAGAGCTCATGGAAATGTCTTTTGGGCATGCTGTGGTCTACTCTGGATAGATATCAAAAAAGAAATGCGGAAGGTATGTGTGGACAACTGATATATTCTAGGGAAAGGGGGAAAAAAGGAGCAAAGAAGGGAGAGAGGGCAGATAAGCCTGATCTAACTTTGGTTATAAACCCTGGCCAATGTACAATCAAGAAGGAGCACCCGCCAGAAAAGCTGGATGTGGCTGGCAAATGTCCCAAATCATTCTGTAGAATGAGGGACCACGAGTGGGGAAATGCTTTTTGATGGATGAATTGGATTGTGAATAAAATGCTGCCTTCCAGGCACTAGACTTGGAATTACCCTGATATGTTGGTTTAATTCAGAACTCAGTGTTGCCTGAACATTGACTTTCTAACCTTAATTGTCTTCTGATTTATTAGTAGATCGCTGTGCTTCTTATGTTTCCTTGGTAGAAGTTACAATCTTGTTTCCCAGAATAATCCCATAGCCTGGGACAGATTTTAGGGATGACAGGCTCAATTCACAGAGGCCAATGTGGCCGATAAACATGGGTGTTTCTGCAGTTGCTGCCCAGAGTCTGACCCACCTGAGAGGAGAGAACACCTTTCACTTTGCCCTCCAGCCTTTTCATCTCCCCCTTATATCTATTCAGGAGTGACTGATCTTTGCTTGCTACTGATATAAGGAGAGCTGGTGAATTAGTAAAATCTTTCCCAACTTCCCCAACAGTTTTCATCTATCAGAAAGTTCAGCGGCATGGTGCATTTTTCAGCTCTGGGGCCTGTGCTCTTTCTATTCTTGAATCTGAGATAACTACACAGCATCATAAAACTTCCCATATTCCGAAAACAGATCCATCCTCCCACCTCAGCCAGCCAGGGTTGCAACCAGCCCACAGGCCAACATTAGGTTGGGAAGAGCAAGGAAAAAACATAGCTCCATTATTCCTCAGCTTGCAAAGGAGACTGACAGTCACAATTGATGACATAAAACACTAGGACAGGCCCATATTTTAAGAGCGTCAATACAGAGTTCACCATCACAGGCCCCGATTTCTAAGATGCCCCTCACCACATTTATTTCCTGCCATTTTCTTTTTTTTATTCCGACTGCAGAGTGATCAAGGAGAGAAACTGGAAGCTGGGCCCAGGGATAAGTTGTCTGCCCGTGCAGGGGGAAACCATAACATTTTACATGATATCTTGTAGTGATATTAATCACAAAGCCCAAATAAACTGAAGCCCAAATGAGTGAGCAATAGGAATCTAATCCTGATAGTATTATACTACCTGGTATTAACTTATACTCACCTGCTTTATCTGCCATGATTCTTATGATATCTGCCTCTGCCCAAGGTGGACTGGGTTAAATGTGATTAGCTCCATTTAACAGATTTAACAGATGAGAAGACAATATTTCAAATGAGGGCTCTTACTGAATGTCAAAATGGAAGCTTGCATTACTGTCATTCTTAACAAAGTCAGCAACACCAACCATAGTGAGTCTTTTATAGATGGACATAGAGATGTATGTTTCCCAAGCCCTGTTCTGTTTCCTGCACTGCAGACATGGGGTGGCTGCCCATGATGGCCTGCAGTGAGTTGGAGCTATTGGCTCAGTTTTAAAAGCTACAGGACGTGATGCCATTTTACATTGAAAAAAAATATTTAATGATCCCGGATGTCTTAAAGATTGTGCAGACACAATTATCCCAATTTTAAGATGAGGATATTGAGCCTCAAGAATTGAATAAATTGTCTAAAATCATGTGTCTCACAAGGGGCTGACCCAGAATTCGAACTCAAATCTGGCTGACTTCAGAGTTGGTGCTTTTTCTCCTCTACCAAGCTGCTGATTTAAACAACTCACTTATTTTACAGAGGTTGAGTAGGAGACCTCTGAGAGCCCAGGGAGGCTTTTCCTCTCCTGTCTGGTGACTGCTACCACAACACCATGAGAGGACTTCTACGGGCTTTTTGGCCATTAGGGGCCCAACCCACCGAATCTGCATTTGCTTCCCTTTGCAATCTGAGAGGTCAACTCCAGTATGTTTAAAAGTTTTGTGCTTTAAAACTGTATTCCTGGAAGCAGTCTGTTTTAACTTTGCCCCTAAGCCTTTCATATTTGCCTGGCCCTTTGTTCTAGGATAATTTCAAAGGAGCTGCCTTACTGTAATGAAATTCAGTGTACTACTGGCTGTATCCATATAACATTTCGTTCAGTTCGATGCTCAATCCACAATCTTGAAATAAAATAGTAGTCAATGAAATTTTCTGTATAGTATTATCCTCCATAAGTTCAAAGATAATTTAGTAAAGCTTGGCTCATGAAAGTGATCACAAAGCTGTATGATTCTACTGGGATACAGGGGTAATGTATTTGTGTGTTGAATGAATCTGAAATTTTGAGTCATTGATTGAGCTGGTCATTTTGATTTAAGAATTTGAGAAGAAAGTATTCCAGAACTAAGTGCTAACCAATGGTCCACACTGATATAAAAATCACAAATAACTCTTACATATGGAGGCTCTCAGAGAAACGAAATATGGTCAAGGCTCAAGAAAACTCACTCTATGCAATTGAATATTCCTTATTTTTTCTTAACACCATCTATTGCACATATTGGCTCACAGAGCAGAAACATGTGACTGTCTTGGTTCTTCATTCATGTTCCTCATTTAATACATTTACAAAAAGCAGTTCCTTCTTAATAACTAAGTTCATGTGTTTGAAAACCCATGTGGATGTAAATTTGGAGGTATGGAAATTTTGGAGTCAACTCAGCAAATGTTGATCCAGTGTCACTGTGTGCCCAGACTGTCTGAATGTCGTGGTTAGAGCAGTGACCACGAGAAGTGATGCTTTGTTCTCTATTCTTGTTTCTGTGGAACCGGACAATAAGCAAAGCCAGGAGCCTATAATATGATCTCAGATATTGATAAGTACTGAGTATAGAATGAAGCAGATTGAGAAGATGTAGAGTGATTGGGTGAGCTGGGAATATTTTGATAGTGGTGTCAGGACATGTATTTTATAAATTGATTGCTGAAATAAGACTAGAAATAGCTAGTTTGCACAGTAAACTGTTTTTAGGGCTCAGCATTATTTGATTACAACTTGCGTCTTGTCACAAACCATGGTTTAGTAGGGTTGGAAATGAGGAAATTTTACTACAATATGTATTATAAGAGCCAATTTCATAGATCGTAGAATCTCAAAGTTAGAGGAAAGCTTAGAGGTCATCCAGCCCCAAGTAGTTTCTCTGATTCGCACATTCTTCTGCTTTAAAAAAAAAAAAAATCTAGTCTCTAGAAACTCATTACTTTATAATACAACCAAGTTCAGTTCTGAATAGCCCCGACCTCCCGTGCCTCTCCCGTCTCTTACAAACGGAAACTTTGTCAGAGGAGGGAGAGGCAGGGAGGTTGAGGAGCCTTGAAAGGCTTTTTCCTTTTTCTCAAGCACTGGGGCTGCTCACCTTCACTGAAGGCACAGAAGGTGCAGGCCTCCAGCAGGAAGACAAGAGCCCATCCCTGCTGCCAGTTTCAGAAACAGTTTCCACAGCTCTAGGTTAAGGTTATGGTCATGTGTAGCAGGGTAAGAGGTTGCAAAGCATGGTCCTAGGGAAGCAGTAGGAGCCCAGGTTTGAAAGCAAGAAATATGGGTCTTCTAGACCTAGCTCTCATGGACAGGCTGTTGGTTTTGGCCTTCGCAGATCAGTACTTCTGCCTGGGCCTCAGTTTATGCATCTGTAAAAAGAAAGAATTGCATTAAATCAGTGGTTCCCAAAGTTAAAGTGGTCCCCAGACCAATAGCATCTGCCTCATTTGAGAACTTGTTTGAAATGCAAATTCTCAGGCCTTATCTCAGACCTATTAAATGAGAACCTCTGAAGCAGGAGAACAATAATCTATTAAAAACCGATGCACCCTTAAGTTTGAGAAACATAATTCTGCGTGATCTTCAAGGCCCTCAATTCCAGCCGTAACATCCTGTGAATCCCTGAGGCAGAGGCCCAAAACTGCAGCCAGCTCACTTGCCCCGACTCTCACCGTAATCTCTCAGGTTCCAGCAGTTTCTTTCTGTCTCTCCTTGGATCCCTGAGCCAAGCTACAGAGCCAGTTGGCTTCAGGAGGTGACTCTAACTCCCAGAACATGTACCTCCCTTAAAAAATCTATATCCAGTCTTACACGGAATCAATGCTTACAGTCACCTTGTATCTAAGCAAACTGAATAAAGCTGGAAGCACCAGCAAACCTGCTTATTTATTTCATGACAAGGGAAACAACTTTCAGTTCTGTGGGACTTGACACCTTTGTCAATAAAATCTGCAGATTGCACAATATAGAGTTGTTTTAGAATTCATCTTTCTGACAATAACAGGACTTTGCAAGAGAAGAGCATCCAGGGGTTATTATGGCAGCCACATCTTTGCCCTGAGACTACTGGCTGCCTTGCCCACATTTACCTTTTACATCAGAACCACTCAGTGAATCTACATCGGCATAGAGAAGAATAAGGGAAGAATTTTAAAGCATGTGCCCCCTTTTGGTTGCTTCTTTTTCCCCCGCTTTTTCGTATGTCTAAAGAAGGCAACCAGATTTGATTTTTTTTAAGAAGCCCTTAGTTTTAATAGCTGATTAGCCTACAATAAGGTCGAACTTGTGTTTTGTTTCTAATTAGCAGTAAAAACAACAGGGTATTAACGTTTGCAGTTGCTTCACTGTAGCATCTTTCCAAGATTTTCTATTCACGCTGTTCAAAAGTGCCATATACATTGGAAATGTGCATTTATATTCAGAGCAAGCTTATTGTAGGAAGCATAAAAAAACACCCCATAAAGCGAAAGTTTGGGGAAGGTGGGGTGGAGTTGAAGGTAGTAAAAGCCTCTCAATTGCTTGATTGTGTGAACTGAAGTTGCTGTAGAGTAAGTCACCATTTGTGGTTTCACAGCTCTGGAATAAATGACACTTCCAATAACATTATCCTATACAGGTGTAAAATATACAAATTGGGTGAGGAAAATGGTAGCATCATTGAAATGCGCACAAGCAAAAAGCCTGGGAAGCAAGCATATGGCAGAGTGCCGGGCTGGGGAGGCAGGGGCCGCCGGCTGGAAGATCCACACACCTTGGCTTCCTGGAGCAGTCGCCTCAGGGGGCCAGAGCCAGAGCTCCATGCTTCCACATCTAATTTGGATGATTCTGTGATTATTATATCATTTAGGGTATTCCCTGCCTAAACTCTTTTTAAATTTATGGCTCTGGTTCGACTTGCATTTTTTTCCCTCCTCTTCTGAGTTTGTCATGAGTTGTTGAAAAGCATATTCAATCAAGCAAGAGCATAGCTTTTTGAGTTTATCCATACAAGTAAAATAACAGATTTAGTGAGTGATAAGCGAAGTAGTCATCAACATAGATAAATATAGAGACTGAAAGCTCTATCATTTATGTATTTCTTCTGCAGCAGAATATATGATGCTTCCTCTTATTTTATTTCTGTTCCCAGTGGGTCATATAATTTCTGCTGGTTTATGAAGGCTAATCTTAAAACCCTTTTTGACTTCTACATTTAAAGGCTTGGAAGTGAGTATGACATCATGGGGGACACTCCAAGCTTTAGTGAGGAGTCATGGGTTTCAGTACTAGTTTGCTCTGCTAAACCCAGTCCCTGGCCTGAGGGCAGCCGTGTTTCTATGCTGATTTTATAGATGGTGACACCAAGGCCTAGAACAATTAAGGGACTTTACAAGGTCATGGGATGCTTAACTTCAGCCCTGACTATAACTGCAATTATGGTATGTGGGCCCCCTGAGAAGTCACCGAAAACCCCTGTCTAATATTTCCTGTGGACCCTCAACCTCCAGACCACCAGGCCTTGTAGGTAACTTATTCAGTGGAAGCCAGGCCAATTGAGTAAATCATGATTATGAACATTGAAAAATGAGAGGAGAGAGAACATGAACAGAAGCATTTTAGTTTATAGAATCATAGAGTTGGAGGCATTTCTTCAAGCAGACAGATTTTGTGCGTATCAAAACGTGATTGGGGAAAAACAGGTACACGTAGCCTCCTTCAGATGCATTTTCTGTTATGGTCAAGTTCATTCCAATAATAATTAATTTGAGGGCTTGTGAAATGTTAGGTGCTATTCTAAGTGTTTCGTATGCATAACTTTATTTTTCCACCAACCAGCTCTAAGAACTAGGGACACTCTTACCCCCATTATACAAATCAGGGACATGAGGCATGGAGTGAAGAAGTAGATTTCCAAGGTCATAGAGCCCACATGGAGTAGAGCCAAGATTTGCCCCAAGCCCAATTCCAGAGCCCATACTCCTAACCACTGTCCCATTGCCCTTCTTGTAGGAGCAGATTTTCAAGTCTCATTTTCAGTCCCTCCTGCTGCAGCAGCAGGCCTTATTTTTCTTGCTGAGTAACACCAGAAATGGTAATCAGCTCATGCCAGCTGAGTGCTTTCTTCTAGGCTTGGCAACAGCCATGAGCCCATCACCTGGTTAAATAACCCCCTGCTTGCCACTCCATTCCTTTGGTCTGTGATGGTATGGAACTTTGGGAAGAACCCAGAGACTAAATATCTGTTTGCTGTCTGTCATTGAACAAGTGACTCACCTTTTCTCAACTTCAATTTTGCATTTGTCAAAAGATTGTTGTTCCTGACCTGGCCATCTTAGAAAAGGTACAGAATCAAAATACCATATAGGCCAGGTGCAGTGGCTCATGCCTGTAATCCCAGCACTTTGGGAGGCTGAGGCAGGTGGATCACAGGTCAGGAGTTCGAGACCACCCCGGCTAACATGGTGAAACCCCGTCTCTACTAAAAATACAAAAATTAGCCGGGCGTGGTTGCATGAGCCTGTAATCCCAGCTAGTCAGGAGGCTGAGGCAGGAGAATTGCTTGCACCTGGGAGGCAGAGGTTGCAGTGAGCTGAGGTTGCACTCTAGCCTGGGAGACAGAGCAAGACTCCGTCTTGGGAAAAACAAAAACAAAAACCATGTATCAGTGGTCCTCAACTTTTTTAGTGCTAGGGACTGGTTTTGTGGAAGACAATTTCTTCACAGACAGGCAGGGCAGGGGAGTGGGGTGCGGAGAAGGGAGGATAATTTCAGGAAGAAACTGTTCCACCTCAGATCATCAGACATTAGATTCTGATTAGGAATATGCAAGCTAGATCCCTCACATGGGCAGTTCACAATAGGGTTCAGGCTCCTATGAGAATCTAATGCTGCTGTTGATCTGACAGGAGGCGGAGCTCAGGCGGTAATGCTCACTCCTCCTGCACCTGCCGCTTAACTCTTGCTGTCCAGCCCAGGTCCTAACAGCATACCAGTCCATGGCCTTGGGTTTGGGGACCCCTGCCATATATGCTATAACTACAGAATGATGTACAATGATGAAGTGATGTTGGCATTATTATTATATGTCATCAGGATGTGGTGTGGATTAAATGAGGTCACACCTCTAAAGCATTTTTCTGTCATGTTGCCTGACATGTAAGAGGCACTATGAGTTGGTTGGTTATCATGTTACTAATTATTATCATTGCTAATGTACCTTGCAGTGATTTAAAGTTTACATGCTTAATTTGCAGAGAAGGCACGAATTTTAAGTTTACATAATTCAAAGTTTACATGCTTAGGCCGGACGCAGTGGTTCACATCTGTAATCTCAGCACTTTGGGAGGCCAAGGCGGGCAGATCACCTGAGGTCAGGAGTTCGAGACCAGCCCGGCCAACATGGTGAAACCCTATCTCCACTAAAAATACAAAAACTAGCCAGTCGTGGTGGCGTGCGCCTATAATCCCAGCTACTCGGGAGGCTGAAGCAGGAGAATCACTTGAACCCAGGAGGCGGAGGTTGCAGTGAGCGGAGATCATGCCATTGCACTCCAGACTGGGCGACAGAGACTGTCGCCTTTTGAACATAAAATGTTTAAACACTGAATGAGGTGTAAGAGATCTGTCTACATGTGCTTTCAGGTTACAAATGTGGGTAGGGGTTCTGAGATGCTAAAATTGACAAGAAAGTCTTAAAAAAAAAAGTTTACTTGCTTAATTTGCCAGAAATGGGCAGTGCCTCAGAGCTAAGCAGTAGGTACTATTGTTTCCATTTTCAGATAACTTGTAACTTGTTCAGAGTCTAGTTTTGTTCAGATTTTATTTCTCTGGAGCTATGCTATTCCTCTGTCTCTGTCTTAAGTGGCCCAGACAACTGTACATGTGATAATATAATAGTAATAATAATTCTGGCTTGGGCTTAATACACTTATTAATGTTGAAGTATTTTAAGCTGTGGAATCAACCAAGGAGCACAGTCTTATTTATTTCATATGAATCTCACGCAAGGGCACAGTTACTTGAGTAATGATTCTTTTTCTTCTTTTAAATGTTCTTAACTTAAATCTACAGTACAACTGTTTAGTTTTTACAGTGTCTAGGTACCAGTCTATCAATTTGTCAGTAATCACTCTGTAATCCACCATTTAGTATCTGCAGGATTACTTGTAATCTGCTTTTAGGGCTATGAATTCTCCATTGTTCATTTTCACTGTTCAACCTTTAGCCAGCTACATTGCCAAAAGTACCATGATTTCCTCACAGATTTACAATGAAGGGCACAGAGATCCTGCAGGGGAAGCTAATGTAAGACTTTTTGATTTAGAAACAATATTTGGAGCCAAGAACCAGAGTACTCAATACTCCACTAGAGTCTTGTTCCCAGAGGGAAAGAGCAACCAATTTATAGATTTTTAGTTTTAAAGTGAGTTAGAAAAATATACATTATGGCAGAGAGTAGCTAAGGAACAACTACAAAATGATGTTGCTTCTTCTGGTGTGCGTAACCAGACCTCTCCATCCCAGTGCGAACATCATGGTGTACTTAGTCAAACCTCGATAGGATAGCCTGCTACACACCTAAGCTATATGGTGTAGCCTTTTGCTCCTAGGATACAAACCTGCCCAGCATGTTAGAGTACTGAATACTGTAGATAACTGTAACACAATGGTAAGCATTTGAGTATCTAAACATAGAAAAGGTACAGCAAAAATACGGTGTCAAGGATAAATAATGGTATGCCTCTCTAGCGCACTTATTGTGAACGGAGATTATAGGACTGGAAGTTGCTCTGAGTGAGTCAGTGAGTGAGTGGTGAGTGATTGTGAAGGCCTAGGACATTACCATATACTATTATAGATTTTATAAATGCTCTACACTAAATGTATAAAAAAATTTCTTTCTTCATTAATAAATGAAATGTGGCTTACTGTGACTTTTTACTTTATAAGGTTAAGTTGTTTTTAACTTTTTCACTTTTGTAATACTTATATTAAAACACATTCTACAGTTGTGCAAAATATTTCTTATATTCTTATTCTATAAGCCTTTTCTTATTTTGATTTTTTTTTTTTTTACTTTTAAACTTTTTGGTTAAAAACTGAGGCACAAACAGATACATTCACCTAGGCCTACATAGCATCAAGATCATAAATATCACCAACTTCCACCTCCATAGCTTGTCCCACTGGAAGGTCTTCAGGGGCAATAACACGTATGGTACTGTCATCTCCTATAATAACAATGCCTTGCTTATTCTGGAATGCCTCCTAAAGGACCTGCCTGAGGCTGTTAACTTTTTTTTATAAGTAGAAGGAGTGTACTCTAAAATAACAATAGTTAGTATAGTATAGTATAGTATAGTATAGTATAGTATAGTATAGTATTGTATTGTATTGTATTGTAACTAAAACCAGTAACATAGTCGTTTATTATCATTATTAAGTATTATGTACCGTACCTAGTCCTATGTGCTAACTTACACATGACTAGCAGTGCAACAAATCTGTTTATACCACCATCACCACAAACACTTGCATAAAGCATTGTGTAATAGCCTCTATGATATTGTAGTGGCTTACAACATCACCAGGCATTTTAGGAGTTTTTCAGTTTCACTACAATTTTATGGGACCACTAACATATATGTGGTCCGTCACTGACCAAAACAATGTTATGCCATGTATGACTGTATTTAAAGCTCCTTCTCCAGAAGAGCCCCCAGAGTTTTCCTGCTGACCACTCTCTAGTCACACATGTTTGAGACAGACAGCAATAAGATAGCATAAAACACAGAGACTCATGAAGTCAGTGGTACGCAAACCCCCAATTAGGATTATTGCCTGTCCATCAATAACAATCACTAGACAATGCAGATTCTGGTTCAGCTGCCTCTGCTCAAAATGCTTTGGAGCTCTCTTGGAAATTCTTTCAAGCCCTGCCACATTCTTCTAAATATCTGAAATGTCTTTGCCTTTGAAAGGAAGATGTGATTTATGGAAACAGCCAAATCACTTGGAGCCAAGTCTGGCCGGGAGGTCAAGATGGGTAATGTTAGTTTAGAATTACCCATTTTAGATAGGAGCGCTGTCAGAGGTTTCTCAGCAATGATTGGTTTGGTTCTCCGTGAAGATAAAGCAGTTTATTATCTTTAAGCTTGCTGTGGAAAAATACACATAATTAAAACAAATTTAATATTGATAATAATCCTAGTCTCTCACCCTGTTTACTATTATGTTGTAGCACAGCAGCATGTGCCTGTATGTATGAGAGTGTGGCCATGTGTGTTTGATTATATGTAAATAGATCAATCTACAGTTAGATAGACAGACATATATAGATACAGCTATATATACTGTTTCTCATGAGATATTTTTTCATTCCCTTTTCCCAGGCATAGTTTCCAGAATTCTCCTATAAATGTGAACCTGTTTAATTGTTGATATTCTCCTAAGATAAGCAATTCTTAACCTTTTTTTAAAAGGTTACAGCTACATAGTTCTTTTAGAATCTGCTGAAAAGTATGCACCCTTTTGTAGAAAAAATAGAAATATATACACATTCATACGATTTGGAAAAGAAGGGACACAAATATCATGTTTAAAACTTTCGACCTAGGATTTGAAAAGCGGCATAAAATTCACATCATAGGATATATTTACAAAACTAAGCTAAAAATGACTTTTCAGTAGACACTGTACATTATTATATAGCATCTCTAGTTAATTAGTTGAATTTCAGGTTGCCTGAATAAGGCTAAGAACAAATAAGTGATGATAATGGAGAAGGAGAAAAGTCAGTGGGTCATTGTGTATTGACGTTGGGATTAAAATAATATAAAAGGTTTCTGTTTACAAGATACAGCAGGCAAGAAATACTTCAAAACCTTTCTGATATAAAATGTTTAAAAGCTGAATGAGGTGTAAGATATCTGTTTACACGTATTTTCAGGTTAGAAATGTGGGTACAGGTTCTGAGATGCTAAAATTGACAAGAAACCTCTAATACAAAGAGGTAGCTAGCCTTAAAGTTGATGGGCTTTTTCTGCAGCTATCTGCCTATTTCTGGATGTTCAGACTGTTTGGTTTATTTGGTTGCTTATAGGGAAGAGAAAACAAATGTAATTCCCATGGAATCTAGGATGTATGACCAAAAATTCCTTTCAAAGAGTGTATTTTATAAGGCAAAACCCTCAGTAAAAGACTGAAATAGCATATAGCCCATCATAGTCTTCACTATAGTTGCAGGGGCCAGTAACCTCTGAGAAATCTTAATCTCAAGACAGTTCTCATATGAATAGGGGGTCAGGGGAGCAGGGTCAAAATAGGTACTTGCTTTGTGACTACAAATGACCAAATGAAAATTTTAGTTTAAAATTCTCCTGGTTTGGTGGAACCCTTAGGCACCTAACAAGTGGAAGTGCATATTATCTCTGGAAAAATGCACTTAGTAACCATGACTCAAATAGTTCTCATAGAAGAAATGCCAAAAACATAAATCATGATAAAATATGATAATGCAAAATACATGAGGAAACAAGTTTTTATAAGACTCAGCAGAAGCAACAAGGAGTAAAATTAGACCCACTATATCTGGAAAAATATGAATCCCCTCAACTACAAGATAAGTAAGCTCAATATGTTTTAAAAAGTAAAGAAGAACATCAAAAGAATAAGTACAACAGATTATGAAATATGGCAAGGTAGATTTGAAAACTGCCCAAATAGAAAGTCTAAAAATGAAATACATAATAATTTAAATTAGAAACACAATGATGGATGATGTAGCAAATTAGGAATAGCTAAAGAGAGATTTGCTGAACTGGAAGATAGATCCAAAGAAATTATATGTAATATAGACAGAAAACAGTAGAAACAAAGGTTAAGAGAATCATAAGTTAAAAAACAGATTTTTCATACATTTTATTGACGCTCCAGAAAAGAGATAGTAAAAGGAATAGAGTGAAAAGGATATTTGAATATGTAATCCTTAAGAATTTCTAGAATTGATGAAAGCCATCAATCCTCAGAAGCTGAAAGCCCAAGAAATTCCAAACAGGATTAAAAAAAAATTATCTGCCGAGGCGGGCGGATCACGAGGTCAGGAGATCGAGACCATCCCGGCTAAAACGGTGAAACCCCGTCTCTACTAAAAATACAAAAAATTAGCCGGGCATAGTGGCGGGCCCCTGTAGTCCCAGCTACTTGGGAGGCTGAGGCAGGAGAATGGCGTGAACCCGGGAGGCGGAGCTTGCAGTGAGCCGAGATCCCGCCACTGCACTCCAGCCTGGGCGACAGAGCGAGACTCCGTCTCAAAAAAAAAAAAAAAAAAAAAAAAAAAAAAAAAAAAAAATTTATCTAAGTGGACACACTGTAATCAAACAAAAGCCAGGAGGAAAAGATAGATAACCATCAAAACAAACAATCATTAGGTTTTTAGCCAACATCTCAACAGTAACAATGAAATCTAGTATATGGTTAAAAACTATCTTCAAAGTATATAAAGAAAAATAACTTGTGAAGCCAGAGAAACATCCAGAGCAATATCATCTTTCAAACGCAAGAATAATGTTTTAAGTCTAACAAAACTGAGAGTATTTTCTACCAAAAGACTCCACCTAAAGAGAGTTTTCCCAAGCGTATACTGCAGAAAGACAAAATATTTTCGAGAAAGAAGGTTGGAGATGTGAGAAGGTATAGTGAACAAAAATAATAGAAAAAAATGTGGATAAACTTATATTTAAATATTTGAACATTGGCCAGGGGCAGGAGCTCATGCCTGAAATCCCAGCACTTTAGGATGGCAAGGTGGGAGAATCAGTTGAGGCCAGGAGTTTAAGACCAGCCTGGGCAACATAATCAGACCCTGTCTTTACAAAAATAAAAGATTAGCTAGGCATGGTTGTGCATGCCTGTAGTCCCAGCTACTCAGGAGGCTGAGGTGGTAGGATTGCTGGAGCTCAGAATTTCAAGGTTGCAGTGAGTTATAATCATGTCACTGCACTCCTGCCTGGGCAACAGAGAAAGACCTTGTCTCAAAAAACAAACAAACAAACAAACAAACAAAAAACAAACAAACCAAAAAAAAACATACACACACACACAGACCCCCCCACACACACGTTGGCTCTACAAAACAAAACACTAAAAATAATGTTCAATTTGTAATACTAGGAATAGCATAGAAGTACTAAATAATAATGTAAATAGGAGTAATCAGGTTAAAATATTCAAAAGTTGCCTTATTGTTTTAGAAAAGTGTAAAGGTATTAACTTTCCATGTTGTTACATTAAATTTGGGTTCTATAATATCTAAGTTAGCCACTAAACAGATAGAACTAAAGGTATAACTTACAAACCATCAGAGAGAGAGAAAAAAAAAAAAAAAAAAAAGAAACCAAAAAAGAAGAAACGGGATGGGAGTGGTGGCTCACGCCTGTAATCCCAGCACTTTGGGAGGCCAAGGCAGGCGGATCACCTGAGGTCAGGAATTTGAAACCAACATAGTGAAACCGTGTCTCTACTAAAAATGCAAAAATTAGCTGAGAGTGGTAGCACGTGCCTTGTAGTCCCAGCTACTCAGGAGACTAAGGCGAGAGAATTGCTTGAACCCAGGAGGTGGAAGTTGCAGTAAACCAAGGTTGCGCCACTGCACTCCAGCCTGAGTGACAGAGCGAGACTGCATCTCACAAAAAAAAAAAAAAAAAAAAAAGGAAGAAACAAGAAACGGAAAATTGGACAATATAAATCATGAAATAAAATAATAATAACAGTAAACATAAAAGCTTTAAAAAGGCCAGATTGGATCTTCAAATTTATAATCTAGAAATATGCTTGTTGTAAAACATATACCTAAAATATATGGAAATATATGACTGAAAAGGTATGAAAATAGATAAATAGGAATAGAAAGTTTGTATACTTATATAAATACCATCCAAAATAGTCTTTAATGTCTTTTTCCTTAAAACAAAGTTATTGACTATAAAAAGGGTCATAGCACAGCTGAAATGATAGAATGTTCAGTTAAAACCAAGAATATTTTAAAATTTCTACTTATATGTGCATAATAACATAGTTTACAACTATATAAAGTAAAGATGACAAAGGAGAAATTCACAAACTTGATCTTCGAATGGAACATTTTAACAAATCTTTCTCAGTAATGGATCAAACAAACAAAACATAGATGAGTAAGAATATAACAAATCAAAGAAAAGCAATTTCCAAATCTAATTGTAATAAACACGCATAAGTGCTACATCCAACTAATAGAAAATACAACAAAGCACATGTAGAACAATAATAAAAATTGATGACATACTGGGCTATAGAGCATGCCTAACAAATTTCAAAGAGTCAATGTCATAGAGATTGTATTCTCTAACAAAAGACAATTAGATTAAACCCGGTAATCAAAAGATAACATTAAAAGCCCCAAATCATTGGAAGTTAGAAAACACTTATATTTAATTCATGGGTCAAAAAATTTAGAACTGAATAATAGTGAAAACACAACATGTCAAAACATGCAGGCTGCAGCTAGGTTGATTCTTGGAGAGAAATTTAGAAGTTTAAAGATTTACATTAGGAAATAAGAAAGGCTAAAACAAGAAAGGCTTACCATATGACTTAAGAAATTGGAAATTGTTTATTAAATGAATATACTCAAAAAAAGTAGAAGAAAGGAATGTATAAAGATAAAAACAAATCAGTAAAATGCAAAACAGGTGCTGTAGAGAGGATCAATAAAGCCGACATTTTTTTTAAAGACTGATTGATTTTTAAAAAATTGCTTCTCAGCCTTTTGGCTAAGATCAAGTGATAAAAAATTATGATCAAGATTAAAATTATGATTAAGATCAAGACTGATAAAATTATGGCAATAATAGTTGAGGAGCAAGGGGAAGGATAGAATGCAAAGAAAAATATTAGGGAGAGAAGTAAAAAGAAAAAGTATTATGGAAAGTATGTAATTGCAAATGCAATTGAGATGAAAAGACTAATGTATTAGGAACAACTGTATGTCAACATATTTGAACACTTACATGGCACAGACATAGCTTGGGAAAAGAATATAACTTAAAAATATCAATTCAAGGAGAAATAGAAAACCCACATTTCCCTTTAATCATTAAATAAATAGAATCAATAGTTTAAAAATCGTTTAAATAAAAATGGTCCAAACGTTTTACAGTTAGTTCTGCCAAGAATTCCATTATTACACAAACTTGCTTAGATTATAGAAGAAAGAACTTTCTCAGGATGGAACATTGATCACTCTCAAACACAGAATGAGAAAAAAGAAATAATAGTGGGCCAAGTGTACCTATAAAGATAGATATAAAAATTCCAGACAAAATAAAAACAAACGTAATCTAGAAATATATTTTAAAGATGATACATTTCAACTATGATTTACCTCAGGAATGCAATTTTGATCTAACATTAGAAAATAGATAAATACAATTCCCCATATTAACAGAACAAAGGAAAAAAAGACAAATGATTATGTCAATTGATGCAGAAGTCATTCACTAACAGCCAACGTTCATTTATGACAAAGGTTCTCAGCAAACGAAGAATAAAAATAAACTTCTTTATCCTAATAAGAGATATCAAGAAAAAACTCTGCAGTAGGCACCAAACCTAACAATGAGACATTAAAAGCCTTCTCTTTACTATCAGAAACAAGGCAAAGAGGCCCAATGTTCTCACATCTATTCAAAGTTACATTACAGGTCTCAGCCAGTAAGCTAAGGAAAGTAAAACAAATTAAAAATAAAAGGTTTGGAAAAGTAAAAATAAAACTCTGATTATTTTCTTATGATATGACTACAATGACATCCAGAAATAATATATAAACAAGTTATCAAAATTAATAAAAGTATAAGACTAAAAGTGATTAAATACAGAAAATCCTTTTGATATATTTTTCTACTTATTGCTGATGTATAGAAATGAATACTTGAAAGAACAAAAAGTAATACGATACCTAGAAATACATCTAACAAAATACATATAGGATTTCATTTTTAAAAATGAGTCTTATTGAAGTTTATTAAAAAATACAATTGAGAAAAATATGTTGATGAATAGAAAGATGCATTATGAAAGTATCAATTTTCCTCAAATTTATCTATAGATTTTAATGAAATTCCAGTCAAAATTTCAACAAGCAGATTTGGAACATTGTAAGATAATTCTATACTCAATATAAAAAGCCTACATGAAAGTTATAGGAATAACTAAGATCTCTTAAAGAAGAAGAAAAGGCGGAGGACTTACCCTACCACATATTAAAATATACAAAACCCACTTTTAGATGGATTACATTATTAACTGTGATAGTTGAAACTTTGTCCTTTTAGAAAATATAGAGCAACACTTTATGGCCCCAGAATAGGAAAGTATTCTTAAGACAAAAAGGCAAATCACACAAATTAATAAATCTGACTATCTTAATGAAACTCGTTTATCAAAAGACATAAAAAAGATAATGATAGCCTATCAACTGTGAAAATATTTGCATTTTATATTACCAAAAAAGGAGAATTTGGAATATTTAAAGAACTGCTAGAGTTTAATAAAGAAAAGACTTTCAACCTTACTTTTTTACATAAAAAACCTGGGTAAAAAAAATGAAAAGGTATTTTAGATGAGAGAACACACACAAAAAAAAGTTCAGTAATTTTCCTGATTCTATTCCAGGAAAATTATAATCAGATTATAGGATTACTCTTGTAATCCAGGAAAATTACAATCAGGAAAATCCAAATTAAAGCCACAATCACCCACACTGGCAAAAATGGAAATCTGTGAATACTAAGGATTAAAGAATTATGGGATTAATGATAATTCCTTTTTATTCTGCTAGGAGGAATACCAGTTGACACAAAAATTTTGAAAAACAATTTGGCATTATATAGTAAAATTAAAGATACACATTTCCCACATCTTACCCAACAGTTTCATTCCTCCATGTCTGTTCTCACAAAACTCTTGCCCACATGTGTAGAAGATAAATACCAATGTGCTCATAGGGAAAATTTTTTTTGTGATAGCTGAACACTGGACACAACTTGGTTGCCCATTGACAATAATGTAGATATGTACATGGTGGAATATCCATACAAAAGAAGATTGTTATCCAAGAAAATGAATGAGTCACATCTACACATATCAGCTGAATCTTAGAAATAGCATGTTGAGCAAGAGAATACATGGCCCAATATCTACAAAATTCAAAAATATGAAAAAACATACTATTCAGGGATCCATATGTATGATAAAACTGCAAAGAAAGGAGGTTGGGCAGGGTTGCCATGTATGGTTGTATATTGCACAAGGATTTCCAGCCAAGGGAGTAATTAGAGCTAAATATCAGCCCTTCAAGATACTCCCAAGCCTTTTGCCCAGGTGTGGGAATTCACCTCACAAGGAAGAAAAAGGTACTTTTCTTAAGTTTACCCAAAGGCACCTCTTGCATGTTGGGAGTAACACACATGTGAGTGTCAAAGGTATTGGCAATATAATGTGTCTTAAGCTGAGTGGCAGTAGACAACTGACCATGTTATTTACTTTTTTTTTTTTTTTTTTTTTTTTGAGATGGAGTCTTGCTCTGTTGCCCAGGCTGGAGTGCAGTGGCGCGATCTTGGCTCACTGCAAGCTCCGCCTCCTGGGTTCACGCCATTCTCCTGCCTCAGCCTCCCGAGTAGCTGGGACTACAGGCACCTGCCACCATGCCCGACTAATTTTTTGTATTTTTAGTAGAGACAGGGTTTCACAGTGTTAGCCAGGACGGTCTTGATCTCCTGACTTCGTGATCTGCCCACCTCGGCCTCCCTAAGTGCTGGGATTATAGGCGTGAGCCACTGCGCCCAGTCATTATTTACATTTTTAATGTACATTTTAAATGTGAATATGCAGACTTAATATGAAGACCACATTTTTAAAATGTACATGTCCAGGCTTTTGTGTGTGTGTGTGTGTGTGTGTGTGTGTGTGTGTGTGTGTGTGTATAAAATGTACATAGATAATTTAACATTTCTGTATTCATCCATTTATGCTGCTAGTAATTCGTAAAGAACAGAAATTTATTTATCATGGTTCTGGAGGCTGGGAAGTCCAAAATCAAGATGCTGGGATCAGTGTCTGCCAAGGACCTTCTTGGTGCATCCTCACATGGTGGAAGGTAAAAAACAAAGATGAACACTGTCTCCTCACAGGACAGAATAGCAGAAGAAAGCAAACCAACTCCCAAGAGCGCTTGTTGTATTATATAGCAGCATTAATCCATTCATGAGGGCAGGGCCCTAAACACTTCCCATTAGGCCCCATCTCCCAACACCGTTACAATGGGGCTTGTTTCCAACATCTGAATTTTATGGTCCACATATAGGCCATAACACTTACCAAATGATTTGAACTGATATTTTTTAGGAAAATGTTTTTACCAACTTTGAGAAATCAAATTTCAACAGGTCCACAGTGAAATTCAAATGAAGCTACCCCAAAAACCCAATACAGGGTTTATGTCTATTGAACATCAAGTAGCTACTGTTCTTGTTTCTTCCTCTCTCCCTCCCTCTTTTCTCTTCTTCTCTCTCAAAAAGTATAAAATACTTATGAGGCTGCAGAGAATACATGTTTCAATGAAGTCTGATAGCCAGGAGCAATATTTGCTGGGCACATGAAAAGTCTTCTCCAAAGAATGTCTCAGAGAATTACAGAGACTAGAGCCTGCTCACCCGGGGCCAGATTGTCAATACAGCAAGGCTCTCCATCTACAAGGTACTTAGGAGAAGAGGAACTTGTGGGGTGGAGTTCAGGCATCTGGGCAGAGCCAGCTTTCTCTCCTTGCCTCCATTCAGCTCTGTGGAGTCACCTCTAGGAGTGCTTCTCTGTCCACGTGTAGGCCTGACAGTGAAAGAGGAAGTATTTACAGACTGGATTTTAACTCTGTCAGGCACTGAAAAACTACCCATGAAGATGAAACTGCTAAACTGACTCTCAGAATCCTCCCCATTCATATCGAACTTTCTGATTTCCAAAGGGCTTTCCCATATGTTATCCCATTTGTGCTTCCACATACTCTGGGGGAAAGGGATAGAGCAGTAGGTACTAGCATTTCCATTTTACAAGATGGAGAACCTCAAGTCCTGAGAGGTGAAATGAGTCTTGTAACATCAAGTCAGGCAGATCTTTGGGCTGCTACTCCTATACTCTTCTTTTCCAGCCCACAGAGCACTGGATTAAGGCAGAGGCAAGGGAGAAGACAAAGGGAAAGAAGGAAAAGATATGAGGCTAGTGGAAGAAAAAGGGTAGGAAAAAGGCAAAATAATGGACACTCCTGTGCAAAAAGCAGTGAGATGGGTACAGGCAGGTCTCAGCTGACGGGAGTATCCCAGAGTGTTTCCTTCAAGACTCTTTATTGACTAGGGAAGATCAGATGAGAAAGAGGGGAAACACTTGCCATAACACAGGTGGCGTAATCAGGGATGAGGAGAACATCTTGGGAGAGTTTTGGACTAAGAGAGTTGAAGTGTAGGTCTCCCAGTTCCAGGAGCATCTCTTTGTTCTTTGTGTCACTGCATCCCCCATCAGGCTGACAGCATCTGCCCCTATGATACTAGCTGAGCCACCAGCCCTTCAAAATAGGCCTCCCTAGTCCTCTGTAGATATCACTCATAGGGACCATGATGTCAGGATGGCCTTAGGCCTTCCCAGAAACCTGCCATCTCGGGACTGCACTCTCCAGCAAGCACACACACCTTCCAGCATTGGAAGAAACCCAGGCCTTATGCTTGGCCTATTTGCCAGGTGGCTCCCAGCTCTAATCCTTAAATACTGCAGCCCATTGCCAGTGTTATGCTGAGTATTCCTGTGTAACTTTTCTGCAAAGTTCTAGCCAAGCCCTGGCAAGATGCAACTGAAGACAAAACAGTTTCCCCTTAGGTAGAGGTCACTATACAATGGAGCAATTCTTGAGATCTAAAGATCGAGGTTTTTAGACTAATGATTTGATCTCCATTGCATTAGTGTAAATTGGAAATGGATACCATATCTTTAATGCTAATTAGGCATTGCATTACTTAGTCTTCCAGGCCTCATGTAAATAACAATTAGCAATAATTTAGCAGTTGTACATGCTGGCATCTTCTAAGCCATACCATTGTATACCATTCCAAATTCCTTTGCATTAATTAGGATCATAAGCCAATCAGCACTAATTAGGAAGAAAATAAGTATAATAATAAATGAAACAAAATTAGTGATTTGTATCTGGTCGGTAGTTCCTTCCCTTTGCAGTTCATCAAATAGTCTTAATGCGTAGGAACTTCTTGTAATTGAAACTAATTATGAGGTTTCCCCTGCTACTTTGAGCCTCATGTTCAAATCCCACGAAGCTCATTAAATAAGTAACAAAACTGGAATCTTTAGCACATATTGTAACTTGGATCATGTTAATTAGCACCACACGCAAAAGGCAGTGAGAGGCCGTTTAGCAGCCCCTGTTCTAGTTAAAGAGAAGGGAGATTGGGACCGTTACAGTTCTTTGGGGCTTTTAATAAGCCAGGCCAGTAGTGGGTGGGTACTGTGGTGAGAAAGTTCTTGTTATAATACAATGATGGTTCGGGGCAGAGAGGACAACATGGAATCCAGGGCCAAGCTAACCCTTGACAGGAGCATTTCTAGCTGTCACAGTTGTGTATGGAAAACACCTGAGTGGGGTGGTAGCCCCGTTTCCGGGGTATCTCTCCTCACACCAGGCACTTGCCCCATACTTGACTCTGTGGCGACCTCTGCCCAACCTTGGGCCAGTTACAGAGCTTTTCTCTTCAAGGTTGAGTGGTGAGCATTAAAGACCCCGGAGATTTCACTTGCCCTGCACAGAATAAAATTGTATACACATAAACCCATGTGTCTGTTTCTAGTCAAACATATGTACCGTTCAGTAGACATATTGGCTGTATTCACAGCTTCCAGCGCTGATCTCAACGACTGCCGTTCCTTTTTCATATACAGCTAGATCTGTAGATAGCGCTCTAGGCCGCAATTGGAAGATGCAGTAGAAATATGCTCACCCACCAATGTGTCTTCTGCCCTCCTGTCTGTGCTGTGGAGCAGTCTGAAGTTAAGCACTCAGGATGATGTTGGGGAAGGTTGGATACGGGGAAGTAAATCCACAGGGATGTTGGTTTATGGTGTACCCACCTACAGTACTAGAACTCCATAAACAATATTATTCACTGCTGTTTTATGAGAAACAGTTCTAAAATAGCCCTAACAGAAAACACTTGTTACTCTACCATTTTGACATGTCAGGTTTGATGGCTTGATGAGCAAAAAGACATGGACAGAGCTTTCTAGACACCCAGTGGAATCAGAGCTACTGATGTCTTAAGCTACTAATGTTAACTTTATTTATTTGGATGTAGAACCGTCTGGTTCTTATGTAACAACAGAAAACAATCCTGATCATCCTTCTGGCCTCAACTAATGCCTCATTCTTCTGTAAAGCAGGTCCTACTGTCTGAGCTCACAGAATTTTTTTTTTCTTTTACTCCTGGTGCTCTGGTTACCACTATGAGACTCACGTATGTGTGATTCCAAGTTATCGGATGATAACCTTAGGGGTAATAGTCTGGTCTCCCTAGTCAGGTTATTAGTTATTTAGAATCTGAAGTCCTCATGTGTCACATTCCTTTTCAGCCCTATAGTGGCTGACCCAGGATGCGAAAAAAAAGTTTCCAGGAAGTTATGATTTTTTGACAGTTAAGCATTGAAGAGCCTCCAGAACCCAGCATAAGAATGACCCTTTGAAAGTAGAAAAATCTCATTTTAATCACTCCTGTTTTGTTCTTAACATTTTATATATTATGCAGTGTGCGTGATGGGAAGGTGAAAAGTCTGTGGTCTTAACCTTGTCTACTGAGTGATACCTGAAGAAAAAACTCTGGGATATGTTCAGAGTACATCCATGTCACTGGCATAGATCATGAAGTTGGTGCTTTGTCCACATAGGCACAATAAGATACAAAGTCAGAACCACCTCAGAGATAACTCGCAACGACCCTTCTTACTAATGCTCATAGCAAAACAGGAAAGTAATAGATATCATGTTGTCTGCATTGCTAAAGTCAGCTAAACCTGGTGAATCCATTTCATACCAGTTGATTCAATTTTTCTGTGTATGTACAGCCCCCAACAGCACACGTAATTATTTTTAAGGATGTAATTCTGAATCATGTAATGCTGGATAATTGACAATGAAACTAATAAGATAATAGTTATGCCCTGCCACCAGTAGTTTACAGTCTAAGAGAGCTCGTGACTGATCATAGTGAAATTAAATACAGCCGAATTAAGATGTTTAATCAAAAGAAAGAGAATAAGCAAAACACAAAAATCATGTGTCTTTCTTGTTTTAACCACAGATTATTCTTTCCAAAATTTTCTCATCTGTAGTCCAATGTTACGTTATATGACAGTGAACTGTTGGCACACCAGCCTGTCCTAGTAGCAGTGCACTCTAACCTCCTCATTGGCATGAATGCCAACAAAGGAAATCAGGTGATGTTTAAGAGGGATATGATTTGGCATAAAGTTGTCTAGACTGGGCTTTTGAGCCAAGACACCTATCCTTAGTAGAGGGTGAAAGAGGAGGCTGGTCTTGGTTATTAGGCACTAAGACATTTGAACTTGGATAGACAAAAACACACTGATGTTAGTAGAATCAAGTCATTAGGCAGAGGTAGGGTCACAAGGAAAAAGCAAGAGCCCAGGTGTGAGAGCTAGGCCCAAGGACAGAACAGGGGCTATAGTGAGCAGCCAGGATGTTGGGCAGCCCATGTATTGCCCTGAGGTCTTCTGAACATGTTCCTGCCTGGAAACAGGGCATGGTAAGTGTAGGGGGAGGTTGGAGACTGCAGTTAGAGGTCTGTGGATCATTGCAAAGCCCCACTCCTCCATCACCACCACCAAATCTGTTGAAAATGTGTCTGTCTAAATTGTGCTAAATATACTCTTAAAATAAAAAATATACATGTATATTTTAGGCTTGATAAGGAAGCCTCCCAAAATTCCATAGCTTTTCAGCTTATAATTTTTTCATTGGAAAAAATGGAAGAGAAAGCAGAGAAGTTGTAAGGGAATATGATGAAAACCTTAAACAGTAAATAAGATGCTGCTAAAAATCTGTGTGACTAGAGCCATACATCAACGGGAATGCACACAACACACACACACACACACACACACACACACACTCCTAGGAAGCTCTGTACTAGACAGAGTGCATGCTTTACATTTTTGTCGCCTTAAAAGCAGTACTGAGTTACGAAGACAGCCTAAGCAATAAAGATGAGGACAGGATGTATTGAAAGTGGGACCCCAACAAAATAGAGGTTGAAACAGCCCAGGTCCTGACTACTTTGCAAATAGAATGATTCCTTAGTATGTGTGATATGGTCATTCATTCATTCATCCATTTGCTCATTCATTCATTCATTCATTCATTCTCCATTTGCTGAATAACTCCTCCGAATCCAACACACTAAATGCTTGCCCTACCAAGGACAGCAGTGTAGTCTGGAATTGCAGCATGAATTGGGACTGACAGTGACTTGGGTTCAAGTCTCAGCTCTTCCACTTGTTGAGTAAGACATTTTTGGTAAGTCTTGTCACCACTCAAAGCCTGTTTCCCCATCTGTAAAATGAGGGCAATATTAACTCCTACTTTATTGAGTATTGTAAGGATTAAATTCTATAATGCCTGAAAAGCTCTTAGGCCAGTATACAAAGTAAATGCACAATAAATGTTAGTTGTTTGTGTTGTTGCAGTTAAATGACAGTATTCTATGTCAGTAGAAAATAGAGGAAAGCCAATACTGACTCCCAGTAAGAGCTTAACAACAAGTAGAGCTACCTATACAGAGTAGGCTGCCCGAAGAGGTGGGGAGCTGTTCATCTCTGCCTGTGTTCAGGCAGAACTTAAACTTCCAATATTAGGGATACTGTAGAAAAGGCCCATCTTTGAGGAGGAGCAGCAGGAAGGACCCTACCATTTCTCTTGTACCATTTGTGCTGGGCCTGCTGCTCATTACTTTATAGATGTGTTCTAATTTGAGCCTTGCAAAACTCCTGCAATGAAGATATTACCCTTCTCCTTTTTGCTTTGCAGGGACAGGTAACATACCAAGATGCCACAACCAGGAAGAGGTAGAAAAGACCTTAGACCCCTAAATCCATGCTTTTTCCACTGCACTACCTTCATGCTCGGTTAACTCATACTGAGACTAAAGGATCCTCAGGAAACTTACTTAAGACAGAATAAAGTCAGGGTGGGATTTTATCCCACAGAGTGAGAGGGAGCTGTTCCTTTTTGAATCTCCAGATCTCATGCATTATCCAAGGCTCCCCCACCAAAATAATAATCATAATAATAACCTGCCTGAAAATACCACAGATCCGAAAAGTCTGGAAAGCTCCTTCAGAAAAGCTTCGCTTCCGTACATTGATCTCTCTTTGAAAAAAACAAAGCCTTCTCCCCCACAGTTCAGTTCCCTGGCTCCCTGCCCTGCCACCCATCCCTCTCCACCTTCTAGCTATGCTGATGAAAACAGGCCAAAACAGAGCATTTCAAAAATTCACCCTAGAACCCCAGCTTTCAGATCTGCGATCTGAAAAGGGCAAAGAGTGGAAGATGGTGGAGGGCAAGGGTTGAGAAGAACCATTTTTTTTTTTTTTTTGTCAAGAGGAACAGATTCCATTCTTGAATCCTTTGCCGTGTTATAAACAAGGCTGAGCACACAGCATTCCTCCTAAAGCACATGGTCCTGTTTTTACAACACAGGCCTGGTCCCTGCTGGAATTCAGTGTTTGCCTCAATACTGTTCGTCCTATTCATTTGGGATTTATTTTAATTTGGTGGTATTAATGGTGGCCAGGAATGGAACAGTTCTTTCATTCTTCTTCTGTTTTCCTTCTTATCTCCCTCCACACCCTCGATCTTTTATATTTATATTTTTAAGCATGTAAATGTTTCCAAGGGCAATGCCGAATTCTAAGCACTGCCTGTTATTGCCTTTGGTGGGTGCCTTCGCCCTCAAACCTGTAGCTTCCACTTTTGCTGGCATTTTGCAGTTCCTTCTCCAAGGTGCTCAAACTTCAGCAACTCTCTCATCTGAAGAGACATTATTGAGATTGTTTTCTTTATATAGAAAGGTGTTCGTTTGTTTTACCCTTTCAGGCTAGTTTTAAGGGCTCAGTTGAAAATGTAATCTGAGAAGGGACAGTGTAGACTTGGCTAAAAATGGAAACAGTGGGTCTTCTTAACTACTCACCACCTCTTTGAGGATTGATAGTTAAGAACTTGGGTTGTTGGGGTGGAGGTGGGAGCTGAGCACCTTGGTATATGTGAGAAACTAGTAATTAGATTGATCCATTTAAGAAATACACTGATATGTGCCAAACTCAACAAATAGGTCTTTTTCTCAAAAGGATACATCACATTCCACAAAGCTGCCATCGCTCAAAATACTTTGGAATATTTCTGAAATTATCTCCAGAGATTTTGGTATATTTTCTTTTAAAATTATTCATCAGAGAAAACCCTCATCCTCTGAGAAAACAAAAATATGCAAACTTTCAAAAATCACTTGTGCACAATTCTAGGGAATCTGTGTATTTTTTAGTTCCTCATCCATGAGCATACAGGACCCTGGGCTTTATTGATTGGCTCACAATCTGGTTCTATTGGTTTCAAACTCCAAGTGACATTTAAACAATGGCAATATCGTTGCAATAAGTAGTTTGCTTTTCATGATTACCCTCTTCCATTACAAGTAATGTATGTATGTGAGTTCAAGCCTACTGAGTGGGCCTTTGTCCTATTCAAGGAGCATGATTAGACAGCAGTCTATGCCACCCAACACCATCATGAACCAGCTACATGGGCAATATTTACTCTAGGCATGGCCTCGAGGACAGGAGGCACTTCCCACTGTAAACATGTGAACGAGCGAGTAGCCTGCCCATATCTCCATAGCCAAACCATCCTCATATGAGTCCAATAAAAGACTTCACTTCTCTTTCCACATTAGATGCTGGAAGAATAGTAATGTCATGGGAAAAAAAAAAAAAAAACAGCAGTAATCTGAAAGTCTTTTTTTCTTTTCCTAAATCTTCACAAGGTCTAGTTGCATAGGCACCCAAATGTCTGTTGACCTTCGTAATCTAAATGTGGTGACTCTCTTTTAAATTCCAGGAAGGGTGACATTTCTTATCACTGTGCTTTATGACTTAGGTGTGGGTAGTCCTTTCGTAAGATAGTATCCCACTACGCCAGTGATTCTTGCCTGGGTTTATTTAGCCCCCCACCAGGAGACTTTTGGCAATGTCTGGAGATACATTTATTACAGCTAAGTGGGGGCTTCTGCTGGCATCTGGTGAGTAGAAGCCAGGGATGCTGCTGAATACCCTACAAGGCGTGGAACAGCCTTTACCCTACCCTGTAACAAGGAATTATCTCATCTAAATGTCAGGCGTGCTGAAGTGGAGAAATCCTGCACCAGAATAAATCTCACCTGATGAACACCAAGGTAGCATATGGCATAGGTGTGAACATAGCCCCGGCAAAATATATGCACTTCTGCCTTCTTTGAGCATGACTTAGTATGGGGACCAATTATTGTGGTTTTCTTCCATTCATGCCATAAAAACGGAATACTCCAGGTAGATGTTGTCCTTGGCATCCCAAATTCATCTTTTTTACACCGATGGTTGGCGTGATGATTGGCCTCATTGTACCTTGGGTGTGATGCATCCTTTCACATGCACTGTGTAGAAGAAACAGCATCTCTACTGTCCAAGTTTATGTAAACTTCACTTTCTATTGTGTAACCAGCTGCCTGTTACAGAATCAAAGAATATCAGAGTAGAAGAGTCTCTTCTGTTTATCTTACCTGTGAGGAAACAAGAATTATAAGAATGTGGGTAACTCTTCAGGTAAATGAAAAAGAAACAGGGTTAGGACCAGGTGTCCTGAGATCTAACCTGGTGCCCACCTGACAGCCTTTCCACCACTCCTCCATCTTTTAGGCAGAGAGTGTGGCAGCCCCAGGCCCAGTGTTTCTGGCTCATAACATATCTATTTACAGGCCTAGGCAGTGAATCACAGGCTTCACTCATGGGTGAGAGCTTATTTCCCTCGGCTGCTGGACCATGCAGAGTCTCTGAACGGCAAAGCTCAATCCCTGACATTTCTGCCAAGATTAGAGAATGGTTTGCTTTCTTCACTTCACTCCCAATGTCATTTTTTAAAACATCATTAATTGACATTGGGAGTGATCCTGATAAGCTTCTCCATCATCATGGTCAGGGAACATACCAGAAATATAGCTGGTGTGGGACAAAGGAATTTCATGGGATGTGATTGTTATTTTAAAAGTAAATAGTAGAAGAAGCCAAGTGATCTGCAGAGTCCTATAAGGGCTTTGGCGCAGCATCTCAGTGAAGGAATGAAACTAATATTATGACAAGAGAGATGCCAACCATCATCACTACACAAGAAAAATAATATATAGGAAGAAAATACAACCTCATGTACTACATAGTCACATTGTGTTCCCTGGGCATTTACTAAAACAAGAGTCTTGATGGTTAACCCTTAAAAGTCTCCCAAATTAAGGTGCTTTTCAAACCATTCTTAGACTCACCACAAGGTAAGTGAAAGGAGATACAGTCATCATTTTTCTGGTGGGAAAACTGAACAGAAGACTATTCAGCCCACCAGCCAGAAGGTGGGTTTGGTGTAGGATGATGCCTGTAATAGGGTCATAAGACCATGGGGTCAACAGATTCTTAAAATTGGGAAAGAATTTCTAAGTGCATCCAGAAGGTATACACTGGATAAAAGAGGAGTTGTGAAATATGACTCAGGGAAAGAGCTGCAGACTCTGTAACAGTGTTCAGAGGGAACAGAATGCAAAACCACCTGCAGATTCACCAAATCGGGCAATAAGCCTTCAAAGGTACTCCAGGCCTGACTCAAGCCCTCCTGCCTCCGTGAAGTCTTAAAATCTTCCTTTTTTTTTTTTTTTTTTTTTGAGACAGAGTCTTGCTCTGTCGCCCAGGCTGGAGTACAGTGGCATGATCTCGGCTCACTGCAAGCCCCACCTTCCGGGTTCACGCCATTCTGCTGCTGCAGCCTCTCAAGTAACTGGGACTACAGGCGCCTGCCACCACGCCCGGCTAATTTTTTGTATTTTTAGTAGAGACGGGGTTTCACTGTGTTAGCCAGGATGGTCTCAATCTCCTGACCTCATGATCTGCCCACCTCAGCCTCCCAAAGTGCTGGGATTACAGGTGTGAGCCACTGCACCCGGCCTTTTTTTTTTTTTTTTTTTTTTTTTTGAGACCGAGTCTGACTCTGTTGCCCAGGCTGGAGTGCAATGGCATGATCTCAGCTCACTGCAAGCTCCACCTCTCGGGTTCAAGTGATTCTCCTGCCTCAGCCTCCTGAGTAGCTGGGACTACAGGCATGCACCACCATGCCCAGCTAAGTTTTGTATTTTTAGTAGAGACAGGGTTTCACCATTTTGGCCAGGATGGTTTCAATCTCTTGACCTCATGATCCTCCCACCTTGGCCTCCTGAAGTGCTGGGATTACAGGCGTGAGCCACCATGCCCAGCCAAAAATCTTTCTCAACCAGCGTATTTCCCCCATTTACTCAGCACCCCTACTTCATATATGTCTGTTCCTACTAGCTTGTTCTTTAATTGTTCCTTGTAGGTTCGTTCAGAGTCTTTGCAACTGTATCAGTTTGAGATGTAGTAACCAAGTTCCACAAGCTGGGGGCTTAAATAACTGAAATGTATTGTCTCACAGTTCTGGAGGCTGGAAGTCCAAGATCAAAGTGTCTGCAGAATTGGTTCCTTTTTAGGACATTGAGAGAGGCTGTTCCATGCTTCTCTCCTTGCATTTGGTGGTTTGCTGGCAACCTCTGGCATTCTTTGGCTTATGTATGCATCGCCCCTAACTCTGCCTTCATTTCTTATGGCATTCGCCCTGTGTACAGGCCTGTGTCAAAATTTTCTCTTCTTATAAGAACAACAGTCATATCAGATTAGGGCCCACCCTAAAGACCTCATTTTACTTTGATTACTCTATAAAGACTTTCTCCACATAAGGTCACTTTCCGAGGTAATAGGGGTTAAAAGACCATACATCTTTTTAGGGGGACACAATTCAACCCACAATAGCAACTAAACCTTAAGGTCTCAAGAAGAGGAATTGCCTTATATTCGCACATCCTCTGTTGCACCAAGTGAACTCTACAGCACATAACAAGTTTCTTGGTTGATCAGAAGTACAATGCAGAGCCACAAACATATGGTCTGTCCAGCTCAGGGTCTCATCTCCCATGGAGCTGTAGAGGGCTGGTTTGCGAGAGATTATCATTTAAGAAGTTCTGTCAAAATATGCCCCACTTCCCCCAGTTATAAACCTCCTCAGTATAAACTGTGAAGTTGGGAAAGCTGACTCAACCATGCTGCTAGTGGAAAAGTTAACATTCCACCCTCAGTCCTCTCACTCCTGAGCTAACGACTTGCCTGGCCCACAATATCTCTTCCTGAATCAGTTTCCAATTCCAGCCACTCCTAGTCAATGGATCATATTTGTTTTATGCAACTGTTACTTTTATCTCTTTCATTTCTCCTGTGCAGTCACATCCTGTATTAGATGGGTGTTTTTTCATTTGTCTTGCTCTGTCTTCTTCTAAATGTACTTGCTAGAAAACAATACACATCTTGAGGGTTTGCTGATGAAATGGAACAAAAGATCTCCAGTAATGCTTAAAGCCTCACTTTGATTATTATTCTCCAGTGTGAAAATTTACAGGGGCTCCCAAGAGCCTACTAGATAAAGCCTATGAGGCCTCCAGGCCATTCTCTATGTACCTTGCCTACCATCTTCCATGATGTACCCACATAAATCCTCTGCACCAGGACGCAGTCTCCTGATCTTTCCCATCTGGTCTTTCCCATCTCACAGCTGTGAATTTTTTCCATTTCCCAGTTTTCCTACCATCATTGGGATTAATTCGCACATTTAACCTGGAGATGTTGCTACTTAAGAACACTCAGAAATGAGGAATTTCCTCTTCAGAATTGAGTCAGCTGGCCATATTCTGTCTCTTTGTGAAGGCCAAACCATTTCATGAATCTAACATGATGCAGTAACCTTTGAAGCTATTCTGAGGATGAAGAATGCATCCAGTTGAACCAGGGCTGACCCACCTCAGGTCAGAGTGGATCTATCCATCCAGAGCCCAGAAGTCATATAAAAGGCAAGTTTTTGCCCCAAGCCTTCTGAAGGAATGATCCAGTAATGCCTCCAGAGCTTCCTGAGGCTTGACAAGGGCTTCTTCAGAGCTCCTGAGATACCAAAGCTGGCTTTACATTATCTCTGTGAGTCCCTGAAGCCTCCCAGGACTTCCAAAGAAATCAACAGCCCTCCAGTATATGCTAATGCAATGAGGGTTCAGAAAAAGTTCAAGACACCTCTCTAGATATCCTTATTTGATTTGCCCCCTTTTTCTTGTGGTATGAGCAGCAGAAACCCAGTTCTATCTTGTCCCTAGGGGACAAGAGGTTTTCTTCATCAATCTCATGGGAATTGAGTATATATCAATAAGTATAAAGTCTCAGTGATAACTCACGGGGATCCTGAGGGGTCTGACCAGAAGCCGAGTTTTGAAATGATGTGTAGTCTTCATCGAAGACCATGTATGTCCATCATGAATCTGACAGAAATTTTACCCTGAGATTTGTGTCTCTTCTCTCATGAATGTATCAGAGTTAAACCCAGATGTACTTCCAAGAATAAGGGCCCAGGGTCTGCCCTTAGGGAAGTAATGATGCTGAAGATTCCATGCTGTTGCTCTCTCAAAAGGAAAAGCAGTTTGCAGAGATGGAAAGAAAAAGGACTCTGCAGTTTGATAGACCAGATTTCTACTTTGGGTTCCAACTTTTTACTAGCTCTGACCTCAGGCAAAATAGTTCAGATATCTAAGCCTCAATGTCCTCTTCAGAGAAATGGAAACAATCATGATATGAAGCAGGGAGCAAAAATAAATCCCAGAACTCCATGGTTTTCATTCTTCTAGGTAAAGGCAAGGCTGTGACTGCCCTATAAGCTAATAAGAGCAGACCCCAACTCCTGGTGTGGGATTAGTGGTTAGCACTGAGCCAGCCAGGTGGGGAGGAGGAAGCCCAGCCCTGCACTCTCTCTGCTGTCTAGGTTGGGTTTGAAGCTGATGAGTGTTTAGGACAGCTCTAGCAGCAGAAGAGTGAAGACGAGGCAGCAGAACAGCTAGTGTCCCCTTGGCTGTGGAGCAGGACATGGTGCCTCACGTGGAGCTGGCTTTCACAGATGAACGAACAGGAGACTGGGGAGGCAATTGCCACCGTGTGCTGTGGTGGCAACATGACTTGTAATGAGGGCTCCTCAGAAGTCGTGTTCTCACATGGGAGGATGCAGGAAGAAGTGTGTTCCCTCCCAGCCGCCAACTGTACCCACAGGGCACCGGAAGGAGTTTCACTCTCAGCACTGGGCCCTGCAGCCAACCTCACAAAATGCTTTTTGGAGTTTGCCAACAGGGAAGCTTGGGCTGCAGCTGCAGCAGCAGGTGCTGGCTGCCAGGTTCCCTGTGGCAACGCAGTGTACGCCAGGTTAGCAGCTTAGCCTTGGAGAAATGGCCTCCATCTCGGATGCCTGTGGCCCAAAGCATGGAGCGGAGCTGCGTTTCCCCATGGTGGGAAGATAATGACTGCGCTGGTTTTTATGGGGCATTATATAACCTCAACGAGTGGTTCAGCAGTAGCAGTGGCTTTAAGAGGGTATGGAAGATTGTAACATGCTTGTTGTTTTTTGTTCGAGGGATTTTTTTTCACTTTTGTTGTCATCATTCAGTCTGATTCATTATCATTCATGGGTTTGCTCAGGCCCTTGGCTAATACTTTTTTATGACTCCAGGAGGGCATTGCTTCTGGCCACATGATAACTCAAGTCTGCATTTGTATGTTTTGCAGGAAGATTCATATCTAGGATCTTAATTTGGGCCTCTCTATGAAATAGAAAGAACAAGAGAGAGACAGATTAGGAATTGCTAACCTGTTCTGTTTGATGTGCAGACTGAGGCTCAGAGAGTGACCTGCATTGTTGCATACCATGCCTGTTCTGGAGCTAGGACCCCAGATCAGATCTTCTGAGTCTCACTGCCTTATTCTTTCCAATCTACCATGCTGCTCATGCCTCCTGCTAGCCCTGTGTTTTTGTTTCCAGTTGGCAGTGGACTGTTTAATCACGTGTCCTTTCCTCTGATCGGTTGTGGTCTTGCCTTTGGTACACAGATCAATGCCTGTTAACCACAGTTCCTCGCCTGGGAGGTTCTGTTACTGAGCACAACTGGAGGAAAAAGAAAGGAAAAACCCTGAGTTATAAAAGCATCTCTGCCTGTGCACCATGCCCCTTTACTCCATGCGCTCTCCTGCACTGCAGGCCCCATCTCCATCTGCTTCTATCCCACCCCACGAAGCTTGTTTTGACATGAACTGCTGTGGCTCTTGGAGATTCAGGCTAAGTGAGACATCAAGGGTGGCTTAACTCCTGGACCCAAAAGCATGTTGGTTAAACATCATCTGATGCCTTTGCCTCCATCATATTGGTAAATTCACGCTCTAGTAGATGGTTAACTTTTAATTCTTCTCAATTTAGGAGGAAGCATAGGCCTGGGAAATTCCTAAAAGCTGATAATCCCCAGTTACTTTTGTAAATTACATATGTGCACCCACACACACAAATGCTTCCTATAGTGTTTTTCTGTAACTTCTTAGGAACTTGACAGTGATATGTGTCATGACATTTTTTGGATTAAGCAGGTGTTAAAATGTGTTTACATTCCTTAAATAAATAACTAAGCACATACAAAGGCATCGCAGACATTTTTCCAAAACATAATGCTGAGGCAGCACGTATCTTTGATGGTTCTCATTGGTGTTACTATGAAAATGATTTCTAGAATTTCTCCTCTTAATTTACAACTAACTGAAAACAATGACAGTAATACTAGCAAATACTAATTGGGCATTTACCATGAGCCAGACATTGTGCTTAATACTATGCATTTATAAATAAATACTCATGTTTTATTCATTCCTTACGACAACTCTGTAAAGTTGGACACTACTAATATTTACAGATGAGAAAATTCAGGCTTAAGGGGATTAAGTAATTTCTCGAGGTCATGGTTGTCATAGCTGGTGCGGACTTATTCTGGAGTCTAAAGGAAAGCAAAGTTCTAATTTTAAAAGGCAAATGATAATTTTATAACTGGATATTGATAGGATTACATATGATATTCAGTAAGAAGACATAATTCATGTGATCAAGTGAAATCAAACAATTTACTGATATGGATGCTGTGGGGATGCCAAAGAAATACGCAGCACAGTTCTAGGATTAAAGAGTCTACAATCTGTTAAGGGTAAATAAGATATAAACACGTGAAAACATAAATCACAAATGATGATTCTGATTTGCTTGGAACAGGACTACGTTGTTAGAATCATAGACTCCCAGGGTACAAGAAACTTGTACTCCAGGGATGTATGTTGTGTCACTAACATGCACCACCTATCAGACCTGAGATGGGCCCCCCGATAAAGATCTGGTCAGTGATTAAACAAATAAACCAGCAAGATCGTCTAGATAAATCTCCTCTCTGGTGCAGGAATTCTCAAAGCAGCAGCCCCAGGGCTTCAGAGAGACTAGGGCAGCCTGTGCCATCTTATAGCAAGGGTGCATTCAAAGTGCTGATCCAAGACAGCAAGATAAGGAAAGGGTGTCTCAGTGGAAATCACCATGCTGCTTCCTTCATCCACAGAGTCTCACTAGGAAAAAATGTAACTGCTGCGCTGAACAGCCTGCTCAGCATAATACTTGATTTACACACAGGTGTAGCCTCTCTTTCTCTCAGGGGCCAGGTAATTGTCTGCTGACCAACAGCCAGTTTGCTAACCAGGCTTTGTGCTATTCTAGAGCTATGCATGTGAGTTCCAATAGTCTTCTAAAACCTACTCCCCAGGCGTGGCTGCCCCTGCATGTGCATTGGCTCTTTGCACTGCCCCATGAGTCAGACCACCTAGTTCTGAATGCCACCTCTGTCCAGCTGTGTGATCTTGAGCAATCAGTCTCAGAAGATGAAAGATGGAGATAATCTGAATTAAAGAAAATAATCCATAGAAAATGCCCAACTCATAGTAAGACTTTGTACCTGGTAGCTCTTATTGCTGTGGTTGTCGATGATGTTGTTAGAAACTCTAGAGAAGTTTCTTTAAAAAAAGAAAAGATCCTAGTAAAATAAAGATCTTACCTTATATTGAGGGCTCAAGAAATGTTAGAAGAGGGACTTCTTCATAATTCTCCAGGCTTGACCCAGGGGAGTTGAAGAGAGACAGACAGAATCCTGGTGTGATACAATGCAGTCAGGATTTGTTTGAATCATATATGGTAAGAGATGCACTATGGAATGACCGTCATGAAGGAAGAGTTTTTTATACTCACAGTATTCCTGGGAACAGGAGGCATGGCACACCAGGCAGGGCCACTGGGGGAAGAACTAGGTCAATCAAGAGGCAAAAGGATGAAGGGAAAGTGGGGACAAAAACCTGTATTGTGGTTATCATGGGATGGAATCGGGGAGGCTGGGGAGGCAGATTTCGGATTGGCTAGTCGGAATAATTTCAGGGGCCTCCAGGGTGTAGAGATTGCCCCCAGTTGTCTGGTACCTTGCCCTGGGGTGGTGTGAGTGTGGGGAATAGTGACTCATCCTGTGAGAGCCTCATAAAGGAACTGGTTGGTAGATGTGGGCTCTGGATTGGTTCTTTTGCATGTGAAAGATGCATTCTCAAGGGAGTCCTTTGCTAGCTCTAGGAATTCACTAGCCCTGGGAGGAGCCATCTCTCCAGGATCAGCAGGATTTGTCAAAGCATCATAAAATACAGGAAGTAAAAGAAAATGTGGTATATATGCACACATACAATGGAATACTACTCAGCCATAAAAAAAATAAAATCATGTCTTTTGCAGCAAAATGGATGGAACTACCAGCCATTATCTTAAATGAAGTAACTCAGAATCAGAAAGTCAAATACTGCCTGTTCTCTATGATAAACAAGAGCTAAATAATATGTACACATGGACATAGATTGTGGACTGATAGACATTGAGGACTTGAAAGGGTGGGTGAGTGGGAGAGGGACGAGGGATGAAAAATTACCACTAAAAGCCCAGACTTCACCATTACAGAGTATAGCCATGTCATAAAGCTATACTTTGTAACTCCTAGATTTAGTCAAATGTTTTAAAATACATGCATAATACACTTGGCACTGCAGTCCTGGAAGGCGACAGGAGTAGAGTCAGTACTTAGGAAAGGCAAGGTGATGGCTTTGTCAAGCTCACAACCACCTCACACAAACTCCAGGTTGAGCCCCGTGGTGTCTGCACAGTAGAGAGCAGGATGCTGAGTCTGTGCCAGCCCCAGGCCCTGCAGCCTCCTGCCATTCCTGGAGGCTGAGATAACATGGGGGGACCCAGAGCTCACCTCCTTGGCCCCACCCTGCCTACCTGCTCTACCTTTGATAACACACCACGAAGGATGCTAGGAAAATCCGGTTGCCTCAGCCCAGTGGGAATTTGCTCTCAAACAAACAAAGGCCTGTTTGTAGAGCTGGAGTCCATTTAGACACAGACACAGACCATTTAGGATTATATCTGACTGTTTCTGACTCTTTCTTTCTTTCTTTCTTTCTTTTTTTTTGTTTTTTGTTTTTTGAGACAGAGTCTTGCTCTGTCACCCAGGCTGGAGTGCAGTGGTGTGACCTGGGCTCATCGCAACTTCTGCCTCCCGGGTTCAAGCAATACTCCTGCCTCAGCCTCCCAAGTAGCTGGGACTACAGGTGCCTGCCACCATGCCCGACTAACTTTTGTATTTTTAGTAGAGATGGGGTTTCACCATATTGGCCAGACTGGTCTCGAACTCCTGACCTCATGATCCGCCTGCCTTGGCCTCCCAAAGTCCTGGGATTACAGGCATAAGCCACCACACCCAGCCCTGACTGTTTCTGAGCAGCAGCCACTGAGCGGCTGTGCCCTGTGTCAGTTCCCAGGCATCCCCAATCCTGACATGAAGTCTGAAGCTCTGACGGTTGTGGTTGACAGACAAAACTCACCCACCATGTTTCTTTCTGCTGTGTTTTTAAATTTACTTTCAGGAAAAGGCATGTGGTGTCCAAGACACTTGGGAATACACAGATGTGTTTAAACAACTTGGTTTCTTCTCAGGTTCTGCCTTAATTCAATAATCCATTCACTCTTTCATTCAATAAGCAAAGGATGTTCGGCAGAAAAAAAAAAATTCTGAATTCTGAGACAGTACAGCAAAATGAATCATTGAGCATTGGGACTCAAATTCTCCAAGGTGGGAGGGCTGTGGAAAGCCAGTGCCTGCTGTACAATCAGCAGCCAGAATGTAGGCTGAGGGAGGTAGTAAAACAGCCTGTGCCCATCCATTAAGAAACAGCTGAGCTTCATAGGGAAAGCTTGTCCATAGCAAGGAGGTGGAGATCAGAGGAATCGGTTTCAGCCCAGGCCATCTAGTTAGGACTGGTTTAGTTTGTGGGCCACAGACTTCCTCTAGCTCTGACCTGCCACCCTGCAGGAAAGAAGCAAAGGAGGAGGAATCTGTGCTGGTGACTCAGGGCACATTCCCCAGCAAGGGAGAAATAATTCAGATTACATCCTCCTGCTGTTGGATCAGGGCAGCGCATTTCAATTTAAGCCCATACAGCCAGAGACAGGTTCATGTAGAATGGAATAAATTAATAAATATGCTGTTGTTTAACTGGGAAAGTGCTCTGGCCTAGGGACGGCTTGCTGAATTTCCTCCTGGCACACACTCAGGAAACAAAAACATCGAGGGAACTCAATGTCTGATTCTTGACAGGGTCAAGAAACAAGGACCGTATGGCATTGTTTAGTGGTTAAGACTTTGTAGCCAGGTTGCATGCATTCAAAATCTGACCCTACCACCTACTAGTTGTGGTAATAAAGGGTGAATCACTTACCTTCTCTGTGCCTCAGTTTCCTCCTCCATAAAATGAGAATGAATATAATGCTCCAACAAATAGACTTGTTGTATTAAATGATATTTAAATAAATAATAATTAATAATTAAATAATACATGAAAAGGTCTTAGAGAGTGCCTTAGCATGATGTACCTGCAATTGAAGTCTTGGCTATACCTATTACCAGCACAGTGTGTGAGATAAAGAGTTTCAGGAACTGGAATGCATGCTTCAAACAGCCAGTGGGGTGCCTGCTCCGGACTCTCTGCCTCCACATCAGGGGATTCCTGATCAGTGGCGAGCATGCCAGGGCTTGGGGAGGATGTTCTTGGAGCTAGATCAACTTGCCCTAGATTTTTCGGGGTCCAAGGCACAGTGAGTAGAAAGGAATGACCCCAAACCTGGCCAGAGCAGAAGAGGGGGAGCCTCAACAATGAGATGGAGTAGGTATCAAGGTACTAGAATAAAATCAACTTCTCAAAAGTCGTATTTCCACTCTCTACTCTAGGGGTCTGGGCAAGATGGGTTGTTCCACCAGGTGAGGTGTGTCAGGCCATCTCACATTTTGGCCCCAATTCAGAAACCTGCCCCCTCTGCCAGATCTATGGATTGGCAACTGCTGCCTAGGTCTTGATCTACCTTTACCTCCATCACCATGAAATCTTCACCTAAGAACCTAACTACAGTGAATAGGTATAAGGTGCTTAGAAGCACACTTAACCTTTCGCAGGGCCTTAAAATACAACAGACATGCACCTGCCTTTCTCGGGTGACCCTCAGCATGCCTCCAAACATCCACTCATGCCCCAAGCCTGATAAAACTGGCAGAAGGTCAGAGGGTTTTTAGAGATGTCTAAACATCTCACAAACGTGTTTGTGAGAAGTAAGAGAAGAATATTGGATTACACTTTATGCCTGTGCATCTACCTTTATCAATGTTTCACACCAACAAGCACATGTGTGATAAAAGGCAATGAGGGAGGGAGTCAGTGGCAAAATTGTGTTATAGAAACTATCTTGGGGTGAACAGAGAAAAATAGATCATAAGTATGACATACATATGCCCATAAATCATTTCTTTTACAGAGAGAAGGATAAGAGATTTGACATTTAGTCATGGGGATATTCTGTTCTTGAGTTACATGCTCTTACAAGATGTCACATGTATTCAGTCCTCATAATTACCATATGAGAAGAAGTATTACCATTTTACACTTCAGAAAACTGAGGCCAAAAGTCCTACATGCAGCCTCCACCCACAAGGAGGTTCCTTCCTAAACAGACAATCCACCCTAGCATCACTGAAAGAAAACAAACAACAAAAGAAAATACAGCCCGTACATGATAGAGCTGACCAGCTACTTTATTTTGCTTTCTAGAGGCAAACAATTAGTTTGAGCTGTTGCCGAATTTCATATGAACGGGGCTGGTGAGGGTGGGGGAGGTTTTCCCTTATACACTATTTTAGGAAAACTCATGATTGAATGTAATTTCTGCAGCTGCCATTAGAAAGCAGGATGGCAGCCACAGCGTCTAGGAGAACAGCAGGGCGGGCTAAGCCAGGGTGCAACTGAGAAACCCAGGGAAGAGAGCAGAGCCCATGCCCTAAAGTGACACCAAGGTCAGGACCCAGCCCATAGAGAAAGTGGTGGGGGAGAGTGTGGACCCCTTCAGCCCCCACCTAGGAAGGGGGAGCATCCCACAGAGTTCCCTGTCGCGGCGGAACCTTCTGTATCTTTGTTCTCTCTCCGCCACGGCTTGTAAGTATTAGCCTGATGTTGTTTACTTCTTCTCCCAATCTCTCCAAGGAATATGATTCACACGTTTTCAGATTTATTTGAACAAAATGCAATAAATATGCTGCTTCAATTTTAACTGCTGGCCTGTAGCCAGGGTTTTTAATGAATCTGGCCTGTGCTACTGAAGTGTTCCAGGATCTCCAGGGCTCTGGGCACTGTGAGATTATACACATTGGTGCGCGCACACACACACACACACACACACACACACACACACAGAGAGCTCTCACTCCACCCCCACCCCTACCTCCCCACCTCCCCACCTCCTATTCCCCGGAGGGCCAGTGACTCACAGTCAACGGCAGGTTTTCAGAGCCGACTCTGGTAAAAATTAGCAGGAGCCTTTTATTGTTCAAGGAGAGGAAGGACTCCTCCGTCTCCTTTCACGGCTGCGTGGAAGTGTCATCTTTTAATTTTTCCCCCTCCATTGGAATTGCTGTACCCACCTCTAAAAACTGCCATCATCAGCCTTTTTGTCTCGTCCTTTGTTTTCTTGCAAATGGTCACTAGACCGGGCCCAGCCTGTGGGGACTTCCATATAAAAACAGCTGGCTATGGAGGCTTAATGTGGAGATAAAAGGACTCTGAATTGATTTTCACCACAACCACACAGCCAGTGCTCCAGGCTTTGGAGAGCTAGAAAAAAAACAGGAAGAGGGACCCAGGCCCAGGTGGTCTGGGCACGACACACTTTCTCAGAAGGAGTGGAAGGAGGATGAAACTGGCTGACAGCAGACCTGAGGCACACAACTCCAGACCCCACCCTCCAGTAAATATGGCCAACATAGGGCAAAACTGTGGACTCTGCAAAATGTGTCCCCTTGGGTGGCCCCAGCCTCTTTTGGCAGGAAAATGATCACTAAGACCCCCTCCAGCTCTAAGGACCTGCAACTCCAAAGTCCTGTGCCCACTGTGAACACTTAGCTGCATTATGGATTGGCATCTGAGAAACTCCTCCGAAGGAAGGGACCTTTGCAGGGAAGGGCAATTTTAGGGACTGGGATATGGTTTTCCACTGGTGACAGAGACAAAGAGGTGGCTGTAAAGGTGGCTATCAATGTTTTGGCAAGTGCTGCCTCGTTACTAATGAACACTGCCACCTAATTTGTTTCTTTTAAAGTGCAAACCATGGTCTGATCTTTTTCCATTATGACCAGTGACTTTTATTGATGTCAGAAGCCCCTATGTGTTCCTCTTGTCTTCGAATTACTCTCAAAAGCAAATCACACATTGCTCTGCAGGAGTCTGCCCACCACACTGCGTCCCTACCTCACTTTAGCACGTTCCCTAATGGGGCCTTCACAGTCATTAGGCAAAATAAGCAAAGAAACTGCAAAGTTAGGAACCTGGGCAGGAAAATCACATGAAAGTCCTGGCTGCTCTCAGTGAGTTGGTAAGAGGACCAGGGTGCAGAGGTCTGAGTTGGGACAGTGTCACCAACAATGTAGTATGACTTCTGGGAGCCTCAGTTTCCTCATCAGTGGAATATTGGAATCCACTTAATGATCCTTCCCAGTCCTGATAGTCTGGGATTCTAACATCTGGGCTACAGATTTTGAGTGATTCTCCCTTACCACATCTGACCCTCCATTTCAGAATTAAAGACACTCACAGTTAAACACCTCCTCTGTTTTTCACTTTCTTTAAAGGGGAAATGGAATAATAAATAGCCCTTATTTCTACTGTGAATCCTCAAATCATAAAAATTGAATTCTCTTATTTATAATATTTATAGACTTGTAAAACATTCCTTATGCAGACTGAGAAAAATTACCATCTTGTTTTCATTTCAAATGGTAGTGTTAGTTGTGTGGTTTTGTATGTGTTGAGCTGTTCTTGTCTGTGCCCTTTACCAAACACTGTGTACTTCCATTAAACACATATGTGTTGATCATGTGACCTCTCACTAGCCCTTTGCTGGGTGGACGCTCTTGGAAACATATGAGAAGTATATGACATTGTCTCTTTCCTCAACTTACTAATTATCGTATTGGGAAGTCAGGATTGTTATGTGTAACAGTAATAATGTTAAAATAACAGCATGCTAGTTAGGAGCCAGGTGATGTGTTATGTGCTGGATAGATTTTTACTTCATTGAAGCCTCACAACAAATTCCTTAAGATATCTCATTTTATTCCCATTTTACAGACAGGGGATCTAAGGCTTAAGTTAATTTTTCTGCTCAAAACAGAGCAGTGGTTAAAGATGTATCTGATTGATTCTATGAATTCGAAATGTCATGTGGCTAAGTATTAAACTGATTACGAGCAAAATTTACGGAGCTATGGCATAGGCTCATGCTCCCTGCAAGGTCACGGATGTGGAAGTTCTGAGTAAGGGAGGTTACCTGCTCCTGATTAGGAATGAGCAGGAAGGAACCTAGGACAATGGAGAGGAGGCACTGATCCAGAGGTGAGAAGGAGAGTATAGACTCCTAATGAGAGATTTTCAAACAAACACTGGAAAACCATTGGCTTGCCACCCCACCATGTCTTCAATAACAGACAAGCCTTTGATGACACCACTGGAGACAGGAAGCCTCCACCTGCTCAAGCCTAGAACCCAGGAACTCTCTAGGCTGGATGTCCTTCAAGCACATTTTTGGCTTGACAAAAGGGCTGCCCTCAGATAACTTTGATGATTTTAAAAATGGTACTTTTAAAAACAAACACATTCCACATATTACATAACCAAGGCTGGAAAAAATAATGTTTTACTGTCAGGTTTGTTAGTTGGGAAATGTAATAATTTCCAGGTTTGGGGAATACAGTCGGGGAATTTCTTTTTACTTGACAAATAAAAATTATATATATTTATCCTGTACAACATGTTGTTTTGAAACATGTATATATTGTGGAATGGCTAAATCGAGCTAATTAACATACATTGACTCATGTATTTATCGTTTTTTGTGAGTAATTTTTTTAAATCTCTTTAAAAGTCTGGCATTTGCCTCATTGGCAATTCTTGACTATTTCATTTGCTCTCTGAATCCTGGTTTCAGCTTCCTTTCTTCTCTTTGGGAAGCTTAATTCTCAGGTTCCTGTCAAACCTGACAGTTATTTTTTAGCTCTGAGTACATGGATGTTTTCCATAGTTGTGGCCTAATTGCACATTCAGTCAGAATTGGTATTTTTTTTTCAACAGGTTCTGCAACTTCTTAATCCCACATTAGGCCATTACCTGTTTGAACCCAGGGCTAACTAAACAGAATTAAGAAACAAGCCATTTGTTGACAAGAATTTTTTTTTATACCTTTACCTAAAGGACATGCATAAAAAACACCTCTCATTCTCTCTGCCGGTTTTTGGAGTCCACACACTAAATTGTCAATTGTATTTCCAGTGGCCATGGGAAAGGAAAGCTGCTTAAGAAAAAGCACCTACCATAGAGACTTGGGTTCAAATTCCTTGTAACATTTAGTTGTGAGACCTTTGAATGCTTCTGAACATTTCAGCCTCATTTTCCTTATATATAAAATATGGTTGGTATTATCTACCTCCCAGGGTTGTGGCAGGTTGAGATTTAAAGTTACTCATATAATCGTTTGGTCTTCAGCCGTGGACAGTTAGTTGGTCCTGAAATAACCAAAGGGACTTTGTTAAAAAGTGGCTTCTCCTCGATCCCTTGAACCTGGGAGGTGGAGGTTGCAGTGAGCCGAGATCACACCACTACACTCTAGCCTGGTGACAGAGCAAGACTCTGTCTTAAAAAAAAAAAAAAAAAAAAAAAAAAAAAAAAAAAAAGTGGCTTCTCCTCGAAGGCAACACTAGGGCATGTCCTTCTGAGTCACTTTTACTATGAGGCACCCACACTTACATCATAGAAACACCCAGACAAGCCTGGACCTAACTGGGTTCTCCAGGCCTTTCCATGCCCAAAACCCATTACACTTTATTTGGTTTATCTAAAGAAAAAATGAGATCTTTGTTATCTTCTAAAAAATAGGAATGTTTCCCACATTTGGCTCTCAGATCTTCCCTTAAGGTGGCCAGGTGAATTTCCTACAGTTTAGGAGCAGAGGAAATTCTTCTATCTACCCAAAATGCAGAATCAGAAGGAATTAGAGGCCATAAAGAAACTCAGGACAAAAAGCAGTAACATGCTCAAACTCATAGAGCTAAAGATAAGTGAGTCTGGAAATCCCATGTCCTGAATCTCTGTCCTCTCACCATGCAATTTTTTTTGATGACCATAAACCATGCACTGAACACCTGAAGTCACCTCTGTATGGAGATGCTCCTGTCCAGCATGGTCTGTAAATGAATCACTAGGTGTGCAAAACTTTCCAGACATCAGTGCAATGTGCTTTGTTCTCTATTGCATATCCATCTGCAAATGTGGGGTGTTTGTGTATTGAACTAATCTCAATGTTCAATACTCTTCTTTCTATAGCGGTCAGAAATTCAATATGTGTGGTTTGTCTTTAGTTAGAATGATAATCATCACTGCCCTTTCTTGGTTATTATACCAATTCTTTTCATCTTTATCTTGTTTTGCAATGACATTGTTACTAAGGTCTGGCAGACATCCTTCTTCAATATAGTTGCTCAGCAGACATCTGTTGAACAAATAAATAGGTAATATGAATAAATACATGAATATCACAACACATATCAATTCAGTGGTATCTATAACTTACTGGACTGACTTCAGTTTGCAAATTAAACAAGGCATGAAATTTGAAATTAGTAAAACAATTTAGTTTTGGGTCTGTATGCCAGCTATCATCTATTTTGACTATTTTTAATCAGTTATTAGGATGCCACGGTTTAAATCTATAATGCATGTGCTTGTTTAGGAACTGACATTAATCCCCCAGCCTGGTCTAATGGCCTCCCCAACTCGCTCTCCTGGTTAAACTGCCTGTATGGTTTCTATCTGCATATCTGTCCTCTTAGACCACCAATGAAATGTTCACCCTCTGTCATTATTATTCAGTTGTTTCTCTTCTCTTCCCAAACCTCCCATTTTCTTTCGTGTGTTCAAAGCTTTTTCATAATTGGAGAATGAGCATTATAGGAAATTTGGTGCTGGGAATGAAGTCCTTTAAAACTATGTCAAATATACAACTCATAAAGAGAAGAAGAAAAATTGAAAACCCCAGAGCAAATATATAAAAATTCACATTTGCAGAATACATACACTAGAGAGGGAGGGTCTTATTTTCTTGAAAACATAACTCTCTCTAAGCCCTCCTCTCCAGCTTTCTCTAAACATGAGCTGTCCTAATGAATCAAATAAGATTTGATTTGCAAAAATAATCATTTGAGCATGGGTTTAGGTGTCTTCTGAGCAAAAAACATAACTTATTCCTTAGTGTTTCCCTCATAGTGCCTAGAAAGAAACTTCTAATGTAGAATTTGTCCAATAAATGTTGAGGAAGAGAAAAGGAAACCAAGGGAAGGCAAGTCGGAATTATGTACAGTAGGGCACACGAGTTAACTATGCCCTACTGTTAACTGAACAAAAGTTCAGTTTCTACCCTTGATTCGAAAGTGTCTTAAAATTGCTTGGCCACCTTCTCAAAACCTACTAGGAGCAGATTTTGTCCCAAGTTGGACACATAGAGAACAAACCACCTCTTTTCCATGGCTGAGTGTTTATGGTTCTACATAGACATCCTTCATGACTCCATATGACCCACAGGTGAAATTCAAACTCCAGGCACTATTCCCTGTCTGATCCTGAGCCCAGTCTTCTGTTATATTTCACCTGGCCACCCCAGAAACCTGTAGTCTGGCCACACAAGAATTCTTGTGTTTCCCCAAACATGCGGTACTGTTGTGTGCTTCATGCCTTTATGCTGGCTGGCCTTTCTTCCTGGAAAGTCTTTCATCTCCTTTCAGTGAATGCTTCCAAATAAGTGCTGAGTGCAACCACCTTCTCAGTGACGTCCTTCCTCCCCAACAGTGAAGTCACTCATTTTTCTAGTAGTCATGGCTCTTACACCTGAGCCTGTGATCCTTCTCACAGAGTAATAAAATTAGCATCTACAGGCCAGGCACGGTGGCCCACGCCTGTGATCCCAGCACGTTGGGAGGCCAAGGTGGGCAGATCACGTGAGGTCAGGGGTTCGAGACCAGCCTGGCCAACATGGTGAAACCCCATCTCTACTAAAAATACAAAAACCAGCCAGGCATGGTGGCAGGTGCCTGTAATCCCAGCTACATGGGAGGCTGAGGCAGGAGCATCACTGGAAGCCAGGAGGCAGAGGTTGCAGTGAGCCGAGATCACACCACTGCACTCCAGCCTGGGCAACAGAGCGAGACTCCATCTCAAAAAATAAAAATAAGAATAAATAAAATTAGCATTTACATGTTTGCCTCTGGCACTTTGAAGATAGAAATGTGTCTTTGTATCTTAGTAGCCTCACATTTAAGCCTGGGGGATAGGTACTACTATTAGTTCTATTATTGATGAGTAAACTGAAGCACAGAGAGATTAAATAACTTACCCAGGCCTGGATAACCAGTAGCTTGTAGAACTGTGATTTGAACACTGAGAATGGGCTCAGAGCTTATCCTCTTAACTGTTTTGAAATGCTGCTTTTTCATAAAAATTATCATACTGGTTGCCTTGTTACTTTTATTGTGGTATCTATGTTAACATAAATTCTGATTCTTAATCAACCAGATCAATTATTTATGTTTGTATCTGAGACATATAGTAAATAAATTCCATTTTTAATGATTGTGCTAGAATATGCTAGTTCAAGTCACCTCCATAAATCTCTAGTGTGGTCCCAGGTACAATGGAAGGTAATATGGGTGATCTTTTCGGCTCAGGGGAGATTTTTATTTTTATTTAAATTTCTTGTTCCAGCATCTTGTTTCATCAACTGGATATTCGGCTACCCAAAGACTAGACTGTTTCTTATATTTTACAGTCCCCCAAAGGGCACGGAGTTGCTGTATTCACAGTAGGCACTGAAACTTTTACTGAATAAATTAACACGTGCACAAAACTGCTTCCTTATAGCCAACCACCAGCCGTTGATTGAGAATGTAGCATCAAATTGAATATGTAGATGATGACAAAACTTGGCTTATTGGGGTTCCAGCGTTCAGAGAGTTCGAAGTTAGTTAGGATGGCAGAGATCGAGCAATTAGTTGGCCAGCAACCTGTCATCCAAATTGCAACCCTCCAGTCAGGCATTTGGTAGTGTCCACCCTAAATGCCTTTTAAATATTCAAAGTTCTTTGGCTTTGTTCCTGGCTAGCCTGTTCTGAGCATATTCTCTGTGCCAGCCACTTTGCTAAGCATTTTATTGGCATTATCTCATTTAATCCCTACGATAGCCCTCTGAGGTAGGAGGTTTGTTACACTTTTAAAAAATAAGGAAACTGAAGCTTTAAGAGGTTAAATCATTTAAACAAGGTCAAATACCTAGTTAAGTGACAAAGCTGGGATTTAAACCAAGGACCGTCTGGCTCCAGGGGCATGGCCTTATCCACCAGCTGAAAACTTCTTTTCTTATAAGTGGCATATTTCCCAATTACTGACTAACGTATTTGGATTTTGATCCTTACACAGAATGCTTCTGTCTCCATGTCTTTGCTTTACTCTCCTCCTCTTAACCTCTCTCCCCTCTAAAACAAAGACTAAACAATTTCACAGGCTGTTTCTTGTGTCTTGAGACAGGCATAAAGAGTAAGGACTTCTGTAATAGGGATTTCATTTGGAAGGCTGAGAAATGGGAGTTTCAAAGACTGGAGACAAGATGCCAGTTCAGAATCAAAAAAAAGATTTTTGATTCAAACTAGCATCCTGTACTCACCTCTCTGGTTCCATGATGCTGAATAATAGTGTGAGGCTGCTTTTCCTGAAATGCTTCTTTCTTTTTTAATAGCATTCTGCCTCCATAGCAGTCTGTGAATCTTTGACTCAGAGGCAATATCTCTCTACCAGTTCCAAACCTCCCCAATGACAGTTTCCTTTCTTAGCTCAAGCCCCACCGAGGGCTCTTCATCTTCACTGTACACTTCTGTAAACTTCCCACTACTCTTCTCTGGATGACCTAAAGACCTTCTCAGACACAGTTACTATTAAAATACTTCCCTTTTATCTTAACTCGTCAGTCTTGCTACAATGTAATGGCAGGCTGTCCATTAGCTCTGCGCACAATGCAGTGGTTGGAACCAACACAGACATCATCCAAATCAGACTTACTTTGGACCACTCTGGAGCCAGGCAACAGTGAAATTACCTTAGAGGAGGGTTGAAAGAAATGCACTGCATCCATTTCTTAAACAGGGGCTTACAGAATCAACCAAGTAGAAAGAAATGTTGAGATGCATTTAACCTCATTAGTTTCAGTAGGACTGACTCTCTCCAATCCATCAGGGTTGAGCTACATTAGTGAAACTCAACTATTTCCAAATCTCATTTACATAATGGATGAGATGTGAAATGAGCCCAATGTGAAGGGAGCCGCCTGGAGGCACTAAAGTTTATCACAATATGTAAGAGTTCTTTTAGATCATTGCATTAAATTTCCACTAACAAGATAACAAATTAATTGTCTGTATTACTGTACTAGCCCAAAGTCTATTGAGTACAGAGTATCAGCCGAGGAAGGCAGCTGGGGTTTCAAGGGCTACAGATGCTCAGAGATGCTTAAAGGGAGGTGATGAATACTACCTTGGCTTTCTCCTGCCCCTTTAAGAAATCCCAGGCACCTCTGTAATCTGATGGTGGACTTTGGCTTTATTAGTGAAGTAAGCGAGGATGAGTAAATCAACTGTATCAGACAAGCCTCAGGACATCTAGAAATTGATCATTCTGCCGAAATAAGCACTCTGTGTTTATTAGCTGGGAGTTCATCACTATCGCTTCTCCTCATCCAATTGCTAAGAGATTTCAAAGACATCATCATGGTATTAGCTTGTCTGACTGAACTACTAGAGATAAAGATTAGGAGATCTATCTAATGATGGGTCTGAGTTTCTCTGATTTTTTTTTTCACTTCTATTGCAAAGAGGAGAGCTTTTCTAGCACACATTCTGTATCTACATGTGCATGCCTGCACACAATCACTATGTATTTGTATTCTACAGGAGGAATTCAAACAGTGAAATAAAGTAGGTGGTTTGAAGAAAGGACACCCAATAAAGCACTTAAAACAATGCAACTTTCTCATCTCAAAAGACATGACTACTTAACAAGGGGAATGTATGCTGAATTGATTTCTCAAGCCATATACAGTGGGTGATCTTTTGCTGAGAAGACTAATTATATTCCATAACCTTATTTACAATCCCAACATCAATACATGGCCAAACTTCTACAGATATGTCCATAAAAGGTGAGGACATGTTGGGCTAATCTTTCGCAAGCCAGTAAATGTGCATTTATCTGTTTAGACATATATTTATGTGCACGCATGCACTAAGTTCCTGATATCAAGCTCTTTTTTCAATGTGGCTTCTAAATAAGCAGTAATCAAAATGCAAATAAGGTGACCCAGTTAGCATTGAGATCTGTATTACCATGCAGATGTGCTCTGCGACTATGTGCTCTAGAGGTAAAAAGGAAGACACTACAAAAGATGCTTATATTAACTGGCATTGATTACTAAGTCCTTCACATTAGGAAGAATCTAGAGAAGAATCTTCTAGAGACAGTGGCCCTACAGCTTGTATCACATCTGGCATTTTTGGCTTGGTCTGTTTCTAAGCCATGCTGTGATTATGGCATAACAAGCATACACCAGGAGTAAAAGAAGACTGGTTTCTTGAAGTCTCAGAATATAACCTTTGAGCACCAAGCCAGCATGCTGGCCTGAGACGATCCAAGGACATGACTAGTGTCAGAATCATGCCTCTGCCACCCTCTGTATGTGACACTAGGCACAGCAAGTCACATCCCCTTTCTGGGACTCAGATACCCAGGAAGGACTGGACTAGCTTTCTTCCACCCTTAACCTACCTTGATTTTACTTTACCGAAGCTCCAATATGTTCAGCAATAGCCTGTAACATGCTTTATGTCTATTACTATAGCAAATTCGTAACCTACCTGATTGCCAAGGATGTAACGTGCATACTTGGTACATTGTACTACTAAATTGGTCTTACTTACATGCACGCATTGGTTTTTTTCCTTGTTAGTACCTTTTGCAACTCCCTTTGTTATACTTTTCAGAGAATAGTTACCACCCTATTGTCTCTGCACTTTTTAAAGCATGGTTGCAATTACATCAGCATTTTGTTTGGTTCTGTCCATCTGTGCTTTGTCCTTCTGTAGCATGTGTGTGTGTGTGCATGCGCGTGTACACACGTGTGTATGTGCGTGTACAAACCAACTTAGGCAAGAATTCTAACCTGAGCTTAAAAATATCTATGAACTTTAAGCTGGGTTCTGTGTGTATATATGTGCTTCTCCCTCCCCCACCACCACTGACCTGGGAAGAATAGAATCTGATGTTGGAGATGCAGAAAAATTAAAACCTTTAACTTGGGATGTCTCCTCTTTGCAATTTTTATGTCTAATACCTCTCCATTCTAAATGATGTCATTGGACACTTCTAGAGAACACCTTTGAGCTGGCATAACCTTTCCACTATAGAATCGAGAGAGAGTGACTTCTGCATTATTATAATTTACTGCATAGAGTAAAATACTCTTTAATGTAAATCTATTATTTTCTAATGAACAAAAATGTTATCTCCTCAGTCTATTTCTGCACTTCTGAATTAAGAAGGCAAGAACTAGCCAGACCATGTATAGTGGTTTCTCTGAATCTAGAAAGCTCAGAATCAGAATAGTGATTTATTCTGACCAGAAGGAAACCAAAGCAGAATGAGATTCCAAGTCTTGTCCAAGTTCATCTAACTATCATGGGGAAGAGCTTGCAATAACCCAATGTCTCATGATTTCAGTCTCTTAACTTTCATATTAGCAAATTATTTCTCTCTCATATAAGATATTAACCAAAAATATCCATTGAATAATTTCTTTGGATCAGTCTTATGCTAGCAAGATATAGGAAAAGAATATAAAGTCTCTGCTTTCTAGGAATTAAAATCTTGTAGGGGACGCACTTAACTTTAACATATGTAAGAAATAAGTTTAAAATGAGCCAATCACTAAGTGTAGTGCTAAGAAGTAATCATGGTTAACACAATTGAGTGTTTACTATAAATGGGCACCAAAGGAAGTGTTCTTACACGTGCGTTAGTTTTCTCTTGCTGCCATAACAAATTTCCACAAACTTAGTGGCTTAAACAACATAAATGCATCATCTTTCAGTATTGGAGGACAGAAGTCTGAATGGGACTCATTGAGCTAAAATCAAGGAGAGCTCCATTTCTTTCTAGAAACTGTAGGAGATAATCCATTTCCTTGTTTTCTAGCTTCTAGATGCCATCTGCATTCCGTGATCATGACTTCCTTCCTCAGTCTTCAGGACAGCAACATAGCATCTCTCTGACCCTGTTTCTTTTTTCTTTTTATTTTATTTTATTTTATTATTATTATACTTTAAGTTTTAGGGTACATGTGCACAACGTGCAGGTTAGTTACGTATGTATACGTGTGCCATGCTGGCGTGCTGCACCCATTAACTCGTCATTTAGCATTAGGTATATCTCCTAAAGCTATCCCTCCCCCTCCCCCCACCCCACAACAGTCCCCAGAGTGTGATGTTCCCCTTCCTGTGTCCATGTGTTCTCATTGTTCAGTTCCCACCTATGAGTGAGAAAATGCAGTGTTTGGTTTTTTGTTCTTGTGATAGTTTACTGAGAATGATGATTTCCAATTTCATCCATGGCCCTACAAAGGACATGAACTCATCATTTTTTATGGCTGCATAGTATTCCATGGTGTATATGTGCCACATTTTCTTAATCCAGTCTATCATTGTTGGACATTTGGGTTGGTTCCAAGTCTTTGCTGTTGTGAATAGTGCCGCAATAAACATATGTGTGCATGTGTCTTTATAGCAGCATGATTTATAGTCCTTTGGGTATATACCCAGTAATGGGATGGCTGGGTCAAATGGTATTTCTAGTTCTAGATCCCCGAGGAATCGCCACACTGACTTCCACAAGGGCTGAACTAGTTTACAGTCCCACCAACAGTGTAAAAGTGTTCCTATTTCTCCACATCCTCTCCAGCACCTGTTGTTTCCTGACTTTTTAATGATTGCCATTCTAACTGTTGTGAGATGGTATCTCATTGTGGTTTTGATTTGCATTTCTCTAATGGCCAGTGATGGTGAGCATTTTTTCATGTGTTTTTTGGCTGCATAAATGTCTTCTTTTGAGAAGTGTCTGTTCATGTCCTTCACCCACTTTTTGATTGGGTTGTTTGTTTTTTTCTTGTAAATTTGTTTGAGTTCATTGTAGATTCTGGATATTAGCCCTTTGTCAGATGAGTAAGTTGCGAAAATTTTCTCCCATTTTGTAGGTTGCCTGTTCACTCTGCTAGTAGTTTCTTCTGCTGTGCAAAAGCTCTTTAGTTTAATTAGATCCTATTTGTCAATTTTGGCTTTTGTTGCCATTGTTTTTGGTGTTTTAGACATGAAGTCCTTGCCCATGCCTATGTCCTGAGTGGTAATGCCTAGGTTTTCTTCTAGGGTTTTTATGGTTTTAGGTCTAACATGTAAGTCTTTAATCCATCTTGAATTAATTTTTGTATGTGGTGTAAGGAAGGGATCCAGTTTCAGCTTTCTACATATGGCTAGCCAGTTTTCCCAGCACCATTTATTAAATAGGGAATCCTTTCCCCATTGCTTGTTTTTCTCAGGTTTGTCAAAGATCAGATAGTTGTAGATATGCGGCATTATTTCTGAGGGCTCTGTTCTGTTCCATTGATCTATATCTCTGTTTTGGTACCAGTACCATGCTGTTTTGGTTACTGTAGCCTTGTAGTATAGTTTGAAGTCAGGTAGCGTGATGCCTCCAGCTTTGTTCTTTTGGCTTAGGATTGACTTGGCGATGCAAGCTCTTTTTTGATTCTATATGAACTTTAAAGTAGTTTTTTCCAATTCTGTGAAGAAAGTCATTGGTAGCTTGATGGGGATGGCATTGAATCTATAAATTACCTTGGGCAGTATGGCCATTTTCATGATATTGATTCTTCCCACCCATGAGCATGGAATGTTCTTCCATTTGTTTGTATCCTCTTATTTCATTGAGCAGTGGTTTGTAGTTCTCCTTGAAGAGGTCCTTCATATCACTTGTAAGTTGGATTCCTAGGTATTTTATTCCCTTTGAAGCAATTGTGAACGGGAGTTCGCTCATGATTTGGCTCTCTGTTTGTCTGTTATTGGTGTATAAGAATGCTTGTGATTTTAGTACATTGATTTTGTATCCTGAGACTTTGCTGAAGTTGCTTATCAGCTTAAGGAGATTTTGGGCTGAGACAATGGGGTTTTCTAGATATACAATCATGTCATCTGCAAACAGGGACAATTTGACTTCCTCTTTTCCTAATTGAATACCCTTTATTTCCTTCTCCTGCCTGATTGCCCTGGCCAGAACTTCCAACGCTATGTTGAATAGGAGTGTTGAGAGAGGGCATCCCTGTCTTGTGTCAGTTTTCAAAGGGAATGCTTCCAGTTTTTGCCCATTCCGTATGATATTGGCTGTGGGTTTGTCATAGATAGCTCTTATTATTTTGAGATATGTCCCATCAATACCTAATTTATTGAGAGTTTTTAGCATGAAGGGTTGTTGAATTTTGTCAAAGGCCTTTTCTGCATCTATTGAGATAATCATGTGGTTTTTGTCTTTGGTTCTGTTTATATGCTGGATTACATTTATTGATTTGCGTATATTGAACCAGCCTTGCATCCCAGGGATGAAGCCCACTTGATCATGGTGGATAAGCTTTTTGATGTGCTGCTGGATTCGGTTTGCCAGTATTTTATTGAGGATTTTTGCATCAATGTTCATCAAGGATATTGGTCTAAAATTCTCTTTTTTGGTTGTGTCTCTGCCAGGCTTTGGTATCAGGATGATGCTGGCCTCTTAAAATGAGTTAGGGAGGATTCCCTCTTTTTCTATTGATTGGAATAGTTTCAGAAGGAATGGTACTAGTTCCTCCTTGTACCTCCGGTGGAATTCAGCTGTGAATCCATCTGGTCCTGGACTCTTTTTGGTTGGTAAGCTATTGATTATTGCCACAATTTCAGAGCCTGTTATTGGTCTATTCAGAGATTCAGCTTCCTCCTGGTTTAGTCTTGGGAGGGTGTATGTGTCGAGGAATTTATCCATTTCTTCTAGATTTTCTAGTTTGTTTGTGTAGAGGTGTTTGTAGTATTCTCTGATGGTAGTTTGTATTTCTGTGGGATCAGTGGTGATATCCCCTTTATCATTTTTTATTGCGTCTATTTGATTCTTCTCTCTTTTCTTCTTTATTAGTCTTGCTAGCAGTCTATCAATTTTGTTGATCCTTTCAAAAAACCAGCTCCTGGATTCATTAATTTTTTGAAGGGTTTTTTGTGTCTCTATTTCCTTCAGTTCTGCTCTGATCTTAGTTATTTCTTGCCTTCTGCTAGCTTTTGAATGTGTTTGCTCTTGCTTTTCTAGTTCTTTTAATTGTGATGTTAGGGTGTCAATTTTGGATCTTTCCTGCTTTCTCTTGCCCTGTTTCTGTCATCATATCTCTTTTTCACTAACTCTTCTCTTCTGCGTTCTTTCATTTGAATGGGCTTTTGTGATTGTATTGTGACCATCTAGATAATTAAGAGTACTTGTTCTATCTTAAGGTCAGCTGATTAGCAGCATTAATTTTTATTTGCAATCTTAATTTACCTTTGTCATATTCACAGGTTCTAGGAATTACGATGTGGACAGCTTTGGAGGGGAAACATTATTTTCTGTTTACCCCAATATGTAAACTCCTTTAATCCACACAACAACGTCATTAACAGATGAAAAAAATTGAGGCATGGAAAGCTAATGCAACTTTCCCAAGATCACACAGCTAGTAAGACCAGCAGTCTCACTCTAGAGAATATATTCTTTACCTATTTGCTATATTTTATAGCATGTATACTATACACACTTTAATGGAAAAAAGGAGTTTAAGAATAGAGGAATATGTAGGCTAAAGTAGTTAGTGCAGTTTCCTAAAAGGTTTGAGCCTAGAATGATAGATGTGTCCATCTAACATTTGTAAGTACCTAGTATCTACCAAGCTAGGTGCCGGGGAACCAACAGGAAGTGAGACATGGTTTGTAACCCCAAAACTTTTACAATTGCCTAGAAGAATTGGAAGAGAAATGAACAAATAAGTATGAAACAGGAGGTATATTCTGTTACAGAAGTATGTTCAGGATGGTGAGACGACAAATGGGAAGGAGGCCTGAACTCTACCTGACAAGAAGATGTGGTTTTAATTTTTCCCAGCTGCCTTTCCAGGCATAGCTCAGTATTTGTTTTTTTACAACTCATCCAAAGCACTCTTTTTGCAGCTGCACAAAGAAATGTAATTTCTGCTTTTGCTCTGGTCATTTTCCAGCCCTGGCAGGCCCTCCTTCTGCTTCTAGTTGTGGAATTCTACCCAACTTTTAATATTGAGAGTTCTGTACCTGTGTGTATCTTCCTGAGTGGATGGTTGACTCTGTTCGGAAAGGACTCAAGTTCCTGAGGCCTGATGGTGCTTGTCACCTATGGGTTCTTAATAAACATTGAAATAATAAATGGATGAAAGGAGGTCACCTCAGATCCCACTGAGATCTCATTTGCCTCCTAATTTGTGAAGGACTCGTTGGACATCCTTCGTTGTTTGGTTTATCAATTTTATAGGTGTTTCTGTCTTACCCCCCTCTCCACTTCTAAACCATCTCTGTGAAGACAGAGATCACAACTTCCAAGTTTTGCTAGTCAACTCTCAAATGATTGTTAAATTCCAAATGATTTATTCTAGACTCAGTAAATAGTATTCTGCCCAAGAGTAACCTTCATCCTAAAAGGTGAAATTTATCTTAGAATGAAAGTGATGATGATAAATTTCCTTCATTCATCTCTTCACTCATCCTAGAATGAAGTAAAACTTATTTGACATAAAACTAATGCTGATAGGGTCACCACCTCTGATTACGCAGGTTGTTTGTTGTTCACAGGTGCCTGGCATGGGAGGAGAATGGGGATAAAATCCATCCTGTGTTCCTCTCCCCAAGCTATGAGACCCTGGGGTTCACGTGCACACAGAAAGCTGTGTCTTTTTCTAATTTGCCCAAAGGTGCCCTCTCTTTACTAAGCTCTGAGTCCATGGAGCTGCATTCACCTGGAATTTGCCTTTTTCTAATTCACCCAAAGATGCCATATGAATAGTAGCAGAGGCTCTGTCTTCTGATGATTAAAAAGTGCTTTAGGCTCTTTCATTGCCCTTATAAAAAGCCACAGCTACCCTTATGCTACAGAAAAATTATTAGAATGTAAATCTTGGGGAAAAGGGCCTTTAATTGTTTTGACCAGTGCCATATTTAAAAATAAAATTTTTATTGACTTTGGCACAAAAAAATATTATTTCCCAAAACCTACGGGTATCTATTACTTGATTCACTTTATTCTATAATGTCGATTCCCCTTATTGCCATGAATGAAGTTCATTTGCAAACAAGAAAAAAGAACAATAGAATAATCTGAATAGACAACCATTATATTAGCGAGGGAATTATTATCAAGTTTTCAAAAGTAGTTTTTTCCTTGTGAAAAATATGTCATTTACTGGTTTACCCAAAAGTCTACTTGTTATAGGGAAAGAAAGAACATTGAATTAAGTCAAGAAACATGGATTTCAGCTTCGCTTCGTCCACACATATGATATGTGAGCTTGGGCAAATCACTTGGTCTTCTGTGCCTTTATTTCCTTGTTCGTAAATTAGGAGTTTTACCATTTGCCTCTTGTCCTCCACAGGGATGCTGCAAGGGACAAATAGCATAATGCATATCAAAGCTCTTTGCAAGCTTAAAAACCACTAACTGCTCAATATAACTCCCAGTCTATGCCAAAATCTGTCTTCTGCAGTGTAAAGGGAGCCAGGAAGATGACTAAAGGGACCAACCATCCCAGTGGTGTCAGCCTCTTCCACCATGCCAGCCTGGGCTTTCTTACCATGAAATATCTACATTTGCAAATCTTAGAATTACAAAATTAATTAAACTGTTCAACAAGCCTATATTAATCACATACTATCTGCCAGGTATACTGTGCTCTGCAGCGGATGTTACAAAATGAATTACATATGGATCCCTTGGTGATGACTCCATCGCCTCTTTTATTTTAAAGAAACTATGCAGAACAAAGAACCAACTGGGAATCAGAGAATCTAGATCATCCCACCTCTTACAGCTGTGTGATTTTAGACATATCACATGACCTCTCTGAACCCCTTGACTTTCTTATCTAGGAAAGGGTAGTAAATAGTAGCCATCCCACAAAGATTTTTGTTTGTTTTTCTTCCTATAGAGAAATGATATAAAGTAGATAACTAGCTTTATAAACCATGGAACAACATACAGCTTCTCTAAGGTGAGGCTGGTTTTTATTATCCAAGGTTGCAGAGCTCATTAAAGGGATCCTGGGAAAGTCAGCCACCACAGACCCTACTTTTCCTTCATGACCTCTGTGACCTTGAGCAACCTGGGGAAGAGGTAATTGAGCAGCAACTACTACTTCGGAAGAAACAGAATCGAAATATTGAAGCTATTGACTTACCCTTAAGGTAGTAAACAATGCTTTGGTCTCTGACCTTTTCGCATCCTGGGGCAGTCAATAACCTGGCCGCTAGATGCAGCGCCTGCCACTGATTTTGATTTGGGAGTAGTTTAACCTTGAACTGAGCTCCAAGTAACCAAGGCAACAGGAAGTCAGCTTCTGCATCGAAGGAGCAGGAATCCATAAATCAAGTCCCTAATGCAAACACGGTGTGCAGGTAGAGGTTTGAGGGGATAAGTGGTCTATGAGAAATTACCTTTGAAAATGAGTGACTATTTCTACACAGGCTACAGCACAGTTTCAGAGACTTTTTTAAAAAAAAAAAATTATCAATAGAGGTCAATAGGTTATAGCGGAATGTTTTTCCTATAGGTTTAAGTTTTCTGTATTTCCTTCCGGCTGTGTCTTTTAATTAAGAACAGATGTTGGATCCACAAAGTTATTAGCATTGTTATTTTCCTCTTTAAAAACTTACTGGCCTCCAAATAGGCAATCCTCACTGCAGTTTGTCTCGTGTTGGGGTTTAGGGATGCTCTGAACACGCCTACCAAGGGTGCTATCCATACAGTCTACTTTCTGAGTTTGAGACAGTGATCCCTTCCCAGAGCACACCCGTGGCATTACAGATTGTCTCTGTGTAAGCAGTGGTGCTACATCTCAATGGTCCAGTCCGTACAAGGTTAAATCTGGGTTTCTTTATGATCACCCTCTAGCATCAAAAATCTCCCTCCCATTGATAGAAGCCTGGTTCATGCTGGGAAGAAACGTTTCAAATGCCCCCCCCGCCCCCAACTTTGCTTTTGCTCATCATAGAATATCAGTCACCACCTGGAATGAAGGGTAATGAAGAGACTTCCAGTAGCCTGCCCAATGCACTCTCCCAAGGACCAGTACCCCATCACCGTCTCCTGACACCTCTGCCCTCAGATAGATTTTGTGGATTAATGAGTGTTCATAGATTAGCATTTGTTTAAAGCTTTCTTAATATTCTTGTTGTGTTATTTCTAGGATTGTTTCCATTATCCTTTCAAAATCCAAAAATGGCTGAGAAAAATGTCTGGCTTTTCTTTTTCTTTTTTAATTTGTTTTTGAAATCATTGGGTGGTAACTAGAAAGCCGTACTATAATCTAGAAAATTCTAAAGGATCTAGGGTTTTCAAGAGAGCTAATAGTGACCATCTAAATTATAGAATGTTTTAAATATCATTTTATTACTTTTAGTATATTCTGTAACATGAACACTTGAGTAGCATAGTACACCCAAGAGAGATCTGATTGGATCAACTCTAATGAATTGATGTGGACTGAGACTAATTTGGATTGTGAGCATTTGCATAAAAATGGGTACAATTAAAGTGACTTGACTCCGTTTATTCCCAAGTGGGAGTTAAATATCTGACTGCTAATCCTGTTTATGGCCTTCATGCCCCAAGCATAGCATAATTTAAACAAAGAATTACTTTCCCAACTTGTGTCCACAGGTATAAAGATGACATATCAGTGAGTTTTTCCAGAGGAGCTGTTATGCAAAAGAAATCTGACCGCTTATATTTCCTGAGCTGTTCTGTGGAAATTCTGCCTCCATCCATTCGGTGGGAATGCCATGGTGGTGCAGTGTACCAAAATGGGAAATTTTCATCAGACTCATGCCTGCTCTGCCCATTATCAGACTTTTTAGCAGCCAAGTTGTGAAAATACCTCAGTCATTCTGCCCCAGTGCCCATAGGCTTCTGGATATTTTCCAAACTGTGTTTGTTTTCTGAAAGGAATGAAAAGTTTAATACATATTTGTGGGTTTTTTAAATATTAACAATAAAGAAGGCTAAGAAGTGGCCAGGTGCCGTGGCTTATGCCTGTAATCTCAACACTTTTGGAGGCCGAGGTGGGCAGATCACAATGTCAGGAGATCGAGACCATCCTGGCCAACATGGTGAAACCCCGTCTGTACTAAAAATACAAACAATTAGCCAGGTGTGGTGGCAGGTACCTGTAGTCCCAGCTACTCGGGAGGCTGAGGCAGGAGAATCGCTTGAACCCAGGAGGTGGAGGTTGCAGTAAGCCAAGATTGCACCACTGCACTTCAGCCTGGGTGACAGAGTGAGACTCTGTCTCAAAAAAAAAAAAAAAAAGGCTAAGAAGTAAAAACACTCCCTCTTCCTTACCAGTCTCTGAGCTCTCCTTCCTCAGAATAACCACTGTTACCTATTTGGATGTGTCGCTTTACAAATGATTTTGAATGAATTTTAAATATGTCTGTACCTAGCCCATGATGAGCACACCTGCAAATTTTACAAACAAGGCATATTATACATACTTGCTACACCTTCTAGTTTCTTGATGGTTGTGCCTTGCAATCTGTCTGTCATAGAATTTGATGTTTGCCTATCTCCACCTTCAAAGTGCTATGAAATATAAACTCCAAGAAAAGCATAAATGGCATTTTTGTTCATGGTATCACAACTGGGAGTTTCAGAGACTGGAATGGAGAATAGGAGGAAGGAAGGAGGTAAATGTCAGCATGACTGTCTTCCTTAGGTAGTTACAGATGCCTTATCCAGGTGTGATACTGGGGCCTCTTCATCCTTAGCATGAAACATGCTGTCAGCAGACTGGGGTCATGATCAGGTATTAGAGTTTGGCCAGGTGGACCAATGTCATCCCTGGGTTTAGTGTCCGGCTACCTGGAAACTTCCAGCTTTGACATTAATAGCTGTATGAGTGAGTTCAGGTCTCCTTTAACCTTTTAGAAATGTGTTCCCTTCATCTGTAAAATTGAGAAAATGGTAATATCCACACTACATGCTTCACAGCGTTGCCACGAGGCCCAAGAGAAGCTGATCTCACTATGTGAGGTAGTGTTACTCTGGGAGGGGACTGGATCAGTCAGGTTAGTTGGGATAGAAAAAATGAGTCAAGAACCAATATGGTAAGGCCCAATTTGTTGTTGCTGCTGTTAGTGTTATGTAGCCTGCAGATGAAGAAACTGAATAGGTAACCATTTGAAATGGATTCACATACCCTTAGCCTCTTGACTTACATTTGGATGAGTTAGAGAGCCTTGTTTTTGCATTGGGGTTGGAGGGAAGGTGCCCATATATTCTTAGTCATGTCAGGGAGAAGAACTGACCCTTTGCTTGCTGGTTACCACTGGTTCTGAGGAAGCAGCAGGTCATAGTAATGATAGTCGCAATAATAGGGATAATAATAATGTTAAGCACTTTTATAGCACGGAGTATGCACTAGGCACGGTTCTAAGCTCTTTACATGGATTGACTTGTCGGATGCTCACAACAGCCCCTACAAGGTAGTATCATCACCACCCCATTTTTACAAGTAAAGAAGTTTAAAACGTGGAGAGATTAAGTAACTTACTCGTCATCACAGAGTTGGAAAATTGCAGAGCCTAGATTCAAGCTCAGGAAATGGGAATGCAGAATAGCTCTTACTGTTTGTTACACAGGAAATTTCTAGTTCCTTACAGGGGCACCTCCTGACTCCTCAGGCTTTTCAGCATCATCATGACATGACATATGATGCGTGTTATGACCAGACACTCAAAGGCCCCCAAATCAGCTCTCCTTACCCTACAGGCTGATGACACACTAATCCCCACAGTTCATCTTCCACCTCCGGCATGCTGGCCTCATCTGGATCATGTTTACTCCCCACCCATGCCTTAGCCTATGCCCTTACTGAAAATGCCTTTCCTTCATCCTTGAAGCTTCAGCATGAGCCTTTCCTCACTTCTTTCAACACTGATCTCTCCATCCTTAGAACTCCCCAAACACCTAGGATAAGTAAAACACAAGCCTGCACGAGCTTGCTGTCCAATTTTTCCTTCTCATTCAGTCTTCTTTCCCCAGCTGGATGAGATGAGAAGTCTTACTAGGGTGGGAGCCATGTCTCTTCCACTCTGAACTCCCCTTCATGCTGCACACAGCACAGCCTCTGTAAAGATGGGAATGTACATCCTCAAAAGGCAAAGGGGCACCTGATGGATTATTCTGCTTCATTAGGCCTATGCTGTGACCCCACCACTTCCAGGCAGCCAACCTAGAATGACAACACTCCTAACTTCAGCCACAAAAGCAAAACCAGTCATAGCTATTTTTTCTCTTTTAGCATTTTTAAATTTCATTCTTGTTGTACCAGAAGGAGGTGTTCAAATCATTTGACCATTTCCTCAGATCATGTCCAGGTTACATGTTGTCTATCTTCCTGTTCCCTTAAAGTGACTGAAAGCTTTGGGGTTGTTATTTTTTAGGGATGCCAAGTCCCCACTTAAAAGTGGACCAGACAGCAGTGCATAGTAAGAACGAAGGCTCAGTGCCCACCATGATGACCAGGAAGAAGCCAGCCGCAGTTGACAGTGTTACAATTCCACCAGCCCCAGTGTTATCTCTCCTTGCTGCATCTGCAGCAACGTCGGATGCAGGTGAGCACTTTTCAGATGCTTTGGGTTCACCCCAAGCAAGATGAATGTGGAGAAAGCCCACTGAGAATGGCCTGTTGAATACAGGTAAGAGTTCTCTGTTTTGCCATCCTCCCCTAGACTCTGAACATGGGAGCCGTTTCAGCACTGGCTCTTTGAAGTGGGAGGAGATCTGAGAAAAGGAGATCTCCTGGGAATGTGGAGGGTGGGTACTCTGGAAAGCTCTTCATTTTATTCTAATATGGGTCCACTGAGTAGCAACTAAATGCTAACATTATTAATCACTCTTTATCAAGCCTTAGGAATTACTAATCTCTGCATCAAGGGCCTTATATATGTTATTTCTTGTAACTCATAAAATAAGCACTTGTATCCTCATTTTCAGAAGAGGAAGCTAAGAGTAAAGAAGCCTGCCCCAAGAACCTGTGGACAGTCAGGATTCCAAAGCCCATGCTCTCAACCAGTGCGTTTCACTGCCTCCCTTGCTCATCAGGGTTGAAAGATAGTAATCACTGATTTATTGATGCATCGGTACCTTCTACCCATGAATTGATGAATTTCTCAGTAGTTCCCAGAGTCCTCACCAACAGTGGATAAAATATAAATGCCTTATTTAGATATCTCAAGTTCTCCACAGCCTGGTCCTTTCCACCTCTGTTCCCCACAGTGCCTCCCACCAGCCCCTGTGCCCACCTCCACTGTGTCAGTCTCATCCCTGCCTCCAGGAAGACAGGCCTTGGGTTTGGCTTAACACCTGAACGTGGAGACAGCCTTACTCAATTCCTAATTACATCCTACAAGTCCTTAAAACCCAGCTAGTCACAGCTCCTCCAGGACATCCAGAATCTCTACCGTGCAGTTCCCCTCATTTCGTAGACTGCAACTTCTCCCATGTAACAAAATTGCACATACCTCAGAGGCAGAGTCAACCGTTTAGATTCTTGCTATCTCGCTGACATACAGCATGACAATGTTACATACATATTTCTTGAATTAACATATTAATGTAAATGTGGCAAGCACATTGCAGTATTTAGAAAGCCCTGTTAGAAACCCAAGAAGAGACTCATTCTTAATATTTAGTCCAAATTCATTTTTCAATTTAGCAGTTTGCTTTGAGCAAAGAACTCAACTTGTCTACATACCTACCTCCTTCGTGGAAATCACTGGTGATTAGAAAATGAGCCCAGTTGAAATAACAGAAAGAAACACTTGGAATGACACTTCCCCAATTGAATTCAGCAAAATACTAGTAGGTTTTTTGTGATAAAGGATGTTTTCATGGAAAAGTAGGTGTAGGAAAAGCTGCTGCCTTACCCCTGGTTCCTTCCTGCAGGGCTTTCCGGGGCCTTGCATTGACCAATGTGCATTGGGAGGTTGCAGGAGGGAGACACCGAATTACACAATCATATCTGAACACACAACCCTTTTTTCTGGGACTGTCTCCTAACATCTCTTGGAAATGGTGTTCTCTCCAGCCATTTGAAAACTCTTGCTCTGAAGGAATGGGGTCATCTCTCAAATATGATCATGAGCCTTCACTTGGTGTGAAACAAAAAGTTTTTGGTGGAATGGCCAGGTAAATGGTGCCAGTGAGGAGTACAAGAAGAAGACAAAGGAGGGAAAGTCACACAGAAATGCAGAGGAAGTTACTCCTGAGACTTGATGGATTAGTAGCACCTTGGTGGGAGGGTGTCCAAACAAAGGGATCAAGTTGGGCAGAGTCTTGGAAGTGGGAACTGGTGCTGTGGCTGACTTCAAAAAAGACATCATTTGGCTTAAGCAAAAGATTTGGGCTATTGTCTGCACCCACCCAGATCAGTGGTTATTCAACCTTGTCGATTAAGCACTGGAGACCTCTCTTTATGGATTGAGAAATTAGCCTTTGTGTTTCCACCTTTGCCGGCCATGCACAGATATTTCTCTGAGGCCAAAGACAGGTGGTCCCCCATTTTCCTCCCTTGCACTCTTTCCCTTCAGTATAAGAGAACTTATTGTTGGGATCACATGCTTATATGGGCCTGCCTCCTCTAGTGCATCCAGTAAATAATTTACAAATATGCCAAATGGGCAGTAGAAACAGGTGATATTATACTTTCATACTTGCCTCCCTGGTAATCAGAGCTGAGCCCAGACTCCCCTGTTGCAGGATGCAAGAATGGGCTGTTTATTTTTGGCAGTACTTAAATGAGACCCTCATGAGAATTTCACAGATTTGGTCCATTTCCGGGTCTCTGGCTGTTGAGCTGGACTTTTGGGGGGAAATAGGCCAGATATCTACCCCAGGTGCTGGAAGACAGACCTTCCTGAGATTTCACTCCCCACAGATAAAAAGCTTCCCACAAACCTGGGAGAGCTAGAAACACACAGGCTGGGCTTGTGGCCAATGCTCTGTTTTACATGTGAAGAAACTGAGGCCTCTTGAGATTCAGAGATTTGCCTGAGGTTATACAGTTGGATTGGAACCCAAATTTCCTGATTTACTGCCTGATTTCCAGTGGATTCCCACTTCTGTCATAGTCCCAACATGAGCAAAGGCAGATTTTTTTTCTCCATAAATATGGACTTCTACTTCTTTTGGAGAACAGTGAATGAAACTCATAATTTGATGGGGTAGATAGATAGCTTTAGCCAAAGCCAAGCACAAAGTAGGTAGTTAACAGTTTCTGGATTTGATCTTATTTAATTAGGTGCTTGAAATATAGTAACATATATAGTACTGTAATATGTATTTCTGATGAAACAACTCACTTGATTTTTGTTTTCTTTAGAGTGCCTTTCTTCATCTTTCACTATAAGCAAGGTAGAATTACGTCTGGCTTTAGGCAGGGATCAGCTTATTTTCTAATAGGTTACCATTCCTACAGAATGGTTTTGGAAACCCAGACAATTGCAGGGAGAAAAAAAAAGGACAGAAGAGTTAAACTAGGTGGCTTATAAAACAAATTTAAGCAATCGTGTATTGAGATAAGAAGGTACTGAAGTAATTCAATTAATTAGAAATTTTATTTAGAAATAATGGATGCAGGCCAGGCATGGTGGCTCACACCTGTCATCCCAGCATTTTGAGAGGCCAGGGTGGGTGGATCACCTGAGGTCAGGAGTACAAAACCAGCCTGGCCAACATGGTGAAACCTCTACTAAAAATACAAAAATTAACCAGGTGTGGTGGCATGCTCCTGTAATCCCAGCTACTCAGGAGTCTTAGGCAGGAGAATTGCTTGAACCCGGGAGGCGGAGGATGCAGTGAGCCGAGATTGCACCACTGCACTCCAGCCTGGGTGACAAAGCGAAACTCTATCTCAAAAAAAAATAAAAAATTTTAAAAAAAAGAGTGGATGCAAAAATACCTAGTACAGTTCCTGACACATAGTACATGCTCAGTAAATAATCACTGAGTGAAACAAATGTTTGAGAGGCAGTAGCTGTATGCTTTTACAGCATTAAATATGGTGAGAGACATCTGAGAAAAACATACTCAATCTTGAAACTGCTTTTTTTTTTTTTTTTTTTTTGAAATGGAGTCTTGCTCTGTCACTGAGGCTGGAATGCAGTGGTGCAATCTTGGCTCACTGCAACCTCCACCTCCCAGATTCAAGCGATTCTCCTGCCTCAGCCTACCAAGTGGCTGGGATTACAGGCACATGCCACCATGCCCAACTAATTTTTGTATTTTTAGTAGAGGCGGGGTTTCACCGTGTTGGCCAGGCTGGTCTCGAACTCCTGACCTCAGGTGATCCGCCCACTTCGGCCTCCCAAAGTGCTAGGATTACAGGCATAATGACAATTAAATGGAAATCATTTGACAGGCACTTTGTAGGCCGCTGGAAAATACTTGCCAAATAATTTATCAACCTGTAGTAAGAACAGCACTTTTTTCAAATAGGTGATCTTTGGTAAAAGTACAACAAAGGAACATTCCCACCTTATTTTATAAACGATACAATATGGGAGAAATGAATATGAGTCAGGGGTTTACAAATATGTGTTTTCTAGCTTGTATGCATATATGCATGTGTTATATGGGTCCCCCAATTTTTTTGTTTCAGGCAATTTTTTTACCTTCTCAGAGTCTCAGAGGCATAATGATTATGACATTATTGATTTGTAAAAGGGGGCCATCGAGGAGATGCAGGAGAGAGTGGCGAGCTGGGAACATGTCAGTTTGTGAGCTACTGGGAGGGAGGATGACAGTGGCTGCCGGAGGTGCTCAAACAGATCAGCCTCAGTGGTCAAACTGCTCAATAGCTATTGATCAGCTGCAGTCCCCTGGTGCAGCCAAGGAGGTCTGATTCAAGGGAGCATTGCATCATTATTGTGAGTAATTAGGGCTAATGCAGTAAAAGCGCCACTAAAGTTTGCTCAAAGTGAGGCATAATTTGAAACAACTTCTATTACACTAGCCCAATCATGATTTAATAATCATATCAGATAATCCATACCTGAATAAGCCAGGCTGATTTTTCTGATTTTCTAGATGTTGAACTAACTTCTCAGGGAGATCACGTAATGTATAGAGAAACTGTGATTTCATTTCAGAAACATGTTTTTTCCCCTTATATTTAAGATGAGTCTGTATGAATAAGTAGATTCCAAATGGTGGTAAGAACTCAGAAAAACATCAAGGCAACAAAATCTGTATGGTTTTGCACTTGAAAGACTAGACTAGCAATAATGGGAAGACAAGTATATCCTTTCTCTCTCTCTCTCTCTCACACACTCACACACTCACACACACACACACAAACACATACACACCAACATTCTCTCATCTTAAGTCCAAGGAGAAAAAAAAAAAAGCAAACATGTATCAGCCATGCTATCATTGGATCTCAACTGCTCGAGGTGTAGCTCAGTTTGAGATAACAAGGAAGTAGAGTGAGCACAGCTCTTAGCTTCTATCTGTTGTATCAAGGCTAATCCATTATTATTTCAAACTATATTATCTACCATGTTTAAAACTACCAGAGCCCATGAATAAGTAAAAATATTTAAATTTCATAAGTCTGTTAAATTTTTAGGCATTTTGCTTCTCATGGCAGGGACTAATGTTAGGGAAATCATTTTGTTATTAGCCCAGCCATCAGTCGAATCAGAACTAACTGTTACCTGTAGTCAAGATGCAAAACCTTAAGCTTGAAAAATTAATTACCATTACAAATAATAGTGGGAATTCTTAATACTATGAAATCAGAATGAAATTCAGCATACTAGTAGCTAGAACAAAATGATGTGAAAATTGCTTTCAGCTCCCAAATTCTATGATACTTGAGTTTTCTCTTAGCCAGCTGCCATCTGTGGGAAGGGGCCCAGAATAAGGAAGTAATATCCAGCTACAAAAAAGAGCAATGAACAGGAATTTAAGAATGATGCAATTATTTATTTTACTTCTTTTGTTGTTATGTTGAATGATGACCTGGAGCCCCTAACCAAAATAACAGGTCAAGTCAGCCAAAATCTTATCTTTAGAAGAACCAAAATAGAAGAAATAAAGGTGCAATTTGATAGGATTTGGAACATCCAGGGACCATAAATATATACATTGAAGAAGTCTCCAAATTGTGAAATATATTCCTTTGTGCCCAGTCTAAACACTTAAAATATTTAGTAGAAAACCTCCCAAAGAAGATCCAGAGCAAACAAAGCTTAAATTTAAAGCAATCGTTCAAGTTGTCTGAAAAGTGCTACCTATGGGCTCATGCTGAAGCCTCACAAAATGAGCCCGTTTGTCCTGAAAGCTGTGCTGAATATGGCACGTGCATGAAAGGCACTCCCTCCCGCAGCTCTGGGCCACCAAGGGACTCGGCAGGGTTGGAAGCTTCTGTGTTTCCCCATCACACACCAAAAGCCTTCTGAAAAACCTCCAAAACTTGTTGTTATTTTCACTCTTAAAGGAGAAATAAGCTCTTTTCTGATTTAATCTGAACCTCCTAGAGCAGCTGAGCTTCTCCTATGGCCAAGGGAAGCCCAGGGAAGCACCAAACCTTCCAGAATCTGACCCTGCCTTCTGCCCCAGCTTCATCTCCTTGGAAATCTGAACCAAATTTCAACTCCTTTGGGATTTCCACTGCCACAGTATTATTTTCAAAAAACTAAAGTTATTTCAAAGGTTCATTCAACTCTTTAATGCAGAAGACAGCATGGTGGTAAAGCCAGCCCAAAGGAGAATTAGACAACGGGGCATTATGAGAATGCAGGCACTGGAGAAAGCGTGTAGAGCAAGTTGTTCAGTTAGTGTCCTAACAGGCAATAAAATCATAACCTCGTGGTTTATCTCTTCTACCAAACAAAAATCATTTGCTTCTTTGCTGGGCAAAAGTCCACAAGTTAACATAAAAGCTGGCAGATTGGCCAGGTGCGGTGGCTTATGCCTGATCCCAGCACTTTGGGAGGCCAAGGCAGGTGGATCACCTGAGGTCAGGAGTCCGAGACCAGCCTGGCCAACGTGGTGAAACCCCGTCTTTACTAAAAAAAAAAATAAAAAAATACAGGCCAGGCACAGTGGCTCACACCTGTAATCCCAGCACTTGGGAAGCCAAGGCAGGTGGATCACGAGGTCAGGAGTTCGAGACCAGACTGGCCAAGATGGAGAAACCCGCTCTCTACTAAAAATACAAAAATTAGCTAGGCATAGTGGCGGGCACCTATAATACCAGCTACTCTGGAGGCTGAGGCAAGAGAATCACTTGCACCTGCTGAACCTGGGAGGCGGAGGTTGTAGTGAGCCGAAATCTCACCACTGCACTCCAGCCTGGGTGACAGAGCAAGCTCCATCCTCCCCTCCAAAAAGAAGCTGGCAGATTCCAAGCCTTTAATCAGTAGTGGACAGCAAGCCGAACAAGGGCACATTTTCCTGGACTGTTAATAATCCTTGGGGAGGCCCAAAGGGACTTGTCTCCTTCCATTTGCCTTGTTTCTAAGTTTTGGCTCATTTTTTCTACACACCACACATGGGCCATGAAATGCTCTGGTTGAATGCATGTGTTCTGGCTTTATATTGCCTGTGTTGAAATCTCAGTGCTCCACTCACCAGCTAGGTGATCTCAAGACTTCAGTGTTCATGTCTGTAAAATGGGGAAAAGAATATGACCTAGTGTCAAGGATCGTGGTGAATAATAATGGAGATAATCCTTGGGAAAAGTTTAGCAAAGTACCTGACACATAGTAAGAGTTTGACAAGTGGGTGCTGTTTTTGCTGCTGCTATTGTTGATGTTGTCTGTTTTCTTCCCTGGAACTTTTTTATCTTTTTCCCCCTTGCCCACCTCTCATGCCCTTTGAATGGCTAATTCATGATGCTTCTTCAAGCCTCAGCATAGGTGCCTTCAGCTCTAACAAGCCTTCCCTGACACTCATATTGAGAACCACAAGGTCAAGTTGAATGCCACATCCTCTGTGCCTCCCTGGCTCCCTATAAGCTCATTGATCATTGATTCCTACATTTAATACAGTGTCTGTGCTCCACCTGTGTCCCACAGTGGACCAAAGGATCGCATAGTCCCTGTGGCCAGATCTTATTCAACTTTACCTAGCACCGAGGTGGGCAAACAATAAGTAATTGCTAAATATTAGCCAAAGTGTATTGAACAACTGTTTCCTGCACAAACGTGTTTGGTTCATGAAAAGGTACACTCAAGAGTGTATGAACTCTAATATTCATTAGAGTTAAGGGGCAGTGATTTTCCTTCAGTTTCTATATCAGATCCAGAAGCAGCAAACCATCCTAAGAAAGTTCACCAGATGGAGCAACCTAGAACAACTTGGCAGCCCTCCAGCCTCCTTTGTTCATTAATAGCAGCCCAGCCCTTAGTTAGTCCTCCAGCGTATTGAAGATGATTATTCTTGAGTTAAAGATTCAGCCTATATGGCATTGTACTTGCACTACCAAAGTGTGTATTTATTCAGAGAAGAAGGAATATGCACGCATATGTGTCTTCCTTCACTCAGAAGTTCTGTGAGAATTTCAGGATAAGCCATTCAATGGAAAACGGGAGAGTGCATCAGCCTATGCAGTACTTTAATTATTTTGTATGTGTTAGTCTTGCATTGTGGCCAGAGTATTGGTTTCACTAGGGCAGCAACCATTTGCTATTTAGATTTTGTCTCACTCAATAAGTATTGGGCATCTCAATTCCCAAAACCTTGGGATGTATGGAATGAAAATAAGAGAAGCAAAAGCCAGGAGACTTGCTGTTAAGCAACTCATAATCTTATTTGAATGTCAGGAATCTTGCACGATGCTGGGTGCTTAGTAGATACTCAATAGACATGCCTGGACTTCACTTAGCTAATTATTTTCTCTCCAGAGCTGAGATTTTAGGAAATACAGAGGTTTAATGACAGGTTTGAAAGTGCTGTGTCTTGAGAAGTTTAACTCAATTTATCTTCTCTGAATGCTTCATACAGATTATGCTCCCAACCACCTCATGCCACAGTCAGACCCTCTTAAAAATAGAGTAATGATAATAACACGTTTTATCTTCTTCCCAGTGATAGTATCATTCACACCTCCATTGAAGCCCAGTGGGAGGTTTGGCTGTGAGGCATCAGACGCCCAGGGAGTCAGGTGCGATTATTGTAATGACCTCACACTCGGAAAAGAAAACCTCCCATACGTGAAGCGATTTCTATTAAGATACTCATTTTATATCAAATATTCAAGCTTCTCTTTATAAATGGGAGAGAATGAAAGGAGACTCTTATGGGGCAGAGTTTATGTGGCAAAGAATTAAAGGGCACATATATTTTATGATCAGTTTTGAGATGAAAGTGTGGTGCCTGCCTTGTTCACTGGCGCTTTCCATTTCTAGAAGTCTAATTAGATTGTTGGTGTCATGGTGGTGAGATAATTTAGTGGCAACTGAAAGCAACTGTGTTAATGAGAAGGGGGCACTGTGCATTGGGTTTTCTGTAATTAATGGAGAGTTTTTGAAAAACTTCTTGGTTCCAATAAAGTTGGCATAGTGAGCCCAGCTGCAGGAGTAGGGGGTGGCAGGGCAAAATCTTTCCCATTCATTGCTGCAGAAATGGTCTCAGGCAATGCAGAAGAACTATGTAATGACTGTCATTAAGAATGATCTTGAGTGGTCCAGGCAGGCTGTAGTCAGTCTAAGACAGCAGAGAGACAGAGAAGAGGCATGGAGAGAAAGGAGGCAGGGACAGAGAATAGAGTAAAGATTGTGAGACAGGTGTGACAAAGACAGAGAGAGAGAGAGAGAGATCACTCACCTGTCTGCTCTCTCCATTCTCTCCCTGGGAGACACTGGAGTCATCCCAACATATCTTCCCAAGGAGTCTCCTCCTGCTGCTTCAATTGGAACAGACTAGACAAACCTGGATTACAATAAACTACAAGGGACTTTTGCCAAACACTTCATGTTGCAGATGAGAAAATTGAGACCAGAAGGGTTACAAATATTGCCTGACTGGGAACTCAGAAACTTGGACTCTTTCTGGCCACCACATTGAGGCAGAGTGGAACTGGATTTGAAATTCAAGGGTCAGGGTTATTGCGGTGTCCTCATTATAGTACTGCCATACTTTTTAATCCATCCCCTTAGGTAAGTCACAGAGTCTCACTGAGACTTCTGAGTTCTAGTTTTCTCATCAATGAAATGAGAAAAGTGATTTCTGCCTTCTAGGCAGGAGCAAGAAAGAAATGAAATAGCAGATGAAAACACCAATCACATATTCAAAACTTAACATGTAAGTATTTTATGAAACCCTCTCATGTCAGAACTAAAGTTATCTCATGTCAGGATTTAATCATGTGAAGTCACAATTTAGCCATGTGATGACTTAGATCATAATATCCATTAACTATCCTTTAGAAAATGATATGTATCCTCACTCCCCCTTCCAAATACTCTTATCTCAGGACACAGTCCAAGTCCCCTACCCTTGAGGGCGTTAGTGGCTATATCAAGCTCATCTTATTCAAACATCTGTAAGACTTTGTTAAAAATTGTCAACCTTTTTTTTTTAAGAACTTGCCACACTGCACTCAATTCTATGAATGATATATACAAATAGAAGATTAGGGCCGGGCGCGGTGGCTCACGCCTGTAATCCCAGCACTTTGGGAGGCCGAGGCGGGTGGATCATGAGGTCAGGAGATCGAGACCATCCTGGCTAACAAGGTGAAACCCCGTCTCTACTAAAAATACAAAAAATTAGCCGGGCGCGGTGGCGGGCGCCTGTAGTCCCAGCTACTCGGAAGGCTGAGGCAGGAGAATGGCGTGAACCCGGGAAGCGGAGCTTGCAGTGAGCCGAGATTGCGCCACTGCAGTCCGCAGTCCGGCCTGGGCGACAGAGCGAGACTCCGTCTCAAAAAAAAAAAAAAAAAAAAAAAAAAAATAGAAGATTAGCCCCTGCCCCAGAGGAGCTTTAACACTACGTGGGAAGGCCTGCCTCCAAAACATGAGATGACCAAATAGTATTTTTAAATGAATAGATCGAATAACAATCTGAGATACTAACAAAACTATTATTCAGCAATTGGTTGGTCATGAATTTTCAACTGAATGGTACTAAGAGATTCTCTTTTGGGAAGAGAAGAGTTAAGATGGACTTCTAAAGATAAACTGAATTAGGTAAGCAGACAGAAGCTAGGAGATAGGAATACAGCATTTATATGGAAATAATGGCAGATGAGTCTGGAAGGGAAATTTGAGATCAGAAGATGGAGTACCCAAAAGTCTAGAATAAGGCAGGGTGACTATTCTGACCGGCAATGATAGCAAAATGACAGCCATGGCCCAATTGCTGTCTACACTCGTGTTTTGGTTGGCCTACGGAAGGTTATAAATTTTAAAAAATTAGCCATTTATGAACATCAGAAGATTTACATAATAATCAAGATTTCTGGCTTTATGAAACTGTCATCTTTGGGCTCAGATTTTTAACTGGGAATAATTGATTGGAATAGGATAAATTTTCCCCATTAAATGTGCCATAGTCTCTTGTGTTTACCATGCCCTGCCTCCTACCTTTCTTCATAACCCTGACCAGCTTCTCTCAGTACCTTGAATGTCTGGCTCCCTACAGGGAGCCATTGAAGGCATTGAACTGGAGCAGAATCAAAACAGTGTGCAGGAACAGTTAATCTAGCAGCAATGATGTGTCATCTGCAGTAATATCTTCCGTTATTTAATTATGGAATTTAGGGGGTTGGAAAAGGCCTTCGAGATGGTGAAATTCAGAGAAATTTGGCACTCCAATACAGACAAGAGTATAAAATTAATGAGGAAACCCAGGTTTTATCAGTCTTTTTCTAGCTCCCTGTCTTCTTTGCTTTCTTAAGGAAATATAGCATGAAATTAGCTTTGAAATGAGGCAGCAGTTGCTTTGATTATTGCCTTCACAACTTCTGAGATGTGTGCTCTTAGGAAAAAAATACTTGGTTTTCATCTCTGTACTGTAGAGGAACTAAGGGACACTAATCAAGGTCCTCAAGTGGTTGTAATCACAATTAAATGAGGAAATACATGAAATACTGCAATATACACTGTAGGTTTTCAAAAAATGTTAGTTCCTTCCCTCTTTGCCTTCATTTGAGGGCAAGAGCAATGCATTCTACTTGCCTTGTACGGTGTAAGGTATGATACAAAGCATAGCTGTTACAAAAATAGTCCGTGAGTTTGTGAATGGTTGAAAGCTACCTCCTCACCCCCACAACTAGTAAAGAGTAAAAGTCCTTTTTGTCCTCTTTCCCCTATCCAGGACACCTAAAGTTTAAGATCTGTTGTTTTAATGTCCATTGGAACTAACTCCGTTAGTTTATTTTATGGAATCAGCTTTTGAAAGGGACATAAGGAAAAACCTCACTTTCCCTCTCTCTTGGAGTGTCTGACCTATTGAAGAACACTCTTCCCCAGGAATTATGTTTTCCTTGATACCTCTTTAAACTAAAAGAGACCAGATAGTCTTCATGAGACAATCAGGAAATGTGAGTTAGTGCTACCAATGGATAGTTTCAAAAGACAGAGAGAAGGAACTGATCGAAGGAATGGAAATTTTTCAGTGGTCCCAGCAATGTGTGTGAACACTCTGTGTGGCCGGGATCCAGGGCTAGCCAGCATCAGAAAAATGACAGGACTCAGAACAAAAGAGAATATGCCTAATACTACCTATAAATTCAGCAGGGATCCATATCAGCCTCTAAGCAGGCTTCCTGGAGTGCCTGGGGATAGTTTTGTTACTCAAAAATTCTCCTCCAGGGCATCTTCTTGTTCTCCAATGCCTGAAGATATTTTGAGAGGACACTTTTTATTTTGAAATCTAGTTTTGTTAGTGCCTACCTAGTCACAATCCTGGTCTTTGTCTTATACAAGTTGCCAGAGTTAAGTGATTTGGGCTTTACATATGGAAAGTTCATTTTGTTGTGTAATTAATGGGAAGCAGACTCTGGGAAGCTGATGATCCAGGCCCTTATTTATATGAGAGCATATGTCTGTGTTTTGTTTATGACTCACTCTCCTACTCCACGCATTGTAACTTGGATTTGTTTACACTAACTTTTCCTAGAATCCAAGCCACATGGTGTATGAGCCAATAATTTATGGTCTCTAAAAGGGAAAGATGATGAATGAGCTTTTTCTTCTTAAATTGTCAAATCTTAAATTGAGGAGGGAGTGTTTGCCGTCTTGAGTCTGTTCAAGCTTATACTTGAAAAAAAGAAAAAGTTAAAGCAATTTTTTTTCAAAAAACTCCTAGTATAGCACTCAGAATGTGAATGTATATATATTTGCCAAGAGAGCATATGACCCTTCTCCCGTAATAAACCATTATGATTCTGATTCACATGCTTGGCAATGAAAAGACCATTCATAGTGGAGGCTATACATGTGCTGGGGCAAGGGAATATATGGGAAACCTCTGTCTCTGTACCTTCAGTTTAATTTGGCTATGAATCTAAAACTGCTCTAAAAAAGTCTATTCAAAAACAACAAAAAAGACCATTCCTTCCCCCGCTTCTCTCTCTCCCTCTAATGTATAATATGTGCATGTGTTCCTTTTCCAGGGGACCCATCGTTTCAGTCAATCTTAACGTTCTTAACATCCTTAATGTCCTTAAATGTTCAAGCTGGTTTTCTTGGTGACTCTTAATAAATTCCAATCTTGCTTTAGTCCATGTTTTTGTCATTGAAACTCCACTTCTCTTATGGAATGAAGTTTAGGTGTTGGTCTATATTTCACAGTACTTGGTTCTGAGAGACTTTCAGTTAATGGTGCTCTGAACGGAGTAGGGAACAGCTGAAATATGTGAGGACCTAATTTAATTGACAGTGATTTGAATCTCCAAAAACATCCTTTCATGCCTCAAACACAGACTTTACAAAATAGATCGTAAGTGCTAAGTCAAGTCACGTAGATTGATTTCAAGTAAGTCAGCTAGACTCTGTGCTGCTCACTAGGGGGAAGGCACAACATTCCATGCCCCGTACAGTGCCTGGCACAAACTGGGCCTGAATCAATGTTTATTCCAAGCATGAATATGAAGGGCTAAGAGATGGTCCTTGTCCCTTAGGAAAAATAGAGTTTACGAAGAGCGTTCATATAGATTAATCCCATAATCATAATAGAGGGCAGACTAAGTGAAGTGCCATCAGAGAGATACAGGCAACATAGAGAGGAGCAAACAGATGAATGCTGAAATGAGAGTCCATGCATGGCTTTTAGGAAGAGGACTTAATTGGACTTTTAAAGAATGGGTGGAATATACAAAGATATGAAGTGTTCATAAAAAGCTTTAAGACTGAATTATAAACTGAATTCCAGTGGAAATTTGGGAGCACTGGAACAATGCCTGGTATTGCTTTGTGTTGTTTCTTTTATTTTTTTCTCACTAGGGCAGAAGAGTTGCCTCTGGATAAGAGAAAAATGCAAGACTTTTTTCCCTATTCAACATCAGATGTAATATCCTCTCTGACACTTACAGAAATAATAGAGTTGGGCACACACACCTGTAGGCTATGCAAAATTATTGTTTCTGTGGTTCATCCATCATCTACTAACCAGACAGACAGGAGAAAGTCGAAAGCAATTGGTGTGAATTGCTTGTTGTTTTTAGGGAGAATACAAAGATAGTTAATTTTGTAAATTGACATCTTTTTCTTTAAAAACTTCAATAAAGAAAAAATGATAGCATGGCTTTTAGTCACTTGAATCCAGCCCAGAGGTAGTTAAAAGGACAGGCATTAACTTTTAGAGTATTCGAGCCCTTTGAAAATTCCTAAAAATCTGAGAACTCTTTTGAGAAAACAAAATTAAGTTTCAAAATTTTCACAACAGACTAGAATATTAATTCACAAAGTTAATAAAATTAAACTTTGCAGATTTAAATAGAAGGCTTGCATTTAAGCTTAACACCCAATTCCACATAGCCTTGGCCAGTGTTGGTAGCTGTTTATTTGAAAGTGTTTAAGGGAGTTAATTGAGCCTCCATTTAACATGAGCCAACAGTAGAATGTTGTTGGGGGAAAAAAAAAATGCAGTTTTTAAAAAATGTAGCTTTTTTTAATATAAATGTGGTGCCTTGAACACAGAAAATAATCAAACCAATTTTTCTGTACTAACCACTTCATATCTAGAAAATCAGTTCAATTCTAGGCACTAAAATCTCAGATCAACTTTAGCAGATGATATAATCTCCAGAGAGTGATCAAAATGAAAAATTTGTTTTGATCTAGAATTCATCTGATAGGAAACACAGATGAAGGATTAGAGGATGTCTTACCCAGAGCACAGAAAACCTGGAGGTATATGACTTTTGTAGAATTATGTTTATTGAGAAGCAAGGGTCCTTTCAAGAAATTGAGAGATTTGTCTGGAGACACAGAACTGAGGGGTGATAAGCTAAGATCAGAACCTCATTCTTCTAATGTCCTGGTCAATATGTTTTCCATCAGATTGCCAAGTATGCTAGCTAATACATAAACAAATGCAGTTACTATTAAGACCAGGAAAAAAACAAAACAGAGATACTCACCATTATATGTAATTCTTGAAGTTCTAGCATGGTCAACAGGACTTATTTTATCTGAGCCTAAATATTTAAAATGTGGAAATTTTCCTATGTTCATGTTTGCTATATGGTTCTTTGTTCTTCCCTCTATTTTTTTTCAAAGTTTTAAAGAGACAAAGAAAATGTCTCACAATCAGGTAAGAACATGCATGCACAATAGTTGGGGTATTATATAAGAGAAGGTATTTATGGTTAAGGATAAAGTGATACCACATTTGAGAGGAAAGAAAAAAGAAATATAAAGAGCCCTTTGAGAGGGTGCAACCACCCCCACTGTGTGACCAACTGGCATGCTGTGAGACTCAACAGATGTAGCTTCAAACTTTTTGGCGTTAACTACATTTCTATCCAGCCTTCCATGTTGTCTCATCAGTGTGTTGGGACTTGATCCATATTACAACAAACAAAAGCCAAAGTTGAATGAAACAGAGGACGGCTAAATGCCCTCGTATTTCTCAGTTTACCAATGCTGCCATTCCCAATTCACTCCTTACCAAAAGCCTAGGAAGCCACTAATTTTTTTTTTTTTTGAGATAGAGTCTGGCTCTGTTGCCCAGGCTGGAGTACAGTGGCACAATCTTGGCTCACTGCACCCTCCGCCTCCAGGGTTCAAGTGATTTATCTGCTTCAGCCTCCTGAGTAGCTGGGATTGCAGGCGTGCGCCACCACACCCGGCTACTTTTTGTATTTTTAGTAGAGATGGGGTTTCACCATGTTGGCCAGACTGGTCTCAAACTCCTGACCTCGTAATCCACCCACCTCAGCCTCCCAAAGTGCTGGGATTACAGGCGTGAGCCACCGTGCCCAGCTGACTATTTATAAGTGGCTGACAAATAGCATCTCCAGAAAATCCCCCAGACTTAAAACACTCCTCTGTTCATCCATGGTGGGCAACCCCTTGTGATGAATATTCATGATGCACCTTACAGGGAGCTATAATCTCATCTTTTGCTGGTTCTCTTATTTCTGAGGTCTCTGTTTTGCCCAGTTTTTTCAGGACTGCCAAAATCTGGCTTGCCCTCCTTAGAAGTCCCTTGAGCAACCTAGCAATGTTTTTACTCAGCTTAGATTATCTCTGGAATGAGTCGCCACTGTCATTATCTGTCCAAAGTCCCAGGTGGTTTGTCTAACCCGTGGGCCCATGAAATAACTGGCGTTATTTCCTTATGGTCAGAGAAGCCTATAGACCAGGACCTGTGAATTGCCTAATCAAATAAAGAATGTCAGCATTAAATCCCATTCAAGGAGCTCTCCATGGATAGGGCACCCCTCACTGCCATGGAATTGCATGCAACTCAATTAAAGGTGTTCTGGGGAATATAAAGATGAATGCTCTCCAGGATTTGGGCTCTAGGAGTTGACAGTCTGAAACAATCTAGCAGGAAATATTAATCAAACATCTACTATGACACAGGAACTGTGTTCTTTGTTTTGAAGGGTATGAAAAAGGACAACACATGCTGTCTTCAAGAAGCTTTAATGCTTCCTAGGCCATAGAAAGTTAAGATCTTTGAGGATTAAATACCAAGTGAGTGAATAAACTCTCGAGGAGTTTTTTGAAAAAGAAAGGACAACTTTAAAGCAGTGGGCTCCAGATTTTTGATCATGCAGTGATATTAGTAACATAATTTTGAACAGTCATACCATTTAAATACATACTAAAAATATGTGCCCTCTTTTTCTTAAATACAAACTTTAACAGGATGAGATAAACTTGAAATACATTATATTCTTAAAATTATTTTAAATTTCATTTTACCTATTATTAATGAAACAAAAATATTTTTGTTGCTATCAAAATGTTATACTGATTTAAATATTTTTAATAGTTTTTTAAGGAGAGCCAAGCAATTGAGTTTGTATACTTGTTTTTGAAAATCTTGGTTTTTTTTTAAGCACTTGTGATAAGTAATTTAAAGTTCTCTTTCTGAATTCAGTTTGTTTCAATACTTGTTGTAGGATAAAGAATATTTCACATACACGTAGATTCAAAAGAATAAAGTACATTGTTGACTGTGCTTAAATCAGTACTATTTTTTTCCAATCTCATCTATCAGTTAAACAAGATTTTTGTTGAAACTTGGCAAACCATCCTCTTTATTAACAATTAGATGGTCCATTTTTTTTAGTCCAACTCTTCATTCGAAAGTAGTTCTGTTTGCAAGGTATTCAAATTTGCAGATTAAAGGGATTTTATAGGTTATATTATTTTCAGCAACAAAATTGCCAAATGGTGGAAACATTTGCAATAAATTTCTAAAACTGCTCTTTCTATAGCATGAGTTTCTTTCCAAAAGCAGTTACTTTCTGGCCCAGTTTACTGTAAAGGGACATTAAGTGTTTTGTTTTTTAACATCTGCAGGGTAACATTACTGACAGTCCATTGACAGCCTAGAAGAGTTAAGAAAATTTGGAACCCTTGTCTTTTTGTACAAGAAAATTGCCAAATTCATCTTTGAAAATGGCAACTCATGTATACAGTTTGGTGTGAAATAACCAACAGAACTCTATGTGGTATATAAAGTATTGTATGGGTCTTCTTCATCTCATTACAAAGTATTTTGAAATGTTTTTCTGTTGAAAAGTCTTGCTTTTCTAAAATTACCGTGTGGGCTGGCCTGCTACAGATTTAAAATATGGGACACTGACAGCACCCTGAAAGCCAGTGAGATCCCCCATCAACCCCTTGAATGCACATGGCCTCTCCTCCTCCCAGGAATCTCATGCCCAAGTGTGACAGGTGACCTGTCATCTGATGGGCAGCGCAAGTAAGGGCATGGCTGGAGTTCCATTTATTAAGCATTAGAATTATTTAGGTAAAATATAAATAATGTAAATACAAATTATTAATGTGTTCTTTCTGCAGCTCAGTAAATTGTCTGGCTTCCTCTGGAGGGAATGTGCACCCCACTTGGGAAGCTGCTGGTTTAATTTAGAGAGGCAGAGAGGAGGTGAACAGTGTGGGCAAGGTGGCAGGGGCAGGAGAGCACTAGGCCGATTTCTAAATCCAACACCCTTCCTGAGAAGATTAGAGAGCTGCCCTGGGGCACTAACTGTTTGGTGGCCTAGCCCACTTCAGAGCTCACACACATAAACATGCTCACACTTAACATACCCCACTGCTTCACCTCTCCATCAGCCAGTCTGCCCACCTCTCCTACCTTGTCCCAAGAAAAAATGTGAAATAGGAGCAGAACACAGACCAGAGTCCTTCAAGCCACTGCAACTAAGATAAAAAGTTCTTTCACAATAAACCCCTAAGAATAAGTTGTTGTTTGAATAGTCAAGCAGTTACTATGCTTTAAACAAGCTAGTCATGTTTTCAAAGAAACCCCAAAGTATGTTAAGATGATATTAAGAACAGAGTGAAAACACCATCATATGACAAATCCCCCACATCTGCTAACTCTTAATTCTAAATTACTGCTTTAAACTTAGCAGTTCTGTAGCATTTGTGTTGATAACAAGCAGCAACTCAGATGCCCCCTACCTTGCAGAGGCCTCACTAGCAGAGGCAACTTGCCATCTTTTTCAAAAGAGCTTTTAAGGCCAGGACTGTAGAAGGTTAATTTAAATTCTAAGGATGGAAGAAGAAAGTTTGCATGCCAAGGTAGGTTGCCTCATTCTCCCCATTAAAAATAAAAAGCAGCATTAGGAAAATAAGAGACCATTACCAAGGCAAGCAGAAGTACAAAGTAAGATAAATAAATAAAATGCAGGATTTACATTAGAGAACATGAGACAACTGAATGCCATTGAGCTTGTATTTGCTGATCACATAGTATGCACCAGATCAGGTACTGCTGTATCAATGGGCCTGTGCTGGGAACTCTGGAAGTAGAGAAAAAAAGATGTGGCCTTTGCCTTCAGAGAATCTTCTAACATGTATCAGCACACAGAGCAATTCATACTGCAACTCTCCGCCTTGATTGAAGCACAAGATATTCCAGCTGTATCTGCCCTGAAATGCACCCCAACTCCAGGCAGTTCAGCCTTCCTCAACATCTTTCCACCTCCCCTTAGGAACATTCAAACAGCAAGAAAAATTCTAAGGAATCTAGAAGTAAATTTGCCTCCCTCCACAATCCACCCAAAGCTTTCTTGTAAAATAGAATGTGTCTTGTACATGGGCAAAGTACAGTCCACAAACATGAGTGTCTATTTCTTGAGAATCTTCTATATAACTAAGCCTTGTTAGCCTTTGGCTCAGGGGGCCTACTGTATGTACAAATTCTGCATCCAAAAAGCAGTGCTAAGTCCATTCTCTAGTTACCATAAACGACTTGACAAAATCAACAGAATGCTGATGAGCCAATCTTCTGATAATGGGAGTGAAAAGATAGAATGTCTAGATCTGGACCAAAACCAGCTCAACCATTTGCATGGCAATTTCAAATATAGATAGGGTCTGAAAGAAAATTTGTATTGCCGAGTTATGAAGAAATGAATTTGCATTTTGCCTGGGCCACTCAATAATTATTCTTTAAAACTAACAAAGAGCAGGCAAGATATAGGACAATTGTAGGAAGGAGAGCAAATATGGAATCAATCTTGCAGCAAGAGCCCAGAAATGACTGTCCAATAATGAAACAATTTGAAGAGAGAAAAATCTGTAAACATTTAGAGGGACAGTGAAATCATAAGCAATAAGGGGAAAGATTTGTGAATATCAAACCCTGCCAAGTCTGAAGTTCTCCTCCCCCCACACTAAGATTTTAGAATTATTCGATTAAGTAAATGTTTTAGAAAGCCACCCCACATTTGGGGATGCAATTAATAATGAGTATAGAAAAGAATTACGGCAAACTAAATATAGAAGGGAACTTCCAAGAGCATCTGGTTCAGCCATCCAATGTAACAGATGAAGAAACAGAGATGGAGGGGTTAAGGGGTTTATCTCAGTTCACCTTGTTTTCCAGCTTCTTCTACACGGAATCGTTTCTACTGTACCATACTCTGCTATTATTCACACAGAGGAATGACAAATCTGAACTGAAAGTTTGGATAACAAGCATAAAGGAGAAATAAATGAAATTCAGATGTTTGGTAGATGTGAAAAACCCTAAAGATTATAATGTGCAAAAGAACGAGGGATACTAAGTCCTAATGCCTGATGCCATCAATGGAGATTGGCTCATGGCATATATTTATTTATGCAGTTGGTGAAAGCATAAAACACAGAGAACTCATTCATGTTTCTGTGCCATTAAAACAGGAGGGCAGCTACAAGCTAAGCCTTCTAGGGAGATGGTGGATGCATGACCTTCACGGGGAACATCTCCTCTTATCCTTCAAAAAATATTTAGGTGAAATAAAGCCCCAAGAGGGTGAAAATTAGAGCACTGTCCAGCCCTAAGATTTTAGGATGTTTTATTGCCACTTATTTATAATTTTTTTAACATTGTGTTATCAAAAATGTCAGACATATACCAAAGTAGACAGAATAGCATTAATAAACCTCATGTACCCATCAATATCAACTTCAGCTTCAACAATATCAACTTACAGTCAATCTTGTTTCATCAATACTTCCACTTACCTCCTCCCTTCCTTAGTATTTTAAAGTGAATCCCAGATGATAGTATGTGATTTCATCTATTAATATTTTAGTATGCATTTCTAAAAGATAGGTACTCAAAAAGCATAATCACAATGCAAATATCACACCTACGGAAATTAATAGTAGTTACATAATATCATGAAATGCCCATTGTTCAAATTTCCATTTATTTCATGATCTCTTTTAACAGTTTGTTCCAATTGTCATCCAAATAAGGTCCTTTATCTCTTTAGTCTCTTTTGATGCACAGTTTCATCTTCTCCCTGCCCTGCGATTTATTTGTGGAAGACACCAGGTTGTTTGTCTAGAGTCTCCCACAGTCCACAATTTACTGAATGAATCCCTGTGTGTCTTCTGTCCTCTGTAGTTCAAGGTAGTTAGTTCTAGATCTGTGCTGCCCCATAGGGTAGCCACTAGCCACACTGTAGCTATTTAAATGAAAATTAGGTGATATTAAAATTCAGTTTCTCAGTCACACCAGCCACATTTTAAGTGCTCAGTAGCCACAAGTGGCTAGTGGCTCTATGGGGCAGCACACACATAGAGAACATTTTCGCCATCTTAGAAAACTCTGTTGGACAGCCCTACTCTAGTGGCTTAATAAAACTCTATGAGGTTGCCTTGGGGGGAAGTAGATGTTGAGTAGTAGGTGAGTCATCCACCAAATCTTTGACTCACAGTTGATCTCCTACACAGCAGTCACTTTAAACCTCCACAACTGGACTCTGAAGATAAAATAAAAGTTCAAGATGTACGTGTGTTTTTAAAGTTATGTAAGTAGTATACTTAAACATGTTTTTGTGATTTCCTTTTCTACCCAACTCTTTAAATGAGATTTAACCATGTTGATATATTTATGTGTAGTTTATTCATTTTAATGGATGTATAATATTGCATTATTTTATGTAACACAGTTGATTAATTAGATTGTTCTCAGTTTTCTGTATCATACACTGAGCTTCAAGGAACATCCTTATATGACTTTTGCCTCCTGATATATATGAGTAAAGCAGGCAAGCTTGACCTGAAATTGCTGGGACACTGAATGTGTACATCTTCAACTCTAACAGTTATTGCCCAATCACTCTCCAAAATGATTATAACAATTTACACTCCCACCAACAGTATGTGAGTGTTCCTAGTTTCTTACATCATTACCAATACTAGGTAGATTCAGATTTTTAATTTTTACCAACATGAGCTCATATATATGCAACAAAAGGATTAAAACAAGCATAGAAAAAAGGGAAAGGAATGGAGAAGGGAGCCATGACTTAGCTCCATCTGTAATGTTTTCTTATTAAAAAAAAAATGACAAAAAGTTAACATTTGCTAAATGTGAATGGTGGGCACAAAAGAGTTGGTTATGTCATTTTTTAGGATTGTTTGGTAGATTTACACTATCAGAATTAATTTTTATTTCATAATCCTTTTTTAATGCAAAGACTTAATAAATTATTCAGCACATGTTTTTGAATATGGAATTATCTGCTATCTGCTAGGTTTCTGTTTATTTATTTTGGTTTGGAGATTTTGTTTTTGGGGTTTGTTTACTTATTTATTTTGGCATTTCATTTTAAAAAGACAACACATAGAGTGACAATCCATTGGTTATATTTTCCCCAAATGACCTGCAGCTCATGGAGTATTTCCATCAAGCTTAACTCGGTCAAATACAGTATTGCCAACTAATTGATTTACTTTATACTTCTATATTACATGTCAGCAAGGTGATTTACTTTATTCTTTCATGCTATTTTATATAATATATCACATAGCATTTGCTTCCTCTATGACTGATATAAACTAAAGAGAGGGCAAACTGTAAATGAAAGCTTTGCTTGGAATACTGTCAAGTTTTGTGGAGTATTACTACTGACTAGTTGCCATTGATTCCTGAACTATGTGGACAAGGTAAATTATCTGTCACTGACATGAAGGTGGGCTAAGTTTTAGTATCACTATATTTGCAATGATCACTTTAAAAATCCAAACTAGAACTCTTCTAGGGAATACGACTACAAGGCCTGATTAGACTGATTTGTCAGTCCAGAAACAATTCTTAAATCTCTTTTATATACAAGGCACCCTGCTAGGCCCTTTGAGGGACATAAAGACAGACAGGCATTGGTTCTTGCCTCTGATAACTTACAACCAGGCAACCTTTTTCTTTTACAAAACTAACTACAAAAATTTTATTTTTGTAGTCAGAAGCTCACTCTGGCTTTGTTCTATTTTGATCTTTATAACTTATTTTAAAGATCATTCAGTAGTTATTCATTGCTCGGTCAGTCTCACTGACCTTTGGCCAAAAGCTGTAACATTTTGACCTGGCCTGTGGGACTCAGCTCTTTCCACTCCATGAAGCTGGGGGTGTAAATAACTTCAAATAAAACCCTCCTGGCAATCTGTGCTGGGCACAGCATGAGAGAGAAATGGGACAAAGCAGAGGAAAGAATCAAGTGGGAGTACCCACAATAAGTGAGAATGGTATCCATGTTTTAAGCGTCTTTTTTCCTCCTCTCTCTTAAGATATTTATTCTGCTTCTCTATTAGTAGGTACAAAAGTAATAATGGGAGGAAACAACAAACCAAAATGATAAAATGCAACACACTTCCCTCTATGCGTAGGTCTTCCACATGGGCTCCTTTCGGGTTGAACATGCAGCGTAAATCATAGCGGCAAAGAACTCAGTGAAGACACACTTCTTATGTTTATAAACAGCCAGGGGGAGTGGCCACCTTGAAGGTGGAGCCATGGAGTCTGTGTGAGTGTATGTGCCCATTTGTGTGTGTGTGTGTGCATGTGCACACAGGTATCACACATGTGCCTGCTCATGACCAACACAAGGAGAAAGAATGATCTGCAGGAGGAATGGTTGGCTATATCTTGAAGCCATTCACGCTTTATGGTGTCTGAACTTCAAAACTAAGCAGTTCTGAAGGCCATTTAGTGGCAGCAGCGCAGGACTTCCTGAGACAAGAAGTTCGGCTCATAAAATAGAGGTGCAGCTGGCCAACAGGACATGAAAAGAGCTCTTTGCAAACGCCAGCCTGGTAGGGGTAGTGTAAATGATTCAGAAACACCTGGCTGATACTTCCCTTGAGGTTCCCAGAGGATGAACTGGTTATGAAGGACCTGGTTAACTGAATGCCATCAGGGAACTTGACTAGTCCAGAACACTGGGGGAAAAGCACAGCGAGATGATGCCATGATAACTAGAGTGCTCCAGGAAATAAGCCTCCTTGTGTCAGTGGAGAAGGGTTAGGAATAAAATGGTTCAGTTACATATTCTTATCCTTGATCAGGCCAAGGCATCTCTTCTATGAGATCGATAGTACATCTGCTTGATATGGAGGCCCACGTGCCTTTTTATTCATCTAACACCTACAAAAAGAGAAAGTCTAATCCTTTGCTAAATTGAATCGGATCAAATGTCAAAAAGGTGAATACAAAATTACCTATATAATAAGAGAAATAATGGGAAGATTTATATTGTGATTCTGCCATTGAGTCCCACGGCTCTAGGCCAGTTTACCTCCACAGTATGAGCCTCAGTTTCCACATCTTTACAACGGAAGCAACAATATTTCACATAATTGTTGGGAGGACTGAAATCATGTCAATAGAAGTACTTTGCATGCACAGTGAATATTTGAGAAATGTTTGTTTTTATTTTAATAAAGAAAAAGGAATAATGCATCTTGGGCACGGAGACATACCCATAGCATTAATTCTCTATAATCTTTATAGCCAAGTAGAATGCTAGCTGTCAGTGAAGAGGCTGAGTTGAAGGCACCTTGCATCCTGTGCTCAATTTCTTATCTCTTCCCCTCCCGCAGTCGGCTCCTCCCTGAAGAAGAGGTTCAAGCGGCGGGAGATCGAAGCCATCCAGTGCGAAGTGCGGAAGATGTGCAACTACACCAAGATCCTGTCCACCAAGAAGAACCTGGACCACGTGAACAAGATCCTGAAGGCCAAGCGGCTGCAGAGACAATCAAAAACAGGCAACAACTTCGTGAAGAAGAGGCGCGGGCGTCCCAGGAAGCAGCCCACCCAGTTCGATGAGGACTCCAGAGACCAAATGCCGGTGCTGGAAAAATGCATCGACCTGCCCAGCAAAAGAGGCCAGAAGCCCAGCCTGAGCCCGCTGGTGCTGGAGCCCGCCGCCAGCCAAGACACCATCATGGCCACCATCGAGGCGGTCATCCACATGGCCCGGGAGGCGCCGCCCCTGCCCCCGCCACCGCCGCCGCCCCTGCCGCCACCGCCGCCACCACCCCTGCCCCCGCCACCCCCTCTACCCAAGACCCCCCGAGGCGGAAAGAGGAAACACAAACCGCAGGCCCCCGCTCAGCCCCCACAGCAGTCGCCCCCGCAGCAGCCCCTTCCCCAGGAAGAGGAGGTGAAAGCCAAAAGGCAGAGGAAGTCCCGAGGGAGTGAGAGCGAGGTCCTTCCCTAGGGCGGGTCTGGGCGTCTGCACCTGGGGCCTAGGGAACTGACACGTGGGAAGCGCAGTGAGCCGGGGCGGGGGCGGAATCCCCCGCTGCAGGGACACCCACGCCCTTCTCTCCAGAAGCCGGGCAGGCAGAATCCGGCCAGACGACGGGGCTGAGCCATCAGGAGCTCTTGGGAAAGCAAAGCAGGGAGACACCTTCAGAAGAAGCTTGTCTGAGCTTCACCGCAGCTCCCACCACGCGGCGCTTCAGTACGGCTGGATCCTCCGCAGGCGAGCGGAAGGCCCCCAGGAGGAGCAGGCTGGTGGCACTCTCCTGACCTCACGCTGCCAAGGTGCGCCCTCGACTCCCGATTTCATTTGCTGGCCAGGAAAATCGAAAGGGAAACACCCTCAATTAGGAAACATTCCAAGGGGAGAAAAGCTGCAAATTGCTCAACTGGCATTGCTGTAACCCGTTCCATTTAATTGGTTTTTATTTCTTTTGATTTTCAAGCTCTGCTAAGCTTTGGGGTACCAACGTCATCTTCAGGTGACCTGAATCTTTCCCTTAACCGTACAGTTTCTCGATGGAATTGTGTGATCAGAAGGTGGAATTCTAGTGATAGGCGACCTCAGACCCGCATTCATGTTCTGTGTGCCTCTTCTATTGCACATACACTGATTTTTAGCATTGTCTATTCCTATTTTTCCTTTGCCCATTGTACTTCCATATATCTTTTCATTAACTTACTTGCTGCCTTTTTTTTTTCTTGGTACACATTTAAATAAAGTAATCCTTAACCTGTGCTGTAAAGTTCACCCTTGGCATGCTGTTCCAAGAACCTGGGTTTGAATCCCAATCGTTGTGAAACATACTCAGTATTGATAAAACCTTTTTAATAAGTGATGCAGAGCAGCCAAGGATATGTTGACCCAGATGTCAACCAGGCTATTTTTATACTTAAAACATGTCAGCAGAGCATAGGCAGAATAAAATGGTTTAAATACCCCACAGCAAATAGAGTAACTGACAAACCACCAAAAACTGAAACCCCAGACCCACCAGAAAGACAAGTGTCTAGCAATGCCTTGGTACCTGATCTTTTTCATTCAAATAATTGTCATAGGTTGTTCAAAAAAAAAAAAAAAAAGGAAACAAAAACACAATAGAAGTCCATTATCCCTTGATAATTATTTCTTAAAAGCAAATGGGAGTAAGTGTTCTTATCTGGAAAAATAAATAAATAAAATGCTCAAAGGGTATCACCACTTCAATTTTATCAAGCCACCTTGGACAAAGTATCCAAATTGTGGTTGCCTTAATAAACTAAAACATTATTGTACATAATGTAATTATAAATCTATCAGTCTGCATGGATGCAAACTGTGTGTGACAAATCGTCTTTTAAATGGTCAATTTCAGCTGTACATTTCTCATCCAAGTTGTACTCTAGCCATTGGTTTAGCGTGGACAGATACTCCATCTCTATTATCCATTTCCACAGCCCAAATAAAATATGTTAAGCAGGCTCAGAATGAATATGAAGAATTCCATTTCCGTAGATGTTTTCTAAAAGTCAGATTGTGGAAATTTCAAATAAGTATTTTCAATTTCCTCCCTCACTCCCTCTTACCTTCCCCAAGACATCAAACACCTGGCATGGTAGATTATAGAAAGAGACACTGAGAGAGAGAATTAAATTTTCTAATGGGAATTAGAATATCTGGTTTACCTCCAAATTAAGTTTCTTTACAGGAAGTTGGGACCAGCTGGAAATTGTATTATCATTTCGGAACACAATATTACTTCCTTAGAGAGAGATGGATTTTTGTTGGCAACATAAAAGAATAAGTGATGGGGTATCTATGTGAGTAAATTTTTAAATTCCAAGTTAATATGCTTGCAAACATTACTGCTGCGTTATGGCACCAAGAGTTGGTTGAAATTACCCACGTAGTCATACTCCTGTGCTCTGTCACCATGGACTTCACATCATTTGCTGCCCACTAGTTCAATCGCATTTAATCCTAGCAATATGTAAGTTTAAAGGACTGCATTCCCCTCTACTTTAAAGCTTATATCCTAGATACTCAGTTTGTGACCTTGGTTGACCTTTGGCATTTCACGCAAGTTGAACAGCAAAATCAAAGCAGCCATTTTTAATTCGTCATTCCCAAGCCCTATCTGAGTGGTTCCAAAGTCACCTGAGAGGAAGGTTTAAATTAGTCCCTCTCACCCCACCATTGCTATAAAACAGCAACGTTTTCATTCCAATTCAGCCATAAAGAGGTTTCTCTTCTTACTGGGTTTTGAAATCATTTCCTTTTTTCTTTCGTTTGCCCTTCTTCCTTCCTGTGTTGTACTATCTCTCCAACCACGTCTATAAGCAGACTCAATCTTCTTGCAGAGGAAGATGAGCTGGCACTCTGCAAACTTCTTTAATAAGGACCCAAAGTTTACTTGACATTAACCTCTAGTAGGTGAGAAATTCCAAAAAAGCTTTGGGGTACATTAGAATTTCCAAAGCTCTGAAAGATATTTCAGGAGATTTAACAGCAGAGTTGCAACTTACACGTGAATTCTGGTCTATAGTGGTCATGTGAGTTAAATTCGAATCCTCTACTTGTATGACCCTAGGAATAGATTGGAATACTGCAGAGGACCAAAGCTGAGGCATGCTAAACAGCTGCTTGGAGGTGGAAGCAAGTTCAGTCACCTACTCAGCTTCCTCTCTCCACCACCCAGTTCCTCCCTCAGTATCACATTATTTTTTTCTTCTGCTTTTCATTAACCTAACTCATCTCATCAGTACAACCATTTTCTTATTCTCTAACTACCCCCAATTCCTTTAGCCTCTCCCCACCTGTCCAAACTCAGCTCAGCCGTGGGCCAATGCAGCTTACAGACGGTTGCAGAGCTAGGAAGAAAACCCAGCTCTCCCAACCCTGATCGTGGAGGTCTCTGGCCCCCCAACACTGCCTTCTGGGGGCTGCATTTTTTTTTTTTTTTTGAGAAGAGGTCTTTTGGGATGCATGGTGCTCCACATACAGCTTCACAAAATATTTCATTATAAGAGAAACCCCTTGATTTTTATTTCTTTTTCTTTTGTTTTCTGGATTACCTGCCTTCAGTAAGCAGATGCAGACCCACTTGTAAGGAGTCTGGTTAGTGATGAGAAAAGGATGAAATCTAGATACAAAAGTCACCTTGAAGGTGATGATGGATCTTTAATCCACTTGACTAAGTGTCTGGAAGAGCTACTTGCTCTTCCACCCCTCATCTCAAATGAGAGGAGCAGAAGTTTAACTTCCTCAAATAGCCCAGCTCTGGCTAAAACCCAAAGAAGAAAGGTCAAAGGAAGGGAAAGCATGTCAGGGGCTGGTTTGTGACTTGGCAGGACCAGGAAACAGCAGCCACTGACAGCCCAGAGAAGGTGACTAAGGGCTGGCAGAAGATTAGAATGTTAATTTGGCTGCTGTCCGGACTAGGAGGCCATGTTCAATGGCAGTCAGAATTTGTGTTCTGCGCATTGCTGGGTCTATAAATATGATAAGCAAGTGGTGACAGAATTATAGTATAAGGTGATGTACTACATGCAGATCATAAAGGCTTTGGTTTTAAGACTTAAGTAGAAAATCCCTCTCCTAGCTTATTACCCAACAATATTCAGATAATGAGCTTTTGGAGAATATCTTTTTCCTATCACTAGAAAGATTTACCTGGGAACTGTCTAAAGTCTACACACATATTTCCAAAGCCTTTAAATACCAACTGCAGCATGGAGAGAGAGGGGTGGCAGAAGCTGAAATGCCTCAAAAGCCATTTAAGTGTTACGTTGCAGGATTTTCAGTCCTTCTCGTTATGTAAAAGTAGATAAATATAGACGTTATTCTCAACACTACCCTATAGTATCACAGTGGTCCAAATGCCAGAGCTTACAGATAATGTCATCACAGTGCCTAGAAACTCGAACTGTAATATATCGTAGCATTTTCTTGGTGTTTCTTAAAGTTTCTTTCCACAATACAAGGTCCTCTCTGCCTCTTGTTTCTTGGAGAGTTCACCCCACTGATGAGTCTTCCTTCCCTGTTGGACTCAGTCATTTGGGGAACAGTCTTAGAAGCACATATCAACCAAGGAAGAAACTTCCTGGATATCTATTGCCCACTTGCCCAGGTCTAATAAACACTAAAGGGGGGAAATTGAAAGGAGCTGCCAACTGGTCAACGTGGAAGGGCGGTTCCACCCTAGATTGGTGTCTTTCTTTTTCTTCCTTTTTTTAAAAAAAATCTATTTCTTAAATAATAATAAATGCACATGATGTGTTAAATATGTACATATATATTTCAAAAGAAAAAATGGGGCACAAGATTGTCTTACAAGTCGTGCTGGCTAATTTTTAGTTTGTATTCATAAGTGGTTTTTAAAAGCCTTTTTTAAAGTGTAATTTGCATGTTCTACTTTGATTGTATGTAAACATATTTTAGAACAAAAAATGTATTTGTATTTTATTGAATATAGAGGCAAGAAAATTGTACATTGTTTGAAATGTTCTTTTTGTAACAGTTTTTATTCATAAAGCATTTTTGTACATTTAAAATGAACATGGACTTGCTGTTATTTGAGGCGTAGATACATCTAGCATGCTTACTGTCATGCTCCTCCATGGTCTTAGATGTTGGGTTTTAAACATTTTTTTCTAAAAGAAAGCTCAGTCTTTTCCGCTACCAGATCAGGTTAGCACAGTATAGAGCACTTAACTATTAAAAAAAAAAAGTTAATCCTATTCATATGTTATTCATTGTGTGAAATTAAAGACATTCAATTCAGTCTAACATGAGTTGTGAATTCTTTTGTTTTATTTTCCATCTGGTTTACATCACTAAGGAGTTTAATAGCATTTGGGGGTCTTTGCTCACACCAACTGGATACAGAATCATTGAGAAAATTTTAACAACCGTCTCTCTTTTGTATGATACTGGGAAGTACATTCTGGGTAAGAGTTGAGTCTGATTTACTGGGTTACTGTTCACAGAGTATTGCACTAACTGGCCACCAAGCCAGGGCTGATTCATAGAACCAGTTAGGCCTCTGCTGAAAGCAATCAAAGGGTACTGTAGGATATTGAAGACCCACCCTGTCCTAAATTTTTAGAAGAGCATTACAGATAGGGATTAAGCTTTCTTACTAAATATCCCATGATGTCAGACATCTGAAGGAAGGATCCCTGGCTGCACTTAAGGTTTTACTGGAGTGACAGGAGGGGCTACTTAATAAATGACAGACAGTTACTGATTACCTACCCAGTGCCTATGCTGAGCGTCCTTGCTCTAAAGGGACTTACTAGGCCTCCATTTGAAAAATGAAACTAGCAATTTGAAGCTGAATATGGCCAGCTGTGAAAGAGTGATGGGGTCTCAAAAGGAGTCTTTACTGCTTTCCTGCCTGTTTTTTCTACCCATTCTGTTCCACTTTTTAGTTTGTATTTATAAGTGGGTTTTAAAAGCCTGTCTTAAGCACTTTGCACATTATACTTTAATTGTATGTGAACATACAGGCATTTATATATTTTTTGCCTTCTTTCTTTGTCTTACCTTTGGACGTGCGTCTTCCAAAAGCCAACAAGATAGTCAGGAAATGTTATGAGCTGCTCCCCACTCCTAGCCATCAATCTGACCCAGCATAACATCCACTGTGACTTTCGGTATTTGCAGCACCTGCAGTAGAATTATAGACGTCAATGGAAGTCTTCAGGAGTAGAGTATTAGGGAGCCGTTGCAGGAGGAGTGAAGCACTCCTACCTCAGCTCGTCTCCTGAGACTCAGAGAATTTGGTCAGCCACCTCTAGTAGAATAGGACTTGCCTTCTTTCTCCTCTCCTCCTCCCACTATCTTGCACTGAACTAGGACAATTTAAAGCATTCTATAGTCATCATTCTAACTTGGGCTCATTAATTCCATTGATACTTCTGAAATCAGCAATGACTTCTGAGAGTGGCCCTAATCTCTTCCTACAAGCTTCTCATGCAGGGACAAAGCTGTTGCCTAGGAATGGATTGGCTCAACTCTAAAGTTTTTAAACAGTCCATAGCGGAGCAATGTGCTGACAAAGATTCTCAGGAAAGTTGGATGTATCCACACATGTGGCTGGTGCAAATCTCAGTCTACAAATTGATGGATGGGAGGAATATATACTTTTTAATTTTTCTCCAGCTCAATATTTATTAATTTGTAAGGCTCCATTCCACCAACATATAGCAGAATCTTACTTGCAGAGCCAGGGAATCATTTTTCTAATCCAAAGGGGAAGGAAGGAGGGATCCTGGAAAGCCTGGCTCCAACTTTCTTCCAAATTGTTTCTCTGTGCCCAATTCCTTTCTATTTCCCAAGTTTCTAGACATTTGAAGCCAGAAAGAAAGTATTTTTCATGTTTTCCCTGCTTTCTGCTGTCAGAAACATGCCCTGAGGGGATAAGCACAAACCAACCTCGCTGCCTGTACTGGGAAGAGGCAACTACTAGAATAGTGAGGATGCTGGAAATCAATTGCCACGTGGAAAAATTTAACCTGTCACACATGCAATAGGGAGTGAGGACAATGGGATGCTCAGGGCTAAAGGATTTGCCCACAGTCATAAAAAGACTCTTTACAGGTCAGATGAAATAACAAATGGCTATGAAAGGGAGTGGGTAGGTGCAAAACAGTGGTGTGTGCATTTCCATTCCTTATTACTAACATTTTCACTTTTATGGAAATGCCAACACCCAGTTTTAAATCATTATAAAGCATGGTAATGCACTTTTCTAAAGTGTCATAAGGGCTTTCATTTTGGATTAATTAAAGAAAAAACTAGTTCCAAAGTGTTACATTCACATATGGGAAGATTGGGAAGTAACAAATGATAAGTGTTAAAACCTCAAAAGAGTTGGAAACTACATCCTCTCATTATAAAAAGCTTGATATTTTAAAGCTTAATTCTCTACTTTTTAGGGGACCGAGCACTGGAATAAGGGTCAAGTGACATGGAATATGTTCCTGCTTGGTCACTAAAGACTCTGTATCCAAGAGCAAAAGTTCTTTGAGTCTCATCTGCCTACTTTATAAGATGGGAGGTTAAACTCTCAATGGTGTCTCCAAGGTTCTTCAAGTCAAAAATCTCTGATTCTGTCATCTTTGTACCTTCCCAACAGAACCTATCTTTGATTTCCAACTTTATTCCCACCATTGTGTAAAGCCAGCAATACAATGTGGTAGTATGAAAGAAGTTAATGAAAAAAATATAATGATGACATACAGTTAAATCTTTCCTTCCTTCTTCCCTCCCTTCATTCCTTTCTCCCTTCTTTCCTTCCCTGCTTGCACATTGCCAGGTACCAAAGATGGAAGAATGAGCAAGAAAGACAAGACCTCGTTGAATTTTATTCAAGCAAACATTCCTAGATAATGAATATTCTCTATACGTTCTCTGCCTATCCAAATTCTACCTACTTTTAAGGTTTAATTCCAACTTCACCTTCTCCAGGAAATCTTACGGCCACAGTCCAGAAACACCTCTTTATCTCCTGTACCACTCATTTGGTAACTGCCCTTAATAATTCCACATATGACAGAGTATAATTGTCAACCAGGGCTGTCATATAAGGTTGCACCAATTGCTCCCTGCACAAGGGGACTTGGCTGAAAAAATTAGGGCTAAAATCCAGCCTGTACTTATCTTGCCAAGATCTGCTCCCTTGGTGTGGTGCCCACCCTGAGTGGGCATCTTTTTCTCATTTTCACAAAATTTCTTTTGTGAGAACAAAACCCTTTAAAAAAAATTCAAGATCTACTGTGTGTCTTTGTAAAGCAGAATAAACTCCTAGCAGAATGGTATCTGCCTCTCCTTCCCACTCAAACTGTCCATGCTGCCCTTGCCTCAAGACCTCAATAGCCACTCACAAATCCAGGAAATCCTACCACCACCATTATAGTCAGCAATACTCCATACTCTAGAAGACTCCAGAATCCATTTCCAAACTTAACAATTGCCCCAGCTGTCTGCCAGGAGAAGTGGGAAGAAAATAATGACACCGGAAAACAGCCCTGCACAAATGAGTCAGCTAGGTTCAATGGCACATCCTAGTGAGTACAGTTTACTAAGATGCTGGCATCTGACATCTCACAAAGTCTTCAATTTTTCAAAGACTTTTAAAATTTTTATTTTTACATAATTACAGAGTCACAGGAGGTTGCTAAAGAATATACTGAGTCCTATGCAAGTGTCTCCCAACTCTCCGCATCCCATGCCAATGTCCCACACAACCACAGTACAATATAAAAATCAAAACATTGATATTGGCACAATCCATAGAGCTTATTCAGATTTCACCAGATGTACATGATTTCATTTATGTGTGTGTATTTGTGAGTGTGGTTGTATGTGTAGAGATCTGTGCAATTTTGTCACATGTATAGTCTTGTGAAACAGCCACCACAGTCAAGATATTCAATTGCACCGTAGCCGCAGAGCTTTCACTGTGGCAACCTCCCTTTGAGTTCCCCTCATCATCCTTAACCCCTAGCAACCACGAATGCCTGCTCTATCTCTACAATTTTGTTATTTCAAGATCATACATACTGCATAATGGAATCATGCAATATGTATCCTTTTAAAAATAAAGTCTATTTTTAGAAAAGTTTTAGATTTAGAAAAAGTTATGAAGATAGTACAGAAAGTTCCCATGAACCCTGCACCTAGTTTCCCTTAGTATTAACTTCGTACAATAGTATGGTACGTTTGTTTGTTACAATTAATGAAACAATATCATTACATCATTATTAATAATGTCCACACTATATTCAGATGCCCTTAGTTTTTAGCCAATGTCCTTTTTTAGTTTCCACCCAGGATACCATATTTTATTTAATCCTCATGCCTCCTTAGGCTTCTCTCGGCTATATCAGTTTTTCAGACTTTCCATATTTGTGATGTCCTTGACAGTTTTGAGGAACACTGGTCAGATATTTTGTTGAATATCCCACCATTGGGTTTGCCTGATGATTTTCTCGCGATTAGAATGGGGTCATATGCTTTGGGGAGGAAGACCACAAAGGTGTGATTGTCCTCACTTCCTATCAGGGGTACCTACTATCAATATGATGCATCATTGTTGATGTTAACCTTGATCACCTGGCTGAGGTAGTATCTGCTCAGTTTATCCACTGTAAAGTTACTCTTCTTTTCTCTTTTTTCTTTTTTTTAAGAGATGGGGTATTACTCTGTTGCCCAGGGTAGAGGACAGTGGTACAATCATAGCTCACTGCAGCCTCAAACTCCTGTGCTCAAGTGATGCTTCTGCCTCAGCCTCCCAAGTAGCTGGGATTACAGGTGTGCACCAACACACCTGGCTAATTTTTTTTAGTTTTTGTAGAAAGAGGAGCAGGCTGTTCTACAACAGGAGCCCAGAATGGTCTTGAATTTCTGGCCTCAAGCAATCCTCCCACTTCGGCCTCCCAAATCACTGAGACTACAGGTATGTGCCACTGCACCCGGCCCTCTCCATTTTGAAACTGTATTCTTTGGAAGGAAGTCACTTTATGGAGCCCACACTTAAGAAATGTGGAGTTATGCACCACCTCCTCAAGGTCTGCATTTATACATAAATTATTTGGAATTCTTATGCACAGGAGATTTGGGTTTTTAACACTTTTGATTTTGAAATAATTTTAGACTTACAGAGAAGATGCAAAAACAGTACAGAATTCTATTTAATGCCTCACCCAGCTTCCTCTGATGTTAACATCTTATATAACCATAGTACAATGATCAAAACTAAGAAATTAACTGCGGTACAATACTATTAGCCTCACTGCAGACTGCATTTCACCAGTTTTTCCAATTATGCCATTTTGAAAACATTTGGAGAAATATTAAGTTGTAGTAAAATACACATAACATAAAATTTATCATCTTAACCATTTTAGTGTATAGTTCAGTAGTGTTAATTATATTCACTGGAGATTGTGTAACCAATCTCCAGAACTTTTTCATCTTGCAAAACTGAAACTCTATACCCATGAAACAACTCCCCATTTCCCCATCTCCCCAGCCCCTGGAAACCACAATTTTCTCCTTCTGTCTCCATGAGTTTGACTACTCTGGATACCTCAGATAAGTAGAATCATATAGTATTTGTCCTTTAGGAGGCTTGTCTCTTATCCTTCATTTATTCATTTACTTGATGATTTATTTATATTGGTATAGACTCATGGACACCTGTTTTATATTTTGGGTTATATTCCAACACTATTTTGTTGCTCAACTTAGTAAAGATATGGCCATTGAAAGCTTTTTCTGTGGATTCCTGGGTCCCTTTGACATACTCCCATCATTACGGTGGGGTTTTTAGTTTTATTTGTTTTGTTTTACTTTCTCATACCAAAGGAGCATCATTTTGTGTGTATGCTGGGACAGTCCTAGAATTAGTCATTTCTCTAAGAGCTCTGATTCTTTTTATGGGAGAAGGGTGTTAGAAACCAAGTTCTGAGTGCCAGGTATGCTTGTTCCTACTAGAGTATTATTGCTTCTAGGCCCTCTCAGCTGACACAGCAAGGAAATACATGTGTGTATACTACCTCATGTATATTCACCACAGATCTATGAATATTTCTATATGTGTTCATTTCTATATGTATTCATTTAGACTCATGTTATAAACATGAGTCTAAACTGCTACCTCTAACTCTAATCTATTACCCCATGGATCATTCTAACCTCCTCCCTTTGCTTAGCTATACTCTCCCACTTGATAATGAAAAACGCAAATCTTACCATCTGCCATTTATTTACTTAAGTAAGTATTTAATTCCAGTATAGCAGTATCAGAACAGTTGACACATATCTATCCTTTTCTTACTTAGCATAATTTCTTGAGGTTCCCCAAGTTGTTGTGGGTACCCATAGTTGGTTTCTTTTTATTATTGAGTAGTATTCCATACCATGGCAGTACCAGGGTTTGTTTGACTCTTCATTCATTCAAGGACATTTGGGCAGTATTGATTTTGGAGCTCTTTTAAATAAAGCTCCTATGAACATTCATATACAAGGACTTATGGGAAAATAAAATTTTATTTCCTTGGAAAATTTCCCCTAACTGTAATTTCTGGGCTATATGTTAAGTCCATTTTTAGTTTTGAAGGGAACTGCCAAACTATTCTCCAGGGTAGTTATACCATCTTACATTCCTACCAGCAGTGTATGAATGATCCAACTTCTCTGCATCCTCATCAGTATTTGATGTTAATACTATTTTTTATCTTAATCATTCTGATAGATATGTAGTTGCCTTAGTCCATTCAGGTGGCTATTACAAAATAGCACAAACTGGATGATTTATAAATAACATTCATTTCTCACAGTTCTCGGGCCTGGTAAGTCCAAGATCAAGACACTAGCTGATTCATTGTCTGGTAAAGGCCTCACTTTCCGGTTCATGGATGGCGCCTTCTTGCTGTATCCTCATGTGGTGGAAGGGGGAAATAGGCCTCCTTTATAAGAACACTCATTCTATTCATAAGACCTCCAACCTTATGACCTAATCTCTTCCCAAAAGGCCCCACCTCCTAACACCATCATCTTGGGGGTTAGGATTTTTACATATAAATTTACAGGGGAAACACAACCATTTGGACCATAGTAGTAGTAATAACTCATGTAGTTTAAATTTGCATTTCTATAATGGCCAATGATGATGAAGAAGTTATCATGCAGTTTTTTTCTTTAATTGTTTTGTTTTTTGCCATTAGCACAACCTCTACAGTGAAATGTTTTGGCATATATTTCACTCATTTTCTAATAGGATTGTTTGATTTTGAAACACTGCTTTTGATAATTTTTTATATATGCTAAATATAAAGCTTTTGTTGTACATGTGACTTGCAAATTTTTTTTCAGTCTGTAATTTGTCTTTCTATTTACACTTTAAGTCAAAAAGTACCCCTGAAACGTTGACGTTACTCACATTTTAGTGTGAGAGACAGAACAGGGTTATCAAGATAAAGTGAATTGTTTTTGAAATACACACCTATAAAGGGCATAGCTGGGACTAGAACTCAGTACATTCATAGTCAAATACTTTTCTACAATGCAAAGTAATCTTGGTAACATCTCATATGGTCATTCGTTACCTTTTCGTGATGCCAAAGAGCTTTTCAATTAATAACACACTGTGATTTTGGAAGGAACCTTAGAAAGCTTATAGCTGAAGTCCCTCAGTTTATAATGGAAAAAACTGAAGCACAAGGACATAAAGTGAACCTGCACTACTCACATGGCTTATCAATTATCAGTGGCTCCCAGGCTGGAGTCTGAGGCCTGGACTCCCCCATCTGATTCTTTCCCTACTCTACCACATTTCTCAGTATTCCCCAAATCCCACAATGTCCAGCATGCCCGTGTCCTGAGAGGTTAGGGAAGGAAAACAATAATGAGTTAGGAGGTCAGAAAGGAGCTCTTTACCTTGGAGAGGGTGAAGGAAAGTGAAGAAGTGCAGCAGAAAGCAAATGGCACCAAAAGAAGTGATATGGGCATGTGGTCACCAAGGAGAATCTTAGAGATTTCTTCAGTAAGAATGCAAGGGGACTGCCAATGCCTTGTGAATGTCATCACTGTACCCCAAGACAGATTTGTTATTTATTTCCCTGAAATATCTGTGACAATCATAATAGAGCCTGTATTTTCAGGCCTAATAGTTTACTATCACCTTGACTCAAACTTCTAAAATATACTTATTCCTCAGTTCAGCAATTTATGTCCATGCTTCCATACTTTCCGTTGTACCCTTTATCACCACCACCATCTCTCTCTCACCTTCCCACACACATCCAGGCAAACACACATCTAGATCCAGGCTGAGGTAGAGTAGGGATGACACAAAGCTAGGGAAAAGGCTTTGCTTCTCATTCTGCCAGAGCCAAAGCCTTTGGCTTAGGAAGCTATAAGGTTCTGCCCAGGGGGACCAGGGAAATGTGCATGTTTAGAAATAATCACAAAGCCCTCAAGGGCTCTCTGAACTCTCTGCATCTTTGGGGACATATTTTATTTTAAAATCCTTACATTGTAAAATAAAATATCAATGTACAAACCATACAAAATGTGGTTTTATGAATTATAAGGTAAACCTTTAATAAGCACCACTCAAGTCAAGAAATAGAACGTATCAAACTACCCCAGAAGCCCCTCCATGTACCTCATCGTATCCCAGCCCAGCCCTCCCTTCAAAGGTAGGCTCTCTCGTTACTTGCTTTCATGTGTTTTTTATGATCATGGTTTTATCATCCAAGTGAATTCCTGGACATCAATGGTTAGTCTTGCTCACTTTTAAAATGTGTTATGTCTTTTAAGTCTCTGAATCTACGTCTCCCCGACATTCCTTACTTTTCCTGATATGTACCTGTTGAAGAACATAGACTATTTGACCTGTAGGGTTGCCCCAGTGTAGATACTGCTGAATGCATACTCAAGATGCAGTTCAATATGCTCCCTCTTCTGTCCTCAGAATTCCTTGAAAATTGCCTGGATCTAGAGATAGAATCAAACGCAGGGTTGATCCCTTTAGCACGATTATAGGTGGCATTGTGTTCTTACATCAAGTAGTACATATGTCTGGTTCTTTCTCTGTGACGTTCACAGCCATTGATGTTTTAATGCCTAGGTCTATTAATTTATGAGAGATTGCAAAGTGATGATGTTTTAACATTATTATGTTTTCATTAATTGGTATGCTTTTATAAAGAGATGCTTCCCCTTGTCAACTCTTTGATTACCTCTTGGTACAACTCACAGGAAGAGCAGGATAAATATTTGATTCTTTCTTTAATTTTCAAGATCATATATTCCCTGTGGTCCTCCAAAGATGACCAACTAGAATTTTCATTTTAATCTCATCTTGAACTCATGGGCTTAGCCATGTTTGCAGGGTTTCAATCATTGTAATTACTGTCATTATTGAAGCTTAAATTCGTCCATGTGTGGCACATTGGAGTCTATTCAAGTTGGTTCCTAAGTCGTTTTTCCATAATCCCAGCTGTTTTTTATAATCTGGTAAGCTTTGGTGACTTCTTGGATATATGATGTTACAAGACACTCTAAGCTCATCTTATGATTTTTCTGTTAGACCTGAAATGAGCCATCTTTTCAAGAATACTTATTTCATTTTTTAACTGGGAAATGGTATTTCAAGACCACAATTTGGACCCTAGGAATGGATGGATAGATAGATAGATAGATGATAGATAGATAGATAGATAGATAGATAGATAGATGATGATAGATAGATACATAGAAATATAATCTGAAATAAATTTGAATTATAAATATCAGTATGAATGTGTGTATGTGTATATTCATACTGATATTTCTAATTCAAATTTATTTTAAATTTTTGTACTTCAATTGTAAAAGTTTTAACTAAAACTTACATCTGTATCTTCTAAAAGAATCAAAAGAAAAACATATTATTTTTGGTTCATTTACTCCACATCATATACACAAGATATAAACAACCGTAATTTAAAAACAACCATAAAAAAGTGAAACAGCCATAATACAATTATCAATATGATTACTAAAAACATAGAAAAATAGCATATGTTTTCCGCCTTTTCCCATTTTTATAGTTGTTCTGTATCTACATTTTCAGAACATAATGAGCATATCTATCTGCTCCCTTTCAACACACATTTAATCTTAGTTCTAAAAGTAACTATTTAGTGCTCACAACCAGACTTATGTCAATGCTTCAAGTCATGTTGGTTGCCTGAAACTCATGCTCAAGCAAATCCCTAAGAAAACGCTCATTGGAATAAAGCTTCCTGAGTTCTTGCATGTTAATAAGAGTTGTACCCTTTATACTTGAAAGTCCATTGGTTGAATATAAAATCCTTGGCACACAACTTCTTTCCTTAAGTATTTTAAATAGGTTCCTCCATTCTCATTTGGCATGAAATGCTGCTTTTGAAAAACCTAATTATAATCTAATTTTCTTTCCCTTATGTCACTTGTTCTTTCTGTTTAGATACACAAAGTATATTTTCTTTTTTCTTAAAATCCAATAGTTTTACTAGAATATATTTTGGTTTGGTTAATGGTCTCTTTAGATAACTGATTCAATATTTGTTAAGGAACATTTTCCTGAATCAAGTATTTTAGTATTTATTCCCTTTTCTTGTGTTGATTTTCTTCTTCAGGGATTTCTGTTACCTTTAGGGATCTTCTTCGTGTGGCTTCAATTTTAGTCACTGTTAAGAATCTTAAGTTCTTTTCACCCTTTCCCCCACATTTGTTTTTAATTTTAAAAATTCTCCTCCATTCAACCTTCTATTTCTCTTCAGGTATTTTCTGTTGAGTTTATTCACTCTTGTATTCCTACTGGTTTCATCTTCATCTTTGACATTATATTTTTATATACAGTTGACCCTTGAACAGCATGAACTTGAACTGTGCCAGTTTACTTATATGCAGATGTTTTTCAATAAGTGTATTGGAAACTTTTTTGGAGATTTGTGACAATTTGCAAAAACTGACAGGTGAACCAAGTAGCCTAGAGATATCAAAAAAGACAAAAATATATATTATGAATGCATAAAACATATGCAGATACTAGTCTATTTTATCACTTGCTATCATAAAATATACACGAATCCATTATAAGAAGTTAAAACTCATCAAATCTTATGCACACTTATAGACCATACACAACACTATTCACAGTCAAGGGAAATATAAACAAATGTAAAGATGCAGCATGAAATCATAACTGCATAAAATTGACTATAGTACAGGATAGCCTACTATAATAATTTCATAGTCACCTCCTATTGCTATTGTAGTGAGCCCAAGTTTTGCAAGTATCCACTTAAAATGTCGTATGACACTAATCATCACCGTATGAACAGTTCATCGCTCCAGTAAATTGCATATCGCAGTAAAAAGTTATCTCTCACAGCCCTACTCCTTAGGATCCTCAACGTGAAGATGATGAAGATAAAGGACTTTATGATGATTCACTTCCACTCAGTGAATAGTAAATAGATTTTTTCTTCCCTACAATTTTCTTAGTAATATTTTTTCTCTAACTTTATCATAAGAATACAGTATATAATACGTATGACATACAAAATACGTGTTAATTGTTTATATTATTGGTAAGGCTTCCAGTCAACAGTAGGCTATTACTAGTTAAGTTGAAGGGGGAGTCAAAAGTTATACACAGATTTTTGACCGTGAGGCTCTCGGCACCCCAACCCCGATGTTGTTCAAGGGCCAACTGCATTTTCAATTTCTCCTGTCTTCTGTCACTTTATTTCTGAGTTTTCCTAATTATAAATTATGCTATTATTTCATGTCTCTTATTATTTTCATATATCTTTTGCCTCATTTTGAAACAGTGAATTAGAATTTTGATTTGTGGGCATAAGTTATTGATATGTTTTTAATTCTGTCTCTTTTTCTCTTTTCTTTTTTTTTTTTATTTTTAATTTTTTTTTTTATTATACTCTAAGTTTTAGGGTACATGTGCACATTGTGCAGGTTAGTTACATATGTATACATGTGCCATGCTGGTGCGCTGCACCCACTAACGTGTCATCTAGCATTAGGTATATCTCCCAATGCTATCCCTCCCCCCTCCCCCGACCCCACCACAGTCCCCAGAGTGTGATATTCCCCTTCCTGTGTCCATGTGATCTCATTGTTCAATTCCCACCTATGAGTGAGAATATGCGGTGTTTGGTTTTTTGTTCTTGCGATAGTTTACTGAGAATGATGGTTTCCAATTTCATCCATGTCCCTACAAAGGACATGAACTCATCATTTTTTATGGCTGCATAGTATTCCATGGTGTATATGTGCCACATTTTCTTAATCCAGTCTATCATTGTTGGACATTTGGGTTGGTTCCAAGTCTTTGCTATTGTGAATAGTGCCGCAATAAACATACGTGTGCATGTGTCTTTATAGCAGCATGATTTATACTCATTTGGGTATATACCCATTAATGGGATGGCTGGGTCAAATGGTATTTCTAGTTCTAGATCCCTGAGGAATCGCCACACTGACTTCCACAATGGTTGAACTAGTTTACAGTCCCACCAACAGTGTAAAAGTGTTCCTATTTCTCCACATCCTCTCCAGCACCTGTTGTTTCCTGACTTTTTAATGATTGCCATTCTAACTGGTGTGAGATGATATCTCATAGTGGTTTTGATTTGCATTTCTCTGATGGCCAGTGATGATGAGCATTTCTTCATGTGTTTTTTGGCTGCATAAATGTCTTCTTTTGAGAAGTGTCTGTTCATGTCCTTCGCCCACTTTTTGATGGGGTTGTTTGTTTTTTTCTTGTAAATTTGTTTGAGTTCATTGTAGATTCTGGATATTAGCCCTTTGTCTTTTCCTTTTAATAACTTTTATAGGATTTAGAAGTTGATACTTTTCTGTTTCTAATTTTTATTTGAAATTAGTTTTCCTAAACTTTTAGAAAGAGACAGTGTCCAAGATAGTTTTTCTAATTTTGCAGCACTCCATCTTCTGTCGTTTCCCTGTGGTGTGAAAAATGTTGGTTTGCTTTCTAGGATTTCTTGGCTCTGTTTCCCTCACCCACTTTTATTTGAACCTTCTCTTTCCATCCTTTCTATGGTTCCTAACTTCTCTTATGTCATTTTAAATGACATGAGGATTTGACTATTAAGCATATTCTCAAGGCTTGACCATGTGCTACATGCTGGTAGATGTTAAGACGGCCTAGAGCCCATCTCTGATCACAAGTTAAGGGTCTTTCCAAGTTTAATTGTAGATATGCCACACAAAATAAATGGGCCAGACTACCCACATTGGCAGAGTTAAGGAGAGAAAAATAATATATCTAGATGTAGATAGGAACTGAGTTTGACCTTAAAGAGTAGATATGGACTGCCTGAAAAAGTAAAGAATGTAGGCAGACAGGTCTACAGATGGCCCTGGCCAATCCAGCTCTCCTTCCTCCAGCTCTTATTTCTCAGAATAACTGTAGAACGTTCTAAGAATGTGACATCCTGAAATAAAGAGGAAGTGTCCAGGGCAACACAGTCTCTGCCCTCATCCCTCGTAAAACAGGATGCTCTGCAACACTTGGGCTCAGCAAACCAAGAGACACCCGGGGTATAAAACCCAAGAGCAGAGTGCTTTCTGGGGCCCTCAGCTGCAGTGAAACATACAGCATGTGCAGACAGAACTCCATTCGCCTGGGGCAACTTGCCAGAGCCTGGAGTCTGGCTCCCCAGGGATCCTAGGCTTCTATTTGTTCTTATCTGTGAGTGAAAAATTTGTTTTGCTTCACGTGTGGTGTGACTGTTCTGTCTCACTGAGCTTGAGAACCTTTGCAAAGGTGAGGCATTCCCTGGCATGTGCCAAAAATGCAGGGAAGTGGGTGGGGTGGGGGATGAAAATACAAGCAAATATGTGGTTAAGGTTTATGCACAGGAGCGGACATGGTGGCTCACGCCTGTAATCCTAGCACCTTGGGAGGCTGAGGCGGGCAGATCACTTGAGGCCAGGAGTTCGAGACCAGCCTGGCCAACATGGTGAAACCTCATCTCTATTAAAAACACAGAAATTAGCCGGGTGTGGTGGCGGGTGCCTGTAATCCCAGCTACATGGGAGGCTAAGGTGCGAGAATCTCTTGAACCCAGGAGGTGGAGGTTGTGATGAGCCAAGATGGAACCACTCACTGCACTACCCCAGCCTGGGTGACAGAGACTCTTTCTCAAAAAAAAAAAAAAAAAAAGAGTCATCCACACAGAATTATGGAACAGAGAGGAGACACGATTGGCTAGTGAGGTAAAGTGCCACAGAAGGAAGAAGGAGAGGGGTCAATGGGGAATGTAAGTGAATAAATAGAAGGGGATCATAATGTTAAAAAGAAAGAAAATTGGGCTGAAATTGCTTAGCATTTATGATACATTTTAAAAACAATAAACCAGGATTCAAAATTCTAGAGAGATTGGTTTGTGGTTTATGGGCCAAGTCTTCTATTTTGATTATGTGCTCCCTTTTATACCTAGTACCTTGCACATACAATGCTCTGAAATTTGCTGATTCTACACAACAGGAAATTACTGTAGGTATACTCCAAAAAAAAAAAGTCTTTGTGAACCAATATAAATACACTGATCATAAAACAGGTGCTGGCCCTCAAGGAAAATATAGTCAATGATGTCTAAGACAGTTGAGATAAAGAATTCACAAATCAGCGTGGCTGTGAATGACCATTAGTATGGCTTAACGTAAAAAAAAAGTACACCTTTTAAACATATGTTTAAGAAATGTTATTTTCAAGAATCACTAAATATGTGAAGCAAGCAAAGAGCAAACGAGTTTAAACTCAGATAGAAGTAGATGTCAGCACTTAATAAATGATATTTTTTCCCCTCTTTCTCTCCTCTCTTTTTCCGACATGAATGTGATACTGTTCCTACCAGACCAGAGGCTGATAAACATCGGCCCCTGGGCCAAATCCAGCCTGCTATTTTGTGTGGCCCACAAGCCAATGGTTTTTATATTTTCAAGTGGTTGGGGGAAAAAAATCAGAAGAAGAATAATATTTTTATGTCACATGAAAGTTACATGAAATTCAAATTTCAGTGTCCATCAGTAAAGCTTTATTTGAACACGGGCTTACTTATTCATTTACATATTATCTGCAGCTGCATTTGTGACATGACAGACTTGAATAGTTGCACAAGAGATCGTATAGCCCAGAAAGCCTGAAACATTTACTATCTGGCCCTTTGCACAAAAAGGGTGCTGACCTGTAGACTAACACAAATCATGGGTCCCTAGAAAGTTGAAACACAGATTATATTAACGTAATTCAGCTCATTATGAAATTTGCCTTGCAGCATTTTACTCAGCTCCTGAGAGGAAACAATATAACCTTCCAACTCAGTCACTTTTCTTCCAAGCCAGGACACCATTCTTCGGCATCCCTCAATCATGCGGGCTTCTCGTTCCTTGCATAAGCTGGTATTTATTTAGACTGGTCTCACTAACCCCTTAATGTTTCAATTGTGTCCAGGCTTCCAGTCCCGTGAAAGCCTCCTGGCCTCTAGAATCCCACCCTAACCTGTGTTCTGCCAGATGGAAGCAGTTGCCCTTCTGCCCCGCTGGAGCATTTAGGCTGTGAGGTCAGATCATCTAGCCCTGATTAATAATGAACTGTTTCTCATTGCTGTCAGCTGTGTTGAGTGTCTGCTGAAGTCTGAGGGGAGCACCTCCAAGGAAAGAGCCTCTGCTGAGCACTTTTTTCTGTCCCTCCTACCTAGGGCCACCATGCCCATTAGTACATGATCAACATGCATTTGTTGATTGATTCGTTGATGGACTGATGGAGCAGCTGGGCTACTGGAGGAGCAGCCTGGGGTAAAGGAGGAGCGATCAGAAAGGCCTTTATGTGGGCTGTGCCTCAGAAAGTGTCTATTAGTTTTGTGCTCTTTCTCCTTCATGCCCCTTCTGGGTTCACTGGATTTGAATGGCGTTTGAGAAGGGGAGAAGGTGGCGCAAGTGAACCAAAGCAACTTAACTCCATCTGCCTTCGATTCCAAGGCTGAGAAAACATTTCCAGAAGGCCTGGTGCATAAGAACCTGATGTGGTGACAGGATGTTCTGTCTTCCTCTTGTTACACAAGCAAGCGCGCTGAGTCTCGGCAGGCTCATAAATCCTGAGGGCCTTTTCCAGCAGCCCCGTTCGGGTCGCCTACCCCCATTCCAGGAAAGGGACGCTTTGAAACCCTCATCACAAGAGAACATTGTGTCTTTGAACATCCGGCGCCACTGGGGTTTGACTTCTCCCAGCGCAGGTAGGATGGGCCAGCCAGTGAGGTCAGATGTGATTTATGCTTCTAAAGCTCTTGCCTTTCAGAATTTTGGAAGAAAATACAAGCTGCCCAATACTGCACAGTGCTATGTTTGAGTGAACTGAAATATGTATTATAAATTCATGGCTTGAATTTTCCAGAAGGAGACCCAGAGATGTGTGGCCCAGGGATTAACACAGAGTGGCTGCTTGCAGAGTGGAATTGGGATGAAACCAGGGCCCAGGAGGGGGCCAGGTCAGACCTGAGGAATTTGTAGCAAGTCACTGGCAAGTGACTCCCCAGCCAGCCCACTTTGAAGGCTCTTCCGTAACTACCAGAGGAAGGAAAGTCTGGGGCCCGGCATAGAGGAAGAGGGAAGGAAGAGGAAAGAGAGAAGTGGGGACACTCGTAAGCCAGACACCTAGCCCAGGCCCCTTCACACACTCCCACACCCACAGCAATGGTATCTTGGTACTGCCCCCTTTTCTGCTTCTTTTCTCATCAATATTTGTGGTGTTTCTGGCCACACATCGAGTATTTGATGTTTGGCGACACATTTTTAAAGCACACACAAAAAACACATTATGCCAGCAAGGTACCGAGTTCTGGTTTGGCGAAGCATTTAAAACACACACACACAAACATTGTGCCAGCAAGGGGCTGAACTGCAGGTCCTCTGGTGTGAGACCTTAGGCAAGAATTATGTTCAGTTCCTTCTTCTATAAAATGAGAGACCATAGTATCTACCTCCTGGTGTTACCTTGAGAGTTAAGTCAGACACTGTCTTTGAAAGTACTTTATTCACTGCTATTCAAGCAGAAAACATTACTAAGAAGCCTGGGGTACTAAGTATGTGGCTACAGATACACCTACTATGACTATGGCCACTAGCCCTGCAACTATTACCAGATATGCCAATCAAAGGGACGGACGACAAGGTGAAGAATCTAGAAACCACATCATATCTCAGAGGAATGGCTGAATAACCCAGCTGGCACTGGACTGTAGAAACATCTCAGTGGGAAAATAACTATCTTCAAGGATGCAAAGGTTTGTCATGTGGAGTAGCAGGTGGCTTTGTCCCGAGTGCCTCCAATAAAAACTCAAGACCACAGATCAGGATTAGAATTAGAATTGTTCACTGGCAAGTAAACAAAAACTATTTTATTACAGGACAAGGAGAACTTGCTCTTAATATAATTGTCAAACAGTGCAAAATACCATCATAGGACAGACACAGTGAAGACATTGTCTTAGGAAATGCCAAAGGAGAGAGATGAACATCTATACAGACGGACTTCAGTCATTCAGTCATTGATTTACTTCTATAACAATGTCTATTGATGGCCTTCTGAATCTCAGGCAGTTCTTTGTAGGTACTGAGAACACCACAGTGAACAAAACCGATTCTTGCACTCACAGATGGTCCATTACATAGGGCCCTGGATGGGAGGGCGATGCTGCATCACTATAGCCATTTTTTTTATCACCTCTATCATTTCTCTTTTAGAACACTACAGTTTCACAGGTATATGATTAAATGGGAAGAAGGGAACAATTGACTCATATCCTGTTTTTTTTTTTTTTTTTTTTGGCCTTGTACATTGATTCTCCCTCCAACCTGGCAGAGAATGGCCCTGGCAGTATGGAACGAGTAGTGAAACAATCCTCCAATTCCCAAGGAACCCCTTCTTCTTACTCAATGGCTCTCCCTTGGTGAAAATGGCTTGCCCTCCCCCAGTGAGTTTCAGGTAATGACTATTCTGAGAGCTGGACTTCCAGGACAGCCTTCCAAGGAGAGTCCTTGAAAGACAAAGAGCCCTAAGCCCCCAAGACATCTAGGAAGCTCCTGCAAGGGGAACAGCAGGGTTCCTGCACACAGACACAGGTGACTGCAAACAGGATGATGTAACCCTACTCTGCCTAAAATACATCTTCTCTTGCCCTGAAGATAGTCTGCAATTCTCCCAGGCAACGTCTCTTAAAATGCAAACATTCCTGACAGGAGTCCTCCTTATTGCTCAAATCCAAGCTCGGTAATTCCTGAAGGTTCACCCTCCTAAAACTTCACCTGGCTCTTTCTCCTCCCCTGCACCACAACTGCCTTGCCACCTCTTGCCCAATGTGTTCTAACAACCTCTCGCCAGTCCTCTTACCTCCTGCTAAAACTCATGCCTGTCTGAGCAGCAAATCTTTGTAACACTGGAGCTCCTCAAAAGCCTGCCACTTTCTGACTAACCTTCAGTGGCTCACTGCTGCCGACAGCACAGTCTTCAAGAGGGAGTATACACGCCCCAGGACTCTGGGAAGGAAATACTAGAACTTCTCTGAATGTGTTTTCCTAAAAAGTAAGAAAAGTTAATCTTTACTGATAGAGCTAACATATAGATCAGGGCAGGTGAGGTCTTTACAAGAAAAGGAGGTAGCACATACCAGAAGATGGCCCCCTCTAGGCATCTATTGGCATTAGGAGCCTGAGACATACTGCACTTAAGTGGATTTGAGGTTATACTATTTGAACTATTTAAACCAGCCTCCACACATAAATAACTGGTTTAAACAATTTGCTGCTTCAAAAACTCTTGCTAGTTGAAGAGATGAGGAAACGTATGAGTAAACAACAAGATAAAATAGAATCGTCATTTCCCCAGGTCTTATCCCACTATATGACCTTCATCAGCTCCAGTACAAAGTAATAACAATAACCTAAACAATAACAATAGCCTAAGTAACAAGAACCTAAAGACATCTGATAAGGAGGCTAAAACACGTTTTAAGTCCTTGAGAACTCTGTTCCAAACGCGTGTTTACGTCTACCACGATTAACACTAGACTACTCCTTCAGATCATATCCTGAGCATATGAACTGCCTTGAAACATAATCTAATAATCATATGATAATTAACAAGACATTTAAAACCTTGGGAGTCACCATTTCATAAAAGAAAAAGATAAATAATAATATGTATCTATTTATATATATGCATTTGCTTTATTTGCATAAATAAATATTAGAAAGGGTTTATTTATATAAATAGATATTAAAAGCTAATAAAAGTTGTTCACTGTGTGGGCAAAGAGGATGAATGGATGGGGCTGGGGTGAGAGAGACTTCTCATTTCATACCTTCTGAAATCACAGTGACTTTGGAACAATATGACTCTATTAACTATTCAAAACATTAAGTGAAAAAAACAGCTTTGACAACACCATGTCGAACTACGAATCTGTAGCAAAATTTAGTGTCATATAATAATCCAATTATTTGCAAAATGTCACTAAAATTAATAACAATGTATAGAATCCCTGTTTCTATTTTCTTAAAAATATGAATTCAATGGAACATGTATAAAATTTAGAAATACCTAAAGATCGATATATTTGAGATGCCTACTCAAAATTGTTTTACAGACAATTGTGTGCAGACGAAAATATTTGGTAATGACTGGCCTGGAAGATTAAGTCCAAACTCTCAAGGCTGTTCTTCTAGACACCTTCTTAGCTTCCATTCCTTCCCTTTCCACACTCTATGCTTCCGCCACGTTTTGGCCACTGCCCTGCCAGAGACTGAATATACAAATGGACAATGGTCAGACCATATATGAAAAGAGAAAACTTGGCCGGGTGCGGTGGCTCACACCTGTAACCCGAGCACTTTGGGAGGCCAAGACAGGTGGATCACCTGAGGTCAGAAGTTTGAGACCAGCCTGGCCAACGTGGTGAAACTCTGCCTCTACTAAAAATACAAAAAAATTAGCCATGCATGGTGGTGAGCACCTGTAATCCCACCTACTCGGAAGGCTGAGGCAGGGAGAATTGCTTGAACCCAGGAGGCAGAGATAGCAGTGAGCTGAGACTGGGCCGCTGCACTCCAGCCTGGGCAACAGAGCGAGATGCCATCTCAAAAAAAAAAAAAAAAAAAAGAAAAGAAAAAAGGGAAAACTTTAACCCATGACCAGCAGTAACCTGCCCGGAAACCAACCCCTTGTTGACAACCCAGGAAAAACACACCTAGTCTAAGACTTATGGGAAGCCAGATCACTGTCTCTAGTGACAACTTGGGATGCTAAACAATACAACTTCTGTAACAATCAGTCCAAAATGGCCAGGACTCTATTAATAACTGACTTTTCCCTAATTTTTGACCCTTCTTCCAACTTAGGAGCAACCAGTAAAAGCCAAATATGCCCTTCTAACCAATCACATGCCAAATATTCAATGTACCCATCTATTCACCTCTTCATCTGTTTTAATTTTTTCTCCCTTTCTCCTTCCCTCTCTTCATCTTCTCCCTCCCTTCCTATCTTCTTTCGTTCCTCCTTTCCTTCCTTCCTTATTTTTCCCCTTCCTTCCCTTCTTCCTTTCTTCCTTTCTCCATATTTCTTTGTTTCTTCCTGCTTTTCTATTAGGACTACAAGAAGAAAGAGAACAGCCCCATTGAGAAGAGAAGCAGGAATCTAACATTAGGAGATCATTTCCTCAAGTGCACAAAGCTCAGTTCCTAAATGAAACCCTGAACTTCAGGGGCCACCAATAGATGGGATGATGGCCTGAGATAAGCAGAGAGTGTGGAGTTCGCAATTTTACAAAAGAGCTAAATATAATAGTAATTGATGGAAGCAGTTAGATCAAAATAAATTATTTCCTAGGCAGTTTCAAAATCAGAAAATGCTTAAAATGCAAACCACAAAATGAAGACAACCTCAAAGGTTAATGAAAACCTGCAACAATAGACAAAGGAAATGAAGAATTGCAATACAGCCTCCTCCCAAATCTATTAAGCAGTCATACCAACATCCTTCCAAATGGGGAATGCTATCCCGCTCCATTTATTCTGCCTTGGAACTGCTGAAATAAGGACAAGATGTTAAGATAAAATGCCTCAGTGGCTTCTCTCTCCACCAGACCAAGAATAAAGACACTAGTCCCTTCAAACATTGCTGAGACAGCACTGGCTTATGCAGCATTGCCTAGTAGGTGTCCCATGAGAATTTGCAGAATGAATTAAGAGTCCATGGGTCTAGCCAGTTAAAAAGGGCAGGGAAGAACTAGGGAGGATAGCGGTAAAGAAACTGTATGGTAGATCTAATGCAGAGCCAAAAATACTTGTCCAGGGAAGGAACTCAAACAAAGTCAAAAAGTCTAAACTCATAGAAGTCACTATAAAAGTTAAAAGGTAGATACAGGGAGGCTGAAAAAGTAAAATTGGGTAATAGGTTCTGGGTTGACAGAAGGGAATTTAGTGCTATGGAGAGTACAAATTCAAGATCCAGAAATTTAGGCGTATGCTCAAGTCTGAAAAATAGAAGAATATTCAGCCGTGGGAAGAGGACTGGAGACAAGTAGACATGGGCCCTGGGGCACATAGAGGGGTGAGTTGCCTCCAGATCTGTAGGATTTATATTTCATAGAATCTGGCCCTATTTTTGTCAGAATGTGTTCTTAAAACAGTACTATGTATTGTAGTCTGGCAATGAATGCCTGAAAATCAAGAATTCTGGCTTTATGCTAATGTCCTGTTCTGTACCCTTAGAGATGCCACTGAACTTCACTAACTACAGAAACAGAAAAAAACTAGTTCCTGAAAGATGAAATAGCCAGGCATAGGCAGGAGAGAAAAGCCACTGTACAGTTGTCAGGAGTTCTGGTTCAGAGCCTGGCTCCATAACCAATTTATGTGTGGCCTTGGACAACCATCTAGACTTTTTCTGTTTTAGTTTGCTCACCAAGAAGATAGGGATGAATTGCCTTATAACTTGCTCCTGTGTTTATGTGGGACCCAAGTGAGATCCTGCAGGTACATGTCCTTTGGAAACATAAAAGCACTATTCAGACATGTCCCTTATAATTATGAGTCAACAGTAGGACAACTAGGTTTGTAACTATTACTTAGGGCACCACCAAGCACTATCCTAAAATTGTTCAATTTCTTTCCAAGGAAAGACTGAATTTTGTTGGGTTGGGTTTGTTTTGTTTGCCTCCCTCAAATCTTTAAGTTACACCTGGGAAATTGGTGGTTGGCCTGATCCAGGCCTGCATTCTCCTTTCCTTTGCTTGGCATGGGATTTCAGGTGCTTTGATGTCAGATGCTCTGCTTGGCGACTCCAGCATGGGCAGCATTTTCCTTGTCTCGCAAGCTGTCAGGACAACAGGAAATTTTAGAGTTGGCATGAGAGTATAACCCAGCCACCCTGGACTCTGTTTCCTCCAAGAGATAAGCTTAGTTGACCGTGAAGACAAATGGAGGGTAATTCTGCGGAAAATCGCAGGGAATTGGCCCATTTGGGTGCCATGTAGTTGGGATCTTGTGCTCATTGGGTGAACTGATTTTCAATAAAAACATCACCTCTGTCTGTTCCTTTTTTGCTGACAGTACACAGGAGGTATGCTGAGCCGGGAGAAATTGGTTGCAAAGTTTATCCTGCGGTCTCCCTGACACTCAGTCACATAAACATCCACTGGCAGGAGCAGCCTCTAGTCAGGGAAGCTCAACTGCAGTATGATTATAAGTTAACCAAGAGTAAAAATGGCCAAGAGAACAACATTGGACCCCCAAGCCCATGAACCTTCCTTTTATGCCTTTGCTCTCTTCTGCCTCTAAACGTTGTTTTCTCCCCTTATGGTTCCTCAAAATTTGCTTTCCTGAGAGTTTGATATTATTAATGAAGCCTTAGAGTGACATGCAAAGCAATGAGCCAAACATTGAATCGAATGACTTGGGTTTAGTCTTTAGTCTTCCACTGTGCACTGGAGTGACTTCATTGCCATCTGTAAGCCCAACTGCCTCCAGTGTCAGCCAAGCAAGGGATAATATAACCAGAACTTCTCTCTTATTTCATGCAAGTGTGAGAGTCAGACAAAACTAACAACGGAAGGACACTTTGAAAAATGGAAAGTTACAGTACTTTTGATATATTTTTATTAGTAGCAATATTTGTATTAGGAGTAGCCATAGGAGTAGCATTAGTAGTAGCAGTCTTCTTGATATCAGAAAGAACCAACTTCTTGCCAGTCTAACTCTGTATCAACTATTAACCTCATTACCATAATTACTATTTAATATGCATCTCTCATTTTATTTTTTCTATGGCATTCACCTAAGCATAACTAATGTCTGTCTATTCTCTTCCATGTCTCTCCCATCCAAACTTGCTCTTGGGAAAGGATTTGATCTCAGTCAACAAAACAAAAAGGGTAGACGTGGTAGAATAAAAATCCTAAACCTAAAGAGGAAAAAAGTGAAAAGGAAAGAAAGAGGGGCAAAGAAAGAGAAGGAAAGCATTCTCTAGGACTTAGAATCTCATGGAGAAAAAAAAGAAAGACTGTTTAAGATTTTGTTAGGGCCTCCCTCCTCCACTTCTCTAGGCCAGGAACAGTTTGACCAGTGGTCATTTTCTTAGCTGGCTTAGACTTCCTCAATATGGAGAAAGAAAGCGCTTATAAAAGTCCCAAGAGGATTTGAGTAAACGTGATCCTGCAATTCAGGGTAAAATCTTTGTGTTATTTTACACAATTAATTGCTTCCTCAACATTTGCTGTAAGATGCTATTTTAAGAGGTGAGTGAGCCACAGGAAGCACTGAGACTCCCTGTGCTGAATGGATGGACTGTGTCCTGGTGATCAAAATTCATTTCCGAGTTATTTCCTGAAATGGTATTTTGACACCTGGGTCATACGTTAGCTTTATGGAGTTCCTCTGTGACATGCAACGATGATGCAGATGTGTGATAGAACATTATTCACAGAGAGGTAACTTGGAAGTTCATTCCTGCTTGTGAAACTGAGTTAAGTATAGGGAAAGGTTTAAGAACTCAGATTTGCTTAAATGCAAAGTGCAAAAGATTAGTTTACTTTTTAGTTGGGATGACTTTCTCCTGTGGCATCGTTCCCAATCCAGTTGTCTGTAGCAGAGCCTTCACGAGGCTAAATCGTTCATTATAGGGCTCCACATATTAAGGGTAGAAGGATCCTGAGGGATCACCTTTTTCAGACTTCTGCTGCTGAAAAACTGCCATTGTTATCCCCAATTTCCTGATAAGCAAACTAAGGCACAATAGTGTAAGCGAGCCAGCCATAATCATGCAACTGACAAAGGCTGGGCGACAGGCTCCAACCCAGAGCTCTATCCCAGGTGGAAAGCAGCGTCTAACTTTTATCCATAAGCATACTGGACTACTGTTGAGGGAACAGTGAAATATCCTTTACCCCGGGCTTGAGAAAGATGTAGAAAAAGGTCAATCAGCTGGTGGGTTTTGTATCATAACTGTTGGTGTTTTCTCCTCCCTCATTGAGCCAACCTCATGAGTTGGCAAAATAGGAAGCTATCAACAGGGTATGAATACCTTCTCAGCCCGACAGGGCCTCCAACCCCTGAAATACCTTTACCAGAGTCAACACCTTTCTTTCTTCAGTAAGTGCTAGGCCTGGAAATGCAGATCTTCATGTGGTAGCATGCTACCATGATTAAGAGAACAGCTTTCATATTTAGAAACATCCAGGATCAACTGGCTTGTCACCTACTAGCTGTGTACCCTACAACAATTATTACAAACTGTAATCTAGTTTACTTCTTTGTTAAACAGTAGTACATCACCTATCATGTGGGGCTGGTAATTGGTTAAATGAGATTGTGAGATCCTGGCACATCAAGTGAATTCACCAGTTCCATTCTGCCAAGATGGAGAAATTGGGCAGTCTTTGGTTTCCTCTCCCAGATCAACTCTTGAAAAACTGTAGGAGCAAGAGGTTAATATGGATTTCAGGAAATAATAAGAACCGCAAGTGAAGAATATCTGGGAGACTAACGTAGAGAGGTATGTGGTTACAGGGTGCAGCTAGAGGTAAAATTGAAGAAAAAGGTTCAGTTCAGCACTATTCACAATAGCAAAGCATGGAATCAACCTGATGTCCATCCATGACAGATTGAATAAAGAAAATGTGGCACATATGCACCATGGAATACTATGTAGCCATAAAAAAAGAACGAGATCATGTCTTTTGCAGGAGCATGGATGAAGCTGGAGGCCATTATCCTCAGCAAACTAATGCAGTGACAGAAAACCAAATACTGCATATTCTCACTTATAAGTAGGAGCTAAATAATGAGAACACATGGGAACAAAGAGGGAAACAACAGACACTAAGGCTTACTTGAGGGTAGAGGGTTGGAGGAGAGAGATGATTAGAAAAAATAACTATTGGGTACTAGGCTTAGTACCTGGGTAATAAAATAATCTGTTCAACAAGCCCTCATGACATAAGTTTACCTATATAACAAACCCGCACATGTACCCTGAATCTAAAATAAAAGTTTTTTTTTTTTTAAAAGATTACATTTAGCTCTTGCCTGTTCCAGCAGTAACATTCCTTTGGGACAATCATTGCCTGAATTTTATACCGTAAGTCTGCAGCAAGAACCCAGACCACCAGGGCAGGTCAAAAGCTTTACTGGGTGAGAAACTGAAAAATAGGTACAAGAGGCCAGGTACGGTGGCTCAGGCCTGTAATCCCAGCACTTTGGAAGGCCGAGGTGGGCGGATCACCTGAGGTCAGGAGTTCAAGACCAGCCTGGCCAACATGGTGAAATCCCGTCTCTACTAAACATACAAAAAATTAGCCAGCATGGTGGCAGGCACCTGTAATCATCCCAGCTACTTGTGGGGCTGAGGCAGGAGAATTGTTTGAACCTGGGAGGCAGAGGTTGCAGTGAGCCGAGATCACACCACTGCACTCTATCTAGCCTCACCAACAAGAGCAAAACTTTGTCTCAGAAAAAAAAAAAAAGGGGTATAAGGGTCTGGTTGTCCTCTGGCATGGCATTCATTGCCACCTCAGCTCTCTTCCCCACAGACTGCCAGCTGTTGTATTAGTTTTCTATTGCTGCCATAACAAATTACCACAAACTTAGCAATCAGTCCTGTGTGGAGAAAGTCTGGGTACAATGTGGCTCAGTCGGATTCTCTGTTTAGTCTCACAAGGCTGAAATTAAAGTGTCAGAAAGGCTGTGTTTTAAGGCCCTGGGAATAAATCCGATTCCAAGTTCATTCAGATCATTGGCCAAATCCAGATCCTTGCAATTTGGTGACTGAGGTCCCTGTTTCCTTGGTGGCTGTCATCCAGGGGCCAATCTTTTCTCTTAGAACCTGCCTGCATTTCTTATGCTTTCCATGCGGCCTCTTTCAGTAACAGTGAGTGAAGTTCCTCTCACACTTCAAATTTCAGAAACATCTTTTCTCTGTTGTACCTGTCTGACTTTAACCAGAGAAAGTTCACTGCTTTAAGGACTCATGTGATTAGATTGTTCTCACTGGGAGAATCCAGGCGCCTCTCCTATTCAAAGGCTCAAAACCTTACGTGCACCTGCAGAGAGTTCCTTTTGCCATGTAACATGACATATTCACAGGATTCCAGGGATTTCAGTGTGGACACCCTTGGGGAACTCACTCTGGCCTGTCACAGCTGGCATGCTTATAGGACTATTTTATCAACACTAAAGACCTGTTTCATCACCTGCTCCTTCCAATCCTTTCACCTGCAGTCTAGATTCTTCTTCTCCTGCCCTCATCCATCAATTATTTTCTCTTTTGCATATATTTATAAACTGTTTCCCTAGGGATCCTTACTCAAAGACTGTAAACATCTACTGGTTTCTCTCCAGCTCTTAAAACCCTCTGTCAGTCCTTATCCCCTCTTACATATGCATTTCTCTTTTTTATACCCTGTTCCAGATAACATTTTTCACTCATCTTTGCCATTCCCTCATCTGCTCACTTCTCTGTCCCCATAACAAGGCTTTGGCCCCTAGAAATCCAAGGAAACTGCTTAAGCACGTGTCATCAATGACTTTCAAGCTTTCTAACCTGAACGTAATCCCCAGGTGTCAAGGGAGAGACCAGGTGGAGGTAATTGAATCGTGGGGGCAGTTCCCTCATGCTATTCTCATAATAGTGAGTGAATTCTCACGAGATCTGATGGTTTTATAAAGGGCTCTTCCTTCGTTGCTTGGCACTTCTTCCTGCTACCTTGTGAAGAACGTGTCTTGCCTTCCACCATGATTGTAAGTTTCCTGAGGCTTCCACAACCATGCTGAACTGTGAGTCAATTAACTCTCTTCCTTTGTAAATTATCCAGTGTCAAGCAGTTCTTTATAGCAGTATAAAAATGGCCTACTACAGAGACCAAGTCCTATCCAGTATACTCTATTTCTTTGGCATCTGTCACATCCTTACATCCTCCATCCCCATTGCTATGTCTTTATAGGAACTACTATTTGTTGAGTCCCTATATATGAGATATTGTGAGATATTGTTAGACCTTTTTTTTTTTTTTTTTGAGATGGAGTCTTGCTCTGTCACCAGGCTGGAGTACGGTGGTACAATCTCAGCTGACTGCAACCTCTGTCCCCCGGGTTCAAGCGATTCCCCTGCCTCAGCCTCCCAAGTAGCTGGGGTTACAGCTGCATGCCACCACGCCCAGCTAATTTTTTATATTTTAGTAGAGACAGGGTTTCACCATGTTGGCCAGGATGATCTTGATCTCCAGACCTTGTGATCTGCTCCCCGCCCCGGCCTCCCAAAGTGCTGGGATTATAGGCGTGAGCCGCCATGCCTGGCCTTTAGACCCTTTTTTTTTTCTTTGAGATGGAGTTTTGCTCTTGTTGCCCAAGCTGGAGTGCAATGGCGCCATCTCGACTCACTGTAACCTCCACCTCCCAGGTTCAAGCGATTCTCCTGCCTCAGCCTCCTGAGTAGCTGGAATTACAGGCACCTGCCACCAAGCCCAGCTAATTTTTTGTATTTTTAGTAGAAACAGGGTTTCACCATGTTAGCCAGGCTGGTCTCGAACTTCTGACCTCAGGTGATCTGCCTGCCTCAGCCTCCCAAAGTGCTTGGGATTGCAGGTGTGAGCCACCACATCCAGCTAGACCCTCTTTGAAGATTATTTTAGTTTATCTTCACAACAATCTGGGGAGGTAGGTAATATTATTTCTATTTTACAGCTGACAAAATGTAGGCATAGTTAGGTTAAGTGATTTAGCATGGTTCACATAGTTTCTAAGTAGCATCCCAGGTTCATCTAGTTCTTAAGTCAATGCTCTTTCCAAAGCACTGTTGCAATATGCTGTTTGAGATCTTAGTATCCTTCCTATGGACTCCGATGTTTTCTCTAAACAGTCTCCCTATAGCCCTTCTTGTTCTGTTAATCTCTCCTCAACACGTGGAATCAGAGTAATTTGTATAAAACAAAAATTCAAGGATATTACTACTTGGCTTAAAACCTGTCCATGTTACTACCTGGTTTAAAAAAAATCTGTGCCACACTGAGATCATTCTTACCTCTTTAAACCTCATTTTCGTTTGATTTGCTTTTGCCTCCAGCTTATTTTCTTGTCGTACTCCTATCTGCTCCCCATATCAAGCTCCTAACCACTCCCAAACTTGCCTCCCTATTTCTCACTGCACCCTCCACTTGGGATTCCCTTTTCTAACTTGTATTCTGGAGAACCTCTGTCATTCAAAATTAATCAGCTCAGCTTACTCATTGAAACTATCAACCTCCTAGTAGAAAGCTTTCTAGGTTTTTCCAAGAAAAATGTAATTACATGCTCTTTTTGTGTGTGTGCGTGCACCATGCTCTGTACATTTTTCTCTTGTTGAACTCAACTTTGGTTCACTTATATTTGTTTACCTTTCTTCTTCCTTCTATTAGAAGTATAAGGTCCAAGAGTCAACGAACACATATTGCTTGTATTTACATTCCTACTACATGCTTGTCACATGTGAGGATTCAATGATTGTTAAATGCACGAATTCATGAAAGACAGAGACTTGAAGGCAAGACTAAACAGTCTAGATTTTATTCCCTAGATTTAAAAAAAAAGGAAAAAAAAGTCATTGAACTTTTGGAGAGGTTTTTGGCTTGCTTTTGCACATGAGAGTACCACGTTCAAGGTGGATGTAACTAGTAGCAGTATGCAAGGTGGACTGACATGGGGAGCACTAGATCCTGGGAACACGTTACTAGACCACTTCTATAGACCAATAAACAAATGGAAATGTGGTGGAGAAAGACACTGATAATGACCTCTAAGACACAGCTATTCAACACATGGAAAATGAGAGCATCATAGCAATTGTGCATTACTATGCTCTTTTGATGTGATGCACCAGCAGGCAGTGAATATGGAATAAACAAAGAATTGTGTCAAGTGTGATTTCACAATGCCTTTGGATTTTGGAAATGGTGGGTGGATTGCGGGCGGGCGGTGGGGGGAGTTTATCATGTCTTTTTATACAAATCATAAATCTCCTTGGCACCAATTGAAAGTAAAGGCAGCAGCCTGAGTATTTAGATTTTATGCTCCATTTATTGTCTCATATTCCTCCAGTCAAAGATAATTATTTCTTAATTAATCATACGTAAACAGTCTATATCCTTTGCAGAACTGGCTACTTAAAAGAACATTTATCACAGCAATTGGTCCCACATACCCAACTGCAAATCACCCACTTTCAGTTGATTTTGCAGCAATTGACTCCTGATCATTTTTGTGTTTCTGATGGTTTGGGGAAGGCAGGGGGACAGAGATTGGAGGAGGCCAGAGGAGGGATAACATGCATAATTATCCTTTTTTTCTTGTTGATTCTCTTTAGAAAAAAATGTACGAGGATATAAAAAACCCACCGTATATTGAGATATTAGCCATTTGTATTGGAGTTGCTCAAAAAGTTATTTTATTTCAACCACAAGAAAAAGCTCCATGAAGAGTTCCCCCCAGAACAATGCCACCACCACACTATTCAATTTTCTGGAGTTATATTTATAAATGACCTAAAACTGTAGACGTGGGTTAGTGCCATCTTGGTATGGGTTATATGATCTTGAAAGGAATGTACTGAGTATTTTATCTTCATGGGCTCCCAGTGAAAATGGAATCATAGCATTTTGGCATTGAATCCAGGAATATCTAGTCATTTTGTCTTGTAGTTCTCCAGTCTCTTTAGAAAGTACTAACCAGCTTTCCCTACCTCATGGACAATAGCTGATTGATGAGCAATGTTAAAGATTTAAGTTAGGCTAAAGTCCACGATACAGAGACTAACCACCCAGGTTGTCCAGTTAAGTCAAGAAGACTTTATCTTAGAGAATGTAGTGAACCCAACCCTATGTAACTAAGGTAAGTCTAGAAAGCAGCAGCTTCAGCCATCATGTGGATCCTTCTCTTTGAAAGCAAGCTATCTGATGGATCTTCATATCTCCTCTAGCAATAAGCTCTGTTCCTGGCCCCAAATAACAATAACAAGGATAGCAAGTATTTATGCAGAATTAATTAGGGGCCAAATACTATTCCAAGTGCTTTCCACATATTAATTTAATCTTATCAACAGTCCCAGGAGGTAGACTTCTATTACTATTCCTATCTTACAGGTGAGGAAACTGAAGTATTGAGAAGGCAATTCGCCCAAGTTTACAAAACTAGTATGTGCAGGTGCTTAATACATGTAAATCAATTGGGATTAAATTGTGAGTTCAAAGATGAACTGAGCCAGTTTTTCTCAGTGTCTGTGTTGCTGCTTATAGTGCCTTAGATCCAAGAGGGTGTTCCCTTCCCCTCATCATATTTCTGAGATAAAAGTTAAAACCAAAGTCATTAACCAGGCCTTCTCTGCTGCCAGAAAACCCACTGGGACAGGTTTCTCAGCCAACTTCATTGTTCCCAATGGAACCTTCTGTCCATCTCATTCAAATGAAGGCTTTAAGAGGTTTTCTTTTCTCCCCTTTTTCTTGGCCCCCTCATTTGTATTTTCCCTGCCCATATCAAACCTGTAAATTTTTCCAAAGAGCAGTGATATGTTCTACTCATCTTTTTTCTAACTCCTTTTTATATAGCAGGCACATAATAAATGCACGTTAAATATCTTAAATATTTATATAGCAGGCACATAAATGCACATTAAAGAAATATATAAATATTTTAAATATTATTATATTTTTAAAGTGGCAAGCTTAATGAATTCCTTGACGGTATTAAATTGCAACAGTTGTACCACAAATGCTTTGTAAACTGTCCAATCTAATTCTCCTTGCTTAGAAATGAGGACACTGAAGGCTGGGCATGGTGGCTAATGCCTGTAATCCCAGAACTTTGGGAGGCTGAGGTGGGCGGACCATCAGGTCAGGAGTTCGAGAACAACCTGACCAACATGGTGAAATCCCGTCTCTACTAAAAATACAAAAAATTCGCCGGGCGTGGTGGTACGTGCCTATAATCCCAGCTACTCAGGAGGCTGAGGCAGGAGAATTCCTTGAACCTAGGAGGCAGAGGTTGCAGTGAACCGAGATTGTGCCACTGTACTCCAGCCTGGGTGACAGAGCGAGACTCTGTCTCAAAAAACAAACAAACAAACAACAACAATAACAACAAAAAATGAGGACACCGAAGTTCACTGGAGGAAACTCATCTATCCAGTGCCCAGTTGGTTGATTTGCAGGAACCTGAAAATAAGGCTACTATGAAATCCTCTTCCTTCTTCCACCTTCTTGCTTCCTTCCTCTTCTTTCCTATGACCCTGTGCATGACAACATGGGAAGGGTTCCACCTATATATTCAGACCTAATAAAAACCTTGTAAACAGGGTATTTTTCTCCTCGTTCTGTAGATTTAGAAATTTAAAATTTACTAGAGTTAAAAAACCCACTTAAGGCACTTAAATAGTAACTGTTGAAGCTGTGTTTGTCCGATGCCAAATCCTGTGTTCTTACCTCGTTTACTACAAGAATGATATGACTTCCTGAAAGAAACTTTGTTTTTGTATTGCTATGGAAAAATCACCCAAGATATACTAACAAAAGATCATCACGATATGCAAAAGACAGCACAGGGCATGGGACTTTGTGTAAAAAAAGAAATATATAAAAACATATATTTTATTGGATTGAGTATGCCAAACTATTTACACGAATGGACAGTAAATTAATCACAGGGATTACTGTGGAAACTTGGCAAATAAGGCAAGAGTGGGAGACTTCTCACAGTACTTTAAAAATACATGTTAAAATTTGAAACATATACATGGATTATCTCAACTTTTTTAAATTTAAAGCAGGTTTTACAAAGTATATGGCTTTTTATCTTGGCCATTTTGACATGGGGCCTTTTTAACCTGGTCATTAATTACAACTATTATAACTGTATAACTGCATGTCAGACATACTGCAATTATTCATTGTTGAGCCATGCCAAATCAAAACCAGTACAGAAGCCTCAAGATTATGTCTAGAGCTTCTGCTTTTACCAAAAGTACATGAGGACTTTGAGAGAGAGGCATTGTGAGGCCAGCTTCCCAGTCTTTAGCCACCCGACTGCCACAAGGCCTCACGTAGTTTTGCCATGTTGGAATAACCCCTGCCCATGGTCAGTTCTTTAGCCTCATATGCTCATTCACTTTCATTTTCCTCTTGACCAAAAGTAGATCTGTATGGCCAGAATAGATTCACATTATCTAGGTTTATAAGAGCCTGGAATATAAACTACAGAGCCAGCTTAGTAATTTATAATGAGACATATAACAGAAGAGCCAACACATTCTCTCCCGTAGGCAAAGACACATGGTGGTGCAACCTGTATTAACAGATTGCTTAATCCATATGTCGTGAGAACAGGGTGGATGAGCTCTGTGCTGGTGAGCAGTAGTTCAAGGTTGATACTACTATCTCTGCAGCAGGAACAGCTGTGCCACCAGGACCTGGTAGGTTCTGTCCTCAGGTCTGGACACATCTCCCTTGGTCATGGCTTAGATGACCCTGGAACTCCACAGTGTTGTGCTTCTGATAGACATGTTCTCCCTCTTTAGACCTGTTAAAATATTCAGCCTGGTTACGTTTGAACTGGTGACTATTCGGATCTTTAAGATGACTTAGCACAGTTTAGTTCTAATCACTACTTGAATGAATTACACGAACCTGAAATGGCCAGCCTCATTTACCTTAATCTCCAATTTTAGTGTCTCCTTCCTGTGAACTTCTTGCCACACCTACCATGAACGTTCTACAGAACCCCTGTCTCCTGACCCCACTCCCAGGATTTTTCATGCACTCTTCCTGAGAGCTGACCAGCTGTAAGTTGTGGCCAACTGAAAATACTCAAATCTGATATCCAATCCTGAGGCTTTGTTTCCTTCAGTCTGGAAAACTATATTTTCAATTTCTCTGTTTACATGAAAGGGAAATAGTGTATTTTTGTATTAGGACTGTATACCTACATAAGAGTGAGTTGGCCTCCACATTAAGTGTCAGAGAGTACAGAGGAAGGAACCATAAGATTCCTCCAGAAAGGAGGTGAAAGGACTGGATGGAGCATCTTGTTTACTACAGAAGGTGGTGAAAGAGCCACAGACAGACTTGAACAGTCTCACACTTTTGCTGATAGCTGATGCTGCAAGAGAGCATCCAAGGGAATTGAAGATCCTCAAGTCTGTCCTCACTTCTGCTAAGGGTGTTTCCCTGGCAATTTTTTTATAAAGCAAATTCCTCCGGAAAGATCATATATTCAAAGTCAAAAGTGCAGGAGGATGTATGGCAGTGCCTTTCTGGGAACTGTTTTCTTTTTTTTCACGTGAGGTCCTTCCTTTTTTGTTAAACTACATTGTACACATTCATTTCTTGTTGTACACAACAGAAATTCAGAGTAAAAAGTAAGAGTTAGAAACTTCTGTAGCAATGTGACATTTTCTCTACGTCCAAGTGTAAAACCAGTGGACTTTAGCCCAGGAAAAGGGAATAAATGGGTTTGAACATTGTCAAAGTCATGTGGTAAGTGGTACATAAAGCAATCTGCATAGAAACATACGTAATAGGACCATGCACTGGTCTGTAATGAATGAGGGGAAAAATATTGGTCCTTCTCCCTCACAGGTAGCTTGGAAAGCACTTCTGTATGGTGAAAGTCTTCCTCTTGTTCTTATTCCTCAGCTATCCAGTTCCCTCCTGGAGGCAATCAATGTTATTGGTCTCCTGTGTTTTACACACACACACACACACTCACACTAGCTTATTAAATGTTCTGTATCTTGTTTTTGCTTTTTTCATTTAGTAATATGTCTTGACGATTTTGTTTGAAACTTTTAAAATAGCTGGAGAATAACCACTTGTACAGAGGTTCTTTATTTTAGCCACTTCTGTTTTGTTATGAAGATACTGCTTAATGAATAATTGGATATATTTTATTTCACACATGCAAATAAAATGTTTGACATTGAACACTTGTGTTTAAAAGGAAGCATGCATTTAATATGCATATTAATTGTTAAATGAATGCTTGTTGAGTTAAAAATGCAAGAATTGGTGAAGCTTTTGAGGAGAGATAGGCAGATCATCTGTGGAGCCTTAAGTGCAGGGAGAATTTGGCGTCATAGGGTGGAGGCTTTGTGAAGTGCGGGGACAGCTCACAGAGCACTCAGGTTCACCTCCACGCTGCCTTGTAGGAAGGCAAGAGATTAGCAGAACTGAGCCTCAAACTCAGGCCCCTCCTATCTCAACTTCCTCCCTCTTTAGACTCCTGCTGGGATGCTCTGCTCCTTTCTTTCTGTTAAACTACATGTGTATACCCATCACTTGTTGATTGGACTTACATCTCTCTGTAGCAGGACGAGCCGCAGACAAGAACCCCTCAGATACCGAATTGTAGAAGGAAAGGGCTTTATTCAGCTGGGAACATTGGCAGACTCACGTCTCCAAAAACTGAGCTCCCTGAGTGAGCAATTCCTGTCCCTTTTAAGGCCTTACAACTCTAAGGGGGTCCGTGTGAGAGGGTCTTAATCAATTGAGCAAGCAGAGAGTACGTGACTGGGGGCTGTGTACACCTGCACTGGTAATTAGAGTGGAACAGAACAGGATAGGGATTTTCACAGTGCTTTTCCATACAACGTAATCTATAGATAACATAACCAATTAGGTCAGGGGCCAATCTTTACTAGGCCCAGGCTGTGGTGCCGGGCTGTCTGCCTGTGGGTTTCATTTCTGCCTTTTAGTTTTTACTTCCTTTTTTTCTTTGGGGGCAGAAATTGGGCATAAGACAATATGAGGGGTGGTCTCCTCCTTATCTCCTGTGCCTTTTCAGCTTCAGGAAGACACAGTGGAAAAGTGGAATGAGTTTAGGCTTCGATATAGATGCAAGGTCCTGGCTTTAAAGCCTTCTCTACCTGTGGGACTTGGGCCAGTTGTTGAACCTCTCCATTTCTTGTGTCTAAAATTCAGACTGTAGTGTGTCCTCTAGTGTGTCCTCACAGAGTGGGGAAGTATGAATTAAGCTGGCTCAGGTAATGCTCCAGTGCTGGTGTCCAGGTTGTAGTAAGCTCTCAAAAGGTTTTGCCCCCTCACTACCTTGAACACCTGCCCAGATGCTCTGTAAATGCTCACTGAACTGAATCTAGTCACATGAAACTTCACAGTACATTTCTGTATCTCTTCCTTATTGAGGTGGCTGCTTGTGTCTTCATATCTTCAAGATGCATTTACTGCCAAAGAGCTTGGGAGGCCAACTCTTAGAGGCTCATTGCATTAGAATGAAAAAAGCACAAGAGGCTGATTGTCCCCCAAGGAGAAACAGGCAAGATACTGAAGGAAAGGGAGACTGCTGCTCTTCTAGGAGTTCAATGAGAAACAGTCATTAGAGCCACAGCCTGCTGTGCAGAAAACAGGCTGTAGTGAGAGAGCATTTTGGATTCACTGACCCGAAGTTCATGCTTCCTGTCTATCTGCTGCATTCTTATATTACCTTAACAAATGTCAGCCTAGCTGTTGAAGGTACAAATGGTACACTGCAAAGAATGCACTGAACATGTTTTGAGCTCAATGTTGATGCCTCCAAAAGGGCAGGGTGGGAAGGAAATGACCAGGGCCAAAGAGGCTAAAGGGTGCCCTGTTGCAAATTGGCCAATTGAGAGTTGTTTGCTGGGACATGCATTCTGGTGCACGCTGGTGGTGCACTGGTAGTCTGTATAGCTCCTGTTGCGTCTAGTCCATGAGCTCTTTAGCCCAAATGCACTCAGATGCTCACAACAGGCTTTTAAATAGCACTTGCTGGATGAATGGCAAGTGTGTCTTTGCAGTCTCCTGCAGGATTAATTAGCAGTTTCCTGGACTTTGGTAGGATGTCCTTAATGCTCAGCAACAATCCAGCACAAATCAAAAACCTGTGTAATGGTCATTACCGTTAGAACTCAATACCAGGAATCCTCACCTTTTGTTATGAACTATTTAACTCCCTCTGCCTCTAAGAAAAAGCACATTTTTGAAATTAAAGCTGCATTTACACCCTTAGAGAAAGGTGTTTTGTTTTAGCTTGAATACTGAAAACTACTCAGTCCCTCAGGCTAATGTGAACATGATCCCCTTGTTAGTCTTTTGCTTTTCCCATGTAATACAAATGTCAAAGTCCTCAATACCAATACAAATTCCCTGCTCTTGAAAAAGACTGGTAAAAAAGGATAAAGATGTGGATGAAGAAGAGGATCTGGCCTCTCCAGGGGGACTAAGCAGAATTCATAAGAATGCCAAACTTTTCAACTGAGGCTTTAATCATTATCCATCCATCCACCCATGCATTTAACATCTATGGGACATCTACTATGCCAGAAACTGTGCTTTGGATAAAGGATGAAGAAACCACAGCCTGTGTCTTCAAGCTTCTAGTTATGAGCATCCACCAAGAAGTTACCATAGGTGATCTTGTCAGATGGCAAGAAGCCATCTGAATTCAGAGCAAGGAATTAGGGATGAAACCAGAGAAGGCCTGAGTAGTCATGGATACAAGAACATCTATCTCCCTCAATACTTTTGTGAAATTACCAGTTTTCTGAGTCTTTTCCCTTTACTTGTAATAACACTAGTCAAAGGTTGATTGCCTGATTTATTCCTTTTGGTTCCTTCCTCTGAAGGTAAGGATTCTGCTTAAGGAATGTCTAGCAATTAGTAAATACCTACAGCATAGGACTCATGTCTTCTAGAATGCCAAGCTTATTGCTAAATACATGTATAACTAATAGGTGCCTGTCTGGCCTGTTGTAGCTTTGGTATAATCTTCACTAGGTTCCATGAATACTGAGTAAGAACAGGACACTGGCAAAAATGGCAGTCATTTCTTTACTGCTGTTTCTTCTTCATTCACACCACCTTCTAGAGAACCTCCTCTTTGAAATGTAACCCCAAGTACCAGAAGCTCCCCAAGCCATGCCATGGCTAACTACACCAGATGAAGCTCAGGAAATCCATGTCTCTTTTCAGAATTAAAAAGGAACTCCTAGATTAAGTAGATTAAATTAATGAGTGTCAGTGCTTTAACTAGAAACCTATATAGATTCAAAGGGTGTGGCCACTTTTGGGTACTGCTCTGATTTACGTGATGAGTGCACGAGTAGAGAAGCTCATCTGTGACAGAAAAATGAAGCAGAGATGAGAAATTCTTAGTATCTCCCAACTCTGCAGGTCCTATGATACCCCATTATGTAGCCATTGGGTTCTATGAGTTATATATTTACATGTATAACTTCTTTCTAATATTTAAACTAGTTTGAATAGACTTTTAGTGCTCATAACCAAAGGATAGCTGACTAAGGAGAATAAAGGTCTAGGTTCTTACTAGGAATTTATCAGGATAAAAGGCTAGATACAGAAGGAATATGGACTGTGGAGGTCAGAAAGCACCAGTCTGTGATAATCCAATAATCTTACAGAAATAGGAGAAGAAAGATATCAAACCAACATCAACTTTTGCCTGTTTTAGATTAAAAAAAAATCTGAAGCATTTGGTCTGTTTCTGCTTTCCTGATGATCTATCTGATGTGAAAATCTTGCATTGTCTTTATCTACAGCTGTTCCAGCTAGTTGGTATGGAGACATTGTGGCTTTACCACTGCAGCAGCACTGCCCAGTAGAACTTCCTGTGATGACAAAAATGTTCTATATCTGTCCAACACAAAAGCCACAAGTCACATGTGGCTGTGGAGCACTTGCAATGTGACTAGTGTGACTAAGAAACTGAAAATTTAATTTATTTTTAATTAACATAAATGTAAATAGAAAGAGTCACATGTGGCACTCTCGTAGCTACTGTATTGGCTAGAGTGGCTCTAGTATATGCTGCCAAATCCCACAACTGTTATCTCAGTGCTACAACCCACTTCAACAGCCGCCCAGCAGTTCCTCTCTTCTCTCTGTTGTTTCATTATATGGCCAGTCTTCACAAAGCTATGGGAGAGATCTTCAAAAATACAAATCAGCTTAGGAAACCCTCCTGTTGATATCCCTCCTGTGATTTATCTTTACATTTGTAATAAAATCTAAACTTCTCCTGCAGCCTGAAGGTCCTACCTGATCTGACGCTTGCCTACCTATTTCGCTGTATCTTCTTCCAATCCTCCTACCACTCTGTCCCATATTCACCACACTCCAGCCTCACTGGCCTTCCTTCTGTGCCCTGGACACACAAAGGACACCATCAGCTCAGGACTTTGATTTCGTCTCTTTTAAACTTAGAATATTTTCTCCCAGATCTCGCTGTAGCTGGCTGTTCCTTGTCATTTAGATCTCAGTTTGTGTATCAGTTTCTAAGATAATTCTTTCCTGGCCACCCTGCCTAAAGCAGCTTCCACAATGGGTCCTTCTTCTTAAAATGTATTTATTTTCGTTCTGTTTCATTTTCTTCATAGGACTTAGCACTTTCTGAAATCATCTCATGTATATCTATCATATTATATCATATTATATCTTTATCCACTTACCCATCTACTCATCTATATTCATCCATCCATCCATCCATCCGTCTTCTAGTGCTCATAACCAAAGGATAGCTGACTAACATAAGGAGAATAAAGGTCTAGATTCTTATTTTTTATCATCCATCTTATCTTTTACCATCTACCTTTTACCTCTGTATCCCTTCACAAAAAGGTAAGCCCATAACAAAAGAGGATTGGTTTGACTTAGTCACTATTGTAGCCTAAGAGCCTGGAACACTGCCTGGAATGCAGTAAGTGCGCAACAAATATTTTCTGATAGATAGACTGACTCACTGAATAACTACTTATTCATAGTTTGGAACCCTTGGCTGAGGCTCTTGCAAGGACTCCTTCTCACACAGCACTGGATCCACCAGAAAGGTACTGATATGTCAAAAACTGAGCTCTGACCTTTCCCCAAAAACTGACTCCTCTGCAGTTCTCTCTGTCTTGATTAGTGATAGCACCATTCTGGTACTGATTCATGCCAAATACCTCAGTGTCATCACTGACTCCTCACTTTCTCTTACCCCACATCCTATCCATCAGCAACTTTTGGCTTAGATGACCACTTCTGACTACCTGCACTGCTACCGTCTCACCTAAACCACTAAAATCCCTTCATCTCGTGCCTACATTATGGTAGAGCTCTCTTAACTTCTCCTACTCCTAACCTTGGACTCTTCATTCTAGCTTCAACAGCATGATTCTGTTAAAACATAAATCAAATTATGCCATTTCTTTATCCAAAACCCTCCAGTGCCTTTATTTTACTCAGAGTAAAACTCAAAGTTCATTTAGAAAGACCCACAAGTCCTATACCATTGACCCCATCACCTCTTTGATCTCACCTCTAACAATGCTTTCTCCTGCTCACTTCTTAACCACACTGGCATCCTTGTGCCAATAAGATGCCAAGCACACCCCATCTTGCTGACTTTTACAGCACTGCCTTTAAAAACTAGAAGTCTCTGCCCAAGCCACTCCTATTCTCTTCCCACTTTATTTTTCACTCTAGCACTTAAAGTCTTTTAATATATTACATAATTTTTAAATTGTGTGATTCATTCCTCATCTGCTTCTCATAGAACATAAACTCTATAAGGGCAGGGGCTTTTACTAACTTGTTTGTTCTATTCACTGCTACAGTTCCTATAACAAGGCCTGACTCTTAGCAGAATTCAATTCATCTTTGTTGAATGAATGAATGAATGAGTGGCACATAGCCAGAAATTTAACTTAACTAATTTAAATAGCTAATGAGATAATTTTCCAGATAAAGTGAGTTTATGTTTTAAATAGATGGAAGTGTCATCAATTGACTAGGATGCTAAAGGATCAACTTACTGAAATACTTCTGTCCCAAAGTATTGAGGCCACTGAGAGTCCAAGTTGATTGGCTCAGCTACTGATTTTTCAGAGCAGAATATTCTCCTTCACCATTGGCACTTAACACCGCAAGATCATCAGAACAACTTGGCGAACACAGTATGCCCGTCAGACAACCACAAACACAGGGAGGAGGAGATCTTTGTAAATAAGTCAAGAAAGTGAATAAAAAATCTCCTCTGTCAGGATTTTCTTGTTAGCATTGTTTACAAACTGCAGGTTCTTTAGAGCTGCTTGCCACCCTAGGAGATGACACCAGGGGGCCAGAAACTATCAAGGGAGTCAGGCGTGGTAGCTCACGCCTGTAATCCCAGCACTTTGGGAGGCCAAGGCCGGCGGATCACAAGGTCAGGAGACAGAGAGTGGGGATGCAAACACCTCAATAAATGAGAGGTCACTTCAAGAGATGGAGGAAAGGCAGCCTGGACCCATAGCTGCATCACTAGCTTTTCCTGTCACCTCAGTTGTGCCAAAATGCAATACTTAGCTTCAGGCTACTTCAATGATACCAACAATAAAGGGAATGAAAGTGGTATGGTGTCTTCCATTTTAAAATAATAAATCAAGGATTCAGAGAGGCCAACTAGTTTTGATATATAAAATTTGCTTAGTACATGCAGTAGAGCAGCCACCAAAAATCTCTCATCACGTCTGTGAATTCCCCACACCCCTTACTCACATCCATAAGTTCTAATGAACTGAAGCTTTCTTATTTTAAGTGAGCATCCAATAAACTATGACTTTCCTTGACTCATCATGCATTTCAGCTCTCCACTGGTGGGAAAAGAGAGAAGAATCGTTTCCTAGGAGTTGTGATGAGCTTGTAAAGAATTTTATGATCCACCCTTTCATGTCTTAAATCTGTGAAGTACATATGTATTGAGTATCTGTCTGCTTTGTGCAAAGACCTAAGCTAGGAATTTGATCTACAAGGAGAAGGGAGAGACAGGACTCTGGTGATAGAGTCCAACCTGTAAAGAAGTAAAGGCAGAGGGACAGCTGCCTGTGGTTGAACACTTATATTGGAGAGCCATCCTATCTGAGGAGTAGTTTCTAAAGCCAGAAAATATGATTTGAAATCAACATTAGCTTGAAATATCTTAGGAAATACCACAGTGAGAACCAACTTACAACTTTTTAGTAAGTTTATCTCAGCCAGTTTTTCCACTAGAGAGATCTTTCCTGGCTGAGTACCAATGAAATGATTGCCTTTTGTTTAGGGGCCTTGAGAATACAAAACAAAACCAAAATGAAAACATGAAAAAAAAAATGAAAACCCTCAAACACAAAATCCTGGTCAATGTGGGAAGATTTCCACAGAACAAGGGTCACATGCAAACTGAGACTATCTCAGACCAGACACTCATGAAGGGGAATGAGCTACAGAATCACCATATTTTGTAGCTTAATGTTGATCTTTCTCTATTTTGGCTAAGCCCATATAGTTGAGTTGAAGTCCAATGCCTGAATAAGACAACGGGGTGTTACTATGAGTCAGGTGTTTGTATACTTTTCTAATCTTTAAAATTCATATGCAAGATATACATCATTAGCTCCATTTTATAAGTCAAGGTGATGAGGCATGGAGAGGTTAGATAATGTGGCCAGGGTCACACTGCAAGTAAGTCAAAGTCTGTTATCAGTCCCAGATGGCAAAATAAAATTGGATAAGTTTAGGATAGTCTAACAAAAGTATTTTCAAAGTGTGTGCAGGTTGCAGTGAGCTACAGCAGATAGTGCAATATCTTGGTGTTACCCCACTAAGCCTGAAGAAGAGAGGGGAGGCATAAGGAGAATGTGCAGAGCACCACTGATTGGGACCATGGTTCCCTTGACGGATGCAGATAACCCAGGTGAATAGGCAGGGAGGGAGCCAGGGGAATAAATATTCTCCAACTTCTTTCCATTCTCTGTCTCCTCTCTCTCACTGCAAGGTTCCTCATTAACTGAACCCTTCAGGAAGCAGAGGACAAAAAAACCTTTTGATATAGTCTGTGCTGTCAGCCTTCTGGGACACTGAAGAGGGTGCATGGTGAGTCAGGAGCAGTGAGTGGAAGCTATCCAGCACAGTTCTCTGCCAGATAGTAAGTCATTCCTTCAAGTGAATGACAGCAGCGTTTTCCTCATCTTTATATTTCACAGAACAATGTCTGTCATATTATAAACTAACAATTTAAGAATGCAATAATACCCTGTCTTTCTTTCCCTTTCTGTTCTGTCTCCAAGATGAGAGGTCAAAAGCAAAAGATGATATTAACAGTCAACTGTGGGCTGCTAGTGGTTGTCTAATAAGAGAAACTGTTGTGCTCCTCTCCGCCCCCACCACAGTTTGCGTGGCGCGAGTGGAGAACACGCTAGAATGGGATTCCCTCTGGTAAAGACTCCATGTTCCTTGCCCTTTTGCAGTTGGCCTGGAGGCTGGGAACAGGGAGGATAAGTGTTTCTTTTTCTGGGGATGCTTCCAAGCCATTTTGTGGAGCATCAGCAACTTTAGTTTGGGTCAAGACCAAAGTTTGAGAACCAAGCTATTCAGTGAAATTCTTTACAAGATGTTGGAGGAAAAAAAAAAAAAAGCACTATTTTTCAAGGGATCAAAATTGTTGTGGAAGCACTTCAGGTTGAATCATACTCATGAGAAAATGTTGCAGAAGAGGACTGCGTATCTGTTTCTTCAATTAGTACTTACTCACTGTCTATCAAGTTCTCTAGTACCAAAAACAATCAGCTAGAGAGAACATTAAGGAATGAATAGACACTAGTTTAAAAGCTACAACTAAGAACTTTTTTTTTCTTCTCAAAGCCCTTCCCAAAAATCCAGTGTCTCAAAAACTGGTCACTTATGCTCTGAGGAGGTTGTTTTGCTCCACTTGGAGTATTTGTTTCTGACAAACCTTTCATATGGTGTTGATGGTCTTTTAACCACAAGCAGCTGGGATCTCACTATTCATTAAAATTTCTCCGGGCACATTTGCAGAAGAAGAGAATGTGTAATGAAATCTTCAGGCTTAAAGGTCCCAGAGAGGTCATCTGGTATGTCCCCTGTCTTTTTGTACTCACTCTTTCCCAAAGTAGTTGATAGGAATCCTCCTGAGGGTGAGAGCTTTGAAGAAGAAAAATAATCCTCTCTTCCAACTTGCCTTGTCTTGCTGCAAGAAAGCAGCCTGCTTCCTTTGAATCTTGTGCCTGTTCAGAATTAAAAATGGAAAGTACAATAGTTTAATACATTTTATGACCTTCATGTTTTATTAAATTTCATAAAGGCGTTCCATTCAAAAGAGGGTCAGATTTTAAATTAAGGCTGTACAACAAATATTTAAATTCAGATTTAATAAAAAAGTTATTGTGTATTTATGCAATCGCAATTGATTATAAAAGACTTAGGTATTGAAATTTTAAAAGGGTAATAGATATTGCAAATGGATAATAATGTTTAACAGGACACTGAATTTGGTATTTATCTAATCTATTTTAGGTACATTTTGAAAATTTATGGAACAATGGTAATTGTTTTTTAGATACAAGTGCTTCACACATAGAAGGGGCATAATAAATATTGATTGAAAGAATGCACAGATTATATGAGTAAAAAAATTTGCAAACTTTATGATGTCTTGTGTTATGAGAACTAATACACTTTAATTAATTCAATGTGACAAAATTTCGTAGGGAGTGTAATTTGTTCTAGCATTGCGCCAAGCTTTGAAGGAGCTATGTGAAATGTTCATGAGAGAGGCTGCATCCTTAAGAAGGGGAGCATTGAGATGAAGAGGCATGATCTATATAGACATAAAACACTGTGGAAATAAGAAAAAGAGACACTTGGCTCTGTTGCAGCTCTCAGGGGAGCTGGAATGGTGAGATAAGATACTACGGAAGTGAAATTGAGGCAGGTATTGAGTAACTTCCAAAGGGGTGTATAATATGCTCTCCCATTTTATCAAAACAAGCATTTAAAAATTGTCAAAGGATTTGCCAAGGATTCTCAGTAAAGCAGTATCTAAAGGCTATTTAAAGAAATCAAACTTCCTCCCTCATGCCAGTATTTCTCTCTATGGAAATTTTCTTTTCAGTTATATTTCCAGAAGTTTGACTCTATAGTGCCTGGATATAACATTTTTGTGTTTTTACCACTTATGGCTTACTGAGCTTCTTAAATATGTGGGTTAGTGTCTTTCATCAGTATTGGAAAGTTCTTGAGCTTTTCCCCCTCAAATACTATTTCTTTCCTATTCTCTTAAGAATACAATTACATGCATATTCAATGGCTTCATTCATCTCACATATTCCCTTCTGTTTTGTTCTTTTTACTCTTCCCATGTTTTGGTTCAGGTATTTTCCCGTAACCTCTCTTGAGATTCAATAATCCTATCCTCTGTTGTGTCCAGTCTGCTGTTAAACACGTGCAATTTCTGATATTATATTTGTACTCCTAGAATGTTCATTTAATGACTTCTTAGTAGATTCTTACTCGCTACTGAAATATTTTATCTGTTTATCTATCCCACCCATTTTTTCACTCTATTTTCTTCAACATAGTTTTTTGGAAGTCCTTGTTTGTTAATTCCAACACCTAGATTTTCTCTGCATTTTATTCTGCTAACTCGTCTTATCTCTTTATTGTGAGTCACTTTTTCTGTTTGATTTTATGTCTAGTAAATTTTGATGGTATAGTGGACATTGTCTATAATGCAGTGCAGAGGTTTTAGATTATGTTATCTTCTAAGGCAAATTGAATTTTATTCTGGCAGGTCGTTAATTACTGGTGAACCCCTTTGATTCTTTTCAAGCCTAGTAAAAGTTTTGTAGAACAGAGCTATTTCTGTTTTTTTTTTTTTTAAATTATTATTCTCAGGCACAGCCCTTACTTTTATAGAATGGCCATTTTAGAACCTTTAACTGGTGAGGGTGTTGCTCAAGGTACTGCTACACTGGCTGCCATCTGCGGGGCTTCTGGAATCACTGGTCAGCTCTCAACCTCTCAGCACCTGCTATCTCTAGGCTTCCTATAGTCTCATGCTGTACTTGCACAGGCAAGGAGTCGGTCTAGGGTGTGATGCATATTTCCATACAGACTTTTGAGATGCTCCTTCTCTGGCAATATACCTTCAAAAGTCCAGTTACCTTAGCAGGCCCAAACTCTAATTTTGCTTCCTTTGGCCATTAAGATCACTTAAGCATTTATTGGGCCCCTCTTTCATGCATCAAATCCCAAAAGAGTCATTGGGAGAAAGTCTGAGTGAATCTGGCTATCATCTCCTATGCCTGCTTCTCTTAAAGAATACACCATTTTATTTGGTTGTTCTCTGATATCTGTAAACAAATGATTTGATATAATTTATACAGGTTTTATAGTTTTCTGATGGGCAGGAGAATATAGTACCAGTTACTCCATCATGGCCAGAGTCTCCCTACTAAAGAGAAGTTCAAACTCATTTATACACATGCATAATATGCAGGTTTAGTTGTATTCTCACATACATATGTGTGTATGCATATGCATATATGCATTCAGGTTTTCTTGTGTGTGTAGATATGCACACACATATGAATGAACATATATCTACATGCATACAGGTTTACTTATAAATATACACAATGTATGAGGATAATTATGTACACACAAACATGAATGCAATTGAGGGTTAATTCATGCAGGCAGAGTTAGCTTTGTGTGGTTAGAAGGTAGAGATTTTCCTCCCCACTCCTGGGTAGTCTATTGGAGAGATATTTTGTTAATTGAGGATTTTCTTGAGGGTTAGTTCACCAGTCATTGACTCCTTACTGTGAATTCCTTGAAATACTCTCCCCTTCTAGCTAGGTCCCAACAAGGGTAAAGGCTAGAACTGCTGTTCCAAAACAGGTCTCTGCATTCCCCTTCCAGTGCTCCTCCTGCTGCGCCAAATTGTCTGTCTCAAGAAGGAATTGGTTTTTTCTGCTATTCTTCACTCCGCAGATACATAGTTCTTTGCTGCACTAAGCATTGACTACTAATGGAGATGTTCTAGGCAGCACTCTGGAGATTCCACTCTGTCCCTCTGCCTTAGTTTCAGGAATAAGCTTTAGCAAGTTTTGTTTTAATTCTTTCTCAAAACAGAAGAGCCTATTATTCACTCAAGCAGGGTGAAGAATAAAAAGAAAAAGTAACATTTAGCCAGAAGGAAAGGCTGGAATTAAGTAGAAAAGGAACCACAGCCCTGAGCGACTTTTCAGTTCAGAGGCTTTTATTTCTTATCCTCCCTGTTCTCTATATCTGATCTTGTCCCAGTAATGGTAGCATTCAGGCCTTCTCAGTATTCTTCCCATTCTGTCTTCTAACCCTCAATTCCCAATAAAACCTCAATTTGAGGTGAGAATAACCAGTGATATTAAGCTGAAATCTGCTCCCCTTGAAGACACTTGCATCTCAGCAAAGGATCTTCTCCTTGAGCTAAAGAAACAAAATTCCCAAGGCGGCATTTCTAGCATTAGAGAGTAAGTGAAGGAGGATTGGGCCAAAGCTTAGGGAGAGGCGGGAAAGTCTTTGTGCATCTCGGAAGTCATTCTCCATGGTGGAATCCTTGGCGACTAATAACACAAGATTGATAAAATCCTGACATTCTACTCTGAGTCTAGGTCCATTGGAGATGATGCTATTTTCAATCCCAGAGGGAAGGAGGATTATATAAAGGGACTTTGTGAAATGAAGAGAAAAAGAAACTCCCTGAGGTGCTCATTCTTTGTTTTTTTAATTTAAAAGCTGATAAAATGATTAGTCTGATCTAAGTTTAACAAAATTATTTATACATCCTAGAAAGTGTTTACACATCCTAGAAAGCTGTATGGTAAGAAAAAATTAATGTATTTAATTCTTACAGCAGTCAAATTTGTCTTTTAAATATGTGAATCATATCATGCCTTATCACAGCTTAAAAGCCTCCAAAGTCTTCCTGTTGCATGAAGACTGGACTAGCAGCACCTGGTGATCTGGTCTCTGTCTTCTTCCTCTCCATCTCCAAGCTCCAATCATGCTGACCTTTCTGTTTGGAAGCCCAGCTTGTTTCTGCCTTGGAAATCTCACTTTTTGTTTTCATTTGAAGAAAGAGCCTGAACAGCTCTTCCCTCAGATCTTTGCTTCTCCTTGTTATTCAAGATTCACTTCCAATGTCATCTTAGGTTTCCATAACCCTTCATGCTCCATTACATTCTCAGATTGCATTTTTCTTCAGCAACAATCTTGATTTTTGTGCAGTCATGGTCTAAGCCCTTTCTTCCCCATGAGAATGCTCTCTTTGAGGGTGGGGTCCCATTTTTTTCTCCTCTCAAGTATATGTTTGATTGGCAGAACAGCTACTGGCTTAGAGCAGGTTTTTAGTAAAGTGTGTGAAATGAAGGAATTAATGAATCAGTGAACAAATAGTTCATTCCAATAGGCTTACAAGAATTGCATTCATAGTCATAAAATGCCTAAACCGAGAAGCCCACGGAAAGGCTCTCACGTACTTTTCACTTAATGCAGCTCCTACCCCTCCTTCAGCATTTTGATAGCTGCTTCTGCTTAAAACAACAGCTTTATGCAACAGCTCATCTTGCTCAGACAGCCTTCTTAGTCCCACACTCAGTGTGTGTTGACTTTCATTTACTGCACAGTTTTAACATGTTCATCTGGTTTCCACGTCCTTAGGAGACCTACAGCACCAGATTAGGAAAGGGAGGGGACTGTCACTGAGAGGAAGATGAGACATCTCATAGTTGACAGTGGAAGAAAAAGACAAAACTCTCTGAAGAACTCATAACCTGGAAGCTGCACCCATTTAGTTAAGGAAATAGTTGAGTGCATTTAGTAACTGAAAAGCACCATAATATACATAAGGGGAGTACTATAAGAACCTAGACATTGTCACTGAACTGATCTGGGTTCAAGTTCACATTAGTAAAGTGGCTTCAGATAACAAAGTTTACAAGCCCCCAATTGCTCCTTTGTACATTAGAGAAATAAGTCTTGTCCTGAGAGATACTGTAAGGAGTGATAGAATCTTTGTACAATACTTAGCCTTCTGTACTGCCATGAAGTAAACCTTCAATAAATGTGAACTACTCTTATTACAACCTTCAATAAATGTGAACTACTCTTATTACAATAACGCTCATTTTGATGGCCTTATATTATAGATAAAAGGATAAATTCTGTGCAGTAAATTTTATGAATACCCAATGCTATTACTTTTTAGATTTTAGTATAAAATAAATAAAACTTCACACATTCAAACGACCTGACACAATTCATGTTAATACTAATATGTTTTATTTTAATTAATTTTATATTTTATGAACCCCTTTCATAGATATTCTCTCATTTGATGATTCACAGCTGCTTATTCAATGAACAATGTAAAGCTCTAGCAATATTTTGTAATAAAAGTTACCTGTATTCCGGTTCAAGAAACAGCTGCATCTCTTCAGTCTTAATGTTTGGTTTGGCTGAATCAGACTTCCTATGCCAGAAAGTACAGAACCAATTTGTTCTCTTAAAATCTCAAATGTTAAAGGTAGGGAAGAAAGGTCTTTATCTTTAAAAGGCAGCTTGGAGATATCAGTTAAATTTGCTGCCACCCACAGATGCTTAACCTGGAGAAATCAGAAATAATGGAGGATTAAAGATTATGTGCCTACAGTAATTTTGGAAAATGAAGGAGTCCCTCAGGTAGAAACATGATCCATTAGCCCAAAGCTTTTCAAGTTACAGCCTATAAATATTTGAAGTGTTTAACTTCTAAGGAGGCAAAGGAATTACTCAACCTAGTACAAGGAGAGGTGATGAGGAGTAATGGGATGACATTAACAAAGAGAACATTTCCTCAACAGAGGGGAACAGATAACTTAAAGGCTTTGCTTAAAATGGAGACTCTGTGACTTCGAAGAGTTGAAGCAATATGGCACTTTATGATTAGACCTGATGGCTGAGTCCCATTTTCAGTTCCTGTGGCTGGTCACCTGCTCAGAGTTCATGGAGTGATTTTTTAATGGTTCACTCAGCACCTTTTAGCTTGGATTTAGGTGAACTAGTATGAAAGAAGAAGAGTCAGAATGAGTAGAAATGTTGATGCTTTGTAGGACATTGACATCCACTTTTGCTGTTTTTCTTATTCAACACTGCCTATTGACTACACCCCATGTTACCATGATTGCCTGTTTCCTTGATGGTTTTTAATGATGACTGAATAAGGAAAGGAAAAGACAAGAGGCAGGGACTGGAGGAGAAAGGTGAATATGAAACTGGCTGTCATACACATGTAATCATTGATGAATATTCAACATTACCCTGAACAACTAGCACACAGGCAACTGTTTCTATTTGTAAATATATACTTCTTTTTGGTTCCCTTTGTTGACTCTTTATCAGCAAGCCTGCTTTCTATATTATTAAATACAAGAAGAGAAGAAAACAAATATAAATAATGAAAGAACCAGAGTTGAAATATTTATGTCCTCCAATGTATCAATTTTGAAGTCAATAATGAGGCTTTAAAATATTTAGATGATGCCAATGCAGTTTAAAAAATATTGTAGGATTCCATTTATATGAGGTATCCAAAATAGGCAAACTCATGGAGACACAAAGTGTAATAAAGGTTAGCAGAGGCAGGTGGAGAGGGCACTAGGAGTTATTGCTTAATAGATACAGAGTTTCTGTTTGAGATGATGAAAAAGTTCTGGAGATGAATGAGGGTGGTGATGGTTGCATCATAAGAATATACTTAATGCCACTAAATTGTGTACTTAAAAATAGTTAAAGTGGTGAATTTTATATTCTGTGTTAACACAGTTTTAATAAAGTTTTTCTTAAATTTTTGAATGTTAAATCTGAAGTCAAGGGATTCATTATAACTGAATTGCTAGCTATAGGACATTTTTTCAAGAGAAGACGGTTTTCACACTCCCTAGACATCCGAATCATTTCCTAACACCTTGTTTCCCCATTACCACTAGCAATAACTTTCTAAAATTTAAGTTAATCTTTAAGATTAAATGCTAATATTTATTAGCCACATATTGATGATTTGAATTTATGGCATATTATAATTTGTGATAAGATAAAATTTATTCATTTACTAATTCAGGCAACAAACACATTTTAGCACCTGCTGGTCAAGACTTTAGGTAGTAAATGAGCGTGATATATATAAAGATTGGTGATATTAGTCTCTACTTTTAATGAGCCTAATATCTATCAGAAAACTAAGACATGTATTTCAACAATTGAAAAAAAAGTAGAAGTTAATATATGTTGAAGATACTGCAGCTGTATTTAAATTAATATATTGTAATGAATAGTTTCACAGTTTGGAAAACATACTTGCATAAAAGGAGGAGGATTTGTTTTAACATCGCATCTTCATGAGGGCTAACATTTCATCCAGGTCATAGAAGATGGCAGCATATTAATTCCCATTTTGTAAATTACAAACACTTCACATAGCTATGTACAATCTAACAGTTTGGAAGGCTTATAGATCTATAGTACTAAAAGGAGACATGGGATTTGGAATCAGAGCTAGATTTAACTTCTAACTCTGATTACAACTATGTGGTTGACGGCAAATTACTTAATCTCTTGGAGTTTCAATGCGGTGTCCCATAAAATGGAAGCAGTAGCTCCCTAATGGGCAAGTCCTGGTGACTGAGATAACGCACATAAGGTATTCAGATGTAGCAACTGCTCAATAAATATTAGTTGTCTTCTCTAGTCATGGTTGTTGTAGGTTAAGTTGTTATAACATAAGGCTGATTGATTCCGTGATTTACTTGGTGTGATTCCTGGGTCAGGCACACCAGTCCTAATTATAACACTGTTCGTACCTAAAAGTGTTACTTGGTTCTCAGTGATCTGTGCTTGATAATCTTTGTGGTGAGGTTTCCAATGACATGACTCCATGAAAAGCAAGGACTGTCTTTTATATAAATGTGTGTGAATACACATATATAAAAGATACATTTATACCATTTTCAAATATTTCAAGTAATGCAATCTAGTGTCTAATAAATTGTTAGAGAACAGGGCTCCTACCAGATGTGTTTGAATGACTGGATATCAATCATTTGTAATTAGCACACTGTATGTAAATTTATGCAACTTAAGTGCTTGAAAACAATTCATTCTTGTAAGTAGATTAAATTGTCCCTTTTACAATCCTGTTTACATTGGTAATTTATATAACAGACCCTCATTTCATTGATGGTAAACTTTACCCTGCCCGAGTTCAAATTCTTTCAGTTTGGCTAAGTGCCATCTGAATTCATGAGGTTATAGTGTACGAAGGAAAAAAAATGGTGGAGTACTAAATTCCATCAATCAAGTGTTGGCTGTCAGTGACAGGAAATTGGCACAGGCACAGGGACCCCTGACCAGATGGTAGACATCTGTGCTTTTCTCATCAGCAGGGCCAGGTCAATTGTGCACCCTCTGCAGATAGGTCTCAAAGAGTCAGAGCCCCATGGGTGGACGGCTCCTCAGGGCTGTTAAAACATTTTGGTTATGAACAGCAAAGAGGAAACTGACACCTTGGGATGCCTTGAACTTTTTTGTTTTAAAAATTATGTCACAGAACTTAGGGCAGAAGTCAAGTTTGACCTCCTTGAGAGTTGTTAAGACTGGGTTAGTGTCTGCATCTCCAGAATGCAGAGAACAACACAGAGAAGCAATCTTCCAGCAGGACATTCTCAAAAGTATCCTGGGAAGGAGTGTGGGGAACTCTGGCTCCAACCAGATGGGAGAACTTGGGCTATTATATGGCTTGGAGTCTCAGTTTTTCTGTGCAAGATGGAACATATGCTCTTTGGTTTTTCTGCCTTCCAGGGAGGATTGGAGGATCCCATAAGCTGAAGAATATATGAATGTACTGCTTGAGTCCAGAGAGAACAGGAGCAAGTAATGCACCACAATACGCTTCACCTACTTAAATCACAGCCATTCCATGACAAGATTAAGCATTGTGTTTTTGTGTTTTCCATGAAAACTACCCTCATTCTTTCTTTCTTTTTTTTTTTTTTTTTTTTTTTTTTTTTTTTTTTTTTTTTTTTTGAGATGGAGTCTTGCTCTGTTGCCCAGGCTGGAGTTCAATGGCACGATCTCGGCTCACTGCAACCTCTACCTCCCAGGTTCAAGCAATCCTCCAGCCCAGCCCCCTAGTAGCTGGGTTTACAGGCCCACACCACCATGCCCAGATAATTTTTTGTATTTTTAGTAGAGATGGGGTTTCACCACGTTGGCCAGGCTGGTTTTGAACTCCTGACCTCAGGTGACCCACCCAACTCGGCCTCTCAAAGTGCTGGGATTATAGGCATGAGCCACCACACCAGCCCAAACCACCCCCATTCTTACCACCCAAGTCATGCCTCTTATGTCTGAAGTGCTAGGACCTCTAAGATCTAACCAGATCTTGTACTATTCTGGACTGTACCCTGAAGTGATAAGGAATTTGAGCACAGGAGCCATGTCTTTTCATCCTCTTTCACAGGAAGATGCTAAATAAAAATGTGTTAACTGATTCATAGCTCTGACATTTCCACTCATATTCACAGCCCACTAGACTGCGGTACTTTTCCCTCAAATCTCTGGCTGAAATCCTGTTAAAAGGACAAGCAGGATATTTCCATTCTCAGGGATTGTCAGTAAGCACCAGCCCTGCCAATGCCCACAGATGAGTCCCTGCCTCTTCTGTTCTGTGAAAGTGAGGGGGACCCTATAACCAGCCTCTCCCACTCAGAGAAAGTCATCATTGAGCTCCAAAAGCACTTGCAAATCTGGCTCTCTCTTTAAAGACTGTTGTTATTGAATTTTGATCACCAACAGTGGTAGCAAGGACAACATATGAGAGAGATAGAGAAAAAGAAGGGGAAAGAGAGAGAAAGAGACTGATTCCTTATCCTTGTGGTGATTTAAAAAAAAAAAAGGCATAAAAATTTAGAGACCTGAAATCAAATTATAGTTCTGCTCTTAACCAGCTCTGTAAGCTTGAGCAAGTCATTTCACGAACTTGAGCCTCAGTTTCCTTGCTTCTGAAATGATTATTTGAACTAGATAGTCTCTAATGACCCTTTCCATGTAATGATTCCAAGTGGAAAAGTCACAGGTAGTAAGTTATAAGAAGGTACGCAGGGAGTGGTGATGGGAAATGTGCTAACTCTTGCACTCTTTTCTGGAAAAAAGAAACAAAAATCTGTGTAGTTATTTATATGTCAGCAGAATTAAGGCTCTGGTGCGGCAACCTTCAGAACTCTACTTGGGCAAATGTGGAGATTCCATAGATGAGCATGACAGGAGGCTTATTTATTTGCATGTTTACTTGTGAGTACATGTGCATTTATTCATCATTTACATATTTACTTCATTGTTCAACAGATATCTGTTGAGCATGAAGGACTGTTGCACTGGGGATATAGCTGCACACAAAATAGATAATCCTGGCTTTCATAGGACTTATATTCCAATATTCCAGTAGTGACAGATAATAAATAGATAATACGTGAGCTAAGCTTAAGAAATCTGAAAATGGAGTAGGAAAAGGATATATAGTGAGGAATAGGAAAGGTGCTATTTTAGACATACTTTGTATGTTTGAGGGACAACTAAGAGCACAAAGTGTGTGGAGAGCACAATAAGGAAAGGGGGGAAATGAGATCAGGGCAGTGGCAGGGACAAGTATTATAGCATCTTACAGGAAGGTAGGTGTTTGGGCTTTTATTCTGAGTGAGATGGAAACCATTGCAGGGTTTTGAGTGGAAGAGTGCCACGATCTGACTAGGTTTTACAAGGCTCACTCTGCTGTACTGTGGAGAACACTGTGAAGGCAAGGCTGGAAGCAGAGCGACCAGTTGGGAGACAATTTAAATAACTTGGGAGAGAATGGATGGCTTCAGATTAAGGGCACAGCAATGGAAATGGGGAGACATGTTCTGGAATCTAAATGCATTTCCAAGGTTGAGCTGACAAACAGTGCTGATGAATTATATGTGTGGCATCAGAGAGAGACAGATGTTAAAGATGACTCATATTAAGGAGACTTAAAGTTTTTTCTTTGAGCAAGTAGCTGGTAGAATGAAGATGCCATTTGTGTTATAGGAAATAGAGTGAGAGCATGAGGGCTTTGGTGTAAGGCTTCAAATCAAGAGTCCTGTTTCAAACATGTAAAGCTTGAGTTACCTTTCAGATCTCCAAGTAGGGGTGTGGAGAAGGACATTATAGCCATGCATCTGGGTATCAGAAAAAGGTCAAAGGTAGAGATATAAATTTGGCCATCACCAGCATATAGCTAGTATTTCAGCCCTGAGACTGAATAAATTCACCAGATAAAATAGATGAGGAAGATGACCAAAAACTAAGCCCTGGGACTCTCTGACACTTAAAGGTCAGAAGGATGATGAGAGTGATCAGCTCTATCAAATGATTCAGATTCTGGTAAGTCTACTAGGATAAGGGATTTTATTTAGAATACCCATTGTGACGCAGGCAACTTTTCTTTTCCCTCATTTGCAATTGTTCTTCCAATCAATAGCCTTTCCTGCTCATTTGAATATGAGAAATGACCACTAAAATGAAATTAAGGCTCTGGTCCACTGCCATCCACCACTTGCATGAAGGCTCAGGACTGGCTTCTGTTTGGGATCAATTAGTGTGTGGATGGGTGTGTGTGTGTGTGTGTGTGTGTGTGTGTGTGTGTGTGTGGCGGGGGCAGGGGGATGGGTGGTGCCTGAGAGAAAGAAAGACAGATACAGAGAGATAGATATGTTTCGTAGAGAAGCACAATAGAACTAGGCACTGTCCCGGGCCTTAAAGTGCCTTCCCTAGAAAGACAGAAAAATCCCAAGTTGTTGTAGATCAAAATATACTTAAATAACAGACTACAGAAAACCAAAATGGAGAGACTTAGCAATTAGACAAGTGCTATGGAGCTGGGAAGGCACTATAATGCCTGAAAATTATTGTAACTCTGCATTGGAAAACTAAAGAATTAATTTATTTTCAGGAAGCCATGCCTCAAAGTCATTTCTCAAGTTATGTTAGTACATTCTAGCTTTTGCTTAAAAATGTCCAAGGGTGTTCCATTGTCTGGAGGATAATATTTCCCACAGAACACTGGTTGTCACTTGAGGTCTTTCAAACACTCATCCCACTCAGTCCTTCTAACCATTCTAATTTATAGTGAGCTCTGCCTTCAAACTCTGAGATCACTAATTACCTGTCTATCATTCATTAGATGTTTTGTCTTTAAACAAATGTGCTGTATCTCTTCACACAGATTATAAGTGATGGGAGAAATGAAACCTTGTTTTACATTTTCTCCCTGTTCACTATTACAGAACTATTATTAAATGGGTATTTGATAATGCTACTTGAATGAATGCACAAAAACTTAAATATTTCTTTACCTGCCATTTCTAGTATCTAACCAGATGAAATGTAACTAAGAACAAAATGAACAGACATATTCTGGGGTGGTGGATGCACCATTGCTAAGGTATTGAGCTGTCATATTTTCCATATTTAAGTAGAATATAAAATGAAAGAGTTTAAACCCAGGGTTGGTGTGTGTCATTTGTGTTCTGAGAATTTCATGAAACCTATCTCAAAGCTGCCCTGTCTTTTACAAGTTAAATCATGGCTGACTTGTTATTGTCATTCACAAAAAAAACAATGACTTAACCCATGGGCCTTAAATAGAGTAACCTTATGATTTATAATCTAGGCTGGGACAATTTTGAGAGTGAAAGAATATGCTAACAAAAATTATCTCAGACATTGGCTGGGCATGGTGGCACGCATCTGTGTTCCCAGCTACTCAGGAGGCTGAGTAGGGAGGCCAAGGCTGCAGTTAGCCGAGATTGTGCCACTGCATTCCAGCCTGGGTGACAGAGTGAGACCCTGTCTCAAAAAAAAAAATAAAATAAAATTAAACCAGATAAATAGACATAAACCAGGGCTATCCTGAATTTTTGGGTAGTAAACTCCTTGCAAAAGGTTGAAAGCTATAATTAATTTTTCCAGAAATAATTTAACTTATGTTTTAGGATATTAGGCACCCCCATAGCCTATTCAAAATCACTGCTTAAAAATCCTTGACCCATATTACTTCATGTCCATTTAAGTGTGTTGCTCACACAGTAAACTCACACATCCACATTAAAGAATTAATATGATCTTCAAAGGCCCCCAAATAAAACCAGATGAACAATACATAGGTACTGTTTGCTGTGCTTGATATATGCTACCAACTAAGATGTCTGTGAAGTTTATTTCTATGGAAAATAAAAACCTATTTTCTGCAGCATTTTGAAGAGGGAGACATGTTCCCATTTAGGGGAAAATTGTTAGATATTGTTCTATTTATAAGAGCATAGTAATTACTTTTGAAATAGATTCATACTTTTTCAGTACTTTCAAATATAACCCTAAGTCCTTTGTCTTTGAACTCCTTTTGGCCTCCTTGATACCAAGTTATAAAGTCAATGGACCTATGAGTTGTAATCTCTGAGGGAGCTTGGTGACTGTACCACACCCTGCCAATCACTGTAATATGCTGGGCTTCTCTGGGAACAGTTCTTATGCCTTATATTTTTTGTATGATGTCAAATTTCCAACCACGATATTGTAATAACCTCATCACAACACATCAAGTAAGACTTACAGTGTGTGCCCCACTCTATTCATTTTGTCCCTTCAGTTTTCTAAATATAATGAGCAATTAGTGAAAATAAATGTTTGGTGAGGAGGCACAGTCATAGGATGCTGCCAGTTGCTTGTCCTAAAAGATATTTCTGTATGCACATGCATAGACAAATATATGTTAATATTTAGGATGGACTTTTATGTCTCAATGACTATTTTTAAAAATAACATTAAAAAATCTAAAGTAACTATAATCTCATTGTAGAACATTTGAAGTACTGGTAGAAAATGTTTGAATCACCTGTAAGTCCTTCATCCAGCGGTAACCACTAACAGCATATACCTTTATTTTTCTATTTATTTTTTCGTGTATAACATATAAATAAAAAGCTTGGGGAATTTTTATAAGATGGATATTTGTGTGTGTATACGTATGTACATTTATCTGCATTTTTAAACTCAGATAAAAGCATAAGCACTTTCCAAAAATCTAGAAATTAGACTTAAAAAAGAACTTAAAGATCTTTCTTCTTGTTTAGCACTATTATATTACAGATGAAGAAATTAAGACGTGAAATTCACATCCACTTTTTGATTTTTCAATTAACAAATACACAGAGCCAATATTTTAGTAAATGAATATATGTATTGATGTGTAATATCAAATTTAGATGTTGTGGAATAATTCAATAAACATATAGACTACTATAAGTACAACTATACTTTTTTGAGTAATACTTGAGAGATAAATAATGTTTTGGTATATTAGCTTCTTTAATCTCCAGAATATAGTAAATACTATTATTACTATAATTTTAATTTTAGATATTAGGTAATCGAGGTTCAGTTCAATGAAACAACATGCCAAAATCAAATAAGAACTAGATAGCTGAGCTGAAACTCGAAGTTCAATGCTTTGATTTCAAAACCTTGTTTTTGTATAGTATTTGGAATCAGGTGGTAAAGTTTACAAAGTATGTTCTGCCATTAAGCATTCTTCCAGTTTTGCTGAAGGGACAATGGTATGGTTTTGCTGTGTCCCCACCCAAATCTCATCTCGAAATGTAATCCCCATAATCCCCACATGTCCAAGGAGGGACCAGGTGGAAAGTGATTGCATCATGGGGGCAGTATCTCCCATGCTATTCTTGTGATAGTGAATGAGTTCTCACAAGATCCGATGGTTTTATAAAGCAGTTTTCCGGGCTCTTACTCTTGCCTGCTGCAATGGAAAATGTGCCTCTTCCCCTCCGCCATGATTGTAAGTTTCCTGAGGCCTTCCCAGCCACGTGGAACTGTGAGTCAATTAAATCTCTTTCATTTATAAATTACCCAGTCTCAGGTAGTATCTTTATAGCATGTGAGAATGAACTAATGCAGACAAGATGTATTTGTCAGACTACGTGAACACACAGGCAAACAAAAATAGCTACAATTTATTGAAGATTCACTAGGGACCCAGTACTATGCTAAAGAATTTTGTTTCATTATCTAATTTAATCCTCACTTCTAAGGTAGGAACTCTTATTCGTAAGGTGAAATTATCCACTTTACATGCAAAGAAATTGAGAGATCATGCAATAAACCAGTAAAAGAAGTAGGGTTTGGTCCCAAGTAGCTGTATCACAGAATCATAAAGCTGAATAATAATCCAAATACAATGAAGTTTCTTTGCCGAAAAACTGAAGTTCTTTTTTTGCCATTAAATCTGACATCTTTCCTGATGCTGGGAGTAAGTAGAAAGAAGCTTCATAGAAATTGTAGAGTGTTGGACTATTGAGAGTCAGGAAGGAACTTAAACTCAATTTTGACATTGAATAAAAACACATGGATAAGTTGAGTATAAGAATAGAACTGTTGTCATTGCAGATGCAGACAAGAACAAGAGACAGATAGAAGGATATGGTATTTATGGAAACAGTAAGGCAACTCTATAGACAGAATTCTGAGACCACAGCAAGAGCAAATGTTTGGAGCCAGATTGCGAAGGGCCAGGAGTGCCTGGATGAAGAGTTTGGGCTTTGCCTTTAAACAGTTCAGGGCCATCAGATATTTCTGAATATGAAAGTCTGACAATGGTGTGCCATAAAGCTGGAAAGGGGAGGATGTCTAGGTCAGTATAATTGGCCCTGAGCAGCAGCAGCTGTCAGGAGCTTCAGTTTAAAAGCTCATCTTTGGTTTTGCCTACAGAGTTAAGGAAAAGAATCATTGCTGTCCATGGTTCTATTGTGGCTATGCCCTGGGGCAAGGTTGAAAAAAAATAAATGTCAGTCTGATTTATTCTGTTGAAAAGCAAGAAAGAGAGCATAAACTCTGCTCTGTGTTAGCAGTGTGAATTTCAGGAATCACTTTCAATGGTTCTCAAGCCTGGCTGTGTGTTAAGTTACCTAGGGCAGTTTTCAAAAGCATGTATGCTCCTGACCTATGCCCAGATACTGTGATTTAGTTTCCTTGGGGAGGAGCCTAAGCACTGGGATTTTATTTATATATATATATATACACACACACACACACACACACACTTACATACACACACACACACTTTATGTTCTGGGATACATGTACAGAATGTGTAGGTTTGTTACATAGGTATAAATGTCCCATGGTGGTTTCCTGCACCCATCAACCAGTCATCTACATTAGGTATCTCTCCTAATGCTATCCCTTCCCTAGCCCCCCACCCAATGACAGACCCCTGTGTGTGATGTTCACCTCCCTGTGTCCATGTGTTCTCATTGTTCAACTCCCATTTATGAGTAAGAACATGCGGTATTTGGTTTTCTGTTCCTGTGTTAGTTTGCTGAAATGGTTTCCAGCTTCATCCGTGTCCCTGCAAAGGACTTGAACTCATCCTTTTTTATGGCTGCATAGTATTCCATGGTTTATATGTGGCACATTTTCTTTATGCAGTCTATCATTGATGGGCATTTGGGTTGATTCCAAATATTTGCTATTGTGAATAATGCTGCAATACACATACATGTGCATGTGTCTTTATAGTAGAATGATTTATAATCCTTTAGGTATAAGCCCAGTAATAGGATTACTGGGTCAAATGGTATTTCTGGTTCTAGATCCTTGAGGAATTGCCACACTGTCTTCCACAATGGTTGAACTAATTTACACTCCCACCAACAGTGTAAAAGTGTTGCTATTTCTCCATATCCCCTCCAGTATCTGTTTCCTGACTTTTTAATGATCGTCATTCTAACTGGTGTGAGATGGTATCTCATTGTGGTTTTGATTTGCGTTTCTCTAATGACCAGTGATGATGAGCTTTTTTTCATATGTTTGTTGCCATATAAATGTCTTCTTTTGAGAGTCTGTTCATATCCTTCTGAATGGGCAAAAACTGGAAGAATTCCCTTTGAAAACAGGCACAAGAAAAGCATGCCCTCTCTCACCACTCCCATTCAACATAGTATTGGAAGTTCTGGCCAGGGTAATCAGGCAAGAGAAAGAAATAAAAGGCATTCAAATAGGAAGAGAGGAAGTCAAATTGTCTCTGTTTGCAGATGACATGATTATATATTTAGAAAACCCCATTGTCTCAGGCCAAAATCTCCTTAAGCTGATAAGCAACATCTCAGGATACAGAATCAATGTGCAAAAAGCATTGAGAATTTTAAAAGCTCACAGCTTCTTCTAGGTTGAGAACAATTGCTGCAATGGAGGATACTAAAACCAGTACTGGAACACCATATGTATGACTTTTATTTTAGCCTTAAAACAAAATCTCCTTTCCAAACCCATCAGTTAAACCTGAGCTCCCAGCCTCTTCCAGCCAAGTATTTTAGAAAATATATTTGGATTCTCTTTTTTTAAAAAAAATATTTATGTATAATTTTGTTGCAGAATCCAAGAGAAGAAATAGAAAACTTAATTGTCCTGCCTGCATTTATTTTTCTCATCTTGTTTGAATTTTCCATCCAGATCTACCTTTCTGACTCATTTTCTTATTTTTCCTCCACTAGCTTTCCCTACTTCACCACCACTTATCATGTTATTTTGTTCTCAGCAATCAGTGTACAATTTAAGGAAGAGATTCCCTTCCCCCAAGAAACCTTTGTCTGAATCATTCTTCAAGGCTCAGCCAAGGCAAGTCTTATCTCCTTCATGTGTTTATCCCTGGTGGACTCTGTCCTGAAATCCTATTTTTCCTCACTTCTTGGTACTTATGACATTAACAATATCTTGAAGCATCAAGCTTTTTGTATGTAAGTGTTTCATCTTTTCCTCCTTAAACTGCAATGCCTTCAATATCATCAAATACTGCTTGTGGCAGGTGTTCATTGAATCTCCTCTAATGGTCTTCTGTGATGAACTTCTCCCCACACTCATGACTCTTTAATGCTGCTTGTGGGTCCTGATGCTTAGGTTGTATCATGCTTTCTCACTACTGTTAATTTTTTCACTGCTCATTCTAATTAGAGTAAATGACTCATGGTTTGTAGCATTTTCTGAGGCATTCTCCACAGATCTCTGGACCTCTTCTTACAAGGAGACCTGAAAAATTGTATATTTTTATAGCTCTTAGATAGTTTTGATTATTAGCCAAGTTTGCAAAGAACTTCTTAGAGCAATATTTTAAATTTCTTCTGCTACGGTGCATAGGAATATATTTTTATATTCCAATCCAGTGCCTCACATACCCATAATTGAAACAAAGAAATATCTACCTTTATTACATGTGAGATATTCTGATGTTTTCTATTCTATTTTGCTTCATGTTTTTTTTTTAAATAGTGATCTTGCAATTCTCTGTTGGGTTGCAACCCTTAGTCTGAAAAAAATATTCTTCTAGAATGTAGTAAGAGTTACACTTTTTTTTTTTTAATGCTAGTGGTATTGATTTGTATCTTTGTGTTATGCCATCCCGAGAAATGGTTTTACTTGAAAATTTTTTTTATTTCATTTATTTCTTTCTTAAACTAAGTCATGAGTATGAGCCACTTCCTCAGGCTTACTCTATTTCAGCTCTATGTTTCTTTAAATGTCTAGAAAGTCTTAGTGCTTCTAGGAGATATCTCTGAAGAATCTTGCCCATGTTCCAACCCATAAAGACAAGAGAGTAGTTGCTTTTAACACCATAAGGATCTTATAAATATCTCGATTTGTGTTTACTGTGCATTTTCTTTGGCTGACTTCAGCCTTCTAGAGAATACAGTTTTTGCCTGTCCCTATCTGTATTTCAAGAATTTGAAATACTGCTGTATGCCATTTCGTTGATTTCGTTGTTTAATACATAGTTGTTGAGTGGTTGTCTTGTGCCTTCTAGCTTGGTCTATATGTAATAAAACTTGACATCAATTTATTCAAGCAGAGACCTCTTAATATACCATGCTGTCACTTCTAGCTTTCCAGTTGAAAGACAAGATGGCTGACACTCATACCAAGGTGGATTGTGTCACTGGTTCTCCTGTATAAGAAAGTAAGAACAGGAGCTGAGCCAAAACGATAAAAAATGCATGGCCCCATTCATTTTTTTAATTGCTTTTTGCAATGAGATCCTAAAAATCTTTGGCTAATCAAATCACTTGGACAGAGGTAGAGATAAAAAAAAAAAAAGGCACCCTCAATTTTTCTATCCTATGTTAATTGGACCAATGATGGGGCTAAGGAGACCCCTCAGAGCTTGAAGGTGTTTCTGTCACTTAGTGGAAAGCTGACGCAAAACACTTAACATAGCTAGTTGGATTGCACATGGATATTATGGATGCTGCCTGGAGCAACTGTCTAGATTAAAAATTGGCTTATGAGTAACACACTATACTCTGGATGAAATTCGTAGGGTTGGATTTAGGCTTGCTTTTTAAAATGTTTCATTTTAGATATCCAGGTTATTTTAAGCTATATCACGACCATCTTACAGAAGGTGTGTAGAAAAATAATAATAGTTAAGAAACAGAATATCTTTATGTTGAAAGGCTGATTTTTTTATAGTAAGATGTAGTTAAATTTATAGGTCCATATTTTACACACACACACACACACACACACACACACACACACATACATACTGTTAGCAAGACTAGCTAACACCATCAAAGAGGTCCAAATTCTGTTGGGCATGTGGAGCTGTGCAAAGAAGAAAGAGAATGAACTCTTCTGAACTGACTATTGATAATTGAAACTGATAACTTCTTTGAATTGGATTAAATAATTGCATGAAGATCATAAGATACAATTTTCTTTTGATTTTTATAAATTTGTTTTACAGATTTCTTTTCATTCATTCAGCAATAATTTATTGAGTACTCATGATTTGTCAGGCAAAATGCCAGGTTCCTGACATTAAGGAGCTCTCAATCTAGTGAGAAGCATGTAAACAAAAAGGCTTTTTGAATGATAAGCTTCAATGGAAAACATAATAGAAGCCATGTCGACTGATATAATCTGAACCAGTATTTTGTGTATTGAGAAAGTTAAAAAGAATTGTAAAATTGCTAATGCTATAAATACTGTATGTTTAGCTTAAAATGATCATTAATCAATTATAATGTAATATCAATGCCTTTTGCGTATGGGTTCAATAGCTGGTGTTTTACATGGTCTTTTTATGTAAACCATGTCTACAATGCATTATATTCAATTTCTAATTTTAGTGTTTTTGCTTTGAGGAAGAGTGAAAAGTTAAAAATATTTGCATCAAAACAGTCTGAATTCTGAATACCTCTAGAATGTTTTATTTTTACCTCCACTCTTGTATAATTTTTCACTCATACCTAATTTGACTTGCTTTTATCAAGTCTTTCCAGACCAATTAACATAATTTTCAGAAAAACAACCCTTATTTTTCACACTCATATCATCAGTTTAATACATGATTTAATTACATAATCACAATGAAAAAGTTCAACTACCAAACCTGGGAACACACAGTCGGTTCTCAGGACCAAGGTATGCACTAGGCAGAGGGTACCAGCCTCCTACTTTCAGTGTGCCCTGTCAGCTATTTTACAGGGGAAGAAAGCCAGAAGTTATTGTGAAAATTTTGTCATTTGAGACATCAAAAAGCTTGCTAGGTAAATGCTGTAACCTAGGGTCAAGCAAAATGGAGTAAGAGTGACTAAAGGACTGGGGAGATTTGGAGAAGGTTTCATAGAGGTGATGATATATGAACTGGATCTTCAAGTAGGAGTTTTCTTCATGAAGAAAGGAGCAAAAGCTATCCCATCCCGAGAAAGCAGCTTGTTTAAATGCAGAGTCAAGAAAGATATGGAGTGTTTGAGGAGAAGTTGGAAGTTGAAGGTAATTAAGCACAACAGTCAGTCAATGGATAGAGTAGTGAAAGATGAAGTTGGAGAAGTAGGATGCAGTAGATTGTAGAGCGACATACCAATTAATTAGAGATTCAAAATATAATTGAGGTACATGATTAATTATGAAAGTAGGCAGGTTACTCATTAGGTATTTACTAAGTGAATGCAAAGGAAAACAGGTGAGTGCCTATTACTGTACATCACTTTTTAAAGAATAACCAGGTCAAGATTAAATTTTATCAAGAATGCAGTATACAAATATTTTTTAAAATTATCTTCCAAATACAAGGCTTGAAGTAAAAGCAAAAGCACTGTGTGTCCCAAAACTGAATATTTTTAAAAATCCAACTAGAAAATGGGCAAAAAACATGCACAGACATTTCATTAAAGAGGATACACAGATGCCAAGTAAACACGTGAAAAGATAGTAAGCATCATTAGCCATTAGTGAAAAGTATATTTAAACTACAATGAGATATCACTACATACCTATCAGAATGGCTAAAATGAAAAATAATGGCAAGGGAAAATATTGGCAAGGATGCAAAGAAGCCAGATCACTCATACATTGCTGTTGGGAATGTAAACTGATACAGCTACTTCAGAAGTTTGGCAGTTTCTTTCAACACTGAAAATCTACTTAACATTCACCCAGAATTTTCAGTCTTGGGTATTTATTCCAGAGAAATAAAGTCTTATTTTCATGTGCACAAATGTTCATAGCAGATTTATTCATAATAATCTCAAACTGGAAACTACCTATATATCCCTTAATGGGTGCATAGTTAAATAAACTGTGGTTATACATACCATGGAATACCATTCAGCAGGAAAAAGAAACAAATTATTGAGAAATAGAACTTGGACAAACCTCAAGAAAATTATGCTAAGTGAAAAGCCAGTCTCAGAAGGACATGTATTGGTTCCATTTATGTAACTTTCATGCAATAACATACCTAAAGAGATGGAGAATAAATTTGTGGTTTCCAGGGATTAGGGATATTGGGGAAGGAAAGAGTGAGTGTGGCTATAAAGGGATAGCACAAGAGAAATCTTCGTGGCAATGGTATAGTCGAGTGTCTTGATTGTGGTGGTGGTTATGCAAAGCTACATGTGTGATAATATTCCATAGAACTGTAAATTTGCATCCCTCAACATACACAAATGGGTTATAGATTTACCATCTATAACTGGTAAAATATGAATAAACTATGGATTATACTAATATCGGGTTTCTGGCTTTACTATGGTGCTAGAGTTGTGTAAGATGTTAATATTGGAAGAGGCTGGGGAAATGGTGCACTGGAACTTCGCTGTACATTTTTTTTTTTTTTGCAGCCCTCTGGAATATATAGCTATTTCCCAATAAATAATTTTATAAAACTTTGCATCTATGTGTTATAATTTCTATATGTCTAATCGGTTGTGGCAAGTAGCTATACTGAGCCATATCTGTCACCTTGTGGCAGCCTCTGTGGTGGTAATTCTTTGTTAGGATGTGGAAAATCTATTCAGGATCAACCTTAAGCCCTAAGCCACAATACATGTAATAGTTATATCTATCACACTCAATGACTGTAAGCGATACACTTTGTGACAGCTGGCTTCACCACATGCTACAAACCTTGTATAGAATAGGTCTTGGATATAGATAATTGCTCATGATACAAATGCATTGATTATACTGACATCTGCCAATGTTCAGTCTCAACATACTAATGGATCTTTTCCTTAGGTAAGGGACAAGAGCACATTCCAAAATAAACTAACTGAAACCTAAATATAATCAACAAAGATGGTTTTCTGCCCTATATATTAATGAAGGTAAAGAAAACACACGAATTCAGGAAAAATCTAAAACAATTCCTAAACAGTTCAAACTTTTAGAGTAATCTTTGTTTGCAGGTAGAGAAGGGTGAGGTTTCAGGATCGTCATGAAAGATGTTGGCTTTTATCCACCTTTTTCCTGATGCCAAAACTTTTATAACTGGGAGAAAATACTCTTCCTTTCAAATGCAGAAATCAGATGCACTACAAATCCCCCTAGAAGGAGGATAAATGGTAACTTCCAGGATAGAGCTTGGTATTGCTATGACGACTTTAGATTCAGGTTATGAATCTAAAGGTTATGAGGAATGCGCCTGAGTGTGCAGCGTGAGTATGTGCTCCCCTGCATTCTGTGACTGCAGGGCTGATAGGAAAACATCCCGCTTTAAGAATCTGACTTTAAGACAGGCCCATTATTCTTGGATGATCCAGTGCTATGCCTTTTAGAATTTTTGCCCCAAGTGGGAATGTTCCCTCTTTCTGCCATAGATTGAGATCTCCCCAGTACCCAGCTCTTCTGCCATCTCAGGCACCAAGGAAAAGAGGGCAGGTAAGTCCCTGCAGCAGCCCTGATGCACCACCATGCCCTAGATTCTGATCTCTTCACACATTCTCTTAGCCTTGTTGTCTTGGTCTCTGGCGCCTCAGCTGCTCTCTGCAGCACATTAAAGACTTGCCATCTCTATTAGCCACCAATAATGCACTAATACATTTGTCCTCCTATTACCTCGGACACTAATTTGGTGGAATTGGATAGTGACAGCACATTGATGTTGTTGAAGTTAATGACCCAGCAATTTACAAGATAAGTCACATTAGTAGTCAAATTGATTGTAATCATTGTTTCACTGAACAGAATCTGCATTAAGTACAGTGTGTTGTGCTCTGTCCTTCACCACCCCATTAACAGAGAGAAAGAGATGATCAGAATCTTCACCTTCATATCTTCTTTCACGTTTCTGCAATGAATATGTTGGGACTTCTGCTTTCTTTTATAGCTTTCATTGAAAGATGCTAAGCACATATGAGAAACAATAGAATTTAACTTTATATACCTTTGAATATAACTAGGCCACTGGAGAGTTACAGTTATTCATCTCTTCTTTATTGGGCACCTATAATTTTCTTGGTTTTGTGATTTGTACTAGGGACTCCAGATAAGTTGTAAGATGTAATTTCTGTCCTCAGGGAGCTCACATTTGAATAAGAATCATGTAACAGCCAGGCTAGGTGGGTCACACTTGTAATTCCAGAACTTTAGGAAGCTGAGGTGGGCGGATCACTTGAGCCAGTAGTTCGAGACCAGCCTGGGCAACATGGCAAAACCCTGTCTCTACTCCCCCAGCTCCAAAAAGCAAACAAACAAAAAACATAGCAAGTCCTGCTGGCATGCACCTGCTCCTAGTTATTTGGATGGCTGAGGTAGGTGGATCACTTAAGCCCAGGAGGCAGAGGTTGCAGTGAGCTGAGATGGTGCCATCATAATCCAGCCTGGGTAATGAAGTGAGATTTTTTTTTTTTTAAGGAATCATGTACAAGATGATGAGATGGTAGGAGACATAGGAGACATTCTCAATGGGTAGAACAATCACTTCTGAAGAGAGAGTTGAAATAGACAGGGAGAATGTCATACTGGAGATGAAATTGTCAGTAGGCACTAAAATATTTCTAAGATATTGATAAATATCAGTAAATAAGTCTTTATTCTTTAATTTGTAGTTAGAAAATATAATTTAAAATATATTTATCCCTTGCAGTTGTACAATTTTGCAAAATATTAAACCTTGTTTTCCTCCTTTATTAAGGGGGGGTAGTATTGTTGGTCTCATGTGTCTTTAATAATATGAGAATGGTCAAAATGGACATAAACTTTCTGGCAGAATGTTGGCATATAGTAAGCATTTAAGTAAAAGCTATTTGATTCCATATCTGATTTAATTTCTAGGAAAATTAAAAGCCACTTGAAGCCAAGATGGAAATAAGGTGAATGGTCAGACTTAGAGATACAATTTGGGTTATGAATAAACAAGATGTATCCCTGAAATGATTGCCTCAGCTGTGTGTGTGTGTCCACGTGTGCATGCGTGCATATGGCCATGCATGTAAATAAGCTCTGAAGGCACGGAAAAGGGATGTTCTAGAACTGTATTGAGTCAGGAGAGTAGCATGGCAGCATGTGAAAGGGGAGTGAGAACTGAGAAACCATGTGGTACAAACTCTTAATTTTGCAAATGAAGAAACTATAACCAAAAGAGGGGCAGAGGTAGATTGTTCCATGACATATAATTATGCAAGCACAAACCCTGGATTAGAACCCTGATGAACTCATTCCTAGAAAAAATATTCTTTCCACCACTTCAAGATGCAAAAGTATCTCTTGTGAAGAACAATATTGGTCATACATTCTCATCTGGTTTCTGCATGTTTAGTCTTATTTCTTCACCTTCACATATCCTATAGGAATTCTTCTTCTCCTCTGGTTAATAGGGTGTTATTCTCACTCTTGCATGTCTCTGAAACACAGGACCACCCACATCCTGTCTGCTGCTAAACTGAACTTGTCACCCTTCTTTTACCTGCTAATTATATCACAAGCTTCCCTGATTATAGATGAATGTCCTGACCTGGGCTGAGAACCCCATTATGCCCAGTCCTGGTGGGTCCTCAAGTGACTTCCCCACCTGTTATCTGAAGCTGGACAATCACAAAGCATTCTTATGTCCTTACAAATTAGAAAAATTATGTTTGATGTCTTCTCATTTGAACTTCTGCTTTTGTGCTGTCAGAGAGCCTGGGGCATACATTATACCTACCTTGTGACTAGATTTCTACCTAGATAAAGCCCAGGACCCTTTAGTTAATGCTAATGAAACAGAAAAATAAAGTCACAAACAATATCAATAATAATCACAATAATAATAGCAATAAATGAGTTCCTTCCAGTTTAGAGCAGCCAGAAAGAAAGGCATGTCAGGGACTTGCAGTGTGATATATTGTGGGAATGCAACCGCCCACCCTTACCAATTATTTAAAAAAAAAAAAAAAAAAAAAAAAGACATGCTTCACTGCCTGCTACAGATATAGTCTAGAAAAAATGAATAGCAGAATTACTGTCTGTCCCATGTTATAGTTCTTATTATCTCATAATTAAAAATTGCTGGGATGTTATATTCCCCTAATTTTTTTGTTCTCCTTAGTATATTCTTGTGGTTCAAGATTCAAATAGGACTGGGTTACTGTGGTGTAATGATGATGTTAGCCAAAAAGGACCAACATAATTGGATTCTACAATGTTGGTAAGATATGGAGTAATGTGCTGAGGCAGGACAACACAGTTGAGTAGGTGAGGAGGAAAGGTTGGTTCTTAGGGAGGATATCAAGTAATGTGGAGGCAGCAGGAGAGCAGAAACTGATTCCTACACATGATAGGAATCAACAGGCAGAGGGTGGATCATCACCAGGCTCAGCATCTAGAGATACAGTCAAATAGTCAAAAAGAACAGATGCCCAAGAGGCTTTAGAGCTTTTGAGATTTAAATCTAGACCTCAGAGCTAGCAACGACAAAATGTGGTTCAGAGAGAATGGGATAAATACCAAAGGCTTGCTAAGGTATGACATGTTAAAATGTTAATACTAGGACACTGGGATCAGCTGCTATCTGCCCATTTAGTACTCCCCCAGTTTTATGTAGCATTTCTATAAGGCTGAAAAAATGTTGGCTAATGCATTTCTCTTTCATACTAGGACCAGGGGGCCTAGGAATGTGGATTGCCTCAGCCTCCTGAGTAGCTGGAGCTACAGGCATGTGCAACCATGCCAAGCTAACTATTTTTATTTTTTTGAGATGGAGTCTTGCTCTGTTGCCCAGGTTGGAGTGCAGTGATGCAATCTTGGCTCACTGCAACCTCTGCCTCCTGGGTTCAAATGATTCTCCTGCCTCAGCCTCCCAAGTAGCTGGGATTACAGGCACCCGCCACCATGCCCAGCTAATTTTTGTATTTTTAGTTGAAACGGGGTTTCGCCATGTTGGCCAAGCTGGTCTTCAACTGCTGACCTCAGGTGATCCACCTGCCTTGGCCTCCCAAAGTACTGGGATTACAGGTGTGAGCCACTGCGCCCAGCTGCTAATTTTTTAATAGAGATGGTATTAGCAGCCTGTGGCCCTCCTCAGATGTCCAATCTTAAACTTTTTCAGACATCAGAATTGTTACCCAAATAAACATTTTTTCTTTATTATTAATTACCCAGTCTCAGGTATTCCTTTATAGAAATGTAAATGGACTAAGACAATGTCTAATTCACCATTAGCATTCGGTCTTGTCTTTGTGCCTAAGGCCCAGCAAGCCTCACTCTGTTTGTTCTTGCCTCTCCCTTGCACTTAAACTGCTGTTATTTCTTCCTCAATATTTGCTAGGCTGGTTGGGGAGGGAAGAGCAGGCCAGAATTCTCTGTTGTCCTTATTCAGCCTTAGCCTTAGTCATTGTGTTGCCCAGGCTGGTCCGTGAACTCAGGGGCTCAAGCAATTCTCCCACCTCAACCTCCCAAAGTGCTAGGATTGCAAGTGCGAGCTACCATACCCAGCCCTGGATATCCTCCTTCTAGCTCTTTGAAACTATATATTATGGTTAACTATAGGCATTCTACAGTGCTATACAACACTAGAACTTATTCCCCTTATTATGTTGTAATTTTGAATCCTTTAGCAAGTATCTCTTTATTCCCGTTTCCCCCACCGTTTTCAACCTCTAATATCTTCTGTTCTACTTTTTACTGATGAAAGGTCAAATTTTTTTTGCTTCCACATATGAGTGAGAATATGTGATGTTCAACTTTCTGTTCCTGGCTTATTTCACTTAACATGATGTCCTCCAGTCCCATCCATGTTGCTTTGAATTAAAAGATTTCACTTTTTTATGGCTGAATAGTATCCCATTGTGTATACCATATTTTCTTTATTCAATCATCTGTTGTTGGACACCTAGTTGATTCCATATCTTGGCTATTGTGAATAGTGCTGTGATAAACATGCGGGTCTGCGCAGAGGTCTCTTCAAGATACTGATTTCCTTTTCTTTAGATAAATGCTCAGTATCTGAATTATATGGTAGTTCTATTTGCAGTTTTTTGAGGAACATCCATATGGTTCTTCATAGTGGCTGTACTAGTTTACGTTTCTATCAACAGTGTGTAAGAGTTCACTTTTCTCCACACCTCACGAGCATCTGTTCTTTCTTGTCTTTTTGATGATAGCCGGGCCAACTGGGGTGAGATGACACCTCACTGTGGTTTCGATTTGCATTTCCCTGATGATTAGTGACACTAAGCATTTTAAAAATATATTTGTTGGCCATTTGTATATCTCCTTCTGAGGAATGTCCATTCAGATCATTTGCCCTTTTTTTTTTTTTTTTTGCTGTTGAGATACTTGAGTTCCTTGTATATTCTAGATATTAATTCCCTGTCAGATGTATACTTTGCAAATATTTCCCCCATTTTGTAGGTTGTCTTTTAACTGTATTGATTGCTTCCTTTGCTATGTAGACGCTTTTTAGATTCATATAATCCATTTGTTCACTTTTGCTTTTGTTGCCTGTGCTTTTGAGGCCTTATTCATAAAATATTTTCTCAGACCAATGCCCCAAAGTGCTTTCTATATGTTTTCTTCTAGTAGTTTTACAGTTTCAGGTCTTACTAAAGTCTTTGATTCATTTTGAGTTGATTTTTTGTAGGATGAGAAGTGGGGGGTCTAGTTTTATTCTTCTGTACATGAATATCCAGTTTTCCAGCACCATTTACTGAAGAGATTACTCTTTCCCCAATGTATGTTCTTGGTGCCTTTGTCAAAAATGAGTTGGCTGTACATAATAGATTAATTTCTGGGTTCTCTATGCTGTTTCATTTGTTTATGTTTCTGTTGTATACCATTTTATCTTTACTATTGGCTCATTATTTATATCTCTTTTAAAATTTTCTTTTCAGTAGTTGCCCCAGGATTTATAGTACACAACTTTAATTAGTCACAGACTGCCTTCAAATGATAGTATGCCATTTCATGTGTAGTGTAAGCACATTATGACACCATACTCCCACTTTTTTCCATCTGTCTTTTATGCTATAGTTATTATACATTATGCTGTTACTACATGCAATAAACACAAAATACATTGTTACTATTTTGCCTTAGAAAATTATATCCACAGTAATAAAAATTAGAATAAAATAAATTTTATACTTACCCTATGTCATTTCCATTGCTTTTTATTTCTTTTTGTATATTCAGTTTATTCTCTGGTATTATATTCCATCTGCCAAAAAAACTTCTTTTAACATTTCTTGCAGTGTTGGTGGTAGTGAATTTTATCAATTTTTGCTTGTATAAGAAATTTATTTTAGCTTTATTTTAGTTTTATTTTTAAAAGATATTTTCACTTGGTAGAGAACTCTCTATTGATGTCTTAAAAATTTAGCAGTTTGAAATTATTCTCCATTCTCTTGCAGCTTGCATACTTTCTGATGAGTAGTCTTCTGTAATTCTTATCTCTCTTTCAGTATATGTAATGTATCTCCCACCAACTTTCCCCCAGCTCCTTCTAGAGTTTTCTCTTTATCTTTGATTTTCAACAGTCCAAATATGATTTGTTTAGGTGTATTTTGGGGGATATAGATAAATATCTTGATTGATGTTCTCTGTACTTCTTGCAGTTGTGAGTTGGATGTTTTCATTAATTTTGAAAAATTTTTGGTCATTATAACTTTCACATTTTTTTCTCCTTTCTCTTCCTATTTTTTTTTGAAATTTCAATTGTAAATACAGTAGACTGTTTGACATTGTCCCACAGTTCTTGGATATGCTTCTGTTTCTTTTCTTTTCTTTTCTTTTCTTTTTCTTGCTTGCTTGTTTTTTTTTTGTTTTGTTTTGTTTTGTTTGTTTTTTGTTTTTTTTGCTTGCTTCCTTTTTCTATTCTTATTTCTTTCTGTTTTAGTTTGGGTACTTTTTGTTGACCTACCTTCAAGTTCACTGATTGTTTTTCTATTCTCTGTTACTCTTTTTATGAGTTCATCAAAGACATTTTTGTATATTTTGTTTCTCTTTTATTTTTGGCATATTCATTTGATTCGATCATGTAATTTCCATCTTTATTTCTGTTCTCTAAAATTTTTCTATATGTTCATACATCCCTGCCTTTTCTACTAAAGCCTTTAGTCTATTAATTACAGTTACTTTAAATTTCTTATCAGGTAGTTGAAGCATATGGGGCATATCTCAGTCTGATTTTATTGATCTTTTTTTCTTGATAGTGTGCCATTTGAATTTTTGCTTTATAATATTTTTTGGAAGATGAGCATTTGTGTAGGACTATAAAGGCTAAGACAAATAGTATTTTTGTTAGACATAGATATGCTTTTTAACTTTATCATGCCTATGCCTTTAGTGGTGGTGGTGGAGATGTTGAGTCAATCTAGTTTGGAATTGACCTGGGTTTGGATTTTGTTACTGCTGTATTTACCTTCTGTTTACCTTAGGCTTCAAATTCCTCTAGCATTAGCTTGCACATGAAAAAAAAAAAAACTGGTTTTGTCAGGGTTATTTTCTTAATGTCTGCTATAATTTGGTTTGTCTGACTGCTCCAAATCTTATGTTAAAATTTGATGTCTCATGTTGGAGGCGTGGCCTAATGGAAAACGTTTAGGTCATGGGGGTGCATCCCCCATGAAGGACTTGTTTCCCTCTATGCTGTACTCATGGTAATGAGTGAACTCTCTCTATTCATTTCCACAAGAGCTGGTTGTTAAAAAGAACCTGGCACCTCTATCTCTTACTTCTTCTCTTGCCATGTAATCCCTGCACAGCTGGCCCCCTCTTACCTTCTGCCATGAAACTCAAACTCCTGACCTCAGGTGATCCACCTGCCTTGATCTCCCAAAGTTCTGGGATTATGAGTATGAGCTACCATGCCTGACCATGAGTTTTTAATTTTTAGTAGAGATGGGATTAGCAGCCTGTGGCTGTCCTCAGATGTCCAATCTTAAACTTTTTCAGACATCAGAATTGTTACCCAAATAAACCACTTTCTTATTATTAATTACCCAGTCTCAGGTATTCCTTTATAGCAACATAAATGGTCTAAGACAATGTCTAATTCACCATTAGTATTGTGTCTTCCCTTTGTGCCTAAGGCCCAGAGAAGCTCACTCTGGTTGTTCTTGCTTCTCCCCTCCCCTTAAACTGCTGTTATTTCTTCCTCAGTATTTGCTAGGCTGGTTGCAGAGGGAAGAGCAGGTGGGAATTCTCTGTTGTCCTTATTCAGCCTTAGTCTTAGGAAAATTCTTTGTCCCTGGGTCTCATGTGCAGGTCCTTCTCCATGATCCTGCCTCTCCCTCAATAGTACAAGTTCTTTTGCGCCAACCAAGTGAAGTTGTTCCGACCTATTTCCTTCCCCAGGGGTTAAGATTTTTTTTTCTCTTCTATTCTCCCAGCTATGATGTGTTTCCACTTGTGCCCTGAGAGGTAAGAGGTTTTCTGTACTTCCTCCAGCAGCTTAAGGCTTTTGTTCTGCAGGGCAGCTAGAAGAGTAGAATCCAGGTGAGACTTGCTGCCTTTCCTAAAGTTATTGCTGCTTCCCTCCTCCAGGCATGCAGCACGTAGGAGGATTTCTCTAATCTTTGTCACCTTGCCCCCATCTTTCTTGTGAGTCAACAGTATGGTCCCTGGAAAAGATCCTGAGAGTTTGTACTCATTTTCTTTATGTCTGTGTCTCCCATGTTTCTATATTTTTAATCATCCTTTAGCAATGATTTTTCTTTAGCAATTGTTACAAATTTTAGCTGAGTAGTTTTTACCAGATTGCAGGATGCCTGGCACCTGCCCCTAATAAGCAAGTGCTGTGTCCTGTCTTTCCTTGGAGACTTCTCCCTTCCTTTGGATTTCAGGCTACTCAGTTGTCCTGCAAACTCAGCTCTCTGATGTCTTCGAGAAAAATAATCTTTTCATAGATTATCCACTTTTCTTCATTCTAAGAGTGAGGATGACATTTTTCAGTTTTCTGCATCCTAAGCTGAAGCCAGCTATTTGTAAGCTGTTGTTTAATTTGCCAGGCTTTTTGGGGGGGTCTCCTATTCCCTAAATATACTTTCTAAAGCTTTTAATATTTTTATACATAGATGTAGTAAACATGGTTATTTTGTAGTATTTGTGTGATTTTATACAACTATAAAGTCTTTGTGAATATATTTTTTTTCTTTCTGTTGTTTCTGCTGCTTCGTGGATGTATTCACTTGTTTTGTGTCCCTGTTTATTTTGATGGTGGGCTAGTCCTCTCTCTCAAAAACATATCTGTGTAGGTTCCCAAAGTCTTAGGATGAATATATTTTCCTCTAGAAAAAGTTTACTTTTTTTCTGGATCCCCAGGGTGCCAGAAGCTCAGAATCACTTTAAATCTATTCTCGCATGGTTTGTGGTTTCTTTGATCACCCCAGGGATTAAAAGATGGGACATATATCCATATATAATTCTGTCCTCTTGGAATTAAACTCTCTTTCTCTCTCTCCCTCTTCCTTCCCTCCACTGCCCTTTTCCCTTCTTCTCTTTAATAAGGCAATTGTCCTCTACTTTCAGGAAGGAAAGCTTTCAGGATAAAACACTAGAGAAACTCATTTATACAGACATATGGAGATTTAGAAGGACAGAAATATTTGAATCCAAAGAAGCAATCCTTTATGATAAAATATATCTCCCCAGAGATTATTAAATGGAGTAGTCTATGGGAAAAAAGGGAGACAAGGAGGGACTCTTCCACGGAACCCTCCATTATCTTACTACCTATCTCTCTTACAAAGCCAGGTAACTGTTGGCCTAGAAGGCCAACTTTAATGTGAACTATAGATAGAAGAGAGCTGGATGCTGGATCAACAACTTGCTAGATAGTCTAAAACCTGGAGGGTAGAAACCTGTGTGTGGGCAGCATTATTGCTTTATTCAGTGGCTAGGCTGGGAGTTTCAATGAGATGGAATGCACTCTACAGAGAAGGTTACTGAGATCTGGCCTGATTCTCACTGCCTGAAGCTAATCATTGGTTCCCTGTGCTTCTCTGAATGTTGGTTACTGAATCGTTTTTCAATAAATGTGTTTTCCATATCTTCTGTAGGTCTTCAGCAAGGAATAAATGTTGATTCTATACACTTTTTACATAAAAATATATACCTCAATGGCTTTCCCTAAAGCAAGACAGAGTTAAGAGTTTATCAAAATCAATAAAGTTTAAGGAAGGGAATATCATTAAAGCTTGGCAGATCAGGAACCTTAATATAAGGGTCAGTTTTCCCCATTCCCTACCTTCTCCCAGTAGGTGTGAACTTCAAGGCCTGAATTTATCTTTTTGCTCCTCAGACTCAATGACTTCAGGATTGTTCTTTGAAATTTATACCTCAGCTTTGTTTCAATTTGCTCCTATTACGAAGCAAAAGAAGAGCTTTGCTCCTGTTTTCCTACAAAGAACTCTGCTTACATTTTCCACCATTCATAGTACAGGAAAACTGCCAGACATTTCCCAGAAAATCTAACCCTTAAAGTTATGGTGAAACCCTAGTCCCATAATAGCTTTATGTTATAGAATTAGATAACTAAAGAAAAGTGCAAATATTGTTTTTATTTATTTAGAAGGGTTTTTTTTTTTTTTTTTTTTTTTTTTTTTTTTTTTTTTTTGGTCTAGAAGAGACATCAGGTACCTTACCAGGAAAAGTAAAAAAAAAATAGCAAAATGGTAAATAAAGGAAAGAAGGAATGAAGGAAGAAAGGAAGAGGAGAGAGAGAGGAAAGAAGTAAAGGGAACCAAACATTTCACAAATACTTCCTATGCGTTGGCCACAAATTTGGTTATAAGACATAATTTAGTTTACCTTGAAAAAAGCCTGATGAATCGTGCAAATTATGTAGTGTCTTATCAGGTTCAAAAAGATGACTTGTTCAGGATACCCAGAACTCTCCTAACATTAACAGTAGCTAGGAATGTCTCATAAAGAGGACTACTAGCCATCATAAAGAGGACTCTGAGTAAAAGAATTAACAACACCCTTTACAAAATCATTTGGGTAGTGACACAGCACATACTCCTTGGAAGCTTTTCTTATGAGATCCCTCAGCATTGACCAATGACACCATACAGAAATACAATCTATATAGGTAACACCACAGGAGAATAAAACAGTATATAATGGGGCCCCAGACATGCAGCAGGGGTATTTCCGAGTCCTGGGAGATAATAGAATAAACTCATGGAGGACCTGTCCTTGAAGATGGATATTTGGACAAAGGAAATGATGATGTCAGACATCAATGTTTTGTATATATTTTAAGTCTTTTAAATGTATTGAGTAAATGCATGAGGAATATGGAAAGTTAGTTTTCCCAATGACATCAAGTGTTTTGAGGGTTGATGTGATAAAACTTTGTATCCATAACACAGTGTTTAGGACATAGTAAATGTTCAATAAATAGTAGTCATTGAATTAAGCCAAAATAAAAGGCAGAAATATACACAACTGGCACATTGAATAGTAAGAAGACTGGCTTGACGGAAAAGGAAGACTAGGTGGAGAGGAATTCAAACATTTCCTCTTTCAGGAAGCTTTTCTTTTTTAAAAACTTATTTTTTGTATACTTAATTTGTTTAAACATTTATTTTAGGTTCAGGGGTACATGTGCAGGTTTGTTATTGTGTATTGTGGGAGTTGGTGTACAGATTATTTGGTCAACTAGATAATAAACATAGTATCTGATAGGTAGTTTTCAAATTCTCACCCTCCTCCCACCCTCCACCCTCAAGTAGGTTGTGGTGGCTATTGTTCCCTCCTTTGTGTTCATATGTACTCAAAGTTTAGCTCCCAATCATAAGTGAGAACATGTGGTATTTGGTTTTCTGTTCCTGTGGTAATTTGCTTAGGATAATGGCCTTCAGCTCCATCCATGTTGCTGCAAAGGACATATCTTATTATTTTTTATGGGTACATAGTATTCCATTGTGTATATGTACCACATTTTTTCATTTTAGTCTACCACTGATGGGCATTTAGGTTGATTCCACGTCTTTGCTATTGTAAATAGTGCTGCAATGAACATACGCATACATATGTCTTTATAGCAGAACAATTTATATTCCTTAGGGTATATACCCAATAATGGGATTGCTGGCTTGAATAGTAATTCTGTTTTAAGTTCTTTGAGAAATTGCCAAATTGCTTTCCACAATGGCTGAACTAAATTACTTTCCCACCAGAAGTGTATAAATGTTTCCTTTTTTCCACAACCTCACTAGAATCCAGCATCTGTGATTATTTGATTTTTTAATAATAACCTTTCTGACTGGTGTGAGATGGTGTCTCATTGTGGTGTTGATTTGCATGTTTCTACTGATTAGTGATGTTGAGCATTTTTCATATGCTTTTTGGCCATGTGTATGTCTTCTTTTGAAAACTGTTCATGTCCTTTGCCCACATTTTAATGGGTTGTTTCTTTTTTTGCTTGTAAATTTATTTAAGTTCCTTGTAGATTTCTGGATATTAGACCTTTGATGGATGCATAGTTTGCAAATATTTTCTCCCATTCTGTTGGTTGTCTATCTACTCTGTTGATAGTTTATTTTGCTTTGCAGGAGCTCTTTAGTTTAATTAGGCCCCATTTATTAGTTTCTGTTTTTGTTGCAATTGCTTTTAGTATCTTCATCATGAAAACTTTGGCAGGGCCTATGTCCAGAATGGTATTTCCTAGGTTGTCTTCCCAGAGTTTTTATAGTTTTAGGTTTTATGTTTAAGTCTTCAAACCACCTTGAGTTGATTTTTTGTATATGGTATAAGAAAGGGGTCCAGTTTCCATCTTCTGTGTATGGCTAGCCAGTGATCCCAACACCATTTATTGAATAGAAACTCCTTTCCCCATTGGTTATTTTTGTTGATTTTGTTAAAGATCAGAGGGTTGTAGATGTGCAGCATTATTGCTGGGCTCACTATTCTGTTCTGTTGGTCTATGTGTCTGTTTTTGTATGAGTGTCATGCTATTTGGTTACTTAGCTTTGTAGTATAGTTTGAAGTCAGGTAACACAATGCCTCCAGGATTGTTCTTTTTGCTTAGAATTGCCTTGGCTATTTGGGCTCTTTTTTTTCTGCTTTATTTTTTATTTTTATTTTTGTTTTTTTATTTCAATGGGTTTTTGGGGGAACAGGTGGTGTTTGGTTACATGAATAAGTTGTTTAGTGGTGGTTTCTAAGATTTTGGTGCACCCATCATCTAAGCAGTGTACACTGTACCCAATGTGTAATCCCTCACCCTCCTCCCCTTTCCCTGAGTCCCCAAAGTCCATTGTATCATTCTTAAGTTGGGCTCTTTTTTGGTTCCATATGAATTTTAAAGTAGTTTTTTCCAGTTCTGCAATGAATGTAATTGGTAGTTTAATGGGAATAGCATTGAATCTGTAGATTTGCTTTGGCAATATGCAGGAGGCCTTTCTTATTCACTCATCTTTAGGCTGAGTTAATCACTTCTCCTGAAGACTTCTTTCTCTGCCTACCAGGGGCTCCTACTAGGGAATTTTCAGACCATGTTGTAATTATTTGCTTACCCTTCTGCTCCCGTTTACTCTCCCTACCTGCCAACCCAGGTGTTCCTTGGATACAAAGACTCAGGGTTTTATACTGTTGTATCCCAAGCCTAAATTCTTAATGAATATTGACTGAATGAGTGGGAAGATTGGGCCTGATTACTGGAATAATTTTGAAGGAGTTTGATCTCCAACCTTTACAAAGACTTTGTCCTACAGAAAAAAAAATTAAGTTCCTTGAGCAAATGAATTAAATAGATATTATTTTCTAGGAATATGAATGCTTTTATGTCTAGGTTTGCATAAGAAGTTACTAGAAATGAGACCAGTTCTGAAGCTGTTGTAAGGACAAAGGGCTGGAATGACAGGAACCAGAATTATGGTAAACAAGTAGAAAACAAAAAGAGTTGTCTCAGCAGGTTGTTTTTCATATCAAAATAGCTCATGCAGGAAAAAAAAAAGTTTAAAGTGAAGTTTTGGGCCAAGTGCGGTGGCTCATGCCTGTAATCCCAGCACCTTGGGAGGTAGAGACAGGCGGATCATGAGGTCAGGAGTTTGAGACCAGCCTGGCCAACATGGTGAAACCCCATCTCTACTAAAGATACAAAAAATTAGCCGGACGTGGTGGCATGCACCTGTAATCCCAGCTACTCGGAAGTCTGAGGTAGGAGAATCGCTTGAACCTGGAAGGTGGAGGTTGCAGTGAGCCAAGATAGCGCCACTGCACTCCAGCCTGGGTGACAGGGCAAGACTCCATCTCAAAAAAAAATAAAAATGAAATTTTGGTTAAATTCTACTTCTTTCTTTCCTATCACATGAAAAATTATTGCCCCAAGTCCAAAAATAAACGTTCTTCCCATGATTATTCACGTATCTTTAATACCCTTGGGGAAAAACTGTAACAGCAGCATGAATATGTCAGTAATGAACTGACATATTCATTAGGTTTTTCTAATAATGAATATGTCCTAGGTTGTCTTCCCAGAGTTTTTATAGTTTTAGGTTTTACGTTTAAGTCTTCAAACCACCTTGAGTTGATTTTTTGTATATGGTATAAGAAAGGGGTCCAGTTTCCATCTTCTGTGTATGGCTAGCCAGTGATCCCAACATCATTTATTGAATATAAACTCCTTTCCCCATTGGTTATTTTTGTTGATTTTGTTAAAGATCAGAGGGTTGTAGATGTGCAGCATTATTGCTGGGCTCACTATTCTGAGCCCAGCAATATTCAAATATTCAAATTCTGAATATGAATTTAATGACATAAGCCATTAGGTTTTTCTGCCTTGAAGGGAATGAGGATTAAAGGGAACTCACATCTCTGAAAGAGTTGGGCTTGGGCTTTTCTTCTCCTCCAACACTAACATTAGAAAGTCACTTACCCTCTCCTAGTGTCTATTTCTTTATTCATCAAAGAAAGGATAATAATATTTTCCATAGCTTAGTTATGGGGCTACTGAGAACTGGGACCTTGTCTTATATCCAAATACTTAGCACAATGTAATAGTAGGCAATCAGTAAATATCCGTCCGAAGAATGGATAAAGGAGACAATGAATATTATATTGCTGAGAAAAGTCTACACATCTTATAAATTTAATACCATTATAAAAAATAAAGCTATCTCATATTTGTGCCATTTCATGTTAGAAATCACTCACAAAGAGAGAGGAAGTTTTTTTCTCACACTACACTGCTTGTTTAAGTGTAGCTGGTTGTGGGGCAGGGATAGAGGGGATACTGATGTGGAAGAAATAGTGAGACACTTTATTTCTTCAGTCTCAGGTATGTTGGGGGATGTTTATAGAGATTGGCCATTTCTGTAGAAGATTCTGGATTCCACCCTGCTTGCCAGAGGCTTCTGTGTCAACAGCCAGAATGAACGTATGTCTAATTTTAACTCAAGTGGAGCAGACATTTATTTTGGGAAGACAGGATCCTTTTGAGAATGGCTGCAATTGCCTGTGGGTTGGATCAGAGTTGAATTTCTTGATCATTTTGCTTCACTATCGGGAAAGATATCATTGAATTTTTACCTGGCTCTGATATGATTTCTTCCTTTAACGTTCTAAAGGACGATTAGAAGAATTTATTTTTAATTCTCCAAGATGCCTTACCTGTTGCACACTTCCTGGGATCTTTATCTGATTTAGCCTTCATATATGGCTGAGGGAAGTGTTTAAGCAGCAACCTTTGATGGTGTTTTAGGCGACCACATTTCCCTCACCCCTCAGGGCACAGCAGCTGTGATGAGAGAAGGAAACACTGGATTGAGAGTTAGATAGACTAGGAGTTCCTTCCAAGATCTTCTACTTATTAGCACATAACCTCAGGCATGAGAACTACTAAAAGCTCCCATTTATTCTTACATAAATTACATAAATATGTGGGGATATATATATATATATATATACATACATATATTTATATAAAATAATATTGCTTTTCTTGACCCCATAACTATGCCTGGAGCTTATGTCATTTATCTTAACACCTAAACCTTTCAAGACATATGTAAGTTATTATTCTTGGAATCTGTAAGGTCTAATTCCACAGTGATTCTTTATACCTTTTTATACTGCTTTAAAGATGGAATTGGGCATGAACAAAAAGAAAGGGATAAAGGAAATTTTCAAAGAATTTTTTCCAGATAAGGCTGCCTCTGTTTGGAAGCCAGTGGTAACAGTAAAGACCCCAACATGACGGAACTACTTGGCTAGGAGCTGGTGACGTCTTACTCCCAGAGGAGTGAGTACAGATTGCTGTATTCTCAAGACCCTATGACCAAGTGCTGTTGCAGAGGTACCTACAGGTCCATGGGGCAACTTCATTCTGAAAAGCATTCTATTCGAGTTGAGGAATGTCTGCTGGAATCTTCTCTATGCCTCAGTGTAGGGTATATGGTGCTGGGATAGTATAAGAAATGGTCCTTGACCTCTAGGAGTTCAGTTTATTGCAGGTGTAAGATATAGACCAAAGAGACAATCATAAAGCAATGATAAACAGTGTATAACAAAATGTAAGTGAAATGCAATTCAAGTAGGGTGACAGAGAAATGGAATGCCTGAAATGCCAGCTCAGGTTCCACTAGCTCTGTAAGCTTCAGAAAATCACTTTATTTCTCTGGGATTCATTATGCCATCTTTTAAATAAGGGGCGTATGTACAGGTAAGAGGCAGATATACTCAGATCTCTTGCAGTAAAAATCCCAAGCATGCCTCTGACAAATTAGAATAAGACATCCTTTTCCCCAGGCAGGGCACATTGTTGGCTTGTTGAGCAGAGAATAAGTTATCAGGCCTCACTTGTCCTCTTCTTGCCCCGCTTTGCACAGTGCCTAACCTGCACAGTGCCTATATTGCAGTCTTTGGTCTATCCTGGCTCTGATACTTGTTTGCCCTGTGGTCTTTAGCAAGTTATTCCCTAAGCTTCATCTTTCTTACCTGAAAAATGGAAGAATTATGTCCACTTAACAGCATTGTTTTGAGTATAAAGTTTAAAGCAAATATAAAATATTAGTCACAAACTAAGCATTTAGTGTCAGTTATGAGTGAGATCATTGAGACAATGTGGAAAATGCCATGATGTATTAAATAAGTATCACATTTTTGAAAGCCAAGGAGAGGAACACAATGAGCAAGATGTGACTTCATGTAGGAGATGTGCCTGCAGGTGGTCCTTGCAGGATGGTGGAGTTCTGATCAGCATCTACCTGGGATCACATAATTTAGGCAGGGGAATGTTCTTCGAGATCAGGGTAAGTGTAGTGTGTGACAGAGTGAGTGAGCAAATCCGCTTTCTTGGAATAGAAACTTGATATCAGGAATGTCAAAAAGAGGGCATGAGTATTCAGATGCTTCAGAGGATAAAGAACTATGGGAGAGATAATGATTGCTAAAGAAATTATTTTGAGAACTCCTATTAAATGCATTTGGAATTTCTAGATCAAGTTTCCACACCACTTAATTTTGGTCTGTAGTTTCTGTTTCCCTATCTTCTGTGTGAATACAACCTAACATCTATCTTACTGGTTTGCCCTTCAGCTGTGTCTGGATTTTTTAATTATATATATATTTTTATTTATATTTTTAAAACTTTTTTTGTCATAGGTACCTACTCTTTTTTCCCCCCATTAGTTTTTGGGAAACAGGTGGTATTTAGTTACGTGAGTAAGTTCTTTAGTGGTGATTTCTGAGATTTTGGTGCACCCATCACTCAAGCAGTATACATTGTACCCAATTTGTACTCTTTTATCCCTCACCTTCTTCCCCCAAGTCCACAAAGTCCATTGTATCATTCTTTGCATCCTCAGAGCTTAGCTCCCCACTTATGAGTGGGAATGTATGATGTTTGGTTTTCTATTCCTGAGTTACTTCACTTCGAATAATGCTATCCAGTTCCATCCAGGTTGCTGCAAATGCCATCATTTCATTCCTTTTTATGGCTGAGTAGTATTCCCTGATATATATATGTGTATATATATATATATATATATATGGTATATATACATATATATACCACATTTTCTTTATTCACTCATTGACTGATGGGCACTCAGGTACCTACTTTTATTTTAATCTCCTGTTTTTGTTTTATAGGCTGTTTTTTCAAGAATATTATTTCATCCATTATCTCTCTGAGGATATTTAAATATTTTAAGAGCCTTTCAAATTACTCTGTTATCTCTGTTTCCTTTTATGGTGTTAGCTTTCTTCATATTATCGGTAGCTGTTGGTTAAATGCTTAGCTTCAAGAAAATTTTTCCACATAACTTTCCCACTGAAATTTTCATTATCTGTGAAAGTCTCCCTGTCAAGTGGCAAAGCAATACGGTTCTGTCCTCATTTCACCACCATGTTTTCTCCTGTCTGTATCTCTTTTGAGGAAGTTTCCTCATTTTTTTGTTCATACTACAAAGTATGGCTTTGAAGTAATTGATTTCTTTCTTACATATGCAATGGTTTTGTGCAAGAAGTGAAGATTTCAGGAAGAACCCAGTCCACTTTTTAGAAATCAGAAATCCAAAACTACCTCTTTCTAACATGTCCTATATGTCTAAAATGTTATAATTCTTTATGTTCCCTTAGGCATGTAACTACATGTTAAGGCACATTTTCTGGGTTTTACATCTTCTTTTTACTTTCTATTTCTTAAAAAGTTCAAATTGGGGCCAGGTGCGGTAGCTCACGCCTGTAATCCCAGCACTTTGGGAGGCTGAGGCGGGCGGATCACGAGGTCAGGAGATGGAGACCATCCTGGCTAACACGGTGAAACCCCGTCTCTACTAAAAATACAAAAAAATTAGCCAGCGTGGTGGCAGGCGCCTGTAGTCCCAGCTACTCGGGAGGCTGAGGCAGGAGAATGGCGTGAACCCAGGAGGCGGAGCTTGCAGTGAGCCGAGATGATGCCACTGCACTCTAGCCTGGGCGACAGAGCAAGACTCCGTCTCACTAACACACACACACACACACACACACACACACACAAAAAAAAAAGTCAAATTGGTGTTTGCAAAACACAATGGAGTCTGTACTAAAATATTACTGGACGCTGAATTTTTTTTTGAGGTTTGTGTTTAGCCTTATTTGTTATTCATTTCCAAACAAAACCAATGCCACGTTCAATTTTTCCACGTGATTTAGAATTGCTGTATCCAATACGATAGCCACTAGCCACCCAGGGCTACTCAAATTTAACTTAATTAAACTAAAATTGAAAATTCGGTTTCTTAGTAACACTCGCCACATTTCAAGGGTTCGGTAGCCAGTGGATAGCAGTTATCGCAAAGGACAGCACAGATAGAGAACATTTTTATCATCACAGAAATTTCTGTTGGATGCCATAGTTATTTGGATCATTGAGATTCCAGAGATATAAGCAGAATCTCTCCTAATATGTGTGTGTGTGTGTGTGTGTGTGTGTGTGTGTGTGTGTGTGTGTGTGTGTGTGTGTGAGAGAGAGAGATTTCATGTATAATGCAGAATTTCTTCAGTAAACAATATGGAATATGACTGGCAAAAACTAAGAACACAGTTTTTTAATATATTTGACTATATTTGTTTAGATCCTTTAGCTAAAACCATATGAATGGGCTGTGAGTTCTTCACTGGTGCAAGTCCACTTGGAGTGGTCTCAACTCTACTGCTGTCTGTGCCCTGTACCTCCCTCTCCAAGATAAGAACCCAGCAGGGTTTGTATCCTCTGAGGCTTCCTCTCTGCTTGACTTGCAGATGGCCATTCTCGTGCCGCCTCTTCACATGCTCTTTGCTCAGTGTGGGTTCATCCTTGCCATTTCTTATGCCTGTCCATATTTTCTTTTCTTATAAGGACACCAGTCAGATTGAATTAGGGCTCCCCCTAACATCCTTATTTTAACTTAATCAGATATTTAAAGGTCTTATCACCAAATACAGTCACATTTAAAGGTACTGGGTGGTTAGGGATTCGACATATGAATTTTAAGGGAACACAATTTAGCTCATAATAGATAATGTCCTTAGAACTGAAGAAAATATAACCAACTCATGATATACTTAGAAGGCTATGAGTTCCCCTGATGAATTTAATTTTTTGTATAATTGCAGGTCAAGTAGAAAATCCCAGTGGTTCCACCATGTTAGTTCCATGTAATTAGTGTGTTGGTTATCGGTATTTATTTTTCCTCACTAGTGAGGGTGCTTGGGACCTAGGAGTGAATATTTCTTCTAAAATCATGAAGAAGGTTGTAGAGTCATCTTGGGATTGCCATTCAACTTCTTTGCATCTCTGTATCCTCCAGTGTAAAATGGAAATAATCACAACTGTCTTATAATGCTGTTTTCAGTTATTTTCTACAAAGTATCTATCACAAACCCTATTTCGTAGTTCATGCTTTATAAATGTCTTTTGGAAAAAGAAGAGACTGAGTCTGTACTGACTTCCAAACAACCTATATTTTTAAAAATTTCTTCATCTAGATTTTTTTCCCCTTTACTGACAAATTTAAATGCTCAGTCAATGCAGTAAGGCCCATGTAATTAAACACTCCAGTCAAAAGAACTCTACCTTACTAAGATTTAATGAAGAACTCAGAAGTATTCAGATGCAATAGACATAAGATTTTTTCCTCCACCAGAAGATTGCTGGCCACCCTTGCACAGAATACCTTGGGCTAGGGGAGTCATCTAGTTTGAAACAACCTCTATTCCTGTGAGTTTTCTCCAGGGAGAGCCACAGTGCTCTTACAATCCATCTGGAACTCCCTGGAGGAGCTTGCTCCATTATGTGTCTCTCAATTAATTATACCATGCCAAGAAATAACTAAGACACCAATACTTTTGAATTGGAAGGAAATCTAATCCTTTCTGCCATCCAATATAGGTGACCTTTCTTCTGCACTCCTTTCCTCCAGCCTCATGGGCACTTAGGCATATCAAGCTCACCCCAAGAATTCCTACCACACATTGAGATAAAAATCTCCCTGTCTATCACTTCCAGTCCTGAAAGCAATTGCAATTCCCCTAAGTCCAGCCTTAAAAATGGCCTTTAAGCCACATTTATGGACTAGAAAGGAACAAACTCATTGATTTAATGAGATCATCCATGTTTCACTAACAACAGTTTTAAAATGCTGTTCTGAGGACCATTCCTGCAGTTCAAGTTTGCCTGTTGTGAATTGAGTCATTACAGGTATGTGGGTGAGTGGATGATGCCAACCTTATGGAGAGCTGGTTGAATGATTAATGGCCTTGGCTTCTGATTTTAGAGGTTCCCATTAATCACAAGGGATTGAGTCTTTTTCATGAAGACTCTGTTATAGCTTCTCCTGCCATTTCCTCACTTCCTTCCTAAAGTGAGTAAGATGGATATTTTTGATCTTGGAGTGTGGAAACCATTTCTTATAAATCCCTTTGGAAATTTCTGGACCAAATTACCCTAAAAACACATTTCTTAATCCTATACTATTTGAACCACTCTGGAACAAGAAGAAAATTGGTAAAAATGCCAATGAATGCACTCCTTCAGCTTGGTCTGTGAAGTTATTATCTTTATCATGGGGAATTTCAAGAAAAGCATTTATAGAGGTCTTAATTAAAGAATACCACTATCATTGGAATCATTAAAATGTCAAAGAAGCTGTATTTGCCACCAGTACTGTCTCTTGACCATGGATGGATAAAGAGTTACATGAGATAAGAGCACGGTGAAGGGAAATTAGCCCCACAATGGGGACACAATATTTGGGGTCAAATCCTGGTTCTGAAATTGACTGACTTTGTTGCACATAACTCTTACCTGCCTCAGTTTTCACATCAGAAGTAACAAAAGAGGAATCAAGATAAGGTTATTTGAAGAGTATGGAAAAATCTGTATAAATATTAGTCAGATTCTTACCTAAACTTCACTGACTTCTTTCTTCTGTCCTTTATGACTCCAAGATTTTAGTCATACTGTGCAAAATTGAAGTGGTTTGCTCAGATAAATTTTCAAAGTCAGCAACAAGCTAACCAATGGGACTGAACAATAGCATGGTGAGATGGAAAAAAATGGGGGTCATACATTCCTGGGTTTAAATTCTCACTTTACTTACCCATGTATCCTTAAGTAAGTTACTCCACTTCCTTCATTTAATCTTTAAAATAATATTTACCTCATAGGATTATTGTAAGATTAAAAAAGATAATATATATCTAAAATAGTTGCATAATGCCTGGCACCTATTAGGTACTCATTAAATATTATATATACATAAACGCCTCTTCCTCCCCCTCTTTTTCTTCCTTCCATAAAAGTCACCTAATCTCTGATCAGTCAATGTGGAACTTGTGATAGGGAATGGAGGAGACAGAGGATAGAGTGAGCAATAGATTCAGCTGGAGCCAGAGAGTCTGCAGGACAGGAGAACAATCTACCAAGATCTTGCCCATCTGTTAAGGAATAGGAATTCTGTAAGAAATTTATTCTCACCTCCCATCACAGACCTCTGATGGGTCTTCCCTGCAATATGGTGGAGAAGCAGAAGAAAGGACAAGGAAGGATTCTTGATCTTAAAAGTTTCTACAACCGCCCTCCTACGAAATCTCATTTCCTAGGCCAGGACACTTGGCTGAAAATAAACTGTGAAGCTCTCTGAGCCACTTGGAAAAATGCCAAGAAGTTGCATTTTTGACTTGTAATTCACATAGAAAATGAGAGCATTTCAGATTTTGTTTGCATGTAACTGTATTGAGGGTTCCCTTCTTCTCAAAATGAAGCTGCTTGGAACCTCTTCACAGTAATATTTCTCTACCGTGAGTAAGTCATAAATACTCAGGGCCATTCCTGCCAATCTAACAAACCAAGCTGAAGTGGACCCTGGTAACTGTTGACCTCAGGGCTCATTGGAGGGGACTGGCTGAAGTCTTCATTAGGCAGGCACCTGGAAGGCTTAGGAGGGCCCCGAGGCAGCTCCAGGGCATGTGAAGAGCAGTGTTACAGCCTCAGAGACATGGATACCAGTCCAGGCTCAAACATGACTTGTTTGGGACCTCAGGCGGGTCTGTTGAGCTTTCAAGGACTCAATGCCTCCTCTTTAAAATGTGGATAATGATCATTATACCACTTTACCTCACAATGATGGGGTGAAGATTAATGCTGATTATAGTTGTGAAAGTGTTGTATAAAAACAAAACACTATTATTATCTTTAGTAATAGTCTTCTTAAGTCTTGCCATAGCTGCCCTGGGACTGTAATCTATGGGACCACTTTATAATGAGCTCTTTTGGGAATTCCTCTGACCAAATTTCCTTGGATGCCATTCAAATTGGACCAGTATCATAGTCTTAGAGAGTGTTAAGAGCTAGAAGCAATCATAATAGATCTAATTTAACCCTCTCATTTTACAGAGGAGGAAGAGTCCTAAAGAAAGAGAAGAACTTGCCCTAGGTCACCCACGTACAAAATAGAAAAGTTGGTGTAGGAGCACACAGCCATGCATAGTGCATACACTGAATTCTACTTTTACACAAAGTGTACATAAACCAAACCCACTTCTTCCTTTCATGGCAGTTATAGGTATGGATTGATCCCTCCCCCTTTCAGACTTTGAGTCCCTAAATAGTCCTCCCTAGTTTTCAATTTGCCAGTGCGATCTCATTTTACTTACTGCCACAGTGAGCTTCTTAAAGCACATGTCTGATCACAACACACACACACATGCACACACATATTTTAAAGCTTCTCCATTATCTTCAATATAAATTTAATATTTTTTAAGTAGAGGGAATAAGTCATTCTAGGATCAGCCACGCTTCCATCTTACTTTTGGGCTCCCTTTCACATGGACTTGACCCTCTAAGCCTCCTGACCTTGCCATTTGCCTTCCATGATTTCCCTTCTTCCCTTTACGAGTGATCTTCCCTCTCCCTCGAGTCTTCTTTCCCCACTCCATTATGTGGCAAATCCCCCCAGTCGTCCATTATGCAACTTTCTCTCCCCACCCCCAAGCCTCTAGTCATAGGTACTTTATTCTCACCCCACACACCTGCTCATTTTAACATCTGCACACCATGCAAGTTGGAAAGGGAAGATCAGGGTTGGCATAACTGAACTTTAAAGTCTGTGTCAATCTCAAACTTCTAGCAATTTGTGCAGTCATTGAGGAATGGAGCTTTGGGGAAGACTTTTGATGTAGCTGTAGAAATTTGAAAGATAAAAGAGTTTGAAAAAAGCAGAGAGAAAAAGATATATCAATATTTGCTTGTTCGTGAAATGTTTTATAAGACACTTAAAGCTGTCTGTCACCCAAGTTATATTATAATGTCCTTTACAGTCAGAGTGCATGTCTAATTCTTGACTCTTGCTCATCCCTGTACCTCATGCCCAAACCGTGCTCTATATGCAGAGGTGAGGTGGTACAATTAGGCACATTTGTCTTAGAATATCGCAAAGGAAAATAACACTACTCTGTCAGTTTGGCCGCATACTGTCCTCTCTCCTTTCTCCTCCTCCTTTCCCTCTTCCTCTCACTCCTCCTTCTCCAGGTACTTCTCAGGGGAAGGTATAGGAAGGCTAAGAAAGAATGTTCTAGATCACTCAGAAGACACTGTTCAGTTGCTTTTGTAACCCCATTCCATCCCAGACTAAGTGAAGAAAATTATTCTAAAAACACAACTCAGTTATTATAGAATAGCTCTACAGATTTTTAGTGCCTATATTGTTCAAAAGCACCATTATTAGATGTCATAAAAACCTATGCAGCAGGTGGATACCAATGCTATGATGTCTGTGTATCAGACAGAAAAACTGAGTCTAAGGGGGTTTATGTTACAGACCTAATTGGAAATGCTTGTCTTGGAAACCAGGGCCCTGACTGCCTATTTTGTGATCACCAAGGGCAAAGTGCTTCTGCAGACAGAGAGAACTTGAGCCTCCTATTTACCCCTTTGGTGATGGAAGACATCCCCACCCTAAATTAATACTAGATGACTGCACACCTACACTGACACCATGCAGATGAGGCTGGCAGCAGTTTATTAGTCATGTGTACTCACAGTCCAGGGGTTGAGCCGGGGAAGAGGACACCACACATCATGTAAGGCCACCTAGGGGTTGCACTCAGAACAGAGGGAACCATCAGGGGATGTGGGAGGCAGGCTTTGTAACAACGAGGGTAAGGTGACCCCTGGTTCCCACAGGAGGATGTGATTGGCTTGTTTGCGTAACTGCTGGCTGGAAGGGAGGTGAAACCCATTAGGTTAAGCGCTGGGAGGGGTGCAGCTTGTCTAGTTGATAGTAGAACTAGCCAGGTGGGAAGCCTTTCTGCTGGGTTGGGGACATCTCTGGAGAGAGCAGAGGAACTCACACTTAGGGCCTCGTGGTCCTGTGAGGCTCAAAGGTGTCAAGGCAGCACATGAAGTATTAGGTCTTACAATGCAGCTTTCCTTCCCTGTTCATAGAGCATCTGCTCTGCAGAAAATACTCTAATTCATTGGCACTTCCCTTCAGGCTTTCACTAAGATCTTCTCTCTCACACAAATAACTGTTCATGAAAGAATCCCGTCAAGGAGCTGGCCTGTCCCATGATGGCCCGATAGATAAGGAGGCCTGACATTAATTCACTTGCCTAATGAATAACATGGTAAAGTCTTGGTTCGATAAGTGCACCACTTACACCAAGGTCTTTCATTCACATTCAGCTTCATAAAATGGACATCCCTGTAGAAACCAATTGAATATTGTTGGTGTCTGGGATAATGAACAATGTCAGCACACTTCGAAGATTAAAGAGCTACACCAAGGGGAAGTGGCAGCAGAAGAGACGAGCTTTGCTTAGTGAAGGTCACCATGGCCTCTCATGCTTGGACCATTTTCCCCACTGAAGGCATCATGATAACCAAACCATTCTTCAGTTTTTCTTTTCTAAAAGCCTACAGCTTTGAATCTCAAGATTTCATTGAAAGCATCTGATTTCCAAGAATGTTCATGTTCAATGACACTTACAATAACTCACAAGACTAAAAATTTACCTGGTTTTCCAAACAGGTTTTATGTTATTAGGGTTATGTTCTGACCCTCCCCTTATCCCCAAATCTCCTAATATTCAAGGTATAATTAGTGGGCCAGATAGAAATAGAAGATGTTTGCATCTTCTCTCCTTACAGATGTTGTCTCTGCACTAAAATTTGCAAGAATAGTGAATTTGTAGTGGTCCCATATCTGGTACCTGCAGACATATGGACTCCTCTGTCTTTCTGTTTGCTACATTGTGATGAGCAATACAATTTGGGATTTATGCAGCAATAGAAAATGGCAGGCCTATGGAAATTAAGATATTATGTCCAATTAAATGCTTCTCATTCCAGCCTGCACATGAGAATGATTTGTGGATTTTCTCCTGTTCCTTTTCAATGTTCTTTGTTTGGTATTTTGTTTGTTTTACAGGTTCCTGTACTCCTTCTGTTTCTACTGAATTCATATTTCCTGGGCAGAGGCTATGCAACAAACTGCACGTGTGATTCACATGTTACTGTCATGCATAACCAGGGGCAAGAATCCCTGATACCTTTTGAATAGAAAGGCTTTAGCGGTGACTACACATCCAGAAAAATCCATAAGTTCAGATCAGGGAGCAGTTAATATGGAGAAAAGCAAAGAGGTCCAGAAAAGAGAAATCAAAGACAGTCAAAAATTGCTAGGAATGAAAACAAAATTAAAAATCAAGCAATAAAGAGACAATTAAATAAGGAAAATTATAAAAATGGCTTTAGATGTGAACACCATGCAACCTTTATTGTAAATATGACCTTTTTCCCCAAAGCCCTAGTTTTATATTCTACCAGGGCTCATGGAAGTCAATTTGGAGTTGTAGCTGGAATATAGTGAGGCAGGTTTGGACAGATTCAGATTCCAGATAAGCCCAAGGGTGGGAAGGGTGGTGAAAGGGGGTTGGCACAATGAATTCTGCAAGGTAACACACAGATTCCAAATACAATAATTTTAGAATATATACATATATATATATATGTTCAACATCTGTCCATCTTGAAAGAGTTATTGACATAATTAACTACTTTTACTAGTAAGTGACTTATACCAAAATTTTACTAGGAGGATTTTTTAAAAGTAAAAATTACTGCCCTATCCTCAGTGAATTAAAAATCTGGTTTTGGAGGCAGTTCTCACAAAGTGTTGATTATGTGATTTAGCCTTATGCCAAAGAGGGAAAAGTTAGGATTGGTTGAATTCATCTCTTGCTGTTTCCCTACATGTTCCTACACTCCAGAGAAGCCAGAATGTAGGAACATGACTTCTCTTCTTCCCTTTATGAGTGATCTTCTACTTCCAGTCTCCTAACATGCCAGGCAGTTTCATGTCTTCCTGTCTTTACTGGTGCGGCTCCCTCTGTCTGAACTAACCCCAACCCTCCATAGCCGCCCAGCAATGCCTTTGCTTCCTGACCAATTCTACCTCAGTAACATCCCTCTATTAATTCTCTTCCTGACCTCTATCTGTCCTCAGAGAACTGACACTTCCTCATTCGCAAGCCTGCCTTCTTTCCGGAGTGAACGTTTTTGGTTCTGACGGGTTAGAAGTTTCACTGTCAGACCAGGTCATGCCTGTTACCTGTTGCCCATGGGTGGTTTCCCTCATGGTATTGCAAGGAGATGGGAAATAGACATACCAAATGGTTAAGACAATTCCTTTTTCTGTTTGTTTTGATTTCTAGAGCCAGCCTTGTGGTAAATATGCATCATGTAAGAAAGAGCAGAAGTACTGAGAAATGCCAAGACCATACTACAGTCATACATGAAGAAAAACCAGGATTGGAATGAGTGAATGGAAGTCATGTAACTTTGACTACATTCAGCTCTTAAAGCAAGGCCATTTAACTATCTTACTATCACAAAAGGAAATATATTTGTATGACTGTTTTCTGATTTTAATTGTATAAAAATATTAACTTACTAAATATTATTGAGTACTCATGCTGTACCAGGAAATATTCTGTGAGTTTTACACACATTGGTCCATGTTATCCACACAATGTCACTACAAGATAGGTCGTTTTGCAGCTATAGGAGCTGAGGCTGAAAGCAACATAGCCAAGAATGAGCAGAGATGGATTTTAAACCCAGATTGTCAGGTCCTGCAACCTACACACATAATCATTATGCTTTGTTTAGGGTAATCAACTGTCCTGGTTTCTCTAGAAATAAACAGGTTCCTGTTACCTAGAACGTTCATTGCTAAAACCAGGAATGTCCTAGGCAAACTGAAACAAATTGGTCACTCCAGCTGTGCTACAGGATCAGGGCAACTGCAATGAGGTCTTAAGGGAAATGTTTGTTTGCTAGGGCTCCTGTAAAAGAGTATCACAAACTGGCTGGCTTAAACAACAGAAAATTGTTGTCTCAGAGTTCTGGAGGCCACAGCTCTAAAATCAAGGTATAGGCAAAGTTAGTTCTTTCTGAGGGCTGTGAGGGAGGGATCTGTTGCAGGCTCCTCCCCTTGGCTTATAGATGGCTTTCTTCATGTTCACGTGGCATTCTCACTGCATATGGGTCTGCCTCCAAATTTCCCCTGTTTTTAAGAGTGCCAGTCATACTAGATTAAGGCCTACCCTAATGACTTCATTTTAATTTGATGATCTCTGTGAAGACCTTATCTCCAAATAAGGTCACATTCTGAAGGGGTTAGACCTTCAGCATATGAAGTTTGGGAGACACAATTCAACCCAATGCAAGGATCATTTGATAATCAGGAGTCAGGGTCAAGGTCAGGCCATCAAGTATATCATAAGTCTTCCATTTTGTTGTATGTTCAATTCACCTACATAGCATAAAAATCAAACAACAGAAAACATTGCATTCAAGCCCCATAACAGACCAATTAAGTTGGAATTTTGATCATGGAGCCCCAGTGTTGGAAAAATTGTGAAAGCTCCCCAGATTAGTTTAATATACATCCAGGGCTGAGAATCTATTTGAGCTGAGGACCCTGCAACTAGCGGGATCAGAAGAAACAAGGTTGGGGGAAAGGGTTAGACAAAAACATAGAAGGGGAAAGTATGATCAAGGGTTCGTATTTATAGCAAAATCCCCCATTGGAATTGGGAGTGGTGGCACCAGGAGTTCAGGAGACAGAGGAAGGTGAGACAGGGTCAAGCCAAGAGGTAGTGAACAGAAGCTATGTGCTGACCTGGGCCAAGGTCTTCAGCTCTTCAGACCTGGGAGGAATCATTTACTGGCAGATAATAGAAAGCAGCTGATTTAAAAGCCAAATCCAGGAACTAGACTTGCTCAAGTGTCTGTCGGAGGCTCTATCTGCCCCTCTGCTGCTGCCGTTTATACAAGTCACAGACTCAGCCAGCCTACAGCCACCTCTAATCAGGAGGAACGTGAAGGATGATTTAATGTCTGAAACGTGGAGGCTCACAGGTACCCCACTTTCAGCAGATACACATTGTTTGAAAATCCAGATTTGTAAAATGGATGCATTAGAGAATATTTACTTCACAAAATGATTCACAGTGGGACTCCTTTAAATAGCCTGTTTCCCCTGGGCCAACTGATTTGATTTGCCAGAAGTCATTGCACACAATAGTTTTCCATAAGCACATCTGGCAAGAAGCATCATGAACAAAGTTTTAGAAGACAATAATTCTTGTGTTTCTGACACCAGTTTTGAACTTAAACACATAGTGCACCTCTCTGAGACTTCATTTTCTTATTTGCAAAATGAGAATATGGGTCCTGACTAGTTTAGTATCTTTAAGCAATGAAATATGTGTGAAAATAATTAGAAAATGCTGAAATGTCTTAACAAAATATATTTATGGAAGCCATTATTAACACTAACATGTGGCTTGAGGAAATCTTATGATTCTATTGTTATTTAGCTCATAATATTGGATGTGATGAGATGAAGATGCTTGCTCCATCAATGGCTTCAGGGAGGATGCTTTATGGCCTGAGCTCTGTTCCAAATTAGGACAATTAGGAAGTCTGTCCCTGACTTCATCACAGTGAAGAGGAGAGAAAAATTTCAGCAGAGAGAATATAGGCAGGGCAGAATGCTAAAGCTGGAGTGGAAGAGAACTGCAGGCACATCAAAGTCATTTCTAGAATTAAGAAGACCAGGCAGCTAGCCTTTTCCACAACAGAGGAAGGAAAGTCAGCATTCCCTCCAGAAGCCTAAGCTCCCGTTGAAGTTTGGGCATCTGCAGATGGAAAAAATTAAAATTATTAATAAGAGCCCTGGAATGGAAAACAATCAGTCCAGTGAGGAAAGACTGTGATGAATCAGCAGAAATGGGATATAGGAGAAGGGGCATTGCTGTCTGATACAAAACAAACAATAATGTTGTTGGTGACCTTAGGAAAAAGTTACTAACATGTCTGTTTTTCTTTTCTCTTTTTTTAAATTATACCTTATGTTCTGGGATACATGTGCAGAACATGCAGGTTTGTTACATAGGTATACACATGCCATGGTAGTTTGCTGCACCCATCAACCTGTCATCTACATTAGGTATTTCTCCTAATGCTATCCCTCCCCTAACTCTCCACCACCCCAACAGACCCTGTTGTGTGATGTTCCCCCTGTGTGTCCATGTGTTCTCATTGTTTAACTCCCACTTTTGAGTGAGAACAACCAGCATATCTCTTTATGAGGCAGAATTAGGAGATGATATTAGAATGCCACTGTACATTATAGCTAACTATTCATAAACTTTATTTTGTAATGAAATACATAGTTATCATTAATAGTTCATTTTAATCATTCTTTTGGCTTAAATCATCATGTTTTATAAACAATCTCTCTTAGTGCTTTCAAGTAAAGAATAATCTTGCCTAACTTTTGAGACAAGCTGCTGAGGCCCTGGTGGACACAACCAATTGCCAGCATCCCTTATGAAACTGGGTTGGATAGAGGCTTCTGGAGTTCTGTCCTGCCTATACATTGCACACACAAACCCATTTCCTCCTGCCTGACCCATGCTCTCACCCCATCACTTCTGTGAGAAGTTTCAAACTGAGGAGCAATCAGATTTTCACTTCTCTCTTCATATCCCTCCTCAGCAGCAGCAGCACACATACACAGGGATAGAACTCAAAGCCAGAGGGAACCAAGCAGATGCATAGTGGAGATAAAACATGTAGACAGTATGTGCAGGGAAGCCTGCACCTGAAGAATTAGTATTTTATGCCAAGCCACTTGGGAATACATTTTCGTAAAGAGAATGAAAAGGAATTAAAATGGGAACCAACTGCGTAAAGGAAAGGGTTGAAAGTCTTACAGAACGCTCGTCAGCAGGATTGTTTCAACACTGGCTCATTCTTCCTCTCTGAGTCTAGGTGTTTCTCATTCTGTCTCTGCTCTATTTTCAGGAAGATTCAAGAGGTAAAACAGGACTGAGCCAATCTGGGAATTTGAGAGGGAAACTGACTTTCGTTAGTGAGTTGCATGGAGGGTGTGATAGACCATCAAAAGGTTTGCTCCTGAGCACACCATCCTCCAAATTCCTGAAACCACAAAGTGTGTTGAACAGTTACTGTCTACAGTCACGATTTAGGTCAGCTGGAAAAATTTCTTCTGGAACACAGAGCATTTGATGATAGACATGTCTAGGAAGCATCTAAACATTATCGTGGGAGTCAAGATAAATGAGTTGTCAGACTAACTCCATGTGTTTCTTCAAGCAGGAGAGAATATATGTTTTGGGAGGTCTCTAGTGGCCTTTCCTAAGAAGTTTAAAATACTGTACAAACTAATCTAAAAGTGAATTTGCATGACAGTTCCAGCTTGGGTGGATTCCCCTCACCAGCATTGGAACCTGCTCTCAAGAATGTCAAACTTGCAACAGTGCTCATGTCTGAGGATAAGGTTCTCCAAGATAGGATGGTAATAGGACTTATGATCTGACTCACAGTGTATGCTCAGGTCTTTTATAATTGTTTTCTTTCTTTTCATAAACTGTATTTTAAAATGTGATATAACACAAACATTGCACAACATAGGCACATTGTCCTCAAGATCTTTCTTGGCCCTGACTCAGATTCTATTCTGAGTTTAATTGGCTGGACCCAGTAAAGATGATGATCTGCTCTGATATCCACAGACTGAGGCCAAATTCCAGTCTCAGGACTCACCAGACTTGTGGCATCGGAGCAGTTCACGTAAGTCCCATATGTGCCATAGTTGCTGCAGAAATAGCAATGCCAACATCTCGTAACAACTGGGAAGAATGAAGCAGCAAATACGAGGCGGCTCCCAATACCAAAACTCACTCCCAATGCAAGATCATTAAATGTTACTCTCATGCCCCCTAAACTAGATGTGGTTACTTATCCTGTTCCCCCGAGGCCTCAAGCCTATGCCCCTGTCCCTGAGCTGGTTTGGCAAGAGGCCCAAAGAGGGCGGCACCAGCCTGGCTGACTCTGTGAGGTTCAGTGGCTCTCTGGTCAGGCCTCATAACTCTCTTGATGTGGTGAATTAGGCTACTGTCAGGAACCAGGAGCTGCCCTTCGGGATTCCTAGGGAGATGTTATGGTCAATGGGGGAAAAGTCAGCTAGCAACATCTGGCCCTGCATTGTGACAACTGCTCAGAGAACATCCTTATCTCTGCTTCCTAGTGCTCTATAAAGAGAGGTTATTGCCTCAATCAGCCTCTTGATATATTTTATGTTGACAGTGTGGGACGTAATGACTTTCAAACATATTGACAGTTTAGTTTTTACTACACACCATACACTACTGAGTGATATCACTATTCTTGTTGATTTTTATGTTCAGTTGAGTCAACATTAAGCCTCGGGGCAGCCCTGCATGTCAGATCTTTACCACAAGCCTTTGAGCACTTCTCTCAATAACAACTGACCACATCCAAAAGGAAGGCAAACCAAGCATTTGGGGGCTAATGTTTTCCTCCTATAAACTCAAACAAGAAAGCACATGTGCAACAGAACTGACAAACAATTATTGCACTCAGTGTGTGAAGCATCAGGGCTACAAACCAACTTAAGTTGTGTGGCTTTCCTTATCAAGGCTTTTATAGAGATGGTGAGACATATTTATAAATAAATCTGTAATCCCTGCTTCCCAGGATATGGATGTCTGGGCATGAACAATCAATGGGTGGTTTCTGACTTGGGAACTCCCCATTGAAACTTGGGAACTTAGACCAGCTGCCTCTGAGTCTCACCTTTCACTCAAGCATCCCATGTAATCCACCTACCTGCTAGCAGCAACTGTGCTACCCTTCTGATGACTTTGGCTGGTCCTTGTTCTCAGTTGTTGCCTGGTGCATATCAGATAGGATGCTCTTTGAGCTCTCTGCATGGGAAACCAATTAAGACAATGCTGGACACATAAGCATTGCTCATTTCCCAGTTAAGTTCTGTGGCTTTGTGTCATGACCTGACTGGAGCTCGTATCTTCTGTGTAGCCCTCTTCTATGTGCTTTCCTGCTGCTTCACCATTTGTATAATTGTGAGCTTGGTAGAGGCATCATTGCAGATCTGCTACTAACTCGGCATGGCCAGCTCGACAGAGAGCCAGTTTGTTAAACAGCTTGGTGGGGGAGTTCATCCGTCTTGATGTTGCCCTGAATCTACAACTTCATATTCAATATGCTAAATAATCCTCTTTTCTTTTCGTGTGATTCATGATAGTGTCATCCTCATCAAGCTTTATCTTTCTCATTTCTTGCAATTTTCTCTTAAGGTAACGTATAACTGGCAAAAAGGTGAGTTGCTTTAAATCACCACTTTAAAGTTTTTAATTTATTTCCTAAATTGCTCCTGAGGGAAAGAAAACAATATGATTTCTAGTATGAAATTTCTATTTATGGTGAATACCATGTGGGCTTTGGAGCCAGACGTTCGGTATTTGAATTTTGGCTGAACCTCATACTCATTTTTATATATGTAAAACACTGAGTGCCTCAGTTTCCTCAAGTGTAAAATGAAAATAATGAGTCATGCCTATTCCTTAGAGTTGTGTGTTGATTAAATTCAACCACAAAAAAGAGTGAGAATAGGAGGCATATAAGCAGCACTCAGTAAATAAGGGTTTAATAATATTTTTGAAATGTACTTATATTGGAAGCATAGAATTTACGTACATGAGCCTTTATATCTTGGCAAAAGTGACTTCCTTTTGAAAATTTACTATATTGTGATCTAAGTGCTTAGAATATGGTTTATCATGAGAAATCTTTCTCTTTTGATGAAGCACTCAAATCAGGGCATTGTTTTGGTGGAAAAGGAACTTTTTTTTTTATGAAGCACTCAGGGCCTGGAACATGATGCTCACATCTCATGATGAAACATTCCTAAAAATGAAAAAAAAGGGTTTTCATTATAAAATCTCCTGCTCTCTATATATTAAAACTTTTTGGATATTTTAATTCTTGTGTCAAATGGTGCATAAAGGGTGTTTTATGGTTTTGCATCATGAGACCAAATTCAATGATGACAGGGGTCATGCCTGTTTCATTTTCTGCTGCATATGGGGCCTGGCTCCATGCCTGACACATAGGAGCCACCTCTTGGTTGGTTGTTGACTATATACACAACCATTGAAAGCAAGGATTTGAGAGTTTGACTCACTGAGAGATTAGCCATGTGTGGTTGTTGACTCTAAATACACTCCTCTTGTTTCAACATTGGGGAAAAAATTGGAAAGAAAATGATGTTGATAAAAAGTCATGTTATTTAAAGCCAATTAATAGCCACAAGGTAGATTGTTGATGCAAAACTTCCCATATGAAGTATAATTTTTGCTGAAATTTGACTAAGTGTGATCTGCTGTTGTATGGAATTTTTGTTGATGCTCTTTGGTGAGCCAGTTCATTCTGACGTTGAGACCTGAGGCTACTGCATGTGCGCTTACACAACTCACTCTATAATTGATCTGATGCTGACACTGACACTGCCAGCTCTTACTCAGTGCTTTCCTGCCTCTTGCCTCCTGCCAACTCATTCCTCTTCTAAGGTTGCTTCCACTGGTGTTACCTCCAGAGATTTTGGATAAGGCTGTAATCACAGAGTCAGAGTTACATTAGGTTTTTGCATTTTGTGTATCTCTCTTTATGACAAGTTATCCTGGGCTTAGGTTGAATATAATGAGATATGATGATATTCTGCCAAAGACCATTTCTTCTCCACCATACTTAATCTGTAACCCTGGAATCATCCAGAAAACCCTGCTCCATTTTCCCACAGTGGCTTCTTTACCCTAAACACTGCCCAGAATGTTAAGGATAGTCATAGCCCTTGCTGACTCAAGCCTTAGTCATATTATCTAGCTATTGGGCAATACCATCTACTCATTATTCTTTCCACTTGCACCATCAGGCCATTAGGAAAACAGCACCCCAGGGACCACCCAGTATCCTTGCTCTCAGCACAGGGAATAGCTTTCTCTCAGAACCTGGCCAATAACAAAAACACAACCTAAAAAGAACTAAGTATCTCAAGAGGGCTACAACCAAAATGCCACCTGAGGTTAGAAGAGACAGAGAAAAAATTTCTGGCTGCAATGATGAGTAAAATCTTTCAGAAAGAGATGGTATGGTAGCTAAAGCTGATTCTTGAAGAAAGAACATGGAAAGGGAACAAATAAAAGACTTTGGGGTCACTTTTGAGTCGTGGCTCGGTCACTCTGCTCCCGAGCATTGTTGCATAGACCTGAGGTTCATCATTCTTCATAGTTAGACCAGATTCCTAGAGCTCCTTTTGCTCTACAACTTCACAGATGAGTGACTCTATGAATGGGTAGGATTTGGAGAGGCAGAGGTGAGGAGCATTAGAGACAGAAGCAGAAGGGCAGGCAGAGGTTCAAGGTGTCTTTGGGAAATGTTGAGTAATCTGTGGAAGGAGGTAAGACTCAAAAGGGAAAAAATAGATTCAGTTTTGAAAGGAAGTTAAAGTAAAGAACTTTATTTTGAGGAGAAATGTAGGTTGGTGGTAGAAGGGATATATAACCTTGAATGTTTGCACATGGACACAAAAAGGAACTCAGGACCTTACAAGACATTTCAAATATGTGAGGAGGTTGGTTCAGTGTCCTGCAAGACAGAAATTGTAGGTTAAAGTGTAGCTAGGACAAAATTGTCTAGCCAAAAATGCAGTTCTGCAATGACCTCATAGAACTTTTCAATTCACTAGAAATAGATTACTTTCTATTTTTCATTGTTGCTGGTAACACTGATCACCTGCTCTGGAACCAGTGTTAACTTTCACTGAGTCTCATCCTATTTTCCTGTGGGTCTAGGCAAATGTGACATGGTTATATTGTCTGAGTCTGCTTGAGGAAAAGGCGGCCCATGTTTTGATAACTGGGAGCAAGTCCATCAGTTGTGAAGGAGTCCCACAGGAATCTACCAATTACAAAATGATAAAAGGTGCCATTGGGGGTAGGAGAAGATGCAAAATGTGTAACACCCAGTTGTGTCTCTCACAGAATTTCTAATCTAGTTAGGGAAATCAGACAGACACAGACACTCAAAATGATGAATAATAATGTAAGTACACATGGAATGACTCAAACAGAGATCTATAGGATCTGGGGAAAAGAAGAGAAAAGTCTGGTCAAAGATAGGGTTGTTAGAGTTGGCAAATCAAAATACAGGATGCCACTAACATTTGAATTTCAGATAAATAACAGATAATTTTTATCACACATATGTTCATGAAACATACTTGCACAAAAACATTATTGTTTATCTGAAATTCAAATGTAAGTGGGTGTCCTGCATTTTCTCTGACAACTCTAGTCAGGGGAGATTTTAGAGAAAACGTCTAGTTTATCCTAGGGCTTCGTGGATGTAAAAACCTTTAGAAAAAAAAATGAGATCTTTAGAGGAAAAAGGAAGGTGTATAATGTTTAAAAGGTGACTACCATTTGCAAAGGGAGGGTAAGTAAAATATATAGTCTAGAATTAAGAGCTTATCTTGAAGAGAAATGTGGGCTGTCAGGAATTTACCACTTGAATTACATGGAAATTTTCAATTGATAGGTTCAATGACTTCTGGATTGAAGATGTGAAATTTAGGTAGATATGATTCTTTTGTTTTATAAAAAGTGTATGGACTATTAATGTGGAAGAAACACAAGCAGTCATCTCTCCCCTCATTTACAGATGAAAAAGGGACAGCCATAAGTCATGGAACTGGAACCAGAACTCTGATCTAATTCTCAGGCCAATGTTCTTCCTCTTCTCCATGCTAGTTATATTTTTCTTATTTCTCAGATGAGTAATACCAGATAACAGTAGGCCAAACCAACAATTTATTAGGACCTGGTGGTGAAAGCTAAGTAGTGAAATTCTTTGCTAAATTCTGTCTGAATCACTCAAATCTTCTCAATTTTGGAAATCTTTCTTGGGTGTTCAGATTATTCCCTAAGGCCCAACTTCTTTCGTTAGCCCTCGGTGGGGCAAATCACTACTGGTATCTTACAAAGTTTAGGGAGGCAGTTTTTCTCCTGAGTTCTGGTAGTTGTTATTTTCCACAGACAATGAAATTCTCCACACACAGATTTGTGCCAGAAAATAATCTTCCATGTGTATCAATGTCGTAAGCAGTGACTGGCCTGGGCTGAGCATGCAAATAAGATTTGGCTTCGCTCAAATAATTATTCCCTTAGTTACTTCACTCCTCTTTGCACTCCCCACAGGGACCCTTGCACCAACCTAGCAGTAGCTCATGTGACCCACTTCCTTTCCTAGGCCAACCAATACATTCAACCATCATCAAAACAATTTCTTGAAAGGAACCCAGTAATTCATAAGGTTAATTCAGTGCTCCCCTTCTAGGTGTGATAAAATTTATAATAAGCCAGCATCATTAATACCATAAAATACTGAAGAGGCTAAAATGGAAATGTCATCTCAGAAGTCACCAAGGATTGAAAGTCATGTTTCATCTGAATGTTCATGGATATTGGTGGTAACTGAACACTTTCTGGCAACCCTGAGCCTATGTCTTGTGGATGGTTATCTACCTTGTTTATATGTTTGTTGGGTCATAAAAACTCAATTCACTCATTTATTTATCAGTGGTTTAGGTGTCTTCCATTTGTATAGCACTGTCATTGCCTCATTAAAAGCTATAGCTGAGGAGAGGTGATGTTTAGAAATTGTCTAGTCTTCTGTCTTTATTTTACATACTATTAGGAAACCAAAACTCAGAGAAGTGAATTTTCTGAAGTCATGTCTGATGAACAAAGCTTACGACAAAATCCTACTTCTGTGATCCAATCCAGACTCATCCATAGATTGTCTCAACCTTGATGGAAGTCAATTCATAAAATGTAATAATTGGAATTGCATCCCCAACACAAAACAGCTACTAAAGATTACAGCTGGTATTTGGCACTTTTACTGTTAAATAAACACTAAATTGACACTACCAACTGCCAAGTGCTTTCTCCTAATTTGGAGAAAGTGATAATTTTAGGGAAAGTCACTCTTCTTTTTGAGTTTCAGTTTCTTAATAGTTTAGGATGAGGCAAGGCATAAAGAACAATGGGTCAATGTCACACTGCTTTTAAAGGGGTAAAAATGGGAAGTCACATACTACCATTATTAAGATACCAATGTGATTAGCTGCCTGTGCAGTAATGAGTTTCTTATTAGCTGTAGTATTCACCAACTACATGGCCCTTTGTCAGGGATACTGTATAAGACATTTTGAAATGGGTGGGAGATGGAGCTGGAAGATATATTTAATGTTTCTTCCATCTCTAAGATTCTGTGATCAGAAATACAAAATACTAAAGGAAAACCCACATCTGATCATTTAAATCTAGAAGCAATGACAATAACAACATGAATGAGACATCATATAGGATGCCTAATCATAGTACTGGCTCAAGTATGGAAATTCAGTATCAATGTAATCACGGTTTTCCTTTCATCATCATGCAAGTAAGAGCCAAAGTGTCAAGAGTAAAGGAGATTGCCTGAAAATTTCTCTTTTTACAAAAAGGGAGAAAAGAAAAAAAAAAAAGGAAAAACTTACTGGATGGAAGTTGGAAGATGACTCAGCAAAATAACCCGAGAGAAGTCAGGTCTGCTGTGAACCCAGGTGTTTGGGTGCTGATGGGCTAGTGAAGAGGCCAATAAGTTGTCAGTGGCAACTTGGAAGGTTTTAGAACCTGACTTGGAACTTGAAGCATGCATGGATAATCACAAATAATTTTCAATTATTTTTCCACTAGTGATAACTACTATTTAAAAGTAAATTTCCTTTAGATGCTTAGAAATGAAATGTATGGCTCTGTTTGCTAGCAACCTGGCTGTGGTACTACAGAGAATCCTAATGCATGAAGCTGAAAGAGGGCCCTGAGATGCTGCAACACAGCCCTGCATTTTGCACAAGAGGAAACTGAGCCCAAAAGTAGTGCAACCTGTCTCAGGACACATAGCTAATAAGTGACAGAGCTTAGATTAAGATCAAAGTCACCTGGTTTTATTTTGACTGAATTGGTGGTCATATATTAAACCATTTCCTGAGTTTCACTTTAAACGGTATTATGGAGTAAGCCATTACCTCATGTGAGTGTATGTTACCAGGTCAATTTTTGCATTGATTATGTTTCCCTCCCACCCCAGGGCAGCCCCTGACCTGGGCTCATCATTTCTATTTTAAAGCACAGGGCAGATCAGATATGTACACCTAGGAAATGAGTTTTCTTCCTGGAAGGGAGCATGTCATAGAAGATCTCTCCCACCATGTCAGCATCTCTATTAAGAATGACACTCACTCTGCCTTCCCCCAGTGATGACAGAGTCCTGGCCATTTTTCTTCTTTACTGATGGATTTCCAGGTGACTGACAGATGGTTGTAAGGGTAATTCCTCCTCGACAATTTCCCTCAAATTCTATTCTTTGCTCCACCATTTTCCTAACTACTATCTTGAGAATAATTGTTCTAGGGGGACCACTCTAGCAAGGTTACACATATTCTCTAATTTGCACATTTCTCTCAGAACTGGGAAGAAATGAAACCCTGCTAAAGTGGAGAGAGTCTGCCAGAATCACCGCTTAAAAAAAAGGCAGAGTTTGAATGTCAGTCCTAAATTGTCATCCGTCCCTGCTTCGTTCCACTTCTAATAATAGTCTCATGTACCCTTCTGCACACACACGCTCATGTGCTTATTAACAGAGAATTCAGGAAAGAACGGGTCTTGACCAAAAACACAAGAATTGGATCCTAGGATGGTGCATTAAAAATTGGGCAGGGTAGCAGGGGACAGGAGAAGGACTGGACATGTTTAAAATATGTGAGAAAAGGAACAACCCACTGGATGGATGGATCATGCATATGAACAGAGAGCTAACAGAAAAGGAAATGCAAAAGGCTCTTAAATGAAAAGATGCATGAGCTCATACATAATAAGGGAAATGGAAATGAAAATCACACTGCAATCCCATTTTTTACTTATCAGATTGGCAAAAATCCACAAGATCACAAACATACCCTGTTGTCAAGGCTGTGGGGAAACAGACCCTTTTTAGACATTGCTGGTGGGAATTTAAATGAGTACAACCCCGATGAAGGGCAATTTGGTGATATCTGTCAAAATTACAAATGCAAATACCCTTTGACCTGTAATCCCAGTCCTGGGAATTTATCCCACAGATATACTTGCACAGGTGCAAAATGATATACCTACAAGGTTGTTAATTGCAGCCTTGTTTGTAATAGCAAAGGACTGGAAACACACCAGAAGTCTGTCAATAAGGGCCTTTAAAATAAATCATCATATATCCACACAGTGAAATAATACGTAACTTTAAAAAAGGAAGGAGTTCTCTGTATACTAATTTAAAAAGCTCCCCAAGATATTTTTTAAAAAGGTAAAAAAAAGTGTCATAATATACTATATTTAGTGATTTGAAATGTAGGGGTAAGAAAACGTTTAAAAAAAAATCCTCTGGAAGATTCAGGTGTGGGCAATACCATTAGTTGCATGTGGCAATGCTGAGGTCTTTGTGTGTTAACTGGGCAGGTGGGGAAAAAGGAATGGGTCTCTTCATACTGTTGAACTTTTGTGACTTATGAGTGGATCATGTTCCATGGAAAATAGGACCACAGGCCTAAGATCTTGAATAAGCTGTTTTCTAAGGTGACAGGCAGAAAAAAAAATAAGACTCAGGTTCAGTAAGTCACACCACAAGCTGTTCGCTGAGACGGGTTACAACATTGTGGAATATTCTGTGGTGCTGACTTATTATTGGGCCATGAGGTGAGCAACCTTGAAGAGCCTGCTGTAAAGGGTGCTGACAGCACACTTTTGAAAGGGGTTATATTGTTTGTTCAGGGGAGTAAAACATAAGGGTCTTATCAGCTTGCTGTGCCCTTAATTGGCAGTCTATTTGACAAGTAGCTCTGTCTGTTATAAGGGGCTGATTGCTTCTTCAAGTATCTGGTCAAATAAATAAAATTTTTAAACTATACCATACGACAATTCTCTGGCTAATAACCTTCTATTACTGCCCTGTAAAATTCATGTGAAGAAACGGAATGGAGAATATATCCTTGCAACCAGGTAAAAGGATGCCAATGAGCAGACTGCCAAGGAGGCTCTACTGAGGTCTACACTGGCTGTCCGCCTCTGCCAACCCCTAGGAAGAGAATGAGCTTGCCCACTCGAAGTTGTAAGCACAGCTAATAATCACTAAGGTTCCTAAGCACCAGGCATCAGCAGGAATACTTTGCAAATGCTAATTCACTGAATTCTCACAACCACAATATGTGATAAGTAATATTTATATTTCCATTTTATATATGAAGAAACTGTGCACAGAAAACTTGCTCAAGTCTCCTTAGCTAGCAAAGAAACAGAAGAGGGATTTGAACCCAGGCAGTCTAATTCCAGAGTCTTTGTAATCTTAACCCCAATCCTAGCCCCTTTCTCTGGTTGAGAAACAGGATTTGCACCATATAGAAAATTTCCACACAATTAGTAGTCATTGTCCAGACTGAATTTTTTTCTTCACTTCCTCCCATTCCCAACTAATACTTCCATTTCTATGGCTACTCACAGATGGAAACCCCCAGAATAACATTTTTTACAATCCTCGCTAGAAAAATAGGAAAGAAAGGCTAAAGCTAACAAAATGTCTTATTTGACGTTGTTGACCATTACTCCTTCCAGAAGCCCCCTCTTCCTGTGGCTGCATTCACACACCCTCTCCTGATTTTCTCTCTGCATTGTGGACTTTTCTCACCTAATATGATTTGCTGGCTCATTCTCTTCCCTAGCCAATGAATGTGGAGTTCCACATGGCTCAGTCCTAACCCACTTCTCTATGCAAGTTAATTCCTCTTTCTTGGAGATCTCAAAGATGTCCAGAGCACAGGTCCATTTGCCAAAGACTCACAAATCTCCCAAATTAAGCCCAAACCTTTATTTTGAGCTCCAGATCAGTATTTTAACTGCCTTTTGACATTTCTACTTGGATGTCTTCATGGCTCCTCTAATTGCAATCTTACTAAAAATAACCTCATGCTTTTTCCTTCCAAAACTATTTTTTAAACTTATCTCAATGAAAAACTCTACTAGCAAAGCTGCACAAACCAGGACCTAAGGGGCATGCTTGACTCCTCACTCTTCTTTGTCTCCATTCTTCCAGCACATTTTGTTATGTTGCTCTTCATAAAATCTCTCCATTCTGCCCACTTCCTGCCATTCCTACTCAACTACCCTGGTAGAAGCTACTATCTTCTCTCATGCATTCCACTAGCCCCTAGCTGGTCAACTGTGTCCGTGGTTGACACCCTAATTCATGTTCTTCTCACCAATCAGGTTGATCATCTGAAGACCAATTCTAGCATATCAATCACTACACTGCTTAAAACCTGGTTAGCGGCATTTCATTGGTTTTAGAATGAAGATCAGTGTCCTTAAAAAGAGCTGGCAGGGCCCTACCTGAGCTGGCCTAGGCTACTTTTCCAAAGCCTTGCATTTTATCCTCCCTTTTATACATCGTGTTCCAGCCGCAGATTTTCTTTTAGTCCTGCCTCAGTGTGTGTTGCATGTCCTGTTTCCCGCATCTGGAATGCTCTCCCTCCCATTCTTTTGAATAACTCCCATTCACCCTTCAATTATCAGATTAAATGTTAGTGCCAGAGGAGTCTTCCTTGATCACTTCCAATATTCACTCCATTACTCTTTCCCCTCACAATATACAATAATTCACAACTATATATTTGTGGGATTATTTGTGGGTCCTTCCTGAGACATGAGATCAGATCTATTTTATTAGTAGTTTATTACTAGTGCTTGGCATAGAGTAGACATGCAATTCATAGTTACTAAATAGCCATTTGTTTTGAATGAATAAATGGATAAATGGAAGGGTAAGCCGAAGTAAAGATTTTTAGATGAAGGCAGAGTAAGGACACTGGTACCATGATATCCCCAGGTTTTTCATGTATTTCAAAGATGAAGTTATAGAAGATGGAGAAGTTCCATATCAGAAAAATGTCTTCTTCAGCCTATGCTTCAGCCCAATGTTCAGCTGCAAACCCAAGATTCTACTCATACCCAGGAAGGTAGAGAGAAGAACCACAGGTAAACAACACAGCCTGCTCAGGGGTAATCAGAAGATTGGGCTCCATGTCTCTTCCAGGAAGAAGCAATTTGTTTATTATTAGAATCCATAAACACATAAAACACTTAAAGCAATAGTAAATTTGCATATCAAAACATAAGAAAAGTGAACAGCTATGAAAAACCATTTAATATAGAAACAAGATGAAAATTTGAAAACAGTTTTGCATTCTTAAGCACTAGAATTCAGTCTACATAAAAGAGTGACAGTCATATTAGGAAGGAAAGTAATGAAATAAAAACATAAGTAGATGAAATGAGAGATGAGTAAGATTAAAAAAATGCAAGAAAACATAGCAGAATAAAAGCACACGTTATTGGCATTAAAGAACAAGAAAAAAATAATAAGCCAGTAATTTAGAGAACACCTGAGAAGTTTTACATTAATATGAAATGAAAGCAAAGATATAAATACCTCTGAGTAGAAAAAATAGCAAAAGAATTATAGGCATTCCTGAGGAAGGAGCTAGAATAATTGGAATAGAATCACTAGTAAAATATGCAATGATAATAATATTTAACTTTTATCAATCCCTTGTGTTGTGCCAGGTCTGTGCTAAAACATCACCATAAGCACATAATTACTGCTGCATGGAATAGTACAAGTGGAAGCAAAGTTTTATTTCTACAAATAAGAAAACCAAGGCACCAAGAGGCAAAGTAATTTGCAAAAGATTCTTCAACTTACACATGAGAAATCCTTGATGCATACCCTAGCTCTAGTACCTGTGTTCCTAGTTACCATGATTACTTAATAAAATATTTTTGAGCTGAAGAAAACATCTGATCATGTAGATGGAAGGTGTTAATCACTTTCTCAGTAAAGTTGATCATTAGAAAACTACTACAAGTCTACAGAGAAATTTGTAAAATAGATGGTTGCTGGAAATGTAACCTGGAGAATCCCTGTCTCTGACAGATATAGGTAAACAGTCTTTAATCCCCAAGTCTGTTGCCTGAGACAAAATGAAGTCTTCCCAAGTGACTTCTAAAATTTCCCAGGGAGTTTGCTTCCTCTTTAGCCTCTTCCCAGACACTGCCCATTCCACCCTTATCAATTTGCATGGTAGACTCAGGCCCTTCATCAATTTCTATGGATCCTGTATCATAGCACACCAAACAATCTATTTGCATCTATGAGTTTAGAGGTTTGAGAAAGGTCGGAGAGGCCATTGCAGAGCATGATGTGGCCTTCTGTCATCGCACTGGCTTCCCTCTCTCCCATCAGCCCATTTCTCTCCTCTCTCCCACCATGGCCTCAGGCTGGAAGTCTAACCAGCTTCCTTTGCCATAGGAACATGCCTTCAGAGTCTCACCTTTTAGCTCTGGCAGTTTCTTAATGCACTCTTTTGAAGAAGGAAAACAAAAACAAAACACAGGGTTCTTCCTAAAAGTTATTCTGTGAATAATGCTTTTGCCACATTGTAAGAAGAATAAAGATTTTAAAAATTCTCCTAAACATCCAGCTGACATCAGACCTTTCCTCAGTGTCACTGAATGCCGAAGGAGAACACAGCAAGGTTATAGCATAATTTCTATTTGTTTAAAGAATATTCTCCAGGTGAACTTAAACACAATTAATCTGGATTTCATAAATGAAGTAAAAACCATTCTCTGGCATATAAGGGTTCAGAAAATATACCATAAAAGTACTGTTTTTGAAAAAAAAAATTGACAACCTATAGAAAGATTAACTAAAATTGAGAACTTACAAATGATAGGAAGCAGAGCAGATCTAAAAAAAAAAAAATGGGCTGGGCACAATGGCTCATACCTGTAATTCCTGCACTTTCAGAGGCCAAGGCAGGTGGATTGCTTGAGCCCAGGAGTTCGAGGCCAGCCTGGACATCCTAGTGAGACCTTGACTCTATAAAAAATAAACGAAAAATTAGCCAAGTACGGTGGCACACACCTGTAGTTCCAGACACTCAGGAGGCTGAGGTGGGAGAATAGCTTGAGTCTGGGAGGTTGAGGCTGCAGTGAGACGTGATAGTACCAATGCACTCCAGCCTTTTCCACAGTGTGAGACCCTGTCTGAAAAAGAGAAAAAAACAAACAAACAAACAAAAAACATGGGCCTGGAGCCTGATTGACTGCTGGGTTTTAAGTCCTGTCTCTGTTGCTAACGAGTCATGTGACTGGAGCAAGTTATTATCTCTGTGCCTCTGTTCATCTGTAAAATGAGGACAATATTAGCACTCATCTCATAGGGCTGTTGTGAGGATTAATTGAGTTATTATTCTAATGTACTTAAAATTCTTGGTACCTAGAAATGACCATGCAGGTATTTGTTGATTATAATAAGAAATGTGGAAGTTGAAGTATAAAAAATATGGGAAAATAAGCACTGAAATCATTCACTTAAACATAGAATTAAAACTGAATAATTCTTGTAAATGTAGTAGCTTAAAAATAATGTCAATGTTACAGAATTTGAGACATGAGTTAAGAATTGCAAAAAGAATAGTGATTTATTAACAGACTTTGTAAAAAATCTCAGTTTATATTTTAAAGGAAAAAGGGGTATCAAGGAAGTATAATAAAACCATGCTAAATCCCTTCCCATATTCAACTTAGGATTCAAGAGATTCCATTCCATGTTTTTCTTTAATAGTTATAGAAATATCAACTAAAACTTAGTGAAATGATATTTTTGAAAAACGGAAGAATTCAGAACATGATATAATCCTTTCAAGTCTCTGGGACATATAAAATCAAACAATATATTTTGCATAGCAAAATAAGAAAATAAAAAAGTTTACTGAAGCATAATGAATAGAAAATGGGAAGCAATGTATTATTCAGAGACACTCTTGGGTCATCTAGGGTGAGAAGGGGATTCAGGGAAGAAGGGGCACAGGACACTGTCCTAGCCAACTGGATGGAGACCTGGTATGCTGCACCACTGTGGGCCTGGCTGTACTCTGCTCTCCAGCCTCAGGTAGCTCCCCAACCATAGGACTTGTTCCCTCACTGGTTCACCACTGCAGGCCATCACTGTGTCCACGTCACTGTTTAATGTCCCCAGATGCCACCAACCGATTGCTCTCTCATCTCCTCTCCTCCACAGGACTTGCACACGAAGTCTGTATGTCCGTAGGGCTTTGTACATCACTCTTGCAAAAGGACTCTCTTCGTCTTGCTTTCAGACTTCTTCAGGTGAGGGAATAATTGAGTTGCCCACTCAACACTCTATGGGGTAACCTGCTGAGATATCGGGTGCAGCCATTTCAGAGGCTCTCTTTGGATCAAGTGCCACTCCCTGCTCAGGGTGGCAGAGGTACAAAGCCTCAGGAAGGTGGTGTGGGTGGGGCAGGCACTGTGGCCTCACAGAGGGAGGTAGTTTCACACACTGGGTCACCGCGTGGTCTTTTCAATTACCTCCATGGAGGGCCAAATAAAAGATGGCAAGAGGGAATGTAACTTCTTCCAAACCTGCTTTTATCAGGCTCTTGGTTTATAAAATTCCCAGATACATATGTAACAGAATCAAGCAAATTCAAGCATAAAAAAATGACAATATTAATTTCAGATAAACTAAAATTAAAAGAAATTGCACAAAATAAGATAAAGGGTCCATTGTAATTGATAAATGATGTCTTCTGAAACAGATTTATGTACCAATTAATAACATCAAAATGTATTTGAAACTCATAAGAAATATAAAAAGAAATTTACAGAAAAACAGTTTACTTTAATATATCTGTGCGACTCTTTATTAAGTAGATTAAGATAATTTGAATATAATAATGAGTTTCCATTAATATGTATTAAACAAGAGTTTATTTTTTAACCTGTGCCATTTCTCTTTAAAAACTTGGGTTAAGAGGAAATCAAAAGTACAATTACAAACTGGTTAAAAAGTTCCTAAAACGAGAGAGTATTTATCAAAATATATGATTTATGGCCAAAAGAGAATCATTGGCAAATTCACACCATTATATGTTTTTGTTTATTAAGCAATAAGAAATGAAAGTAATTAAGCAGCCAAGTAAGTTTCAGAGGATTACCACACTAATCTAAAAAATAAAGAGAGTAAAATAGTATGTATAAAATAAAAATCAATGAATTATGAAATAGGAAAATTAGATAAACAGACTTTTAAAAATAATATTTGGTACGTTAGAAAAAATAATCACAATAAATGACCTTAGGAAAATTGAATCAGGAAAAAAAGATAGGATAAGAGACACAGTACTTTTAAAGTAACACAATACTGTATAAAATGCTATAGTGATAAATTCAAAGAAATGGATCGTTTTCTTGAAAAAGACCTTTCAACATTGATTTAAAAGGAAAAAATAACTGAAAAAAATTGTTAAAGACTGTAACTGATTTGAAAAATGTGTTATTTCAAACTTTGAAAAGATAAATAATTCTCATGTTTTACCAGAGCATAGAAAAATATAAAAAGTAATTAGTAAAAAAATTGACTTTAAAACTCCTAAGGCCAACGAGAGTATTTTATAATACAGAAAAGATACATAGACATCAGAAGCTTTCCTATGTTTCACAAAGAAACAGAAACTATTATAAAAAACAAGTCCTTTTAAAAAATAAATACAAAAATATATAAAGCAACAACAAAAAATATATAAAGTAGAAGAGTATAAAATGTGCTATAGTTTCATTAAGAAAAATCACACAGTTGTCTGAAAAGCATGAAATATGACTTAATACATGAGAAATATGCTACATTTGTACATAGGAAAATTCATATAAATATGACAGTTCTTCTGATTGTAATTTATAGGTTAATTCAATCTGAAGTGATTCTAGAATTTATCTGGAAGAATAAAGGCTACAGATTGCCAAGAAATTTTTTTTAAATAAAAATCATGAGGGAATAATTAAAACAGTACCGTATTGGTGCTAGACTTGACAGATTGGTGACTAGAACAGTATAAATGGCCAAAAACAGAGACTGGTATAGATTAGAATTATGAACAGTTAGATTTGGAAATGTAGTTCCTGGGTCCATCTGTTCATAAGCCCAAGTGATGATGAGGGTACTGTTTGCGCTGGCTTCCCCCAGTGCATTCCCACTGAACCAGATTGAGAGGTCGTCTTTCAGTGCTTTAAACCCAGGCACACCCTTCAGCTTCTTGCTGATCCTCCTGCAATGGCTTATCCTTTAGGAAACCATGTCAGTTCCGTGAAGGCTGATAACACCTCTTGGGGTAGGCCGCTCCCTCCTTGAACATCTCTGTATGTGCTTGGAGACCCTCAGCAGTTAACCTCACCTTTTATCTTGCTGCACACTTTGATGTGCTGATTTGAATGAGCCTTGAAGTGGGATGGATCAGCAGCCTACTCGCACCATATAAAGCTTTTATTTTCTCAAACTCCTATCCTCTCAGAACATTTACCAAACAAGCCACTGATGTTGATCATGTTTCTTTAGCCCACATCCAAAATATTTCCCATTAGCTTTGTTAGTGTAGATTATTGTTTATTGCAGAGGAGTCTGACACTTTCCTAGGTTGCACAATTTGCTTTTGTCCATCTGAGCCTTTTCTTTCCTTTCTTTTCCTTTTCTTTCTTTTTCTTTTTTTCTGTCTTTCTTTCTTTCTCTCTTTCTCTCTGTCTCTCCTTCTCTCTTTCTTTTCTTTCTCTCTTTCTTTCTTTTCTTTCTTTCAAGACAGGGCCTTGCTCTGTGGCTCAGGCTGGATGGAGTGCAGTGGTGTGATCATAGCTCACTGCAGCATCCAACTCCTGGGCCAAGCTATCCACCTCTCAGCCTCCCAACAAGCTGGAACTGTAGGCAGCACCACCTCACCTGGCTAATTTTCTAATTTTTTTTTTTTTTTTTTTTTTTTTTTTGTGAGACATGGAGTCTCATATGTTGCCCAGGCTAGTCTCAAACTCCTGCCCTCAAGCAATCCTCCAATCTCGGGCTCCCAAAGTGCTGAGATTACAGGCATGAGCCACCATGCCCAGCCATCAGGGTCATTTCTGACTGTGGAACTATTCATTCTACACATGTGTGCAATATTTACAAGTTTCTGAGTGCTTGCAATCATTAGTAATGTTCTATTTTTTAAAACTGCTTAAAAATGATCTCTACTTTTGTTTCTGTCATTATCTTACTATAGTCACACTGCTATTGTGTTTATCTGATATAATAGGGTTAATGATGTTAGAAAACTCAAATTTAGCAATGAAAAAAGCAAATACATGTAGTAAGTTAACTAAAATTACCACAGGTGACCACTAATGCCACTCTTTGGTGGCAAATGCAGTCAAAATACTCTTGCTCTGAAACATAGCTTGATTCCTATTTAAGTTCATAAGCAGAGGAGATTCTACAACAATGTCATCACCAATCAGGAGAAATAAAAAATGAAGAAGTGGCTTGTGCAGACACAGTACTTAATTATTTAGAATGGGGATAAAGTTAGATCCTTGTCTCACACCAAGCCCACAAAATAATTCCACATGGATGAACCATGTTAATTTAAAACACTGAGATGCCAAGGAAGAAAAGGTAACTACTGACTTACTTAATCCTGCAATAGAAAACCACTTTTTAAGTATAAAAGTAAAGGAAAAAAATCACATATAATAACTGAAATATTAAACAAGGCATAAGTAGTAAACTTTCAGCTGCAATTAACAGATAATCTAACTTTATAATGGATTAAACAATAAAAAATAGTATTGTTTCACAACATCTGAATCCAGAAGTAGAGCAGGTTTCAAAGCATTGACTTCATCCAGTGGGCTCAGTTCCTTCTCTTTGTGATCACTTCAGCTTCACCTATGCCTGTGGGTTGGCTTTATCCCTCAACAAGTTCCTCTCATGTTGGGAAAATAAATACAGTAGGTTCAGGTTTCACATCTGCACAACTTCTTAGCTTGGATTTCCCAGAAGGAAGGACGTATGTGCTAGTATTTTATTGGAAAGTATAATTGATGGGAAGTAGGAGTGAGGAAAAGTGAGAATGGTGCATCAATGAGTGGAGAGCCAGTTCCCTAGCTGGCCTCTGCTTTGAACCAGGCAACATGGATTGTTTCACTGCATCTCACACTTGAACCACTTAGTGCTCCAGAAACATTTGTGTCTCAGAACAGTCCTTCCTAGGAAGGGAGAAAGAAGAATGTATTTGTCACTTGTCTCAAGGGTCAAAGGATTGTTCTGCATAGGGATATTTTTCTTGAACTTGGAGGTTGTGCACACATTGAATTGTTCATGGTCTCTCATGCTTCATATCCACAGGGAAGATCTAAAGCATGAGGCAAAAGGCATGCAGTGTGACCCTCTCAGATTGTGGCCACCTGAGGCTGGCCAGAGTCTACACAGACATGGTTACCTCCGAGGAGCCTGGTATAAGAACAAGCGACCTTTGCCCCAGAATCGGGAGGAATAGAAGGAAACATCCTCAGTCTGATGAAAGGCATCTACAATAAACATACAACAAATGTCATACTTAATGGTGAACCATAGAATGTTATCTCTCTAAAGTTAGGAAGAAGACAAGGATGTCTACCCTATCACTTCTATTCAACATTGTCCTAAAAGTTCTAGCCAGTGAAATATGGCAAGAAAGAAATTCATCAAATTTTGAAAGAAAAAAATAAAACTATCTTTACTTCCAGAAAATATAATTATTCATGTAAAAAAAAATCTAATGAAATATATGAAAAAGTTATGAGAACTAATAAGTGAATTTAACAAGGCATCAGGATTAACAATTAATATACAAAAATCAACTGCATTTCTATATACAAGCAACAATCATAAACTAAATTTTTTTAAATTCCACTTACAATAGCATCAAAATATATAAAACAGGCTTAAGTTTGATGAAAATAAGACCAATACAAAGAAAACCACAGAATATTGCTATGAGAAAATAAAGATCTAAATAAGTGGAGCAGTATGCATTGTTTATATATGTAGGTAGATTCAGTATTGTTAAGATGTCAATTATTTTCATATTAGTCTCTAAATTCAATATTCTCAATAGAGATGCCAGCAGTCTTTTTTGTTGTTGAAATTGGCAAAATGACTCTAAAATTCCTATGCAAATGCAAAGTACCTACAACCGAAAACAACTTTGAAAGACACAAATTTGGAGTAATAACATTATGTGATTTCAAAACTCATTATAAATCTGTAATAATAAAGACTATATAATACTGGTTTAAAGATAGACATCAGGTCAATAAGACAGGACAGAGGGCCACTTTTATATATGACCAACTGGTTTTGCACAAGGGTGCAAAAGCAAACTAAATGGGAAAGGATTGGCTTTTTTTCCATATATGGTACGAAACAACTGAATATTTGTAGGCAAAAAAATTAATATTTCACATCATCTACAAAAATTAACTCAGAGATTTAAATGTAAAACCTGAACTATAAAACTTATAGAAGAAAACGTAGGGGAAAACTCTAGAGACTTCCAGTTTTAACTCATGCACATAGACAGCCAGGAAGTCCTCATTTCCTTCCTTACAAGAATAGCTGGACAAACAGAATGTCAAGGATTTTTTTGGACCCATCAGAGGACTGCAGTTGCAGGACAAACTGCCACTCCCAGATCTGGAGAGACAGAAGCATCCAGAGAGTCATAGCTAAGATCTGCTTAACTGGAGTATACACCATTACAGTCATAAACTAGTAAGAATACTTACAAGGTGGTTGCAATGAATTGTTGAAGACTGGGTGTAACCTACTGTGAGAGGAAGAAACTCCCAGAGGCTGCCATCTTAGGGAGAGCCCCCAAATTTCTATGAACTTTCCATCCAGGGATTGTACCATGTTTTTATGGTGAAGATCCTCTCGTGGCTTTATCTGTCTCCTGCAGCTGAAACATCACATCACCCCAAGGCTCTCCTTCACGAGATTCCTTGATATGAATCACTTTCTCTGCCAGGATAATCCCCTGCAGTCACTGTGGGGAAGCCATTAGATGGTTTTCAGAAATTACTGTTGCCCACCGCAGCAAAGCCTGGGTGCTTTTAAAAAGCATGAATTACTCAAAAAGTTAAATCACCACCCAGGAATATTCTGCATTTCCTTTTATCTTAGAATGTTTAGTATACTTTGGTGACTATGGCAGAAACACAAAAAGCCTAAGCAATGACCTGTATGGATCAATCAGGGAGAACCACAGGAGATTTGGGTGAGTTCTGTGGTTGACTGGGTAGACAGACAACCTCAAAAGTTTAGATGGAGGCTTCACATTGCCAGGGACCATGTATGCAGCCCAATTTTAAAGACAGCTTTTGAGATTGAGGTGGAAAGAATGCCAAACTGAATAAAGCAAAGTGTCTGCCACCAACTCCAACAGAATAGGACTCCCAATTAGAATTAAATTGTGGAACAATAAAGGTTTTAATCTGGGGGTACTAAAATTGCAAACTATGATATATCCCCTAGGATACTCCTTTTAGGATGTATAACTATCATTGTTTACTAGAGGCTGAGAAGGAGATAATCTTGGCATCATGGTATTGAGAGACGCTTTGATCATCTAGCACTTTTATGGCATTAACGTGTGGTTGCCAAGAGCCCCCAAGAAGGTGAAGCCACCTTATGCCCGTCCAGAAAATTATCTATGACTTGGGGCAAAGGTGTAACTTCCAGATCACTTCTTCTCTATGTTCTGCTAATTACTCCCTTCCCTGATTTCTGCTTCTGGTAAAAAAATAAATAAATAAATTAGTTGTTTGATAATAAGAGAATTCTGTTTTGGGAGAATATTGTGGAAAATGTTTATCTTTGTGAAAATGTATCTTTTGAGGTGAGATTGAGTCATCTTATGCCAGTGGGTGTTACAAATTCAGAAAAGTTTCTTAAACAGTCCATGAAATAGTAGGTTCCATTTTTTTTCTACATTATATTGGGACTTCAGGACTTTTGTAGCTACTTAGGAAGTGTCCTGTCAGTGCTAATAGAGGGTGTTACCTAATATATCCCGGGTCATCAAATTTCCCGGTTGGGAGGGTGTAATTTAAAGAGTGTGAGAAACTAAACAATTGAGTATGTCTATAATCCAGGGGCCCTTATAAATCAGACATAGATATTTGAATTCAAGATGGTAGAGGATGAAGAGTTAGTGTTGGTAAACCAAAAATATAGTTTGAAGGAAGTATAAGAGAGGTTAAACTTTGTGGGCAACTGAAAGTAGTGCTATGTCTTGCCCCGTTACCTATCTTCTATTCTACTGATGCTCTCAGGTAAGAATTTATAGAATCTTTGGACACCTCCTCAGTGATGATCATCACTAATTCATCCTGGCCATTGATCCTGATCTTGTTGATATCCTGTGTCTTGTAAGTAGGTTACCATCTTTTCTTTTATGTATAATTCCCTGTTTTGATAACCTACCTGCAAGACAAGGGTGGTCTAGGACTGTAATCAAGCATGCTCCTAGAATTCCCTACCCTTATCTCTGTATTCCAGCTATTTGTCTTCACAGGCTCTAGGTGCTGCTTAACAACATTAGCATTGCCCATCACAGGACCTCCAGGATCCCAGGTTTCAACTCCCTGCCTGAATGTCTTTTCTTTCACCTTCTCCCAGATTTTCCTGCTCCTGAGAACTGTAAGTCAAGTTCTGCAGTGAGGGTTTGCCTTGTCCCTCCCAGACTTGGAACTTTCTTTCCTTGCCCAATCAATTCTGCCTTAGATGGAGTATGAAGGCAGCCAGACCTAGGAAATTCCCAACATATAGAGATTAAGTATGAGACAAAAGTCAAAAGTTATTTGGACAATTGAGAGTTCAGGACACCCTGTGGTGTCAGAAGGCAATAAAAGGCAAGGTTGGAAATAAAGTATGAGCTATCTGACAACATGCCCAGAACATCTGAAAGTGGGAATACCTCTGCTTGCAGGCCTCCTGTTGAATGATTCTACGAATATTTTTTGAGCTCTGTTACATGCAATGCAGTGTGCTAGTTTGTTACATGCCTTTTCCCAGGTTTGGGTTTTGTGACTGTTTTCTGGGCAAAAGCCAACCTATAATCCTGATGTAGAAACAACTGATTTATGTAAAAAGCTAGTAAGTGGCAAACTGGATGTGATGTGTGATGAAAGATACTGACAAATATTATAGGGGACTGGAAGTATGCTCAAAGATTACATGCTTGAGCTTTGTAGTCAGAAGACTTGAGTTCAAATCCAGACTCAATAATTATGACTTCTGCAACCCTGAGAGCAAAATTTTCTTGGGGTCATGTTATTTCAGTTAAATGGGGGTAACAATACAATCTGCTTTATAATGTTCTTATGAGGGTTGAATGGGATAAGGCACAAAAGCACTTGGAAGTGTCCCTGGCTTGTTACAATACACCAATAAGTGTTGTCTTTCTTGTTGATAGAAAATAAATCTGGCAGCCAAATGTAAGAGGATATAGCCTATGGAGAAACTGTCATCAATAGATAAAATGTAGATATTGTAAAAGTATGAAAAAGTAGAGTAGAATGATTGAGACGCTGGGTCTTGTACTTGGACTTCAGTTGTCTCACTAGCTGTGTGATATTGGCAAAATTATTTAACCTCTCAGAGCCTGACTTTGTACATCCATTAGGCATGATAATCGTGTATGTTTCACGTAACTGTTAAGACAAAGCATGCCAAATGCTTAAAGCAGTGCCTTAGTGGCATAGTAAGTGCTCAGTGACAGATGATGAAACCAGTCATCCATGTGGGGGGAGTTTAGGACCTTTGCTTGGGTGATAATGGATGCAAAATCACAAACTGACAAAGAAATAAAGAGCCAGGAGTATGTGTGTCAGTAGGCAGGCAGTCCCATCCCTAGGGCAGTCCCATCCTAGTTTACATTTAGATGAGGCCCAGCTCTCAGAGTTCCCTGGGAAATGTCACCTCTTGGCCCCAGAAGATTCCCCAAAGCACAAAAGCTGAGATGATGGTCCTGGTTTTCCACAAGATACAGCTGATACCTGGGTCCTGAACAGGACACAGGTCTGTAAGCAACATTTGAACATAGGGGAAGGCTTTGCAGGTGAGATAAGAATAATTTGTAATTAGCACATTCTCTGTTTAGCAGAATTATTTGCATACAAAGTGATTTTTATAATTACTTGGGAACCGTTTGTTGACCTTTCTTCTTTAGTAGGCTAAATATTTTCCTGTTGATATAATAATTATCTCTACAATCTCTTCCTTTAGATCTTGCTTGGAGAAGCAGCATATTAAACTACAAAAGTTCTCAAAATCCTTTTCTGGGGATAGACAAATAAATGAGTATTGGCACTTTGTGTTTAAACTGACAGATCTCAAAGGAGGACACATTTACAAATCCTGCTTTAGATTCCTGGAGTAGATGTTAAAAACACAGTTTCCCTCCTCTCATCCTAGGCTGAATGAAATAGAGCCTCTGGGTGGGTCTAATAGTCTGCATTTTTAACAGATGTCCTAGATGATGAGTGTGAGCAGTTGGGTTTGAGGATTAGCATTTCAGGTCACTCCAAGTGGAATTTCTGCCCCTGAATCAAAAACCAAATTGGTCAACTGGTTCACTTCCTGGTTTGTAATAGAGATGGGCCGTGGCAGTGATTCAGTTCAGTGAGAACCAGACACATTTCTACCAATCCCATGACACGAAGTCTACCCCGCCAGTTTAGTTTGTATAAAGCATCCACTAAGAGTCAGGCACTTTTGTCCAAAGGGATATCATTTAATTGATCAACCAAAAATGAAGGTATAATTATTATCCGCATATTACAGGTGAGAAAACTAGCACTCAGAGGTGGGCAATAATTTGCCCAAGGCCTCACAGCTAAGAACTGCAGGGCCAGGATTATAAACTAGGTCAATTTTCTGCTACTCCATGAGGCCTTTTTTAGAAGGAAAATGCATCATGTTTCCCTTGTTCCAGGTAGGGCATTTTGGCTGTCAGTGACATGTTACAGAGGGAGAAAATATGCTTCTTGAGCTGAAGTACCTATAGCTCAATGGGGAGACAGGAGGACAGCTCCCATGGTGTCCCAGCTGGCATCCAGCTCCATGCCCTCCCAGCTTTCCTCCTCTTGGTTCATCTCTTCCCCAAGCCACATTCTATACTAGATTCTGACCCCAGTCCTCTCCCCCAATAGACTAAGCTCCTTGAAGGCAGAGGCTGTGCCCTGTTGAGGTCATGTTCATCCCAATTCCCCTCTGTTAGCCCAGCAATGCTGCCAGATCCACAGTCTCATTCACACGTTATATGCAGTGGATTGTGTAAGAAAATAAATAAAATGGAAGCATATGAATTAAGGAGTCCCAGATATGTCTGAATCAGAGAGACATGATTCAACATATGTCCTGAACTGTCAGTTCTTCCTGGGGTTCCAGAAGAATAGGAATGCCCAAGGTAGAAATCAAACAAATGTATACATCCATATAACAATTGTTTCAGAATACCTTCAATTATGGAACAATTTCTAAGTCATGTCCCAAAGGAAATGACATTTTAAGTGTTCAATTAAATGACATATCTTGGTTCTCAAGTCCAGTTCGGGCTGTTTCTTGGGGACTTCAGCCAGGGTCCTCTTTTGTCTCCACAAACTAGGTCCCCTGGGGGGGAAATTCTAGGGCTTTCTCCAAATAAACCTGCCCTTTCATCTCAACACTGAGACCCTGGGAGCTTGTCCTCACTTTGTGGCATGAGACCTAGGGGTGTCAAGCAGACACCCCTGGGTGTCCACCCACCCACTGGGTAATTTATGTAGTAATTGGGAGAAACCAGGTAGAAACAAGAGGAAAAAAATCATGAGTAGATCTGGAAACCATATCTTGCCTCTGCAGAAACTGGGAATGTTTATTCTGGACAAGGGGTGTCCTAAGAGGAGTTAGGACAGCTGCCTTGGTATATTTGATGAACTGTTAGGAGGAAGAAGGAATAGCCCCCAAAGAGGAATTACAATCTGTGTGTGTAAATAAAACTTGTCTATTGAGGAATCCCAACTCATGAGAATATCCATATGCTATGGCTTTTTATTTTTCTTGTCTCAGCTTTCAACTGTGCTTCATTGAACCCCTCTTCCCTGCAGAGTAGCAACAGACATCTTGTCCGGATTCTAAAATAGTGAAATTTACTCTCTCTAGCACAGTTTTGTCCCTTTTCATTTTCTTTTTAGTGTACTTGGAGGTGTGGTATCAGGCATATATTCAAAATATTATTTTTCAGTTTTATGGAAGCCTAATTGACATATTACAAACCACCTATACTTAAAGAATACAATTTGATATGTTTTGACATATGTATATATGGTTGTTACCACTTCTTGGCTATTACCAATAAAGCTGCTGTGAGCATCCATGTGCAAATCCTTGTGTAAATATATGTTTTTATTTGCCTTGAGTAATAAGGATTGGAGTACCTAGGATTAGAATGGTAGGTGTTGTTTAAGGTTTTAAGAAATGCTACATGGTTTCAAAAGTGCTTGTATCATTTTATATCCCCACAGCAGTGTTTCGTTTCCTTCACATGCTTGCCAATACTTGGTATGGTAAGTCTTTTTAACCATTCTAACAGGCAGGTAGTGGTTTTGTGTGTGTGTGTGTGTGTGTGGTTTTTTTTTGTTTTGTTTTGTTTTGTTTTGTTTTTTTGAGATGGAGTCTCACTCTGTTGCCCAGGCTAGAATGCAGTGGTATAGTCTTGGCTCACTGCAACCTCCGCCTCCCAGGTTCAAGCAATTCTCCTGCCTCAGCCTCCCGAGTAGCTGGGACTATAGGCATGTGCCACCAGGCCCAGCTAATTTTTTGTATTTTTAGTAGAGACGGGGTTTCACTGTGTTAGCCAGGATGGTCTAGATCTCCTGACCTCGTTATCCATCACCCTGACCTCCCAAAGTGCTGGGATTATAGGCATGAACCACCGGGCCTGGCCAGCAGGTAGTGGTATCTTATTATGGCTTTTATTTTCCTTTCCCTAATGATTATCTTGTCATATACTTATTTTAAACCTTTTGTCTTCTTTGGTAAAATGTCTGTTTATATCTTTTGCTTATATTTGTATTGAGTTGATTATTTTATTATGTTTTGAGAATTCTTTATATATTCTGAATACAATCCTTTAGCAGACACATATTTGCCAATATTTTCTCCCAATCTGTAACTTGTCTTTTCATTCTCTTAAGAGTCTCTTTCAAAGAGCAACATCTGTAATTATTATGAAATCCAGTTTATTAAATTTTTCTTTTATGGATGGTGCTTTTGATGTTATACCTAAGAAATTATTGCCTAAGCTAGGGACATAAAGTTTTTCGTCTGTTTTCTTCTAGAAGTTTTATTGTTTTAAGGTTTACATTTATAATTCTTTTTGCTTTGCATATAGGGCAAATAATCAAGTTCACTTTTGTTTTTGTATGTGTTTATCTAATTATTCCAGCACCTTTTCTAGGAAATATCATCTTTCCACACTGAATTTTGTACCTTTGCAGAAAATAAGTTGGTCATATGTGTAGCAATCTATTTCTGGACTCTCCATTCTGTTCATTGATATATTTGTCTATCTTTCTGTGACTAGCACACTGTTTTAATTACTGTAGCTTTATAATATACCTTGAAATCAGGTAGTGTTAGCCATCTACCTTTATTCTTCTTTTTCAAAGTCGTTTTGGTTCTTCTAGTTTCTTTGTATTTCCAGACAAATTTTAGCACCAGTTTTTCAATTTCTACAAAAATTTCTAGTGGGATTTTGATTAGAATTATATTGATTCTAGAGAGTAATCTGAGGAGAATAACATTTTGAGAATATTGAGTTTTCTATTCCATGACTACAGTATCTCTGTCCATTTCTTTAGGCCTTCTTCAATTTCTCTCAGTACCATTTTGTGTTTTTCAATGTATAAATCTTGCCCATATTTTCTCTGATTTTCCCCAAATATTGCATATTTTTGATGTTATAAATGGCATTTCCTAAGTTCCAATTTACAATTATTATTTGGTAATAGATAGAAATGCAATTGATTTCTGTATATTGATTTTGTATTCTGCAAGCTTGATCAACTCCCTCATAGTCAACTTTTTTGTAGATTCCATTGGATTTTCTCCAGAAATGATCATATCATCAGTGAATAAAGATATTTTCCATTATTTCTTTCCTATATGAATGCCTTTATTTCCTTTCTTGCTATATTACACTAACTAGAATCTCCAGTATAATGCTGACTAGAAGTGATGAAAGCAAAAACCTTGCCTTGTTCCTGATCCTAGGGAGAAAGCCTTTAAATCTTTTACCAGTAGTTAAGGTTAGTTGTCGACTTTTTTGTAGGGTCGCCATCAGGTTCAGAAAGTCCTCTTCTATTCCTAATTTATGACAGTTATCGGAAATAGATGTTAGATTTTGTCAAATTCTATGGAAATGATCATGTGGTTTATTTTTGCTCATTCGTTTAGATTTTAGTTTTTCTTTATAAGGTAAATTACATTTATTTTCCAGTGTTAATTTAAGCTTGCATGCTCAGGGTAAACTCCATTTGGTCATGAAATAGTCTCCTTTATATGTATCGTGAGATCTAATTTGGCAAATTTGTCTTATTGTCTTTGCATCTCTATGAGGGATATTGGTCTGTAATTTTTTTTTTTTTTTTTTTTGAGACGGTGTCTCACACTGTTGCCCAGGCTGGAGTGCAGTGGTGCGATCTCGGCTCACTGAAAACTTCACCTCCTGGGTTCACGCCATTCTTCTGCCTCAGCCTCCCGAGTAGCTGGGACTACAGGCACCTGCCATCATGCCGGCTAATTTTTTGTATTTTTAGTAGAGATGGGGTTTCACCGTGTTAGCCAGGACGGTCTCAATCTCCCGACCTCGTGATCTGCCTGCCTCAGCCTCCCAAAGTGCTGGGATTCTTTTCTTTTAATATCAACCTTGTAGACTTTCCCAAATCTTTTTGAATAATACTCTTGGAGATCTCCCTTACCTGGCTTCAGGCGTGAATGGGCAGAGAAAGAAGAAACTTCTTTCACCGCACTTCCATAAAGGCAAACGTCTCAGTTTTTCTTGCAGTCCTCTCCTTACTGAAACTATTGACTCTGGCCTCTTCCTATTTAGATCTGGAGAAAGAGAGGAGCCTGTAGCATAATGAGGGACGAAGTATCTGTGTCCTCTCAGAAAGCCCTGAAGGGAGTGTCTGGCCACAGTGTTTCATAAGGAGTGTAGACTTTGGCCTTAGCCACAATCCAGGACGACAAAAGATGCTCCAAAAAACATCTGGGTACAGAAGTTACAGAGAAACAGTTCCTTATCAAATGTGCTAAAGAATTTCTTACCAGTTAGAAGATTGCTAAAAAGGTTGAAGCAGATACCAAATGATTGGGGAATAAGAATTTTTTTTTTCTTTGAGACTAAGTCTTGCTCTGTTGCCCAGGCTGGAGTGCAGTGGTGCGATCTTGGCTCACCACAACCTCCACCTCCCAGGTTCAAGCGATTCTTCTGCCTCAGCCTCCAGAGTAGCTGGGACTACAGGCACATGCTACCATGCCCAGCTAATTTTTGTATTTTTAGTAGAGATGGGGTTTCTTTATGTTGGCCAGGCTGGTCTTGAACTCCTGACCTCGTGAACTGCCCGCCTTGGCCTCCCATAGTGCTGGGATTGCAGGTGTGAGCCACTGCGCCTGGCTGGGAGCAAGAAATTCTTATCTGGCATGCGGGGAAAGTAACTTCTATATCAGAGTCGTGAATTCAAAGTAGCTTCTCATATTCAACATCTCTTAAAATATAATAGAATAGCGTAGGATTGGATAGGATAGGATGAGATGGGATAGGATAGGGCAGGACAGGATCTAGTAATATAATATTTTTAAAAGAAAAATATGAGACAAATCAAACAGAGTTTAATTGAGCAAAGAAAAATTCGTGAATCGGGCAGCCTCCCAAGCCAGAGTAGGCTCAGGGATACTCCAGCACAGCCACGTGGTGGAAGAAGATTTATGGACAGAAAAAGGAGACTGACATACAGAAGATGGAAGTGAAGTACAGAAACAGCCAGATTGGTTACAGTTCGGCTTTTGCCTTATTTGGACACTGTTTGAACAATTGGCCCCCTTTCATTGTCCAAAACTCAATGATTGGCACAAAGATAGTTTACAGTTTGTTTACACTTCCACTTAGGTTATAATTCAGTATGTACACAGAAATATTTACACTGAAGTTCAAAGAGGTAAGGGGGCAGTTTTATGCTAAAGTTGATTTAACAATATCAAGTGCACCACATTAGTTACGAGTTTGCTGAGACTTTTTTTCATTCTCATTCTCTTTCTCTCTCATTCAATCGCATGTATGTACTAGGTCACAATGTAAAAGGTGTTTCTTATTGTGGATCACAGCTGAAGAATTTTGAAGCTGCTCAGCTAAAGGACTTTCCCTCTGCGAAGCTGTGATTCTCTGAAGTGGCCAAAGAAATTATGCAGTAAGGTAAGGTTTACAGCTGTTGCTGAGGTTCTTTCTCTAAGTCAAAATCTGCTTTGAGCTTGCCAACCTCAAGGTGATATTGAGGAATATTTCTTAAAACAGACAGCTGCCTTTGTAGGAGAGTGGGGAAGCATGATTATAGACCATCTGAAGGTGCTCTGTGCCCCAACTCAACCCACCAACTGTGACTTTGAAGGAAGCCCAAGCCAGAAGAGTGAATTTTGTGTCTTCCCTCAACAGCAATCAATCAATACAGAGTTAATTCTCTAGTGCCTTGCAGGTTGTCAGCAAACTTCTCAAACTGTGTTTCATACCTGGAGCTAGGGGCTGTTCTCAAAGGGCTTTTCCATTTACTTGGCGAATAGAACTAATATCCTTGAAATAACTCACAGACCAAGACAACATATAAACAAGAGCTAAGCTGCATGCAGCATACTGTAACTACAAAAGGAGTTTAGCAGCACAGAAAACGAATTAGCCAATGGGGAAGACATCTCTAAGGTAGACTTGGACTAATGTTGGGATCACTACGAAGGATGTGCTGGCTTCAGAAATCCGGAGGAAAAAGGTAGCGGCTCTTCAGTGTCAAAAGACATTAGACATAGATTTGGATGTGCCACACACATTTATCTTCCATCATGTCCACACTCCAGAAAAAAACAGCCTATTGTGCATTCCAACTAAGTCTCTTAAGCTGGGAGTTAGTCTAGGACCATGAAGAGAGAATTTTCTTTGTATCTAAATACATAATTATATTTTAGATTACTGGTTACCTTTCTCATTCACCTGTTCTATCTCAAAAACCTGTGGTATGCAACATTAACTTGGCTCTATAGAGAGCTGCATGATACATAAAAGACCTTCTATGTTCAGATTTTGTCCAACTGATGAGGAAAAAGTGTGACCCAGTAAGAGAAGTGAGAGCCTATCAGTATCAGTCAATAATATTCAAGCTATCCAGCTCTATAAACAAGGAAGATATTCGGGGTCAAAAACAGGTGAAGGTGAAGAGCAGTATAGTCAGAGAAGACATCCTGGAAGAAGTTGAATTTGTGTTTGTGACAGTCTTGTGGGTTCTATCCCACCAACCCTTCTCAGCAGTGACTCAGCAAATTGATTTCAGAGGCAGCCTCTGGGAACTTACATCCCACTGATGGGTTTATAATGAAAATGCTGACGCACTCCTAAGTCAAACCAGGACTCTTGAGCAGCACTACAGAATTGAGTGCGTCATTTCCCCCTGAACAATGCGTCTCATTCATTGCTTGAAGTGTGACCATTCATGTTGAAAATGAAATTCCGCAGTGATCTGTTTGGGGAAATTATTCAGAGCTACTCACTTAAAGATCTTGCTATCTTTTGTGGTTCTCAATTAAGGCTCACAAGAACCTCTCCAGGGTAAATTGGTGCCAATCTAGGCATTGAGAGTAGAAGGAAAAATGAAAATCTAAAGCTCGTAGGAACTTTCAAAAGTCATTTCTAAAGGCCCCTAGGGAGTAGATAACATACAGACCAAGTTATCCTGAATATAAGTTATACTGATTATAACCAGAATATCTAGAATATTGGTATAATAAGAGAAAAAACATGGATGTGAAATTAGGAAGCATTGGTCTTAGCCCTGGTTCTGCCTATAGCTACCTGGGTGCTTTGGAGTTAATGAATTATTAGACATAGAATGATAATCCTGTCCAAATATATTTTGTTAAAAATAGAAAAACATAAGGTATGCAAGGAAAAGTTTAATAATACCTGGGCTTCTTTCACCCCTAATTAATAATCATGAATATTTTGCTATATTGTCTCTTTTTTAATACACAAATCATGAACACATAGATAAAGTTTACCTGGACCCCTCACCCAATACTCAACCACTATCATGAGTTTGATGAGTTTGATTCTTTCAGTCTATTTAAAACATTGCATCTAGTTGGTCACATTTATGATGTGTTCCTATTATAATTATTAAGGATTTTAAAATTTTGCATAATAGGCATCGATGCTATATACAAAGTCTTATTCTGTAGCTTGCTTCCCCCATGTACATTTGGATTTATTTCTACCATGTTATTTTGTGTTCTCTATATACTTTTGCTTTACTTCTCTATTTCCCTCATTAACAGTCTCTTTTGAATTGATACAGTATAATTTCCTCTCTTTGCTCTTTTCTCTCTTACACAGCTTTGTAAGTTAGGCATTTTATTTCTATTGTTTTAGTGGTTGCCCTCAAATTTTTAACATATCTGTGCTGTTACTAATTTTTTTAACAAAATGCACCAAGGAAGACCTTAGTATACCTCATATCCCTTAGATCTCCTCACTCTAATTTTCTTGCTACTGTTGTCTGGAATTGTAATTCCAACATGTTTTAAAGATAAAGAGAAGCATATTTTCTCAATTATTTACAGTAAACACCTATGTATTTTTATCATCACAATACCTAGTTTCTTTGTGCACCAATTTTCTTGATTCCCACTTCTTCTGGATTTAATTTTTTCTGATGAATTATACCCTACAGTAGTTTTTGCAGTGAGAATCTGATAGTATTAAACTTAGTCCTTAAATGTCTGAAGATGTCTTACCATTTTACAATTACTCTTGAAGGCATAAAATTATACATTCACAATTATTTTCACATAACACTTTCACCAGGTTCTTTTATTAGTGAAAAATAAGCTGCCAACCAGATTGATGGATTTTATGGTGTCTTCATTGCAATGTCCATATGTGGGTTTATTTTTATTCCTTCTGCTGTGTGTACACATTAGGCTTTTCTAATCTGAAGGCTCCTGTGTCTTTAATTTTAGAAAATTTTAGTTATTACCTAACTCTTTTAGACCCTCTTCCCAATTATTTGTATTTTTTTCTTCTAAAATTCTTATCAGACAGATATTGTTGCTTCTCAGCCTCCAAGTCTGTTAATTTCTCTGTCATTTTTTTTAAATCATGTTTTCTGTCTTCATCCTGGAAAATTTGTTCAGTTCTTTTTTCATTTTACAATTTCATTAATTGTGTCAGCCTAGTATTTAACTCATTGTTGAGTTTCTCACTTCCATCTATAATTTCTTTGAGGATTTCACAGATACTCATTTTAAAACTTATTTTCAGATTTTCCCATTATTTCTATTTCCTTGAATAGGAACCTCTCATTTCTTTGGTTTCACTCTTCTCTTAGGAAGTTTTCTCTTGTGCTCCTTCCTGTAAAGCCATTTGATGTCACCTCAAACCTCTTGGTTGTATGGGTTGTCTGGATTCATAGGACTCCTTATATTAGCAGCTAAGCTGAAGTCTTCCTTTCATAAAAAGGTGGCAATTCCATTCTCAATGCTCATACCTTCAATAGCCTGGGAACCACGATCATGTGAGAATCTTGACTTTGGCAGTAGGTTTTGGAAAAACCATGTTCCTAGAAGCCACCTTGGGCAGGCAAGAGGGGATGTTCCAATCTCTGTGAAGTGCAGTCTGTGTCCGATCAGGAGTCCACATATCCCCATTAAAGAACCCTAGCTGGACCATACATATGGAGCTAGTCTCAACTCCCTGGTGGCCATGGGGCTTTAACCTCTGCCTATATCTATAGGTTTTCTTTCTTTGGGGATCCTTGAATTTTTTTCTTAATACTTCGTGCAGTTTTTTATTTTAAAATATAAATAAATGTATTACATTCTTTGTGTTTGGAGTTGGGGGAAAGATTATACATGAACTTTTCTCTGCTGTGGAAGTACCCTTCGTTTTTCAGACAGGAAAACTAAACCCAAGAAAATGGAATAAGCTTGCCTAAGCCACAACCTAATTGTGGTCAATATGTAGATTAGGAAACACTTCTCTGCCTTAAATACATTCAACATGAGTCTCTTTGCCCCAGGATTTTGATGTTCAAAATGGAGAAACTAATGCCTTCCTTACCTTTATCAATACATTAGTGCAGTAATTTGAAATGGCAAATAAATGTGAAAGTATTTTGAAATAAAGTTTAGTCTCTTATGAGCATCACCATTTTAAAGTTCTGCTGTGTGTATAAGTAATGTCAATATTTTCATTGCTGAGAAATTATTTCTGATTTTTCTACCATAGAATTTGTTTTTTTCATATGCCATTTCTACCCTCAAAGTCATTTTTAGTATTAAAGAACCCTTGGGTAGAAAGTTACTTTGGGTAAACTCACAGAGACTAAGGAACAAATTTTAGTTTTTCACATTCAATAAACACCTGTTGAATGCCATTGTTTTCATGCACTTAGGCTTTGCCTGGGATGCAATATGTAGATTTCTTTTTTTAAAAAGAAACTTTTAAAGAATAGTTTTATACTTATAGAAATATTGCAAAGTTAGACCTCCAAAATACCCAATGCCTGCTTGCCTCTATTAACAACTTTTATCAGTATGGTATATTTATTATAATCAATAAACAAATCTTGATTCATTATTATACTTTTATTAGTGTTTACCTCTTCTCTTCTAGGATCCTATCCAGGGTACCACATTACATTTAGTCATTATGTCTCTTTAGGCTTCTCTTGGCTATGACAGTTTCTCAGACTTTCCATTTTTTGATGACCATGACCGTAACAGTTTTTAGGATTATGGGTGAGGTATTCTGTAAATTTGTCTCATGTTTTAATTCTGAGTAGAGTGGTGTTATGGTTTTTTAAAGGAAGACCACAGAGAAAAAGTGCTATTCTCATCATTTCCTATCAAGGATACAAAAAGGTGATATCATTTGTGATGTCTGAGGTAGTGTTAGTCAGGAAATCTCCCCTTTCCCCTGAGCATGCTGTATGCACTCTTTGGAAAGTAGTCATTTTAGCCAGCCCACTTAAAGAGTGGGGAGTTATGTTCTATCTTCTTGAGGGCTGAGTATCCACATCAATTATTTGGAATTGTTCTGAATGGGAGATTTGACTATTCTACCCATTTATCTATTTAATAACTCATTTATATCGGTATGGACTCATGGATATTTATTTTACTTCACTTCTTTATTTTTCAAGTTGTTTCAACTTTGGTCATTGGAAGCTCTTGGCTCTTGTGTTCCTTTGACATATCTAACACCTCCATGTATGTATGTGTGTAGTGTGTGTGTGTGTGTGTGTGTGTGATTAAATACTTCTTGCTTTCTGGGATTGAAAGGTTCTCTATGCTCATTTTGTATATTTCCTGTTTCAGCCTTAGAATCAGCCATTTCTCCAAGGAGTCTTTGTTTGTTTTAGTGAGTAGATTATTGACTAAAAGGAAATATGGCATTGAATCTAACATGACTGGACATTATTTTCTTTACTCACTCTCACTTATGAAAGATTTGGTACTTTTTCTCCTGTCAGTTTCACAGGAATAGGGTGAATGACCTTATAAAATCATTAGATTTATTTGAAAGGGGAGACTTTCAAAATGAAGAAATGTAACTCCTGAAGAAAATTAAGAAATTCAGCTGAGATAACACAGAATTTCACCCTTAATTGGCAATTCAGACCACCCATCTCTTCTAAGAATGGGTCTAATAATGAATTATCAAGTGAACATTTCTTAAATGCAAGAGCAAATTAACTTGGAGATATACTAAATTTCAAGAAACAAAATTATTTTTCTTTAATCAGAACTAAGGGCAATACTTCAGCAGGTATTAATAAGCTATTGTTGCTGGTTTAAACAAAGAAACTTAAATGTTTATTGTTGCAACCTATCTTTTATGTGTGCCCAGACTCCAAAGTCTGGTTTTATTTGTAAGGTTCCCCAACAGAGTGGTTGCTATAGATATAGCAAAAGCCCAAAGGACAGCATGCTGAGCCTTTGGAAAAACAGTTTCATTTCCAAAGGCAAGGAATAGATATTGAGGCTTAAAGGGAGTTGATCCTTAGGATAAAGTCATAGCTAATGTAAGGTTTTCAGAATAAAATCTAAGATTTCAGAGAAATCTAGGGACCAATTATGTGATGTTCAAAGGAAACAGTGAATACAAGTGAGTCTGAGTTTTTACCCAATGTTTGAGGCAAATATATGCAAGTCGTTCTGCTCAATGTTATCAAACATAACATTGGGGAGTAAAATATTATTTTTGTTTCGTTTTGTGATAATCATAGCAAAGAGGAGGAGAATGAAATGAGGATGATTAAGTCTGGGGTTCTAGTCTTCTAGTTTTAAGTTACTTCAGTTTGGAAATTACTATAGTGGTGTAACTGGACTACAGCCTGGTTCTCTCTCAAAGAGAAGGGGATCAGATTCTATGGGAAGTGGTTCTCTTGACCTCTTCTTTGAACCTGCCTCTCCCACCTGAGTTTCATCATAAAGTATGCTCATGTACCAACATTTAACATAGCCAATTAGTTTCTCAAATGGAGTTTTCCACCTGGAGAAGGCCAGGTGTACAAGTCCTCCTTATCTTCCATCAGCTCAAAGACAATAAGATTTGTAAAAATTTAACCTCTCAGTAATGTGTAAAGAAAAAAAAGGAGGAAACCATATGGCAGAGGGGAGACCAAGCAGAACCAGAGTGGTCACAGGAAGAATCACCGTTCCAGTGGTTCTGGCTGGGGCCGCTGAGTTGGGTTGTCTGGCTACTTAAGAAGCAAATTCTCCAATGGCAAAATAATCAGGTCCTCACATATCACTTGGCCATTGAAAGAGAACGGGATGCTAATGAGAGTAGTCCGAGGAGAGGCACTTCAAAAGCAAATCTCCTGAAATGACAGACCCACGTTAGTGCTGAGGGACTAAGGAGTGGGGAAGGACTGAGTGAGCCAGGAGAGTGAGCCAGGAAAACAAGCCCCTGGACACCTATGTGCCTTCAAAGTCGGCTGTCTTCTTTGCCTTGATCACCTGAGAAGGACTCCACATTCTTACCCAGTGTGATCTCCTAGGTGATATTGACTACTCTTCTCAAAACCATCACTTCAAGGTTCAGGCGGAACTGTGGGGTAAGGCCTAGCTCTTTCTTTAATGTTGTTTCTTCTTGCTAACGTTTGGAAATCCTTCTTTTCCACCTGCTCATGAGAGAAATTATCGGTTTCTAAGTTTCTTTTCATCTCCCTTCCCACCTACCGAAATAAAAATACAACACTGTGTGTGTGTATGTACATCATCATTTTCCTATTATTAAAATATCTGACATGCTTGTTAGCCAATAGTATAGATAATTTGCAAGCCTTTTGAAGATGGGATCCTACTTTTGGTGGCATGGAGAAATACAGCTGTGATTTCACATATGGCATCTTTCAATTTCTAATTAGTTTACTTTCAACAGCACCCCCATACCCTAATCCAACACCAATTTAGATTATAGTGTTAAAAATATCATCATAAAATGTAGCCTTGTACAAAGAGATGATCTAATTATTCAGCCTTGCTGTATCAGCCTAATGAATTATGCAGTCTTGCCTACAGTATTTCACCTGACAGAATGAGTGTGTCAAACACTATAGTGCATGAATTCTCCAACCAGCCTGTGTAGGTGCCAGAGCAGTGAGTGTTTAGTACCACGATCTGAGAGTCAGTTTTACGGAGCTTGAAGAGTGAATATTAATAATTCACATTTTTTTCTGTAGGGGTTGGGAATATGCATTATCCTAAGGGGCTTGTATGCACATAGAATATATGATATGTGATAATTGTGGTATATTTAATAATGTTCATTCAAACAAAGGGTAGGCTGTTGCATAATTACTTGCACATTATTCCAGAGTGGTAATAAAAAAATCTAAGAGGAATCCCCCAAGAGTTCCAACAAGTTTATTTGGGACAGATGAAAATCAACCTCTTGAGGCTCCCGTCAGGAGAACAAGAGGACATATTTACAGCTCTATCTGTTCACATGGGAGAAAGCTCAAACATCTACTCCAGCCACTTAGGTGTACTGAATGGCCGTTAAATGGAAACCTTCGGGTCTACTTGATTGTCTGTTCCAACATCACCGTGTGTGATTGTAGAGCTGGCTTGTGCGATCCCTGTGGACTGTGGAAACTTTTGACTGGTCTGATGGAGAGTTGGTATTTGATGACCTCTGAGAACATTGCTTATCAGTGCATGTAGACTCAGTATAAGTGTGGGTTTAAAGTCAATGATGGAGACTATGTATTCTTATTTTGTCTTATAAATAACACTCTCAAGAGTAATGCATGTATTGTAAATTCATTGTGGCTAAAAAGCCAAGTGCTCATTGGCATTAGCAATAAAAGAATGATAGTTAACAATTTATGGCCTTATATTCAGGTTAACTGGCTGATGTCAAGGGAAGATTTATTGGACATATAAGCCATGGTTTTATATCAGTGAGCCAAATTCAACCAATGCATTTTCACGAATTAAAAGCAGCTTCCAATTTTAAACCTATCACTGAGATAAAAAAAAAAAAAAAAACTTTCCCAGAGAAGGTACTTACCTCATTGCTTGCCAGAAACTTTCCTCTGCCTCACACTCCACCTATGCTAATGTTGCATGAAGAGAGAAGTTTGTATGAAGAAAGAGGGAGGAGGAGAGTTGGCTGAGTGAGGAAATACCTGCCTTGGGTATCAGCTCCCTCAGCTTTGCTCAGAACACCTCCATAGGAAATGTAAGTATTAAGGCACAATTATGTGCCTGGCCATGGTATGGAACTAGGTGAGAACTTGGAGCTTCCACTTGGTGCTGGACATAGGGACCTCTCTGTGTTGAGACTCTTTTCCCCAGCATGCGGGCCTCCTAATGGCATGGGGGCCCAGACCTTCCCCTAGCAGCACCAGCTTTCAGGCAGCATACAGGGCCAGGGATTAGTATCACCATTCATCCACTGAGGGATGATGGATGATATTCTCAAATCAGCAGGCCAAAGGTGGTTTAGGTATAATTTATACAAGTACAGGTTGCATGAACTTTAAGCCAGTGTGGGAAGGATGGGCTGGACTGTTATTTTATCAGTTACCTGACAGAGGATCTTTAATGACTTCATGCTGTAAGTTGCAAAACATTTTATTAGAGTCGACTCTAAATTATCTGGGGATAGAAGGAGCAGACAAAGCTGGACATCAGCATTTGTTGAAGCGAGCCGTATAATGAGGACCATTGGGGGTTAAACACAGTAGTAGGGAAAAGGTCATTGTTGTTGTGGTGCTTAAGAGCCCTTGATGGAAAAATAGATCGGGTAGATGCAATTCAAAGACACACCACTCAAGACTTCACTGCTTGCATTGAAGCTAAAATCCTGTCACTAGCAAACCAACCTAGTGGGTTTTAGAAATCTTTTCTGTTTTTCACATATTATAAACTTGAAGATTCTGTGGATCCTTCAGAGTACAAGGCCTTACAGAATGGTCCCTGGCTGGACCTATCCAGGAATCCATTCATTCTTTTATTCAACAAATATAGAGTGAGCATTTACCCTATGTGAATCCCTGTGATTTCAACAAAGGAATCTGTTGCTCTCCCCTTCCATGCTAGTGCAGGAGGACAGCAGCATGGAAAGAGGGAGGGGGATCCCAAAGAAAAGAGGAGAGTAATGATTCAGTCCACCAGTTCCAGCCTAGAGCTCTGCATTTAGCATAAGGCTCTCAATGTACTGTGAATCCAAAAGATGATTTGAAGAGGCCGGTGGAGATGGATAGGCCATGAAAATAGAGGAGCAAAGTGTGTTGTTTCATCTGTTTATGTGAGATAGTGGTCACTGAAAACAGAGTTGATCTTTACACTGAAATTTACAAGATAATTGTTCTAGTAGACCAGATGGTGATGAAATCAAGTTTTTGGCCTTTTCACGTAGTGTTCCATGTAGCCCCTGTAGCTCAGTCACTGGAGAACATACTTTCCTGAGGTTGGTGTAGTGGAAAGGCTGTAATCCTGAAAATCTGAAAGATCAGATTCTTGGCTCACCTTTCCCACCTCTCCTGGTTCCTTTTTCATTTGTGACATGAGGGTATTTGATTAAAGAAGCCCTAACAGTGACCCTCCAGAAATTTCAGTACACACACATACACATACACACACACGTACACACACACACACACAGAGATACTTGGCCTAAAAACGAGTACTGCCTAAAGGTATTCAGCGAGGTTAGCCTTACTGTGCAATAACTTGCAAATAACTTTATTACATTTCATCCAGTTTGAAAATTCTATGATTATATTTTTGTATGCCTTTCTCCTTTATAATTGAGCATCTATTGCAAATCTCTTATTATTTCCTAGGGTATATTACTTTCCCTGTGTATGTTCTAAGGAAACTACATTTTAAAGACAAAATAATCTGAGCAGTTGAGTGCCATACAAGGCTGGTAGGCAGGTACTAGTTTGGGGAGTTCTGCAACTCAGGCCTCTGGACAGGGGGTTACATACACCAAGAGCTAAGGATACCTACAGGGTGCTGACTTGATCCATTAACAGATCAGCAGTCTACAAACTAAATATCCCAAAAATCAGAACCTGTTGTCTTTCAATCCATTGTGGAAATAAGGGCCTTTATATGGACTCCAAGAGTATTCTGGTCCAGTGAGGCAATAATTCTCATCCTATCAGAGAATGTGTATTGCCCCAGTAGGACATGGAATGCCTGGGAATGTTCATCAGTATCCAAGTTTTCTGCATAGTAGATAATGTATTAACTATATCATTTACTCTGGTACCTAATAGTAAACAACATGCATTTAGGTACATTTTTTAACTACTAGAGCATATCTGTGTGCTCTAGAAAAAATGGTGAGGCTTTGCAAGCATTTTAAGTAGACAAGGGCAGGGTAGAAGTAAAATATCACACTTTAGTCAAAAATTCATGTGGCATTTTCTTATTTGAATGTTTATAGATTCTTGTTGGAGGAAAGGGAGAGATGGAGACATGAAGGAAAGAAGAGAAAGGTAGGAGGGAGAGAAGGAAGGAAGGGAAAAAGGGGGAAGAAAGGGAGAAAAGGAAGGAAAAGGGAGAGGGAGGGGAAAAGAAGGAAGGAAGGAAAGGGAGGGGGGAGGAAAAGAGAGAGAAAGAGAGAAAGAAAAAAGAGAAAGAGAAAGCGTAGGGGATGGAAGAGGGGAAGGAAAGTGAAGAAAAGGGGAGGGGAAAAATAAACCTAATAATGTGTGTGCATATGGGTGTGTGGCATGTGAGCAGTTGAAAATCTAAGGTTGGAATCAGAATCTAAAATGGAAATTTCAGTCATAATACTTAACTGGGTTGCTAACAACAGCTTGACCATCAGCCTTCAAACAATAAAGAGAATAATTTTTTGTTAAGAAGTTGACTCTGCCGAATGTAATGTGAAGAGAGTTAGAGATGGGTCATAGAGCAAACACACAGACATAGGGGAATCACGTTTCACGATAGAAATTAGTTTAGGGTGGTTAGAAATACTTCTAGTATTGCATTTTTTTTAAAAAAAAGCTAGAGATGCCCAGAATGTTTTCTTAATAATAACTAACATTTGCAGAGCCCCTTATAATTGACAAGGCTTTTACAGCAATTACCAAAGTTAATTCCCACAGTAACCCTATGAGTTTAAATATTAGACTTCCTATTTTACAGCTGATGGAACTGCTACTCAGGAAGTTAAGGGGATTTTCTCAAAATCACTCAGGAGTCAGCCATAAAACTGGGACCCAAAGCCAAACCTTTTCACTATGAATTGTCCTCTCAGCCTCTCTGCCTTCACATCCATTGAGGCTTCTGCAGTTACCTCTATATGACAAAGCTGTAACCACCTAGAGAACAGATATGCACTTCTCACAAGCCCATGGGCACCTAAAGCTACTTCTATAACCAACACAAAAATTTGGGCTTGGAGATCTAGAATTGCAATAAAATTGTTTAAAATACAGAACTAAAATATATATTTTTTTCTCAAATACAATTCTTTGAAGTATGCCTAACTTCTATAATAATAAAGCTTTGTCGTGATAAAGTTAAGAAATAAAACCATATGAGTTGCTGAGTCATCAACAGTGACCCTGCTTGCGGACGTTCATTTCTGAGAGACATAAGAGCTAACGACAAGCTTATGAGTTAACGCAGGTGGCCAACTATAGTGGTTACAACATCTCTGGGTCCACCTCTGCTTTCATAGGAACGTGCAATATGTTGAGAAACACACCTGCACATGTGGAAAGAAGGGAGAAGGAGAGACGTTAAAGGCAGGGGACTCAGGAATGTGTGTGCCCTGGCTAGGGATCAGAGTAAGCCTCGTTAGTTAAACTGAAGAGCCCGCCTTACAGAGCAGTGGAGTGAGAACCTAGAGAAAGAAAGAGACTGAAATGGCAGACTGAGAAGCTGGGTTTTATACTGAGAAGAGTGGGGTGTCATGATGGATGACAGAGTAGAAACAGGGCAGAGTGAGTGTACTTAGGGAAGACAAATCTAGTAGGAGCATGGAGAATCAATCAGATAGAAAAAGTTAGGGGTTTGGGAGACCTGTTGCAAAGATATGGTAGTATTATGGAATGAGGTAGCATGAACATAGAAATACCAGTAAAAAGAAATTATTATTATTTCTACTATCATTATTAATAAGGAACATTGTCAGAACTGGCTTTGAATCATTTTGAGATGTATGATCAAAAATGGATTTTGAGGAATGCTGGTGCCTCTGGAAATTAACAGGCATTTAAAAAAAAAAAAAACAACAACAACTGTGGCCGAGCACGGTGGCTCACGTCTGTAATCCCAGCACTTTGGGAGGCTGAGGCGGGCGGATCATGAGGTCAGTAGATCGAGACCACACTGGCCAACACGGTGAAACCCCATCTCTATTAAAAATACAAAAAAAAAAAAAAAAAAATCAGGTGGTGGCAGGCGCCTGTAGTCCTAGCTACTCGGGAGGCTGAGGCAGCAGAATGGCATGAACCCGGGAGGCGGAGCTTGCAGTGAGCCGAGATCACACCCCTCCTCTCCAGCCTGGGCAACAGAGTGAGACTCCGTCTCAAAACAAAACAACAACAACAACAACAACAACAACAACTGTGGTCAAAATGTATAGAAATTACAGGTAAAATCAGGTTTTAAAAATTTACAGCAGGATTTATGAGACTTTATTATGTAAAATATACATTTTTAATTTCTGAAAGGATGATAGAGAATGCTGCATTTTCTGAACATTTTAAAGTAACTAGAATCACCCCTTCCTTTTTCTTTTTTTTTTTAACAAGTAAAGAATCTTTTAGAATTTGTAGAAATGTCTTAAAGATTATTCTTGACTGGGAAATCAGAAACCTAGGTTTCAAGTTAGTTAGAATCTAATGTGTAACCTTGGACTGCTGTGGACCTTGATTTCTTCATTCATCTTGCTAACCTATTTTTCGAGATTAAGAAGATAAAAAGAGACTGCAGGGAAAGAATCGAGACAGCTATTTATTCAACAGCAAGTATAGCTGATGGACATGCTCTCTTATTGAGGCAATAATTAATTGGTCACAACCATGCCCAGTGCTCCTGATTCCACTTGATATAGTCCTCTAATATCTCAGGAAATTATCTACTGGAAACAAGGTCAAGCTTTAGAATTTTCCTCTAGTTTTACAACTTTATGCATACCATGTGATTATGTCAGTATGAATGCCCACAAATGGGATGGAGAAAGCCCGATAGCATCAGAAGTGTTCCTTCTCACCAATGCATGTCTTACCTCCTCAAATATCCATGTAGGCAACCCCTACTGTTGTCTCCAGATCATGGTCGCTCGAGCCCAGGGAAGGATGCTAGGCTTTTATGCCAAGATCTAGGGTCTGCAAGACAGAAACATCCAGGATAGAATGAGTATTTCATACCCATAGATTGAAGTTGGTATCACTTTCTGCACCTGATATTCTCCAACACTGTGTACAGATTGAAATGGAACTTTACTGAAAGAGATAACCCTCCAAAAGCAGTACTCCTTTAAATAAAACAAAGGTGGCCTGGCATGCTGGCTCATTCCTATAATCCCAGCACTTTGGGAGGACTGCCTGAAGCCAAGGGTTTGAGAGCAGCCTGGACAGCATAGTGAGACCCTGCCTCTATGAATATTTAAAACTTAGATGGGCATGGGGGTGTGCACCTGTAGTTCCAGCTATTCAGTAGGCTGAGGCAGGAGGATTGCTTGAACCCAGGAGTTCGAGGCTGCAGTGAGCGATGATTGCTCCACTGCACTCTAACCTAGGCAAGAGCGTAATGCTGTTTTGAAAGAAAGTAAAGCTGAGTATTGTCATATGCCTACTGTGTGCCAGGCACTGCCACAGGCATTTTGAATGTCATCTAAGTACAGCATCATGGACCACAAGATTGGTATTGGCCTCAGCTTGCCCTTGGTTTTGAGTTTTTGCTCTGCCATCTGCTAGTGTAACTTTAACCAAACCATTCAAATTTCTGAGCCTGGTTTTCTCATCTGTAATATGGTACCAATGTATAGGGTTGTATTGAGCATAACGTGATATAGAATATGGAATGTGTTGTTGTGCATTCTGTGATTCATTCATGTTAGGCTTTATTAACACTACTACTATTTTTTTCTCAGTACAACTTCAAATATTCTCTAACACAAATGAAAGAAACAAAGACTGAGGCCCAGAATGACAAAAATCTTAGGAAATTTGCTAAGTGAAATTTTATTACTAAAGGCAACAGGCAATGTTTTCCTATTTTCCCCTTTTCCCGAGTTGTGATCTCTCTTTTCAGATAATGTTCTTACGGATCTGAAGCACCAGAGAAAATGTCTCTATTTTGCTTTGACTTTTCTAGAAGGAGCTATTGTGATTTCCATCCAGTTTTGGAGTGCCAGAGTTCACCTTTATCATGCAGCCAAAAAGTCAATTTCTTGACAGCACAACCAACATATTTTCCCAGTGCCCAAAGTACAACTTGATGGAATGCTGTTTACCTTTCTCCCCCTTTTAAATCCCACAGTCTCAGCCGGGGGCTCAGTTCTTAGCACATTATTCTTTAGCCTATAGGAAAACTAACCAATCTTAGACCAAACAGAAAACTGCACAAAATTTAAGGTGAAAAATAGAATGATCTGCAGTGTGCAAGGCAGGTATTTCAAATTCCACATTGTTTCAGATGACTTCTTTAACTTTTAGGGAGAAGAAAAAAATTACAAATTAATTCAAATTAATTGTCATGTTGATCTCTCCACCATTCTACCCTCTTCTCTTCTTTCTTCTTACCTTCTTGCCTTCTCTTTCCTCCTTCTTACTCTCCTTCTCTTCTTTCTGCTCTCTCCCTCCTCTGCTTTTTTCTCCTTCTTTATAGCCATTGTAATCACTAGTGTTGACTTTTATTCAGCACTTACTCTTTGCCAGACACTGTGCTAAACACTCAATGTACACTACATTCTTTAGTCTGTCAAAACACAATGTACAGAACAATACATTTTCTGTACAAAAAGAAAATTAAAAGGCTGATGCCCAAAGGCTACAAAATCTCCAATGACAAAAACCATACCTGAGTGGGCTGAGTTAAGATGAGAGCCAACCATCTCAATAGAAAAGGCTTTTCCTACAACATAAATGGAACTTGTATTGTTACCTTAATGCTAATGTATTTTTAGGTAAATAGTGAATGGCTTCATTTAGGTATACATGTGGATTTGATATATCTACTTTAAAATTAGTTAATATTCTTTTAAATGACTCCCATTTTAATTGAATCATATATTGGAATTAATTCTTATATATTTTTCTGTGATAGGGTTATTTAATAATTATCCTGGGGTGAAGAGGGAAAAGTGGAATGCCATATTTATTCAACTTTTTATGTATATTTGTAGTCCAACATAGATCAAACTTTTGCATAGAAGGTATTTTCATTTCGTATAGTGCACATGTGAGTATATTTGTGCAAACATACCACAAACCATATTCCCTGGAGTTAATTTGCACATTGTAAGAAACTGTAGCAAGTCAATGTGGTATGAGGTATAACTGTATTATGGTTTTGAAGCTTAGCAGAACTGGATTTTAATCCAAGCCCTGTAATTCCTTAGCTATGTGACCTTGGACAAGTTCCTTAACCTATACAAAGTCCATCAAATTTCCTTTGGTGAAAATGGGGCAATAGTAGGCACCTCTTGCAGCTGTTGTGAAGGTTACATGAGAAAGCACATGAAAAGGTCTGGCATACAGTACGCGCAAGAGAAGCTAATCCCCCTCCTCCAACGTGATCCTTATTTATTGTAATAATGGCCCCTAATCTTTAGCTACACCTATATTGATCCCTTATCTATATAATCTAACGCACATGTGTATTATTATATTGTATGTGTGTGCACATGTGATACATGAGATACACTCACAACCGCATAGGTAATCATACTCCAAAGAACACACACGTATGCCACCCCAGGTGTACCCTTCAATGTAGGGTCAAACTTAAAGACGTATAAAACACCCACATACACTCACTTTAGTCCGTTGGTACTGTATTAGGACCTGGCCTATACAGAATTGTGAAAACTGATCCGATCCCTCTGTTGTGCCATGGTTAACAGTACCCACGTATGCCATAGATGTGTCCTGGCGCCATCTAGTGGGGGATCCAACTTTCTGCTCCATAGTGCCTCCTTAGGCTGGCTCCAGCCATTGCTCCAACTCACCATTTTGTAAGCTGCCTCCATCATCCTAAAAAACGACCATGCTGAAAGAGCTCCTCTGTATTTCTTGGCAGACCCTTTCCAGTTTTCATCCTGGGTGTTTCTGAACAGGAACATATCTCATTGAAGTATTTGCACCTCTACCTACAGACAAGGAAAAGGCTTGGAGCACCTCCATTCATTGTGCCAACAGGACCTGAATGACCGTGAGTTGCCCTGCATCATTTATAAGTCCATGTCTTCAGGATCTAGAAGGAAAACTCTGTATGCTGTAATTATATGGCTTTCTGAATTCACTAAATTTAGGAATATTTTATATATTTTTTTCAGGAGAAAATATATTCTTTCTTTCAATGAGAATATTGACCCACAAAAAGACACCACCAGTCAATTGTTTCAAAGAGATGAGATGGTACTGGTCATCCTTTAGCTATGAAGGAAGCCAAGCTGGTTATAGGGAATTGTTACTACTATACCTAGATTAACCCATGGTATTCAATTTTCATTTTTTTAACTAGTAGATTTTATATACCAAAAGCATTAATAATAGTGGAGAAAATGCAGGCCATTATGGCTCTGTCTATATAGCTAATTAGTTTTGTAAGTTCTTTATCCCATTCAAAACGTTAAAGGTGACTGAGTAACATGGAAGAGGATGAGGTGAGGAGTAAATGTACTGGTTTAAATCTTATTGATTGGTTAATTAGTCCACATAACTAGTACATGCTATTAAAAACCAGTCAAATCCTTATCAATGTTCCAATGAAGTGACCAGTCAAATTAATGATCCTGTTCAGGCTGCTTATGTCACAGTAAGGCATATACAATTTGGGGGAAAGTATCAACCCATGATTCTCGCTTTCCCATCATCTGCCCCAGATCTCTGCCAGGGCCCAGGGACGTTTGGACTGACCACTTTTATTATTGTTTCACAGTCGTCAGACCAATAATAGTGCTGAAGATGTTACCTATATGATCAATAGAAATGGCCGAGCTTTCTGCCTAAGCATTCCCCACCTGCCAGGATAAAAGGAAGGGTATAGGTAGGAAAAGGGTATGCAAGAGTGACAGAGATAGGTGAGATGAGGTTCATTGCTAGATAGATTTGGCCCAAACTTCTGCTGCTACGTTAATAAGCCAAATCTTATTGAAGAAGATAGGAATTCAGACAAGAAATAAGTAGATTGTTTTACTCTTTGTGTGTATGTAAATGAGAATTGTATAAATTTACTCAACCCGACTCATATCATGAGAACTTAACTCATTTGAAAGGCTTGGGTTTGTTTTGGCAACAGTTGAATGCTCAAGTTTGCCTTCCTCCTCCTCTGTTTAAGGGGCAAGTGACGTGCATTCTGTGTATCTTGAGGGAAATCAGAATCTCGGTCTCTGGGTTGGGGAGATAGAGAGGGAGGAAAGGAAAGCCCTGTGCTTTCATTATGCTTGAAGTTGCTTATTTGCAAAGAGGTTCTTCATCAGATGAATGTATCTATTATTCCACAATGGCCTCTCAGTTCTGCTGCCTTTGTTGTAATGTTACATTTTGTATCTAATATTTCTTGTTACTGCTTAGAAATCATTGTGACTACATTGGTCTTTATCGATAATTTTATGTAGCATAATCCATCACCATGTTAGATGTTGGGGCAGGGAAGAGGGTATTACTTTGTCTTTCACTTGGTACTCAGACAGCTCTCTCATATTGATTTCTTGGCTTGCATGTTTGTTAAATGATGATTTGCACTTTTCCAGTATTATGTTTATCCAGATTATGTTTCAGATGTGTCTATAACATGTCATCATTAACAACAAACATTTATTGAACACTTACGGTCTGTGGATCAGGCTCCAGACTAGGTACTGGGAATAATAAGAGAAAGGTAATGTGACCCCTACCCTGCAGGGTTTTAGTATCTATCGGACCATGTCTTTAAAAAAAAAAAAAAAAAAAAAGAAAAGAAATAAAAGAAAAAAAAGATACCTAATAGCTTATATCCAGTGAGTGCTACAGGCAGTAAGTACTCTTGGAGTTTAGAGAAGGGAGTGATTGGTGAGGACTGGATGGTCAGGGAAGGCTGTAGGAATGAGATGAAATTTGAAAGGCTTCTTAAAAGATGAGAAGACTCTCTTTATGGGTTACTGAATACAGTGAGTTTCTAAAAACCATTGTGCCAGGAAAAAAATGCCTGTATCTTTAAACTAAAATTGCCTTATACATTATTCATGAGTTTAAGATTAAGAATCAATATTCACCTGCTTTCCACAGGGCTTTGTGCTGAGTTCTATTGTTAATAGCCTTACACGCCTGTCTTACACACCAAGGAAAAGTCAGCCCTGTTAAGTTTGTCATTTAGATTTCTGTGGCCTAGTCAACTTTTAAGATTGTCTTTTGCTTTGTCTAAAATTTGCCCTAGTTTTTCCCTTATTGAAAGCCCTAGTCAGAAAAAAAAAGAAATGGATGTTCAATGACTTCTTAAGGTTAAATGAATTTTAAGAAAATAGGAAAGGGAAAAAAAATCATGACTTCCTTGTGAATGTTGCTTCATCACATCATAAGAAGTCAAGTCTGACTCTGGAGAGGATATTAGTCCCCCAAGGGAAATATCCATTTATGAGAAGTTCTAGGGGTTTTCTTCCATAGGAGAGAGATGCTCAAACATTTTTGAAGATTGAAAACTTCACTTATTACTTCTGTGGGACTTCACTGGTCTAGATAGATATTTGCCGCAGCTTATTGACAGAAAGCTTTGCAGGAAGACTGTCTGTGGTTACGATTATTAATATTCTAAGGACTAAGCCCTATGACTTTCCCAGTACCGGTTCTTTTTACAGAATTCTCTCTGTGATTTCTATAATGGTATTTTTTTTTGGTCTCTCTGTTTTGTAATTTATTTTGGCTTTGGTGGAATGAGAGGCAGGGAAGAAACGAAATCCATGTTTTCTTCTTTTTGTTTCTTCATACAGTGTACATTTAGGGACACCTATTGAGTACATAACATGAAACATTCCACAGATCTCCAGGAAACTCTAGCCTGCTTGTTGTGTCAAACATGTAAAAAGGAGTGAACATTCACACACTCTTGAGTTAATGGGTCAGAAAATAAAAGAATAAACTTTTTTTCCCTATAACTTCTATCCTCACTTCTACCAATAGTAGTGGGGTAGATTTAAGTATTCCAATCAAGGCCAATTCAATCTTCTTTATTTTAAAATAGTTTTTTAAGTGTGGTTTGGTCTAATTTGGGCAAATATTTAGTGAATTTCAAGTATAAATGCTCAATCAGGGCTATTTTCCCTTTCACAAGAAGCACCTCTGTGTCCCTTCCCAAGACGTCGATGTGTGCAGGGAAAGCTATGTCTTCTGGGACAAGGGGGTGCCTGTGGCCTGTCCTCCCTGCTGGCCAACAGAGTGAGGCTGGTCTAGTCTGATTCCTGAATACTTTGTGCTGGCATCTGCCTGCTATGGCTAATCTCATCTGTTTTCTGGGGGTGTTATGTTGGTGCTCACAGCTGAAGCCCATAGTCATTGAAATATATCGGTGTTGGAGAGGCCGTGTATTTTTTATTCTTCTCATCTAACCCAGTGTTACAGAATCTCAGCACTCCTCTGTCCCCCACCCCACTTTCTGCGGTATATGGGAACTCACAGTACCGCTGCATGCAATGCACACATCATGTGTACTCAGAGCTCTGAGAACCACCTATTTGAGACTTCCTGCCATCTTGGACATAGGGGGGCCGAGCAGCAGTCCTGGGTGTTCTGGAAGAACTCATTTTGTCTAGTCCGATGTTTCGGTCAACTTATTTCCCACCTTTGGCCAAGGCCCAAGAAGGTTAGGGCCTTTGATTCTCAGAGAATCAAACTATATTCTTATCCTGGGGACATCCACACAAAATCCTCCTCCTCCTTATCTGGAAAAGCACTCTCCTCTTCCTATCTGGTGAGAACTTCCCTTCTTGTCTATTCTCCACACTCTAAGTTAGGGTAATAGTCTAACATTGAGTTGCCAGGCTTGGCTTCTCATCTGGAAAGAGGAGATTTTGGAATTTCAAAAAGCCCTTCTCTCTTGACCAAGCTTGACTTTCATAACCTTTATGTCTCTGTAGATTCAAAACCCAATTTTCCTCCTTTCCTTGCACTTCTATTTTAATAATCCTTATCATCCCCAAAGCAACAGATTTCTCTAACCAAATATGGAGAACACATTAAACTATATAAATATAAATATTTATATATGTTTTTATATATAAGCCAAGTTATATATCTATTATATATAATATACATATATTACATAGATATGTATTACATGTATATATACATCATCATATATACATATGTATATATAATGTACATATATTACATATTCTATAATATGTAATATATATATGCCAAGTTACAACATCTACCAAAAAGAAGAACAAGTCTCCACATAGTTATGAGTGTGATTATAGTAGCCACAGTGGGTTAGAACAGTGAGGAATGGCTTTCTTTTAGGCAGGGGGTCTTGATCTGGGCCTAAAAGAAGGAAGAAATAGCATAGGTGAGAAGAAGAGGGAAAGGGTTCTCAATCAGATTTCATATCTTCCTCCCCCACATCCCTAGAGATCTGTATTTATAACTCATGCACATTTAGCACAGTCTTTGTTATCACCAAGTTACTCATAGACATGTTTTCTTGTAAGATTTATAAATTACCTGAGGATTGGGATAACAGCATTTTGTGTTTTATATTTCTGTCTGTAATATTTTCTGGCCCTGTGCTTACATATGGTTGGTCCTTCTATATATTCAAAAGTTAACATGCTTAAAAACTTAGGATGTTAAAATTATTTTTCTCTTAGCTTTCCATTTCAAAGCTGCTGTGTTGCTTTACCTCCTATATCACAGAAGAATATTTTCAAAAAGATATCCAGGGAGAGATTTGCCTTGAATGTTCTTCAAATACCAGTTATTCAGAGTCTCCTTTCTCTTCACCCTTCTGATCTGTGGGATTTCCATAAGGTGGTCACCTCCAGTTACTTGTTTTATTGTAGTAAAACATAAATAACATAAAATTTACCATTTTAACGATCTTTAAGTGTACAGTTCATGGGCATTAAGCACATTCACATTGTTGTACAGCCATTGCCCATCTACGTCCAGAACTTCATCCCCCCGAAGTGAAACTCTTTAATCATTAGATAATAACTCCTCACCCCTTCCTTAGCCCATGGCAACCACCATTATTTATGTCTCTATAAATTTGATTCTAAGTACCTTATATAAGTAGAATCACAAAATATTTGTTCTTTTGTTCTAGCTTATTTGGCTTAGCAAAACATCTTTAAATTTCATCCATATTGTAGCATATATCAGAATTTACTTCCTTTTCAAGGCTGAATAATATTCTATTGTATGCATAGGCCACATTTTGTTTCTCTCTCACCTCAAGTTGATGAAGAAGATAAAATGCTTGTTACTGTCCAATCGGCATCTATATGCATGCTAGTATTTTTGGTAACTTGATTCCCTTTATATTGTGAAATATGTGACTGTTTGACTTCAGAGCTTGAATACAGACCTTCCTAAAAATATATGCCATGTGGTACCCACCAGAAATAGCATTTCCTCTGAGGCAGTAAATAGTAATTCTGAGGTCAAGTCGAGTAATAGCTTGGACTTTTAAAAGAAAAACAAACTTTTTAAATTTTATGTCTTTAAGCTCTCTTTCTTCTGCAAGTCTTTGAAGTGGCTAGAGACATCAAACCACTAACTGGAGGAACACTAGTTCCTCGGACTGCTCATCCTAAAAAGATGCCCCGCACGAAAGCAGTATGGAAGGTCAAATCGATTTGTGAGTGTAGCTTTCAGTAGCACCCCTTGCAGGTCCTCTTGGTCCACATGCACTAAATCTCTGAGAAGTCTTGCTGCTTTAAAAAAAAAAAAAGCTTCATTGATTTTACTCAGCATTTTCCAAACACATCTGAATTCAGAATTAATTTTTAGTTGTTATTTTGGTAATACTTTGAAATATGCTGGATTAAAACAAGGTAAAATCTTTAAGAAGATAACAAAAGTCAGGGCATCTGAAAAACAAAAAATGTATAAGTGAGTCCTCTCAAAGCGCTGACCTCAGTGGATTGTGATCCATAGACAAATAAATTTGCCTCAATTTTCCCATCATTAGGACAAAGTCACTTAGATTCATAGTCAGATAATTCATATTATTCGTTTTAAAATCCTTTAGCTAAACTGAAGAATTTTTCTTGCCTGCATAAATAACATGGAAAAATCAATGTAGTAAACCCTTTTAATACTCTTGTCTGCATTTTTGTGAAAGGCATATAGCAATGTTATTTATATAAATTTGTTTAAATAAAATGCTGTGTAAATAAAATTTCTTCTACAGTCTTTTGCTGTATGGAGCAAGTAATAAGTGAAGGCAGTTAAGTCCTTTGTTAGAAGCATATTCACCACAAAGGAAACTGATTATTAACCATGGGGTCGGTCCTCAGGTGGTAGAATCTAGAGAGTAAGAGGAGGTGAAAGGCGAACGGTTATCAAAGCCATGAGTAAAATATTCAGTGGGGGCTATATGAGACTCATGGAGAAAGATGCATTTGCAAAATAGCAAAGAGAGCTAAAAGAAAAACAGTTCCTTGTTTTCGTGCCTCTGAAAACCTGAAATATCAGTTACAAAGGACTTTTCATAACTTAGTAAATTTCTTATTGTTTGTCTTTAACCTGCGTTTTTAAACTTTCCTAAGTAAATACCTTTAGTTTACTTTTAAACAAGCACCAGTGTTATTGAGGGACAGAGAGGCAGGAAAATACATGCAGAAACTATGTTTTAGGAAGGGGAGAATCCCTGCAATAGAATGAATGAGTGGGCAGTGATAGAAAAAGACTGCAGAGAAGGAAAAACAATCAACAAACAAAATCAAATGTAAATAGACCACGAAGTTATTTAAGGTTTAAGAAGTAGTCCACATGGCCGATACTTGCAGAGGGTTAAGACTTTGAATCTTAGCTCAATGATAGATTTTCTGTCGGAAGTTAAGGTGACCATGCTACTTTGTTTTCTGACAGACAGTAGGCATGCAGTAGCTATCTGGTAAATGAATGAGTGTCCACCTTAGACTTAGATCTGATATTGCTCTCTATCAGCTGAAGTCATTCCTAATAGAGCTAGGAAGTACCCATTCCTGATAGTAAGCAAGCAGCTGATTTGGAAGTTGGAAAAATGCCCCTGGAAGTGTCATCCCGTCCTGTTTAAACCAAATCACCTGGTCTTAGCCAAGTGACCACCTTCACTGGGTTTATCTTGCAGGAGAGTCTGTCTGAGGTAAACACCATCTAGAAGGAAATGCCAAGTGGTTTTTGCAATCAGTTATCAGGCCCTTACTACGCACAGACTAAAAGTCAGTTTTGTCATTACTTAGTCCTAGGTTTCTGGATTCTTTTAAGGGGAAAAGGTGTTTAGCAAACAAAAAATGTTGGGCAGCCACTAATTCATCAAACTGAGGCAGGGTTTTAAACTTGCCTGTCTTAAGCTTGACCTGTGTCCCTAAATGAGTCTACAGTGAACCTGTCTGTCTTTCTGTTGTCACAGGCATTGGGCCTTGGGACAGGGTAAGAAGCCATTTGGGATACAAGTCACCATTATATTTGCTGAAGGCATTTGACATCCTGCACTCGTGCCCTTTAATTGCAAGACTTAGAGACTGAACATGAACTAATTTGAACCAAAAAGGGAAATGTTAGGATATGTATTAATTTGCTAGAGCTGCCATAACAAAGTACCATAGACTAGGTGGCTTAAGCAACAGAAATTTATTTTCTTGTGGTTCTCGAGGCTGGAAGGCCAAAATTAAGATGTTGGCAAAATTGGTTTCTCCTGAGGCCTCTCTTTTTGGTTTACAGAGGGCTACCTCCTCACAATGTCCTCACACAGCCTTTTCTCTGTGTATGTACATTCCTGGTGTCTCTTTTCTGTGCCCAAACTTCTTCTTCTGTTAAGGACACCAGTCATATTGGATTAGGGACCATCACAAGAGTCTCATTTCAATTGAATCACCACTTTAAGAGCCCTATCTCCAACTACAGTCACATTCTGAGATTTTGGGGGTTCAGGCTTCAACATATGAATTTGTAAGATGAGGGCACAGTTCAGCCCATAACAGGGTCATTTAATCAAACCATCTAACTGCCAGGGGTACAGCTGGACTAGGAAAAAGAGAAATCACTCATGGTCAAGATTTTCTTCTTCTAAATGTTGTCTTTGCTCTTGTCTTTCAGTCTGCTCCATTGTTCTGGAATAGCTCATGGCTTCTAGCACCTCTAGCCTCACATCCTTATTGCATTATTAAAGATAAAAAGAAGTGCCCTCCTCCCAGTTTGTGTTTGAAAAATCCAGGGGAAAGCCTCTAATTGGCCTATCTTGCATCCTGTGGTCTCCTACGGGCCAGTGTGGCATGGGAGTGAGACACTTTGATTGGTCCAGAATCAGCCGGTGCTCACTACCAGATCAGTCACTGCAGCCGGGGAGGCAGGGTGTAATCAAAATAGCAGCCCTCATCTGGAACATATTTCAAGAATGAGTGGGATGGGAGGAGGAGGTGTTCTCCCAGAGAAGCTTACCACCAGAAAAAGTGTGACCCATACAGATACTCAATGTGTCATTTGGGAGTCAAAGACTGTCAAGTCAGCAGGAAAGTTTCAGTGCAACGTGAGAAGTACCCTGAATAGGGATCTCATGTAACCTTCAACAGAAAACATGCAAAGGGTTTTAGGACGGCACTTGGTGGGCACCAACAATGTCTTAGAGTGTGTAGAGGTCAGCAAAGACTTCACATAGGAAAGGGTCTTCAACCTAGCCCAAGGAGAAGAAGGCTAGCCACATAAAGTAAGGCATGGGAAAGATAGACAAAGGCTTACATAAAAGTTGAGGATGGAGAGTACACATCCTCAAAATAAGCAAGGTTGGAAGACCCATGGTGGATCAAAAATGAGCATACATTTTTGGCTATTTTCTCAATGAAACAACAAAGCTCAGAAGTCCATTAAGATACAAAGAGAGAAGATGGAGAACGTAATTTGGTTTGGTTCTCTTAATAGAGTTTAACATTTCCCATAGCTTGAGTACAGAACTACTAGTCTGGGATTTGACATTAACTGTGACTTTGGGCTATAAACCTTTTCTTTGGTTCTCAGTTTACTTGTTTATTTCAAATAAATTGGACCGTATGAATGTTTAGGATCCTGCCAGGTCAATTAGTTGCTACTTATCTTTCTGCCAAAAAAAGTATAAGTATGTTGCTTGAATGTTGGTTATCAGCTCCATCTGGTCTCAGTACTGACCTCGTTTTTGGAATGCAAAAATCTGCATTTGGCGTGAGTCCTGTCCATGAAGAACTGCAGACTAATCATCAGGGCTTAAATGTGAACAATGGAGTATTAGTGCCAGGTCACCATACTGAGACTGACATGTGAGAAGTACAGACAGTTCTGTTCTAAGGGCTCAGAGGAAGGAGAACAGTGGTGAGAAAAGCTTGACAGAGAAGTGGGATTTCAACTGGACTTTGAGGATGGTTGTGATTTACATAGGCAAAGATAAGGAGGGAGGTCAGAGAGAATGGGGGTTGGGTACCAGCTGGATGGGGTGTGAACAAGAAGGCAGAGGTGAGAAAGAGAAAAGCTTATTCAAGGAAGAGTCATTCAGGTCTGCAAAAGATCACCAACTACCCTTTGGATATCACTGCACACTATCTATTTTAAATATTCCAGGCCATTTTTATTCCTTTGTTTAATACTTCTTATCCACTTGCTTGGATCGACTTCCCTAGAAAGTTGGTCCTACTCATATAAAGCAGCCATTTATGGGGCTTGGATAGTGTAAGATGGTCTCTCCCTTTCTCAGTGCCTGCATTCCCCAGTGATACTCAGCTGAGGCCGCAGAAAACCCTTTACTTCCCACTCAGTCCTGTGCAGGGCCTCAGGCACCCCATCAAGACTAACACTAAACAAGGAGGGTGTGAGGGCTGCCATCTTGACCTTCATCCTTATCACCATGGACCATCATGGCCAACAGAACTATATGCCACGTACTCTATGCTAAGGCATTATAGTTATTATTTCATTCAATCCTTCCAGCAGCCCTATAAGATGGAATCTGTATTATCTCAAATGAGGAGAATATTGCTTAGAGAGGTTCAGTGACCCACCCAAAGTCACAAGATGGTAACTGATGGAACTGGGACTTAGGCTCTTGTCTCTGGTCGCTGGGAGCTCACAATCACTGCGTGTGAGAGGTCACAATGACGGAAGTTCAGGAAGGCAAACAGCCCACCGTGGGTCATGCATTAAGCACCATGGAGAAAAGCAGAGAGAGACAAAAGAGGATCTTTTGATAGATGCATATGTGTGTGTGTCTCTGTGTGTGTGGTCTCCTACCTAGAACACAAGGGAAAAAAATTTATTACTTGCCTGAATGTCAGAAATAATTAGGGAAAACCAAACACAGTCAGAAATCCTGGTCTCTACTAATGGATAGTCAGAGAGGAAACTCACTCTCAGACAGGGTCTTCTTTCCAATGGTTAGTTTTCATGATGTGTGTGTTGGTGGGAGGTACACACACCCCCTCCCCTGGCTAGGCTTCCATGGCTAATCTCCCCAAGGAGTACTTATGTGGGAGGTAGCACTCTTTCCCACTGACCAGTGGGGACACAGGTGCCCTCTCCTAGCTCCCTTAAGGACTCTAAGACTCAGCCAGCCCTGAGGTCCAGAGGCAGGAGATCAATTGCCTGGGCCAGAGCCCTGAGGTGGGGCTTTGGAAACCCAGAGACCTTCAAGGCTCTAGACTCTTCTGAGCTGAAGTTGAGCTCTCTGGGGCAACTCCAGGGAAACAGGCCCTTTGTGAGGTGCTCCTTTGATGAGAAACATAATATACATACAAATTGCTATTATGTCAGCTTCTGAGAAGCCACTTCAATCCATTTGGGCACCTTTGATTTTATTCCCCTCCAATTCCTTTCCTTCTTTAAAAAAATTAATAAGAGCATGTTTTCATCTGGCCTCAAGAGAGTAATTTATTTATTCAAAGTAATAATAAAGTTTCAGCATAATCCTTAGTTCCCAAGCGGTAAAGAGACTCTTTGAACAATTTATTTTTCCCATTCTTGAAGTGCGAGGGAGACCAAGAGGCTGCTGTGCAGTGTCCTAGAGCCCACTGCCATGGCAGCAGCCAAAGCCTCTTGGCTGCCCAGCCGTAGGCTGCTGGGAGGCAGAGAGATGCGAAATGGTCTCATAACACTCTTCTTCCCCTCTCTCTGCTACAAGTCCTCCCTTTAAGAAACTGATGGACAGAATGGGATGAAGCCCTGGATCAGCTGTGGGAGTAAGAACAGCAACCTTGAAAGCTTATCACGACCAATCAGGTGCCAGGTTGGAGGCCCACAAGAAGCAGGTCAGGGCAGATGGGTGAGATGATGGCTCTGAATTCACATTCACACTATGGAGTCAGAACATGGGGCTCTGAGGGCTGGGTGAATGGGCCCAACTATGGGAGACAGGAAACCTTCAGAAATCTTGGTCTTCAATGAGTGCTGCAGGATGATAGAACCACCTCTAACAGGAAAACCAGTGCTATTTGACACTTATCTGCCAGCCAGTGTGTTAAGCATTGTATGTTCATTATCTCATTTAGTATTTATATGAGCATAGAACACTGTTGTTCCTATATTTTGGATAAGGAAAACAAAGTTGTGGAAATTAGTTAGCTTGTCCAAGTTCATACAGCTAGTAAGTGACAGACCTGGGATTCAAACCTGACTGGCTTGAAGAACTCAGGTTTGTATCCATTATAGACATTGCCTCTTGGTTTGAACTGGTTAGGGAAGGCTAATGAGGGTAGTTCTATCAGTTAAGAATAGTTTTGTCAGATGGGTAGATTGTAAAAATTTTCTCCCATTCTGTAGGTTGCCTATTCACTCTGATGGTAGTTTCTTTTGCTATGCAGAAGCTCTTTAGTTTAATTAGATCCCATTTGTCAATTTTGGCTTTTGTTGCCATTGCTTTTGGTGTTTTAGTCATGAAGTTCTTGACCATGCCTATGTCCTGAATGCTATTGCCTAGGTTTTCTTCTAGGGTTTTTATGGTTCTAGGTCTTATGTTTAAGTCTTTAATCCATCTTGAATTAATTTTTGTATAAGGTGTAAGGAAGGGATCCAGTTTCAGCTTTCTACATGTGGCTAGCCAGTTTTCCCAGCACCATTTATTAAATAGGGAATCCTTTCCCCATTTCTTGTTTTTGTCAGGTTTGTCAAAGATCAGATGGTTGTAGATGTGTGGTATTATTTCTGAGGGCTCTGTTCTGTTCCATTGGTCTATATCTCTGTTTTGTTACCAGTACCATGCTGTTTTGGTTACTGTAGCCATGCAGTATAGTTTGAAGTCAGGTAGCATGATGCCTCCAGCTTTGTTCTTTTGGCTTAGGATTGTCTTGGCAATGTGGGCTCATTTTTGGTTCCATATGAACTTTAAGGTAGTTTTTTCCAATTCTGTGAAGAAAGTCATTGGTAGCTGGATGGGGATGGCATTGAATCTATAAATTACCTTGGGCAGTATGGCCATTCTCATGATATTGATTCTTCCTATCCATGAGCATGGAATGTTCTTCCATTTGTTTGTGTCCTCTTTTATTTCGTTGAGCAGTGGTTTGTAGTTCTTGAAGAGGTCCTTCACATCCCTTGTAAGTTGGATTCCTAGGTATTTTATTCTCTTTGAAGCAATTGTGAATGGGAGTTCACTCATGATTTGGCTCTCTGTTTGTCTGTTATTGGTGTATAGGAATTCTTGTGATTTTTGCACACTGACTTTGTATCCTGAGACTTTGCTGAAGTTGCTTATCAGCTTAAGGAGATTTTGGGCTGAGACAATGGGGTTTTCTACATATACAGTCCTGTCATCTGCAAACATCCAGAATCTACAAAGAACTTAAACAAATTTACAAGAAAAAATGAAACAACCCCATCAAAAAGTGGGCAAAGGATATGAACAGACACTTCTCAAAAGAAGACATTTATGCAGCCAAAAGACACATGAAAAAATGCTCATCATCACTGGCCATCAGAGAAATGCAATCAAAACCACAATGAGATACCATCTCACACCAGTTAGAATGGCAATCATTAAAAAGTCAGGAAACAACAGGTGCTGGAGAGGATGTGGAGAAATAGGAACACTTTTACACTGTTGGTGGGACTGTAAACTAGTTCAACTGCTGTGGAAGACAGTGTGGTGATTCCTCAAGGATCTAGAACTAGAAATACCATTTGACCCAGCCATCCCATTACTGGGTATATACCCAAAGGATTATAAATCATGCTGCTGTAAAGACTCATGCACACATATGTTTATTGTGGCACTATTCACAATAGCAAAGACTTGGAACCAACCCAAATGTCCATCAATGACAAATTGGATTAAGAAAATGTGGCATATATACACCATGGAATACTATGCAGCCATAAAAAAGGATGAGTTCATGTCCTTTGTTGGGACATGGATGAAGCTGGAAACCATCATTCTGAGCAAACTATCACAAGGACAGAAAACCAAACACTGCATGTTCTCACTCATAGGTGGGAATTGAACAATGAAAACATTTGAACACAGGGTGGGGAACATCACACAACGGGGCCTGTTGGGTGGGGGGAGGGGGGAGGGATAGCATTAGGAGATATACCTAATGTAAATGACGAGTTAATGGGTGCAGCACACCAACATGGCACATGTATACATATGTAGCCTGCATGTTGTGCACATGTACCCTAGAACTTAAATAATAATAATAATAAAATAATAGTTTTGATTGCAAGTAATGAAAACTGGACTAATTGTCACTTAAATAGATAGAAGTTTATTTTCCTCTCCTAATTAGAGTCCGGAGGTGGGCAGCAGCTGGCACACACTCAACAGCTCAGTGACAGAGGCTGTTCTTGTGCCCTTTTGCTCATGCTCAGCACCTTCTTGTCACAAGAAGGCTGTGCACCTCCAGACATTACATCTGTATTCAAGGCAGGAAGAAGGAAAGGAGAAAAAGTTGGTGCCAGCACTATTCATCATCATTTAGCAGGAAAGTAAATGCCTTTCTCTCCCCAGCAAAAGCAGACTTCTATGTGATATTGGTGAGAAAGAGTCACACTAGCCTCCCCAGCTGAAAGACAGGCTGAGGAATGCAGGAATTTATCTCTCCACACCCTGCAGTGAAAGGACAGGAATGGCTTTTTGCAACTACTTCACAGCAAAAATGTGAGCTGGGCATTGGATGGTCAAAAAGAAGGACAAAATGCTAAAGGAGAAAGTTGCAAGAATGATGAGAGTATCTCAGTCCATTTGTGCTGTTATAACAGAATACCACAGACTTGGTAATTTATAAAGAACAGGAATTTGTTTCTCACAGTTCTGAAGGCTGGGAAGTCCAAGATCAAGGCACCAGCATTTGGTCTGGTGAGATCCTTCTTGCTTCATTATCACATAGCAGAAGGCAGAGGGCAAGCTAGCCAAAAGCAGCCTCTTTTATTTGGGCCTTAATCCCATTAATGAGGGAGGAGCCCTCCTGGCCTGATCACCTCTTAAAGGCCCCACCTTTTAATACCACCACATTAGCAAAGCCTGACTTTTGGAGAGGCCACATTGAAACTGTGGCAGATGACGAAGCACTTCTAGGTCTGGATCTGGGGTTAATGTGGAGAACTGGTGGGAGAAAAAATTGGAAAACCAAGTGGGGCTTAGATTGTGGTGCAATGTAAGTACCAATCCAGAAAGCCAAGCTTCATCTTTACAGGCATGTATTGTTTCCACACTCCTGTCAGCCCCATTCTCTTGCTCCTTTCTTTAACAAGATACATGTGTTAGTTTCTTTAATTTGCTAAAGTATTTATCCCAGGGCTTGGAGCTGGATTTCATTGCAGGAAAAAAAGGTTCTAAATTCATATATAAAGAGGTACTTTGTGTTTCATTTAAAGTGGATTGTATCACTTTAAATCGATAATAGATTAATTCTTCCTTTTCTGCTTCCATTTTCTCATTGCCATTGGCAATGTTCATTCTGTAAGACAAGAGAGAATCTTCCATTGATTAAAGGGATTAAGGGTAAGAGACAATGACAGTAGCTGTTGTGTTAGGTGACAGGATGTGGGATGATTTAGTATTATTACAACATTTTCATGAAAGTTGAATTTTATTTTGGTTAAAACAAGGAGGAAATATTTAAGGTCATTGGAAAAGAATATTTGGTCAAATTACTGTGACAGTGGTTCTAGAAGAGAAGGATGAGTCTTAATATAATGGTCAGAAACTTTTCTGGAAGGGGAGCTGTTACCACAGGCTTAGGGGTGGACTGTGGGAGTCCTCCCTTAGGTGTTCCTTGATGTGTGGATGCCCTTCTCCCCAGGTGAGCCCACTGCCACCATGGGAGGCCTGCTTTGTCTCTGGGGTTCTTCCAGACTGGACTCTGTAGGGCTATTGTAGTCTCTGGGTGACACAGAGTTCATGTCCAGGTGACTGCCACAAACTCGGGACACAGGTCCTCAGTATCCCTCTTTATAGGAGATTTCTTCAGAGGGATTTCTGGACCTTCCCCCTTCTCTTCTTAGTTAGGGGGTGGAAAGACATCCTTCACTAACCTGCAGGGAAACTAAAAGTTTAGGGTGTCTCCACAAGGTCCTCTCTTGAACTCTTCCCTGGCATCAGATAGTCTTTCACCCTCATCATATCCTGATGTAAAATGCCGCTCGTCACCATTTTCCTTAAGAAAGCTAATCGTGTTCAACACTCTGTAAGCTTAGGACCTTGACAGAGGCTTTGGGAGGCTCCAGTGCATATGGCGAAGGCTCTGGCTGTCTCACCTGAACCTCATGCCTCTCAAGCCCCTCTCCTTTAACATCTATACCTCTGTCATGTGATTAAACATTGGCCCGGTTCCACCTCCAGTGTTTTCCCCTACAACCATTGCCATCTGTCGCAGAAATCCTGGAAACTGCCCAAATCTGGTATCCAAAGGCCCTCTCCAACTTTTAGAAAGACTGTTTCGTTTACCATGTGTATGTTTCCCTGCTTTTGCACTGTGAATTATTGGCCTGTAGTCTTTTCAAAAGCAGACAAGCACACATCCTCAATAAAATACGTTCAAGGACACATGACTCAAGTCTTAATGCACTTACTGAATTCTTTTCTTGTAAGCCCCTGTGCTGATTTAGGTTCTGTAGTAGATGCTGGAGATACACGCAGATTGAAGCCAGGTCCTGCCTTCCAGAGGGCCAGAAGTCAGACGCTAATAATTAAGAGGTTAAATATTAAGGAAAAGAATCAGAATTTGAAAAGTAGATAATAGATATAGATCACCTGGGAGTTAAGACAGCAATGATCCCCGTAGGTTTTTTGTTTGTTTGTTTGTTTGTTTGTTTGTTTAAAAAAAAAGCCCTCTCCCACTGCCTTCCCACTCTTGCTTTCTTGATAGGTCAGGCGAGAGCTAAACAAGTTCTGCCGTGTCACTCCTTCACTCAGAAACCTACTATAGCTTCCATCTACCTAAAATTAGAACCTGAGTGCCTAGCACAGCCATACCTACACGATTGTTTTTGAAGCTACTTTTCCTACTTGTATCTACTGGTATACCCTCCTGCACTCTACCTGGTGTCAGCTCAAACTCTTCATCTTTCCCCAAGCACAGAGGTGTTCCTATGACATAGTTCATGTTACTTGAGCCACATAGTGGTCTCAATGGTCTCTTTACTCAAAATCCTGCTTACCAGTTCAAGGTCAAGCAACCTTATTTAATCTGGAAAGTTGCTTCTGCGTTCCCAGGTGCAACTCTTCACCCTATGGAATGAACATGATTAAAAGTGTAAGTTCTAAAGCCAGACTGCTTGGATTCAAATCCTGGATCGGTATGTGCTTGCTACACAGCCTTGGGCAAGTCAGTTAATATTCTCAGGCCTCTGTTTCCATCTGTAAAATAGGGTCAACAATAAAACATATCTCAAACATTACATAATTTATTTGTATATTGCTTATGATGGGGTCTGACATATGGTAAACACTATTTGAGGGTTATTGTAATCATCATCATTGTCATTAATATTATTGGCTGATCCCACTCTTGCAGAGTTACTGCCAGGTGCCTTTCAATTGTGACTTCTCTCCTTGTTCCTCCTTTGTTACTTCGTGAGGTCTGTATTACTTTTCTATTGCTGACAATAAAAAATAACCACAAGCTTGGTGGCTTAAACACCCCAAATGTATTATTGTAAAGTCCTGTAAGGCAGAAGTCGAACATGGGCCTTGCATGGGCTAATATCAAGGTAACGGCAGTGTTTTGGGGGGCTTCTAGGGGAGAATCCATTATCTTGCTTTTTCCAGGTTCTAGACCACCTGCATTTCTCGGCCTGTGGGCCCTATCTTTCATTTTCAAGGACAGTGACATTGCATCTGTCTATTCTTCCATTGTCATACCTCCCTCTCTGGTCACAGCCAGGAAAGATTTCTGTGAAGGAGCTGTGGGATCAGATTGTGCCACCCAGACAAGTTAATCCAAAAAAATCCCCCCAACTCAAGGCCCTTAATTTAATCACATCTGCAGGTTTCTTTATCCATGTAATGCAACATATTAATAGGTTCTGGAGATTCAAATGTGAATGTCTTTGGGGGCCATTATTCTGCCTACCACAAGGTCCTTGAAGGCAGATCTTCTTTTTCCCCTTAAGTATTCCTTGTAAGGGTTGGCATAAAAATGCTTTTAAGAAATGTTGAACTGAATCCAGTTCTCAGAGTGTCAGGAAAGGAAGACTCCAGGAGAGTTCCAAAGAGCTGGTTGTTGTCTTCTGGAACGTAGTTTCTTAGTATTATTTGTACAAATTATTGGAATGAATAATTATGCTATTTTGAGTTAATACCTCAGGCAGGAAAAATATTTTTTGAGCCCAGGTTTCAATTATGTTAAATCTTTAACAAGAACAACAACAACAAAAGTGTATTGGCAAGAGCGCCAAAGGCTAGGGTGTTTTACATTAGCCTACCAGCCTCCTGGAAATGTCAAGGAATAGAAGGGCATTACTATCCATGCTTTACAGGGTAAGAAATTGACGCACAGAGAAGTTAAGTAACTTGTCCAAAGTCACAGTGGACAACCCAGAGGCAAAAGCTGAAATATTAACATCTTGATACTTTTTTTATTTTTTATTTTTATTTATTTTTTTGAGGTGGAGTCTTGTTGTATCACCCAGGCTAGAGAGTGGTGATGAAATCATAGCTTACTGCAGCCTTGACCTCCTGGGCTCAAGCTATCCTCTTACCTCAGCCTCCTGAGTACCTGAGACTACTAGCATGCATCACCATGCCTGGCTAATTTTTTATTTTTTTGTAGAGACAAGCTCTTGCTGTGTAGTCCAGGCAGGTCTTGAACCCCTGGCCTCAAGCGATCTTCCTGCCTTGGCCTCCCAAATGGGAAGTACTGTGATTACAGGTGTGAGCCACTACACCCCTCCCATTATGGTATCTTGATGATTAAGCTAGTGCTTTCTCACAGCTTGTGACACTAAAAACCCTTCGTTGTCTCCAGTCAGGATACTCTGACCATTCCTTTCTCATCATTAAACACTCAAATTATGCCCAATTCATTGTCTTCATGCCATCCATTACATAGTCCTTTAATATGGCCATATGCAAATGGCATGATCAATAATAGTGCTGGCAAGTGAGGGGCATGTTTGGAGAATGACACACACTTCAGTTATGCTATGCTATGGGGTGCGTATGAGGAATTTGGTAGTTCATTCAGTGAGTAGTTACTGAGCATCTGTAAGTGTTATGAGTTCCCCTGCTGTCCTTATGGAGTGTTTATAGTGTGGTGATGAAAGCAATTCTTCAAATAAATAAGTATGTGTGTGAAAAGTGTTAACAAAGAAGAAACACAGGCTGCTCTGGGAAGAAGCAACTGATGAAGCTGGAAGACTTTCATATGATGCCTTGAGAACCAAGCTAAAGGATTTCAACTAAGAGTCCATTGCAATAGTAAAAAAAAAAAACAAAATGATGAGTGAATGAACCAGAGTTGAAGCTATGGGAGCAGAAAGGGAAGTGTATTGTTTATTCTCACACTGCTAGCAAGAACTACCCGAGACTGGGCCATTTATGAGAAGAGAGGTTTAATTGACTCAGAGTTCCACAGGCTGTACAGGAAGCATGGCTGTGAGGCATCAGGAAACTTACAATTATGGTGGAAGGTAAAGGGGAAGCAAGCACATCTTATGTGGCAGATCAGGAGAGAGAGAGTGAAGGGAGAAGTGCCACACACTTTCAGCCAGTCAGATCTTATGAGAACTCACTATCATGAGAACAATGAAGAGGAAGTCCATCCCCATGATCCAGTCTCCTCCCACCAGGTCCCGCCCCCAACATTGGGAATTACAATTCAACATGGGATTTCAGTGGGGACACAGAGACAAGCCATATCAGGAAGAATCAACTAGGTGAAAATAGTAACTTGTCTATACCCATTGTTCTAATTCTCTGGCATTCTAGTGATCATTTAGACATATGGAAGAATTAACCAACTTGGTTCCAACTTTGAAGATTCATTTGTCAAACCAGGGTACAGGAGGCTGTCACCATAGACAATCTGTTTGTGAACCAACTCAAGAGACTGTATATAAATACATTTTGGATTGTTACTTTTAATAAATCTGTCATAAGTTCAGCTTAATTGGTTAAGTCACAAGGGCTTTAAGAGCTCCTCCTGTGTAGCCAGCTCAAGGCTGGATGTCATGGGAGATGCTATTAAGCAGCTTATAGGCCCATTTTGAGGCACATTCGTGAAACCACAAAAGGGTAATGTGACTAAAAACTTAGAATCAAGTTCCAACCTGTGTGTAACTGGCTACCGGTGCTGTGTTGGTTCAGGTGGGCCATGAGACGAGAAGGTATAGGTTGACTTCTTGCACCCCAATTTTTCTCTAACTTAATTGTCTGTAGGAGATTTTTACCACTTGAATCTCATTCCTTTTGGGTGAAACAATTTCCCCCTCTTGCAGTTGTCTTTGAACCTGAGAGAAGTGTTAGATTCCTTTAGTTTCACTCTAGGTAACAACTTTCTAACATTGTGAATGGTTCAACAATGGAATCCACATATCGGAGTGGTAGTGAGTTCCTGTTGCTGGAGAGGCTCACACAGAACCTGAGTGAACATCTTCCTGCAACACTGAAGAAGGGATTCCTGTGTTGTTTAGGAGATTTCACAAGTTGACCTCTTAAGGTCAGCATTCTCCTGATCTGTGCTCACATAACTAACAAAAATGTATTGTTGAAATGTTACTTGTTCAAGATAAACTATCCCCTCCCCAAAATCAGCTCTGGTTATACAAATTATGTGACTCTTTGACCCTGATGAATGTGTTGTCTTTTTCTCTTGATATGGGTGAAAGTGTATCACAGGAGTATTGGACACCTAGAAGCACTGGAAGAAACCAAACAAAAAAGTCCCCTATTTCATGGTCTTGCCCGGGCTCCCTCCTGCGTATCACGAAAATGTTTAGGCAGAAAAAGTAATCTCTGTGGCTCTGAACAAAAAGTTAAGTTGCGATTGGACAAGTGCTTAACATCCTCATTAAATTCCTAGTTTCCTTGGGCTTGCTGGGCTGATCTTTCTAAGTGTCTCTTAGCCTTATTGCCTCCCGAGGTGGTCTCTATGTTTCTGGATTTATTCCAAAGTGCTCATCACTTTCCCGCCCCACCCCCCGCTTCCCCCGCCCCGACTCCCCCTTCCCCCACCCACAGTGCCCCCACCTAAAAGCATTTGCCAGTGGTCATGGGTCCTTTATGTAAAAAAGTGGAGTTGCTTCTTACCTTCTCACTTCCACTCATTTGCCTCTGTGTTTTTTTGGGCAAGGAGTGAGTTTAGAGCTACCTATCAGAAAAGTGAGAAATTAGCTCATTAGCAGAATGCAAGCTTAATAATAGATAAAGAAAGACCACCAAGACTATTTATTGTCTAGACTACTTACAGCCTTCCAGGTATTATCAGAGGTAATTTCTGCACACTATACCTCCAGCCAGAATCAATTATTCTTCCTGTTTGAAAAATTAAGAAAAATTAAGTGCTGATAACTAAATTCCTTAACCTGCCCAGCACCAGAAGATCATTCAAGAAGCTCACTGGAATTGCAGATACACTCCTGGGCTAAGAATATGGAGCTTTGGCTACCAAAGATGATTGCCCTAAGATATCTCCAAAGGGCTCATGTAGGGGTTGTTAGGTGATCTGCAAGGTAGGAACTCATTTTGGAAAATTACTATTTATCTTTCAATGCATATAGTCTTAGAGTGTTCAAGTACTCCATTCCAGTGTATTTACCTATTGGGCATCTGTTAAGTCTTTACTTACACAAGCATTCTATGACTAAGAACATTTTAAAACTACTGATTTTAGTCAACTGATTTTAGTGAACTCCTTTAGTTGACATTTGGGAAATAGATCCCAAAGTGGCTAAGAGGCTTCCAAAACATCACTCAAAATTTTGGAGGTAAAGCTAAAGACCAGCAATTATTTAAGTGGAGACGCATAGACTAGGTGTAAATTAGTAACACTTTCCTTCTGTTTTCACTTCAGTCATTTCATTCTTTTGGCTTCCCTTCTGTGTTCACACCACAAATCAAGCATGCTTTGTCCTTAATCTTCTGTGGGGAACCCGTTTTAATTCTCTACTGCCTTGTTGGGAAACCGTATCTGCCTAGAAGTTGCCCTGGAGTTTCTAGAACCAAACTCTATTTCTAATGGGATGAATTATTTATATAGCAGCATTTTGTTTTTATTATTTAGCGCCTTTTTTTTTCTTTTCAAAATACATGTTTCTTTATCCAATACCTTATTTAGTCCTCACAACATCCCAGTGAGACAGATGAAGCAGGTGTTAGTAAAGTACATCACACAAATAGCAAAGTGACTGTGCAGGTAGAACTTTAGGTGTTTTTCTTTTTTAAAAAAACAAGAGACATTTTCTGCTATTTCATTGTGTAGACGGGCATAGAAAGTCACTTTGGAATCTTCAAATCTGCCTCTTTTCTGAACAAACAAGTAATTCTTCTAATCAGGCAAATGTAAGATGTGAGGGGCTAAGCCTTTATATACTTTCAGCATCTTATAGTATGCTTACCTGGAAAAGAGATGAGGAAATTTGCATAGGTGCCAAGGGGTCCCCTGGCAGACAAGGGACACTCAGATTCTAAACAGATTCTCCTTTTCTTTTCATTAAAATGCTTTATTTTTATTATTTTGACACACAATAATTGTGCATATTTATGGGATCCAGTGTGATATTTCAAAGTATGTATATTATGTGTAATGATCAAACCAAGGTAATTAGAATATCCATCACTTCAAACATTTATTTCTTAGTGTTGGAAAAATTAAAAATCTTCTTTTCTAGCTATTTGAAAATATATAGTAAATTGTTGTTAACTACAGTCACCCTACAGTACTATAGAACGCTAGAATTTATTCCTCCTATCTAGCTGTAATTTTGTATCTTTTAACCAACCTCTGTATATTCCCCTCTCCTCTCTACCTTTCTTAGCCTCCAGTAGCTACTATTCTACTCTCTACTTTCTGTGAGATCAATTTGTTTGGTCCCCATTGTATGACTGAGAACGTGTGATGTTTGTGTTTCTGTCCCTGATTTATTTCACTTAATACAATGTTCTTCGGCCTCATCCATGTTGCTGCAAATGACAAGATTTCATTCATTTTTATGGGTGAGTAGCATTCCAATGTGTATGCGCGTGTGTGTGTGTGTGTGTATATATATATATATATACGTGTATATATATATGTATATATACATATATGTGTGTATATATGTATATATACATATATGTGTGTATGTATGTATATATACATATATGTGTGTATATATGTATATATACATATATGTGTGTATATATGTATATATACATATATGTGTGTATATATGTGTATATATACATATATGTGTGTATATATGTGTATATATACATATATGTGTGTATATATGTGTATATATACATATATGTGTGTATATATGTGTATATATACATATATGTGTGTATATATGTGTATATATACATATATGTGTGTATATATGTATATATACATATATGTGTGTATATATGTGTATATATACATATATGTGTGTATATATGTGTATATATACATATATGTGTGTATATATGTGTATATATACATATATGTGTGTATATATGTGTATATATACATGTATGTGTGTATATGTGTATATATACATGTATGTGTGTATATGTGTATATATACATGTATGTGTGTATATATGTGTATATATACATGTATGTGTGTATATATGTGTATATATACATGTATGTGTGTATATATGTGTATATATACATGTATGTGTGTATATATGTGTATATATACATGTATGTGTGTATATATGTGTATATATACATGTATGTGTGTATATATGTGTATATATACATGTATGTGTGTATATATGTGTATATATGTATATATACATGTATGTGTGTATATATGTGTATATATGTATATATACATATATATATGGGAAAAAGTATATATTCATGTGTGTGTATATATGTGTGGGTGTATACACACACTTTTTCTTTTTCTTTCTTTCATCAATGGACACTGATCTTGATTCCATATCTTAGCTATTATGAATAGTGCTACAATAAACATAAGAGTACATATCTCTCTTAAACATTGTGATTTCCTTTCCTTTGGCTATATATGCAGTAGTGGGATTGCTGGATGACATGGCAGCTTTATTTTTAGTTTTCTGAGGAAGCTGTATGCTGAAACATCCCCTTTTAGATCTTCTGTGATAGCTTAGCAGAGTCAACCAATGTCTGTTGGTGGGAAATCACTTTAAACATCTGAAACTGTTGGTCTAGTCTCAACCCTGGGGCCTGGAAGTCTTGGGGGAGAGCCCAGAACTTGTGCTGCTAGGCATATGAGTGTAACCACTGACAACTGTAACTCGGAGGTCACAAGTGAGGAGACCCACTATAGCCAACAGCAGAATGGAGACCAGAAGAGACACCAGCTCAGCCATAGAAAGAACATAGAGGACTGTGTGGTATATGGCTGTTTTCATTTGGTGGCAATAGAAACAAAGGCAGCTCAACTGGGGCTCGCCAATAAACACATGAGGGCCCCAAATTCTCTCTCTTCTGACATTTGAAATGAAAATTAGCCCATTTGACAGAAGTTCTTGGATAACTAAAGAAGCCTCAAGAGGAAAACACTAGACCCCTTGTTTTTATGAACATCCAGGATGCCCAGGAGAGTGTCCCTGGTTACGTATAAAGATGAGGTGAGATATAGATTCTAGGTAAGGAGTTGAAGGATTTTGCCCAAGGTCACATGGCTGGACAGATCCCAGCACTCAGCCTTCCTTTCCAGCCCCTTGCTAGTTCTCTAGTCGGCACAGCATGCTCGATTCACTGCTAATGACTCTGCTTTAACTACGCTCCCCATTCTCATGCCTCTGAGTGGAAATGTGACCTTGGAGTGGTGGCGAATCGTAAATCCTCCTGAGCCTTTCTGCTGCCCAAGCATTGGCTGGTTCCCATCTAATTTTTCATATTGTTAGGGACAGTTCTCAGAAACCATTAGATGTATCATCTAAGAGCCCTTAGGCACAGTTCTGAAATGCTGAGAACTCTTGTCTTGCTTGTGGGAGTCTGGAGGCAAAAGATGATTCTCCTTCTCCAGAGCCTTCCTGAGAGGCTGACAGTAAGACCAGGGGCACCTTAAGGTTTCAGCAGAGTCTGCAGGGCCCCTGGGAGTGCCTTGTCCTGGCTCCCACAGACTTCCATTGTGGTTGGTAGTATGCATGATAATGGTAGTTTAGTTCTTTTCCCTTGAAGATAGCTTTTAAATGTGCTCTGTTGGCCTCTTGATGAAATAGCTTCATGCATATTAATGACATCTTTTATTTACTGAGCAGCACCATTAAGCACTTTGAAATACCAGATTCCACCCAAGGTCTCCGGGGAGACAAGCCAATATCTCTAGACTTATTGGATGAATTGGAAACTGAGGAAACAAAAAAAGCTCAGTAACTTCCTAAAAGCAACACAGAAAGTCCCCAAGCTACATGTGCTGTCTGCCTAGCAGATGGTTATGGTCTTGATTGGGTAGTATTATATCAGGTTTCCGGCATGTCCATTCATTCTTATAACAGGCTTTTATTGAGCACTTGCCATGTGCACAGCACTATATAGGACACTGAGTGTGAAGGAAGGTGAATACAAGACTAATAAGACACAAAATGAAAGGGCAGACTCTATTTAAGAAACAGTCCGGTCTCTGCAAACCTGAGAGAGCGGTTAGAGTGTAGAAAGCAAGATCCAAAAGGTAAGATGGCAGCACACTGTTGAAGACTTTGAGGGATTGCTACTCCCACATGCTCATGCTCCTTGGCCCAAAAACTCTACTTCTAGAAATATAGCCAGGAACAAAAATGAGTTAGACACAGGTGACTTGGAAAAGATGACCATTATGTAACATTTAATGGGGAAAAAAATCTTCAGACCAATGATTTTATTTTTATAAACTGCATGTGTAAATGTTTGGGATTGTATGCATATATTATGCATGTAGATAAATAGGTGGGCATAGATAGGTAGATAGATAATAAAAGATAAGTAAGAAAGAGAGGTAACTAGAAAATTAAGGAATTTCAGGAAGCGTATACGTACAACTAACGGCAATGTTGGCAGGGATAGAGGCACATTGTTGTTTCTAATTTCACATTGTATTTTAACAGTCAAGTTAGAGGTGATTTTGTTTGTTTTTTATTTTAAAAATAAAATACTCAAAAATTAATACCTAGAAGGCGTTGTCCCCAACCTCAAGGACCTTATAGCCTAGGACAGAAGACAAAGAAGCATTAACTACACTATCAGAAAGAATAAAACAAAGACACTATTAGCATATGAAGGATGTCTTTAATAAGTGTATATAAGATAAAAAGAAAAGGTGTATATAAGAAAAAGGTGCATATGTTGAAAGAAAGTTTCCTACCGGGAATGTTGGCCAATGACTTCTTTCTTCCTTTTCTAGAGTAATACCTGCTAGTGAATCCACTCTTTAGGTTCTAGGGCGGCTCCTCCCAGATCCACTCACCTAAGGAGGAAACTACAAGCCAGTCCCAAATCCCCCCAAGTACCAAGTAAAGTGTCAAAGATGAACCAACTCTTTCTAGGCTCCCATTCCAATCCCACTGCCACTGTCCACTGTTGGAACAGAGACCTGTAGGTGTATTAGAGCTGATCTAGGGGAAGATTTTGGTAGCTTTGTTGATATGAATTTTCCCAGGGATGTTGAGCTTTGCTTGCCATGTGTCAAGGCTAACTAGAGATAAGGTAACATAAATGAACTTTTTACCATGTGTGTATGCAACCCCGGGCAGGATCCCTGAGGTGGCACACCTTGAGGGTGAGGAGGGCAAGCTAGGCTGATTCTCCTTGCAAGGTGCCTGCTGTGCTCTTGATGCTGCTGAAAATCATGCCCATCAGGGCAGAGACACATGTTGTACAGCAACAGTAAAAGATCATAGACAAAAACACATGCGGAGGGTGGAGAGGGCAATGAAGAGTGCCTCATTCTGACCGAAAAATCTACGATGGCTTCACTGGGGAGGAAATTCTTGTGCTAATCATTGAAGGACTGAGTTTTAATTAGTAACGAACATGGGAAGGGTATTCTAGAAAAACAAAATGCAAAATTTAACATTCCAATAGGAGCTAACATTTAAATAGCCCTTACCCTGCCAGGTACTAACCAAAGATCTTCATATAGAGTGAATGAATGAATCCTTGTAACAATTCAATGAGGATTATTTTACTTACCATCATGTCCTCCAGGCACATCAATGTCACAAATGACAGAATTTGATTCTTTTTTTATGGCTGAATAATGTTTAATTGTGTATCTATACCGCATTTTCTTTACTCATTCATCAGTGGACAATTAGGTTGATTTCATGTCTTGGGTATTGTGAATAGTGCTGTAATAAACATGAGAGTGCAAATATCTCTTTTTTTTTTTTTTTTTTTTTTTTTGACCGAGTCTCACTCTGTTGCCCAGGCTGGAGTACAGTGGTGCAATCTCGGCTCACTGCAACCTCTGCCTCCTGGGTTCAAGCGATTCTCCTGTCTCAGCGTCCCGAGTGGCTGGGACTACAGGCATGTGCCACCACACCCGGCTAATTTTTTCTATTTTAGTAGAGATGGGGTTTCACCATGTTAGACAGGATGGTCTTGATCTCCTGACCTCGTGATCAGCCCACCTCGGCCCCCCAAAGCTCTGGGATTACAGGCATGAGCCACCACGCCCGGCCCAAATATCTCTTTAATATACTGATTTCCTTTCCTCTGGATAGGATGCCCAGTATATATGTGATTGCTGGATTACATGGTAATTCTATCTTTAGTTTTCTGAGAAACCTCTATACCGAAACATCCCCTTTTAGATCTTCTATGTTCTAAATACTGCTATTATACCCATTTTACAGATGAGGAAACTGAGGCACAGAAAAGTTAAGCAATTTTCCTAGGGTCTTGGAGGGAGAAAGTGTTTTTTTTTTGTTTTTTTTGTTTTTGTTTTTGGTTTTGCCTTTTTGAGACGGAGTCTTGTTCTGTTGCCCAGGCTGGAGTGCAGTGGAGTGATCTTGGCTCACTGCAACCTCTGCATCCCAGGTTCAAGCTATTCTCCTGCCTCAGCCTGCCGAGTAGCTGAGATGACAGGTGCCCGCCACTATGCCCGGCTCATTTTTTTCTATTTTTAGTAGAGATGGGGTTTCACCACGTTGTCCAGGCTGGTCTCGAACACCTGACCTGGTGATTCGCCTGCCTCAGCCTCCCAAAGTGCTGGGATTACAGTCGTGAGCCACCGCGCCCAGCTTCATGGAGGAAGAAAGTGGTAACACTAAGCTTCAACCCAGGGAACCTGGCTCTAGAGACTTGCTCCTACCCTCTGAGAACCTTTAAGTGGAAGAATAATGAGCTCCAGGAAGAATAATGAGTGAGACAGGAAAAGGAACAGCATGGAGCACCCAAGGTGAAAAGTGCAGAGCAGCAACTCCCCTGGCATGGCTGCAATAGAGACAGCAGCCCTTGGGTGATGAGCTGGCACTGCAATGGGGTGGTCCTCGGCCACTGAGTAAAAGGCTAGGAACTTTATTTGAAGAATCAGGAAGCCACTGGACATGTTTTCAGAAAAGGGGTGACGTGCTCTGGCTGCTGTCTTGGGAAAATGTCTCTGCTGAGGACAGGAAGGCTGAATGTGAGAGGAGCGAGAATGAAGATTTAGGAGGCCAGTTAGGTAAGAGATGCTGAGGGCCTGAATCAGGTGGAGTCATCTGAGTGAGAGAAGACAATGGAAACAAAAGGCCCTTTGTAGATAAGAAACCACTTTCTATCTGCTTCCGCTTGGCCACTGGGTCCCTGGTAGGAAGTGAATGGTGAAGACAGAGGTGCAGCCTGAAAACAGGCAACAGCCAGCAGAGGCTACCATCTCCAGGCAGTCCTCTGGCCTCTTCTCAGCCTTTGCTGACTTATTTGATTTTCTTTTCTTTTCTTTTCTCTTTTTTTTTTTTTTTTTTTTTGAAATGGAGTTTCACTCTTGTTGCCCAGGCTGGAATGCAATGGCACAATCTCGGCTCACAGCAACCTATTTCTCTTGGATTCAAACGACTCTCCTGCCTCAGCTTCCTGAGTAGCTGGGATTACAGGCATGTACCACCACGCCCAGTTAATTTTGTATTTTTAGTAGAGATGGGGTTTCTCCATGTTGGTCAGACTGGTCTCGAACTCCCGACCTCAGGTGATTCACCTGCCTCGGCCTCCCAAAGTGCTGGGATTACAGGTGTGAACCACAGTGCCCGGCAACTTACCTGATTTTCAAAACAATCTTCCCCCATCAGCACCTTCTCCCAAAACTCTCCTTTTCCCAACCTTGAAACTAAAAACTTCTGCATTCTACATGCCTAGGACAGTGTTTCAGAGCACTTTACTGCACAACAAAGCCAAAAGCAGCTGGCATGATTTTGGCTTTTTCTGGTCCAGGTCCTGGGGGAGGTGGCTTGAATAATTCCTGGGGGTTTGGGAGCAGATGACGCTAAGCCCAGGCCCAGTTTGCTCTACTCCGTTTGTAATTTCCTCACACTGTAAATTGTAGACATTGTAGCTGGGCACTCTCTTTATGGCTTACTTTCATCTTGAAATGTTCCCGTGCTACATTTTCATGTAACTTATGCACCTCAAATGTTGTAAAAACTGCCGTAAAAGTCAATATAAATTCAATAATGTCACGTCAGTCAAAGGCGGCAGAGCAGCCCTTTTGAGCAAACAATTGGGAAACTAGAGGGAAAACTCGATTGCTCCATGTTGCAAATTGATTAAAGATATGAATCAGAAAATTAAAGGGCTTTTGGAGTTTAGGTTATTACTAACTGCTTTACTTTATGGAGCAATTACTTTGATTCTATCTTGAGTCCAGTAAAGCGACTGCCAGCATATGGTGAGATGGGGCCCTGTGTCTTTCTTATTAATGTGAATTACTCAAGATCAGGCTAAATGAATACATACATGCGTCTGAGCCATGTGAATTCACTTCTTAAGCACCGTATCTAAAATTGTAAAGAAATAATTTATACTTAGGGTCATATCTCTATTAGCCTAAACCTGCAGGTTCTTCTCTGCCAGGAGTAGAAACCCTATTTTCAAAGAGTGAGATGTTGCAACAAGTCACCTGTATATTTAGTTTATATATTTTTAGCCTATGTTGGAAGTGCAGGGAAGCATGGGGTGGTGTTTACATGAGCTGGTTTGTGCTACTCCCAGGTTTGGCCTATTGAGCTAAGTATTGAAATGTCAACCTCATCTGATTATCTCAGTATCTGAAAGTCCATAATGAGATAGCCATTCCTTTAGAGCTTAAACCTTTTTGTACTGAGCTCCTTGTATAAGTATCATAGGATTGAAAAAACTGGGGCTCAGAAAAAACCTTAGCAATAATTAATTTGGCCTTTTGGGCCTTGGCAGCCGGGAAGCTAAGAGCTAAATTTAATATTCAGTTGTAGTAATTACCCTGCAATGGATTCCTGGCCTAGCATAAGGCCAGGCACATTCAGTGGGTGCTCAGTGAGGGAAGGCTGAATAGAGGCATGAGAGATAATGAATAATAGTCACGATTATTATTGCTTACTGTGAGTGAGAGCTTGCATGTGTGCCAAGTGCTTCACAAAAGTTACCATAATTAATCCTAACAATAGTCTTCTCAGCCATTTTCATGACCATTTTACAGATAAAGAAGCAGGCTTGTAGAAGTTAAGAGACTGGTCCATGTTCACCCAGCTTGGATTTGAAATCAGACCTCTATGACCTCAGAACCAGCAGTCACAGCTCCCACCCCAAAGAATGATCACATGGATGCTCACAAGGACTTAAAATGGGGAAACTAGGGTTACCCTGAGAGTTATTTAGAAAAACATCACATATCTGAACAGAGATTAGCTGTTCCTTGTAGAGAGAAAAGTTTCCAAACAAGAAGGTTTTGACTGTAAATGTATTCCGAGTTTTGAGTCATCTTTAGGAAAAATGGATCAAGAAGGAATGTTGTTCAGCAAGAGAAGCACAGACCCACTGGAAATCAAGGAGGCTGGTGTGGGAAGTAGCCACCCAGTTGTGGCTGAGAGACTGGGTGTCATAGCTGGGCCTTGCACATCACAGTTCTGTTGGCATCTGAATATACGTTCATTAATTGTCAGAATTCCCCTGTTCTGTTACTGTGCTCACCAAGAAGCCTTCCGGTTTGGTTTTGGCATCCCAGGTATGTCTGTCTACAGGCAGACATGTACTGGCTATACCCAATCTGATTGGCACAAGAGTTATGGTATTCGGGGTAGATTAATTAATGAGGTGTCTGATTTATATAATGTCTCTGGGGTTAATTGGAGACCATTCCTGGCCAGCGTACTCATTCATGGGAGCTTACCAAACCGGGTTTCTGAGACTGCAAGGCTGAGAGTCAAATCCTGGACTGCCAAGTTCCGGAAGCTTAGAAGGCAAGTCTCCGAGCCCCCTGGGCAGCCCACCAATCTAGCCCTTCCTCAATATATAACTTCACATTTATTCAAATTTTTACAAATTACTTTATAAATTATTATGCTCTGCTTTCTTTAACAATGATTCTGAGTCTGCTGGTCACTATTTTATTTGTTCAGTTTTAGACATGTCTATGAATAGTTATTTCAAACTCTTTTTAAAAAAGCCGGGGGGAGGGGGGTGGTGCTGGGCGCAGTGGCTCATGCCTGTAATCCCAGCACTTTGGGAAGCCAAGGCGGGCGGATCACGTGAGGTCAGGAGTTTGAGACCAACCTGGCCAACATAGTGAAACCCCATCTCTGCTAAAAATGCAAAAATTAGCCGGGCGTGGTGGCACACCCTGTAATCCCAGTTACTTGGGAGGCTGAGGCAGGAGAATCACTTGAACCCAGGAGGCAGAGGTTGCAATGAGCTGAGATTGTCCTACTGCACTCCAGCCTGAGTGACAGGGCAAGACTCTGTCTCAAAAGAAAAAGGAGTGGGGGGGTGGGGGAGCAGGTGGCAGGTGGTGCTTTAAAATAGACATGCCTGTATGAGGAAAGCCCAAATCAGCAAGAAAGATTATATGGCATCCCGCTCTGATCAGGGTACTGAAGGAATAAGGTACAGGGAAGTTATGGTAGAAAGAGGCAGAAAAAATAAGAAAGACAGTTTTAAACTCTCTAAAATTTTTGCCAAAGGAAGACCCAATTGTCTCACATCTATTCATTCATCCATCTGTCTATTCATCCATCCATTCATTCATTCCAGCCAATACCTACCAATAAAGTGTCATGTGCCAAACAAACACTGTTGAGCCTAAGAATGTAAGTGGAAGGTGGTGATTCTGTCGGCAGGGCAATCCAACTCTTCTGGCTAAATACTTTATGCCATGTGCCATACTCAGACATACTCATCACACAATGAAATGAAGGGTGCCTCTCTCAAATTCCTGTGATTCCTTCCATCCTAACCTTTTCCTGCACCTCCTTTCTGCAGGAGGATCAAGGAGTGTATAACAGGCAATGGAGCAAACTTCTAATTGAGGTTTCCAGTTAGAAGTGGGAAAGGGGTTTGAGGTTTAGGCCCTGGGGATTCCTGTAGCCCTTGAATCATTTTATAACCCTGGCTTGCCTTATGTGTGAATACTTTTAAGAATGTAGCTGGAGATTTTCCCTAGGACTTCATGGCAGCTGGAGTCTGTGAGGTCTCCACTGTGTTCTCTGTGTTGCAGCATCTGCTCATTCTTGTCTCTTATCACCATCGCTGTGACCTTTGTCTTACCATTTCTCCCTCAGACCCCATAATTATCTGATCTCTTGAATTTAACAGAGCTCTATGCAGTGTAATTTCATCAGAGGCAATGTCAGAAAAACAAAACCTGTTGGCCATTTGGGAATTTAGAAAGCTCTCTGAGCATCCTGTCTTCATGCCTTTTGATTGCTGTGCACACTCTGACTTGGCCTTTACTTTCTGGTCACAACCAGCCACCAAGTGGCCAAGTAGAGTGTAGATGAAGGGAAGGTGTTTTCAGTAAGTGCTGCCAGTTTGCTCTGGAAACTGTATGCAGAAGAGATCATTTCCACACAATTTAACTCATCATTCCTTCATAAAATACTATCCACTCACTCAGTCACCAATCATCCATTTCTAATTATTCATTCATTTTTGTATTCATGTATTGAGTTCTGTTGAACACCTCTTCTACCAGACTAAAAGCTGGTGGAATTTTCAAGCTCCCATTCTTGGTATATTTTCTTCAAGAGCATATACTATTGTTTTGCTCTTTTAAAAGATGCTTTGAAAAGTAAGTCATGTTTCTAGAGCAGCTTCTGTGTAGATTCTTATTGAATGGGGTTATGGACTGAATTGTGTTTCCTCCTGGTCACAAAATTCACTTTAAACCCACAATTCCCAGTGTGATTTTATTTGGTAGAGTCTTTAAGGAGACAATTAAAGTTCAATGAGGTCATAAAGGAGGGGTCCTAATCTAGTAGGACTTGTATCCTTACAAAAAGAGGAAGAGACACCAGGAATATATTCACATAGAGAGGAAAGGCCACGTGAGAACACAATGAGAAGGTGCTGTCTGCAAGCCAAGAAGGGAGGCCTCGGGACAAAACCTACAAACACCTTAATCCTGGACTTCCAGCCTTCAGAACTGTGAGGAAGTAAATTTCTGTAGTCTAAGCCACCCAATCTGTGGTATTTTGTTAGGACAGCCTGAGTAGACTAATACAGATGGTAAGAAGGGATAATGTAGCATAGTCCTAGGTAATAAAAAACTTACAATATTAAATAATACATATTTTATATAGTGTATTGTTAGTATTAGTATCTTACAGTGATGTTAAATTTAAACTGTCTTTTCATAGGCTTACCTCATTTCAAACCTCTCACTAACATTGCAGAGTAGAAATAACTTTTGTTGTTGTTGTTGTTGTTGTTTTTGAGACAGACTCTCACTCTGTCGCCCAGGCTGGAGTGCAGTGGTGTGATCTTGGCTCACTGCAACCTCCGCCTCCCGGGTTCAAACAATTCTCTTGCCTCAGCCTCCCAAGTAGCTGGGATTACAGGTGTGTGCCGCCACACTGGGCACGGTGGCTCACGCCTATAATCCCAGCACTTTGGGAGGCCGAGGCAGGCAGATCACGAGGTCAGGAGTTCGAGACCAGCCTGGCCAAATATAGTGAAACCCCGTCTCTACTAAAAATACAAAAACAAAAACAAAAACAAAACACCTATTGTAATCCCCATTTTTTCAGAGGAGGGGAATAAGACTTAACAGAGATAAGATAGCTTGTTCAGACCATCCAGTTTGAAAAAGAAGAAACTAGAAACTCAACTCTATATACCCCAAAGGACTGCCTTGCCTGCAGTGACAGGAAAACACCCATGATACAACCAAAGATGTTTTTCAGAGTGTCAGATTAACAGAACATCAAGTTTAATGTGTAGGTTCTTCCCACCCTGACACCCTCTAGAATTTCAGCACACCCAATATAAAATCTGTATTCAAACACAAGGTAAATTCTAAGGCTATTTCGGCACTGTTAGCAGAATTACTACTTTGTTTTAAAGGTTGTTTCAACACCAAACTCCCCGGTACAGTCAAAATTTGATTCTTTCTTTAGAAAAATTGATTTATACACATTTTCCATAAACACATCTATTGTATAAAAAGTTATATAAGTTTGCGAGAATTGAGCAAGTAATGTTGAAGAAATGCTGATAAGGAGAGTAATGGTGTGTGGCTTCCTTCAACGGATTGTGGAGGCCTGGACCTATGACCTAAACATCCTTGGGTTCTGGCCTCAGTTACTTATCTGTATTCAGATTTAGATGTGGGAGAGAGATTTGTTTTACAAGCATTTGTTGATTTCTCTGATAAACATATATAACTCTGTCTATTCGTTCTTCTAGAAATACAGTACTCCCCTTCTCATTCAGTAGTTCAAGTGAGATCTGTCATGCTCTAACAGATCTCACCCCCTGAACAAACTGGACCAATTATAGAATCTTAGCCTGCTGACATCAGTTGGTTATTCTGTTAATGTAGGCCTTTTTTTTTTTTTTTTCATATTAACACAGTCAAAGCACTTCTTCAGCATTTTTGAACTCAGGCTCCAAAAGAAATTCTCTGGTGCTGTGATACGAGGCACTGGAGTTGTAAGCAACCATGTCTCTCATGACCAAAGAAGCTCATCTATGTAGGAGAGAATGGAGCTGACACAGACAGAAGCATTGATGAGAGAGGAAGGTGGTGGAATTACAATTCCTGATTCCTGGTGTCCCTGGGGCCCATAACATCCATGCCCTTCCAGCATCCAGTTGAGCTCTTAAGTTCTCCTTGTGCCTAAACTGGCTCTGGTTGAATTTGTCAGTAGGGAGCAAAAAAACCCCTTTCTATCAGTGAGGTTCTGAGAGTATATGTCAATAATCCATTGAGAAGATGGTAGCAGGATAATTTAGATTTGTGCAGTAAATGCTTAGCTGGCAAGAGTCACTGATTGGAAGAGGAAGGAAATGTAGGGAGGTGGCAAAAAAGCAACACCCTCTCTCAGTTTTGCCAAGGAAAAACTGTGCCTTAGAGAAGAAAGATCCTCCAACACAGAAAAAAGTCATAGTCATTGTCAAACCCATTTTATCGTCCCATAGCAAATACCGGATGCTTTGATTTGATTGTTATTTCTTCTGTTCTTGAGACATGAGGGCCTGTCTGAGGTTCATGAAAGGCACTAGTGCATGCAGACAGTTCCTGATCCCTGGGCAGAAGGGATTTGAGCTTGATTATTCTTATCCCAGCATGAAACAGGAGGACTTGGCCTGTTCCCCCCGAGATCTCAGCCCTCATAAGACCCCTGGACCACAGAATGTGGGACTAAAAAAGTTGGTTGAGCTTGTTCAAACAAAGTCTCAATTTCCCGACAAGCAGTTGGAACTTGGGGTTACATGTTGAGGTAGACTTCAGACTATTTTAATGGCATGCAGAGACATGGCTCTCCAACCAATTGGCATTCAGGAAATGTTTATCAGTTCTGACAGCCACAAGTTCCACCCTGGCCAATTTTAGCTCCTGTGACTGGAAGTGACTTGGATGTTTGAAATTCTGTAAAACACAAGCTAGTTTTGAAATGGAGCCACAGAACTTCAACGGTATTCTGGCTTAGCTCTTAGGCAATTTAGGTCAAAATTCTCCTCTCTCTTCTAAACAGGGAAAAGCTTCCCTGAAAGGACTGGTGATAAATTTTCAATAAATCTGCGGGGTGGAGGGAAATGAGAGAAGAAATTTTTAAATGATTTATGAACCTGAGTGAAATGATATTTTCATTGCTGTCCACGTTCCATAATTTTTCTCTTTTAAATTCCCTTTAGTGCCTTTTCAAGGAAATAGAAGAAAGGAGCCAGCGTCCTTTGGGGGTTACCTCTAAGATAGCAAGCACAGCACAGGACTACATATACACATGTGTCTGTTCATGTGTGTAAGCAGCTTCACTTGGGAGCAACCGATAACTCCATTTATAAGCGTGTTTGCCTCAGTATCAATAGAGAAGGAAATATATTTTATATAAGTACATTTTTGGAGATGTTTCCTTCATTAAAAACTATTATAAAATTTTTTTTGCATAGTCATGCTCCAGCCTTTTTTTTTTTTTTATCTGCCCTGTATGTACATGCAAAGGGTGGAGTATTGCTAACTGTGTGTGTGTGCCTGTGTGTGTGCTGAACATGCGTTGAGCAGCTGCTCTGGGTTTGTGCTATTTACTTTCTAAGCATTGTTTTTTTTTTAATATTCTCAAAAATTCTTGAAACAACTATTATAAAACATTCATTTGAGAAAAGACATAACTGATCTCAGAGAGGTTGAGTAACTGGTCTGAATTTCAATGAATGTGTGGTCTTTTAAGAAACATCTGGCCTCTCTGATTTTATCTCCTCTTCTGTCTGATGAATAGTCTCTCTCCTTACATCCAGGCACAACCCTTGACAGCAATGAATGGTATAATTCCTTTAGAAAATATCTATTTGGCCAGGCATGGTGGCTTACACTTGCAATCCCAGCACTTTGAGAGGCTAAGGCAGGAGGATCGCTTGAGTCCAGGAGTTCAAGACTAGCTTGGGCAACATAGCAAGGCTCTGTCTCTACTAAAATTAAAAAATTAGCTGGGCATGGTAGTGTACACCTGTAGTCCTAGCTACTAAGGAGGCTGAGATGGGAGGATCCCTTGTGCCCAGGAGTTCAAGGGTGCAGTGAGCTATGATTGTGCTGCTGTACTCCAGCTTGGGTGACAGAGCAAGATTCTGTCTCTAAAAAGAAAAAAAAAATGTTGAATTCATTCTATGAATCAGAGTCATTGACTAAATTATCAACCTAATAGCCACCAGAAGAAAAGATGGACCCTCACTAAGGCCAGATCTTGGATTTGAAATGAAAGTGGAATGTGAACCCACATGTGGAAACTCACACATGTGATATGATTTACTAACAAACATTGATAACACTACTGAAAATATGGTCACTTTAAAGAAACAAGTGACTAAAATCAACAAAAGGCACTTAAAGCAGTACTAATGAGCATCTATATCATGTTTTTCTGCTCACAGCATTAGGTCCAGTTTGACTTTTTGGCTTTAGATCATGAGTACCATTTACAAACACACACGCATGCACACATTTGGGGCCACATTTTTAACTAGTCCTCTTTGGTATTTTAATCTCGTTTTATTCCATGACTACTTTATAACACGTGATTGTCATACATAGCCTAATTCTTCCCCCCCTTATTAATTTTATTCTTATTTTCTCCTCTTTGTTCTCTTTTTTCTCTCCTTCCTTTGTGCTAATTTTTATGACTCTTGTTTTCTCTCTCACTTTGAGTTTTTCCTTTCCATCGTTGCTGTACTCACTTCCTGTTCTTTCTACTTTCTAAACATCCTTCCCATTGCCCTTGTCTCCAGAGCTCTATCTGGGGATGGGTAGTATTAGATCAGGATTTTCCATGGGAAACCCACTGAATGGTGCTGCCCCGGGATTGAGAAAGACCCAGGAGGTCAAAAGGGCTGAATGTTCCTGTACTTGTCTTACAACTGAATCCTCTGGCTAGTGGCTTCTTCCTTTTTTTTTTTTTTTTTTTTTGGCTTTGAGACATCTTCGGGTGAGAAAGAAGGTTATCTTTATAGGAATGTTTTCCTGAATAGAAAGCCAGTTGTGAACATTATGGGAAACTTTGAAGATGAGATGCCTGAGGCAAGTTAACTGGAAAAGTGTGTAGGTCCTACCAGAAATAATATTCACTGCTCCTCTGAAAGAGTTAGCAGAAGGCTGCAGAGAAATCAGGTTGAGAAAACTTCATAATTCAGCCATAGACATTAGAAAAAGAATCTTTTTATTAATTTTTTATTTCCATAGGTTTTGGGGAACAGTTAAAGTATTTGGTTACATAAGTTCTTTTGTGGTGATTTGTGAGATTTTGGTGTACCCATCACCCAAGCAGTATACACTGAACCCAATTTGTAGTCTTTTATCCCTCACCCTCTTCCTGCCCTTTCCCTCTGAGTCCCCAAAGTCCATTGTATCATTCTTATGCCTTTGCATCCTCATAGTTTAGCTCTCACTTATGAGTGAGAACATACTATGTTTGCTTTTTCATTCCTGAGTTACTTCACTTAGAATAATAGTCTTCAATTCTGTCCAGGTTGCTGCAAATGCCATTAATTCATTCTTAGAAAAGAATCTTACTCGGAAATACTTTCCACTATATTCGAGAGGCCCAAACTACCCTCTTGGTCAGAAAAGTACTCTTCTCCTGCACATGCATCATGATTCACAACCTCGGTAGTGTATTGTTTCCTAGGATTGTCATAACAAAAAAACACATACTGAATGGCTTAAACAACAGATATTTAAAGCACCAATCCTGGAGACTAAAAGTGTAAGACCTAGTTGTCTGCAGCGTTGTTTCTTTTGAGGCCTGTCTCCTAGGCTTGCAGAAGACCATCTCCCTGTGTCTTCACGTGGCCTTCCCTCTGTAAGGTATGTATCTGTGTCCTAATTTCCTCCTCTTATAACGACACCAGTCATAGTGGATTAAGGCCTATGCTAATGACCTTGATTTATCTTAATTACTTCTTTAAAGACTCTATCTCCAAATACAGCCACATTCTAAGGTCCTGGGGTAAGGCTTCAACATATGAATTTTGGGAGCACACAGTAAGCCCATAACATGTAGCAAATAGAGTATCTATGCAAATACAGCAGCCTCCAGTTAATGATGATGACAGAGTCTCTCCTGGTGTAGAGTCTGGAGAATCTGAGACGCATTAGCTTGTAGAACATTAAAATCATCATGGAGGAAACACATCCCTCGAATCTTTGCTTTAGTGCAACAGCTTGCCTCAGAGGCTGTGTTACTGATGAAAGCTATTTCTGCAATAGAAAGCCCTTGGTCTTCATTGTGACCAGCAATGAGAATCCTACCAAGGGTGTGCTGAGTTTCATGTTGAGCTCTGGCCTGGACAGACCCTGCCCTCTGAACATCTGTAACAGAACCATAGACTTATTTTCTTCATGAAAAAGCCCAGGAATCAATTCTATCATGAGAAGATTTGAAATCTATTTTCACCTGAGATTGAGAAAGTAGAAAGATGAGGATGAGATGCTAGAATTTTGAAAGCACACAAAAACCTCAGAAATTATCTGTATCTGTGTTTCCTGGACTTTTTGCATTTTGCCACCAGCAATTTTTAAGAGGGGTGTCCCTCAGGGTTCCCCAGTGTTTGCTTTGTTAAATATAGATAGACATCAATGAATGTAAAGAACATATTAACAAAAAGTTAGATGGATATAATCCAGAACATAAACAGATATTTAAATGGAGTCATTTGTCCTAACAAGCAGGCAAACAAATGCAAACAAGACAAAAACAAAACTCTCTTCACTTAAACATCTTGCCTTATTCTGACAAGAACTTCAGCGTGGATCAGGAGCTGTCTGCTGACTCACATTTGAAACCCTCACGGTTCTAGATCAATGATGTTCAAACTTGAGAAAGCTCAGACTCTCTACAAACTCAATTTGAGAGACATTAAAATCAAAGTTAGATGTTTCACTTCTAATTTTACTTTGGTGCAACATACTCATAGCAATATTGACTTTTTTTTTTTTTTTTTGGCAAATGAGAGAGCCTAATGGAGAGAGGTCATAGGAATTAAAAAGCATGATTAGGCTGGGATAGAACAAAAGTCACAAAAGATGCCTGTTTCCTCCCATCATGTTTTTAAATATAAGATTTGAACATTTCTACAGATAAGATAATTTAACATAAGGACAGCTATTCAAAAAAGATGGATGTTGGGGTGCTCAGGAAACAAAGCCATGACTGATGAAATAAAAAAGGCTGCATCCATCCACCCTACAGTCTTTTCCTGCTCCAATTCTTAATCCCTTCTGCATCCGAATCACCCAGAGGATATGTTAAAACCAGATTGTTTGGCCGAAGTATATCCAGAGTTTCTGATTCCACAGGTCAGGGTAGGGCCCAATATTTCGCATTGCAATGATTTCCCAGGTGATGCTGTTGTTGCTGGCTGGAGGGTAACACTTTGAGAACACTTGCTCCAACACAGGCTGAGAAGTGGAGCATCCTGACCACCCAGTACTGAGAGGCAGGAAAGAGCAAATGGGAAAATAGAAAACACGGTGGACGAAGGACGGAATGCAGACCAAGAAGCAGCTCCAAGAGAGTGCAGAGAGATCCAGGGATTTGGGGATATGAGCAGATTACTTCTACACAATGCTTCTTAAAATAGTTGCTCTCTGCATTATGCTGGATGCTTTGAAAAACAGACATTCATTACAACTTTAAAAGTCAAATGACTGCAAAAAAAAAAAAAAATCTTAATTTGAAAGCACAGAGCCCAGGCACTTTAAAATTTGGTGAGCATGCATGATTTTCCATCAGCAGCTGTTAGGAGGATAATCAAGGATTAAATTTTCATTTAATCATTTTTATATATGAATATACTTCCCTCTCCTTCACCCCAACCCAAGCCATTTGAAAAATGGAACTGAACCTCTGGCTCCAAGTCTTATCTTCAGAGAACAAATAGATTTCTTCAATTTTGTGAACTTATTAAAGTGATTTAAGAAATATTTGATTTAATTCCTATTTTCTAAATTAAATTTTTATAGAAAATAATAGTTTGTTTTGTTTTTACTATAGTGTTCTCATGTGCCTGAGTGGGTGAGGAGATTCTATTCTATATCTAGAAAGAAATCTGGGCAAATTATATCTTATTTGAATCCAAGGCTTGCTGGAAATTGGTGAAAGTGGACATGAGGGGGACATGAGGAAGTTTCATAGCAGAACCAAAGGACCGAACGCTAGAAGGGGCCCTAGGGGTCATCCAGGCACATAGCTTTATTTTATAGGTGGGGAGTCCCAGGTCCTGGGACGATCCCTGTGCCGATCATCACACAGCCAGGCAGTGTCCATCCTGGGACTGTCAACCAGCTCCTCTCATTCAGTCGACACTCTTGCCAGCTGGCCATGTGCCTCCTCAAAGAACCAATAGAGCTCCAGCTCTACTAACTGGGTAAATGGTCTGTTAACTGGGTAAATTGTCATGTCCTGTATTTGGTTTTGACTCCAAGTCCTGGCACCCTGGGGAGAGACACAGGAACCTAGAGGATCTTGAAAGCAGCCTTGAAGACAAGTCCTGGACACATGTCAGCCACTAGGCATCTTCAGCCCAGAGCAAGTGAGCTAACATATTAGAGGCCACACACATATTTCCATCACATGAGCTGAGATGCTGAAAATTTGGAAAGGGGTCCTCAGGGGAAGAGGAGAGAAGTGCAAATATAAACCATCCAACTGCACAATTTGGTGAAGATTTTTGCTTCCATAGACTGTGAAACAACCTCAATTTTCATGCTTTGAAGGCCTGCAGGCAGCTGACTGGATTTTGCTTTTTCTCTGGGAAGAATCCACACTCCCTTGTCTCTATGTTTGAGGAGAGAAATCCTCTATTTGAATCTTCTTTATTTCAGCAATCTCGGTGAAAATAAGAGGTCACCAAGGAGTGGGGTGTGGGGGACCGTAAGCCATCCTCAGGGGCCTGACCTGGGTTTCCGTTTGCAGCAGCCTGGAGGGGGCCACGTTCTTCCTGCGCCCCATAGCTGCCCCAAGGAGGCCAATGATGCTGGCAGGCTCAAGCTGGGCTTTGCCAAACCAGAGGGAAGGACTTCCCAACCCTTCCCTGGGGCAGGCCTGGGCAGCCGCCCACATTTACTCCGATTGATTCCAGCTGCACAGTGCCTGGCTGGCCTGGCCTTCTGCATTAGTAATGCTGTGTGAAGGGAAAGGAATACCAGCACACTTGCTCCCCTACCCATCCCCTTTACCTCCACATGGCCATCTTGCCAATTCTCTCACCATACTCACTTCCATTTCCTGCTTCTTTCCTTCTCTCTCTTCTTTTCCCATTCCCCCCGAACACACTGTGCTACCCTTTCTCTTTCTCTGCATCTTTTCCGGCTCTGCATTTATATCCACCCAGACTTTCTCCCTCTCCCAGGGGCTTGCTGTAGCACCCTGCTGTTTTCTCTTCCTACTGCTGGCTCACATCACCTCTAGTGTCACACCAGAGTTAAGCCATCCTCATTGCTCCTTTTAAATAGAGAGAGAGAGAGATGTTGATTTTGCACAGCTGCAAGCAGGATTGAGCAAGATGGCTCTTTACAGCATGGTCTTTTGTGGCCAAAAAGGGAGAGCGCATTTGTGTGTGTTTAGCAGCTTTGTCCGGGGCTCCATTGTCCAGCATTCAAGAGCAGATCCCTACTTTGCCAGAGAATCACAGACAAATAGTCAATTTGCTTTAAAAGACCCTTGATTGAAACCTTTGGAGAACTCTACCTTTGGCCGTGGTTTCAGAAAGTGATTGCCTGTCATCTCAAGATGTTAGAGTCAACAGCAGGTCTGCTCAGGACCACATGTTTATTTTCCACAGTGGCATGTGCTAGGTCACGTGGTGTCCATTTAATTTCCACGACTGACATTCCACAGGTCTGAGATTTCATTCCTCTGGGATTATTTCAAATACTTGTGGTTTTAACTAGCAGGGGGAAAATATATATATATTTAAAAAGGAAAAGCATAAGCCACCAGCCCCTGCACCCCCTGCACCCCCTTCAATGGTGTCCTTGGCAGAGTTTTGTGGGCAGCTCCTCCGCCCTTTACCTCTCAGAAACCTCCAGGCAGAGGGATCCCAGAGAGCATAGAAAGGCCCGGATGTATGCTTTCTAGAGATCTTAAAAGACTAAGCCTTTTGAATTGACTTCAGCCTTTCATAATTGGGGCAGTCATTGTACTTTTGATTCCTGACACCTGCCTTTGTCTCGCCCACTGACAAGCTGGGTTATGGGACTCAGCGTTCTGGAGGTGCCGGAACAAATGTCCACCCCTATCCCCAGGGTACTTGATATTTCCTGGTGAAGAGACTGGTGGTACCTTTTATCTAACATTCCCTAGTTAGATCTCAGACGGTAGAGGAAAGAGGAGAAAACTCTTACTGAAGTATTTGGATTGTTGTTTCTCACTGGGAGTTAAAGGAACAGAAATAGATAAACTATGGCTGCTACAGAAGAATGAGGTGTCAGCAACAGGGCCAGCCCAAAGCTAAATTGTGGGGAAAAAAATAAGTTGACATCATCTTCATTTCAATCACCCCCTTCCATCTCTTTGAATTCCACTGAAACCTGGCACTTCTTTATGATAGTTCAACTGCCTGGAGAACTCCTGATAGGTGTGTTGTGCAGGGCCAAGAATGGCCTTCTGTGTCCTGCCTCTCCTTCTCTGTGATTCTTACAACTCCAATGCCTCATTCCCTCTTAGCTAATCCTGTGCTAAGGAACAGTTAAACTCAATTCGGTGGAAGGCATCTTAATGGATCATACTTTTGTGTTGCTTCTCTGATGTGATAATTTCATTTTAACAAAGGGTTAGTTACCAATGATAGAACTATCATTAAGACAGATTCTGGAAGGTTCAAATCCAACAGGAAACTTGCTATCACCAATTGATGACCAAAATCAGAACCTAATGGTTTACAGTTTTTACTTCTCAAAACTATTTTTCTTGACTGTGTTGGGAAAGAAAGGGAAAAGGGGCAAATCTCAGGTATAACCTAAATTAGGATTTTGGAATATCAGCTCTGGAAAGACCTTGAAAGGTCAACCAAACATCATAAGTACCCTGTGATGTCCCTTAGGCTGGGGCTCATGGTCAAGGCCATGAAATGGCCGTATATTACCCCTTTACATGGACCAGTGTTGCTCTTGTCTGCAGATTGTATGCTCTAATGTGGATAAATTGTATTTGTTTACATTTCTATAGACAATGCCAGACATTAAATTTTGTCACATCCTGCTACCCTTACCTTCTTTCCTGATGCCTCTACCATGTTCTTCTGAAGGACCCATGTGAAAGAGTGACAGTGTTTTCAAGATGGGCTTGTGTAGAAGTTGGTTTTAGTGACACATTTTCAAAGAGATGGAAGTGAACATTAAACTGATCACTGCATTTGGATCCATTGACTCTATAAAGTGGCAATTTGACTTTGGAAATTAGTTGTTCCAGGGATGATGGACACTGAGGAGTTTTAGATAAATTCACACGTAATAGACTAAGTTGTCTAGGAAGTTATTCCTAACTTTTGTATTTACCAGTGCATGAGACACATGTAATCCTAATGCATACCTTATGGCCCTTCTGCCATTATTGAGACTTTGTATGCTAATTCTTAAGTTCTTCCTCTCTTCTTTTAATAAAATGGCAGGTCAGCTATTGGCCAGCAAGAAGAAAAGTTAATATTTCAATCAATTTTAATCAAATAATGAGCTAGTAATTAAAATATGCAAGTCATGAGTTTTTAGAAATTACAATATGGTTAATATTGTTTCCAATTGATTTCTTTATTTCTATGTAGCTCTTGGCAATCTTAAAATATCAGTATATTGGAGATTTCCTCCATTTCTCCAACCTCATAGAGGAGGTTCCCCAAAGTGTGCCCTGCGGAGAAGGTATAAAATCACTGGTGTTAAGTAGGACCCAAGGGCCCCATAGTCAAGTATGTTTATATTACCTAGGTTGGCTAAAGTTCAATCTCTTTAAGGATTTCTCCCAAGTTTCAAAACGTATGTGCATTGTTTTTCATGTAAAAGGTGGCAATTATCACATATTTGAGCCACAGAACATCCTCTGGGAGAAATATCAGGCACAACTAGTACGCACAAGGACTATTGCTCCCAAATGAAGCACTTTGGAAAACACTTGTAATAATAACAACTACAGTAGTCACAACTGTCATGAGCATTTACTGAGCACTTAGTATATGCCAAGCACTGTTCTTCATATTTGGCATATCCTAGACCCCCGTTTCATTCTCACCACCATCCTATGAGCGAGCTACAGTTATAACCCCCAAGGCATAAAAGGCATAAATCACTTTTCCAAGGTCACCTGTTGTTACTTTTGGAGATGTGATTTGAACGAGGCTGACTGACACTAAAGCCTGGACTCTGCACGCTCACACTGGGCTCCCATCCCTCCTTTCTGTGATGGGAGGTTGACAATGGTAGGACATAGTGCCCAGGAGCCTACCATAACCCAGGAGCACAGATGCCCAGAAGTGCCCGAATCTCACAGACCACCCCTGTTGCAACAGTGAAAACATTACCAGTATCAGGAGTAGGAACATTTGATCAATATTATTATTTCCTATCTGAAATATTTAAACCTCTGAAATCTTAGAACCATTGCAATATGCTACAGCCCAGAATTTAGCACCTGATTTGATCTGCTTTCTTAGGGTTCCAGCTGTGTAAGTCTGGATAAGCTAGGTACTTTTGTCTTCTCAACTGAACTTTAAGCTTCTTGTAGGCAAGGACCTTTCTTATTGCTTCTTCCTGACATAATAAGTGCAAATTATATTGATCAATTGATTTGGATGACCATTTTAATAATCATCCTTTTATTCTTTGTTATAGTATCTTATTTTCCAGTAACGTCATCCACGTGGTCCTTTGCAGTTTGTAAATGCTTTGACCAGTACTGAGATCATTGATCCCCATGACAGCTCAGTGAGGGAGATGGAAGTTGTCTCTCCCCTTTCCAAAGATGACTAGGGGTGTGACTTGATCAGGCTCCTAGAGGAGAATTTGAAGGTGGAAGAACTGGAACTCAATGTAGTTTCTTCAAATCCAGGCCTTGCACTTCTCTCAGCTGCCTTGATCTCTACATCACCTCAGAGAAGTGCAGCGTCTCATCCAGGAACTACCATTCTCATTGGAGTGTGTCCCTTCATATGCTGACACTGGCACACTCACACGTGGATTTCCCTGAGCTCTGGAGCTACACTGCCTTCTAACCCCTACAGTTGCTTTTCAAATAGAAGGCAGTGGTTTTGGCCTGTAAGACATCAGGCAGAAAAGAAAGGGAGGTTTGGAAAACTTCAGTGGTACACTCTTATCTCCTCTCTCCTGCTCAGAGGGTGGAGAAAGATCCCTATCACTCTGGAATAATTTTTAGGGTTAGGACAGCAATAAAGTTCCTTGGAATCATGAATTATGTCCACTGTAGGGTCATAGAGGCAAAACAGGAAGAAATAATATGTTGGAGAGAAATGACAACCCAGGGCAGGGGAAAGAAACAGCATTTGGATAATTCGCCACAGCACAATTGCTGCTGTCTGGAAAAATGAAAGGAGTTTGCAGTGTGCCCCAAATCTATGGGAATTCATTTCACATAAATGGCACCAAAAGAATGATCATAAAGATAGCTACAGACTCAGGATTCCAAGTTGGCTGCCTTATGTTTGGCCAGAAATAATTTAGAAGTATGTAAGTGAGAGAAATACAAAGAGAAGGAAAGGTGAAGAGTAAAGATAAGAGTGATTCATAAATTGAATGAAGATTTTTTTTCCTATGGAATAATGCATTCAGTAAGGAAACAAGTATGTCTTCAAGGGCACTGAAGGAGCACTGCACTTTAGATATTGAAAATGGAACCAAGAAGAATGTGGCCAAAATGCTTAACGAGAAGGGTAATATTTTATTTCTTTAGTAATTGCCAAGCACTGAAGCCCAAGTTTACTCTGAAGGTATATTCTTGGAAGAAAAGAATATAAAGGAGTAATCTGGGGAAGTAGATGGCAGGATTTGTTTTGTCCCTCAGACAAGAGAAAAAATAACGGTAGAGCACAAAGCTTGAGCATTGGGCTCAGTATTTCTGAATTTGTCTTCTCAGATATGGTGCTAATGGAATGATTTTTTTGGTAGAGGGGGAATGGGAGGGAGGGATGTCAAAAAGCTAACTACTCCCTTAGCAAACTCTGACAGAGTTCAGGGAAGACCAGTTCTAGCACTAGAGAATTTTCTATTTTCCAAGTTTGTTAAAATATACACAGATGACAAGTTAGCCTGAAGCAAAATCACGAAATAGGAGAACATTGGCTTTAGGACCTTATGAATCAATCCATCATTAGATATTTATTGAGCAGCTCCTCTGTGCAATGGATCATACTAGGGAAGGCATAAACACAAGGCACATGTGTCCTTGCCCTTGAACAACCTACAGTTTAGTTAGGAAGTCACAAGTTGCTATACCCAGAAGAATTAAATAGTATTCTGAGTCACATCATGAAGTAACAGGAAGAAAGATCTTACAGAGATCTTTAAATTTGAAGAGCAAACACTATGTAGCATTTACCATGTTGCAAGTCAACTTTTAAAAACTTCACACTCAGTAACCCTACTACTGGGTACATACCCAAAGGAAAATAAATGGTTCTGTCAAAAGACATATGCACTCATATGTTCATTGCAGCACTATTCACAATAGAAAAGACATGGAATCAACCTAGGTGCTCATCAAGAGTGGACTGGATAAAGAAAATAAGGTACATATATACAATGGCATACTACTCAGCCATAAAAAATAATGAAATCATGTCCTTTGCAGCAACATGGATGCAGCTGGAGGGCATTATCCTTGAATTAACAATGCAGAAACAGCCAAATGCCATGTATTTTTACTGGCATTTGTTGTAGAATCAACAATGTACTGGCATTTACTGGGAGCTAAACATTGAATACACATGGTCATAATGATGGTAACAACAGATACTGGGGACTACTAGAGAGGGGAGGAAGGGAGTGGGGAAAGGGCTAAAAAACTATGCATTGGGTATGATGATCACCACCAGGGTAACAGGACCATCCGTACCCCAAACCTCAGCATCGTGCAATATACCCATGTAACAAACCTGCACGTGTACCCTCTGAATCCAAAATAAATTTTATTTTCTATTCTCTTAATTTCTTTTTTTTTTTAATTTAAGTTTTAGGGTACATGTGCACAATGTTCAGGTTAGTTACATACGTATACGTGTGCCATGTTGGTGTGCTGCACCCATTAACTCGTCATTTAACATTAGGTATATCTCCTAATGATATTCCTCCCCCCTGCCCCCACCCCACAACAGGCCCCGGTGTGTGATGTTCGCCTTCCTGTGTCCATGTGTTCTCATTGTTCAATTCCCATCTATGAGTGAGAACATGCGGGGTTTGGTTTTTTGTCCTTGCGATAGTTTGCTGAGAATGATGGTTTCCAGCTTCATCCATGTCCCTACAAAGGACATGAACTCATTATTTTTTATGGCTGCATAGTATTCTATGGTGTATATGTGCCACATTTTCTTTTTTTGTTCTTTTAATTTTATTATTATACTTTAAGTTTTAGGGTACATATGCACAATGTGCAGGTTAGTTACATATGTATATATGTGCCATGCTCGTGTGCTGCACCCATTAACTCGTCATTTAGCATTAGGTATATCTCCTAATGCTATCCCTCCCCTCTCCCCCAACCCCACAACAGTCCCCAGAGTGTGATGTTCCCCTTCCTGTGTCCATGTGTTCTCATTGTTCAATTCCCACCTATAAGTGAGAACATGCGGTGTTTGGTTTTTTGTCCTTGTGGTAGTTTACTGAGAATGATAATTTCCAATTTCATCCATGTCCCTACAAAGGACATGAACTCATCATTTTTATGGCTGCATAGTATTCCATTGTGTATATGTGACACATTTTCTTAATCCAGTCTATCATTGTTGGACATTTGGGTTGGTTCCAAGTCTTTGCTATTGTGAATAGTGCCGCAATAAACGTACATGTGCATGTGTCTTTATAGCAGCATGATTTATAATCCTTTGGGTATATACCCAGTAATGGGATGGCTGGGTCAAATGGTATTTCTAGTTCTAGATCCCTGAGGAATCGCCCCACTGACTTCCACAATGGTTGAACTAGTTTACAGTCCCACCAACAGTGTAAAAGCATTCCTATTTCTCCACATCCTCTCCAGCACCTGTTGTTTCCTGACTTTTTAATGATTGCCATTCTAACTGATGTGAGATGGTATCTCATTGTGGTTTTGATTTGCATTTCTCTGATGGCCAGTGATGAATCCAAAATAAATTTTAAAAATTAATAAAAACAAAACATAAAAACTTCATAAATTGCCTCCTTTTATATTTAAGACAGCCTTATGAGGTCAATTCTACCCTCATTTTATAGATTAGGAAATTATGACACAGCTGGTCAGCAGTGGAATAGGATGGGAACCAGCAACATAAACCTAGAGCCTGGGCCCTCCACCACTGTACATGCTGCCCCTTGGGAAACACTGTGATGTCCAGCAAAAGGGGAGTTAGCCAGGCAATCACACCGCAGGGATTCTGAGGAAGGGGATGCTGCAGTCATCATTCTGGTCCGGACTCTCATTGTGTGCTTTGAGCCTAACCATAGCCCTGCCAGGGTGAGAGGGTAGGCCCCTATTAATTAATGCCCACACCTACAATAGAAAGGATTGACCAACTTTTTCAAGGTCATACCACTCTAAACAACAATCTGGTGAAGCTAGAACCCGATAAAAATAAGATCCCCTTCCTGGTAATCAGAGCCTCCCACCCTGGATGGGGGAGCCACTTTGTAGTCCAGGCACAAGGCCCGGTCCTGAGTACCCGCTGTCTTACTGTCATTCCTTCATTCGACAACATTAATTGAGCACACTGCTACAGACTGAACATCAAGGAGAGGATGGAACAAAGGCAACTCCAGCATGAGCCAGAAACAGTGACAGACCCCTGAGACCTTGATCATGGCTTTAAACTTTGTATTTTGAAAGAATTTTGGACTTACAGAAAAGCTGGAAAAGTAGTACAGAAAATTCCCATGCACACTTCCTCCAGCTTTGACTGCTAACATCTTGCACACACATAACACAAATATCAAAACTGAGAGATTAATGTTGGTACAATATTATTCACAAATTCAAGATTTTATTTGAATTTCATCAGTTTTTCCAGTGTTTGTTTTCTGTTTCAGAATCTAATCCAGGGACCTACGTCACATTGAGATCTCATTGGTCCTAAATCTCCTCCAATCTGTGTCAAGTCCTCAGTGTTTCCTCGTCTTTCATGACCTTGATACTTTTGAAGAGTCTTGGTCATTAATTTTGTAGAATATTCCTCAATGTGAGGGCGTCTGATGTTTTCTCGTGATTGGATTGTGGTTATGCATTTTTACTAAGAAATTTACCAAGGAAGTGATGTGTTCTTCTCAGCGTATAAGATCAGGGGTTAGTGATATTGATAGAGCCATTTACTGGTGATATTAACCTTTATCACTTGGTTAAATTGGTGTTTGCCGAGTTGCTCCACTGCAAAGTTCCTTTTCTTCTCCCTTTGAAATTTATAGATATCTTAGAGGAGATACTTTGAGATTATACAAATATCCTGTTTCTGTTCAAACTTTCATCTACAAATTTTAGCACACATTGGTGGATCTTGCCTGTACCAATTCTAATGTAGAGTTTTAATGATGATTCCTTATTTCCCTCATTTTTCTACATTTACTAAGCAAAATTCTTCTGGAAGGAAGAGCTGTTGTTTCTCCTATGTTTTTTAAGTGTTTATGTATATCGGTTTAGACTCATGGATATTTATTGTATTCTGCTGTTACAGATCAGGTCATTGAGAGCTCCTTCAGGTTGGTTTTTCTGCCCTTTTGATCTGCCCACATTCCGTTTAAAGCACTTTCTTGCTTTTAGCCACTGCAATATGTTCCAGGATCATTTTGTATTTTCCTTACTACAGCTGTGGAATCAACCAGGTCTCCAAGGACACCAATGAACGAGGTCTCCTTTTATTGGAGAATGGCATTTAGAAACCAAGATCTGGGCATTAGGTATACCCATTGCTACTATTATGACATTACTCCTAAGTCCCCTCAGCAGACAGAGCTTAAAATATATACTAATGGCTATTAACACAAGCATGTGCACTATCTTTTCTATCTATCCATCTATCTCTATCTATTAGAATCAAAGGTGTCATTATGAAGAGTATGAATCAAATGTGTCAGATCCATCTATCTTCTGTCTAACTATCAGATATCAGTTCATACTGACTCCTCTGATTCTAACCCAATACCACAGAGTTCATTTGAGCCTTCCTATTTTCCTTTTTTGTTTTTATTGCTCATTATTTATTTATTTATTCATTCATTTACCAACAGTGAAAAGGAACAGTTTTTACCAACAGGACTTTAGCTTTTTCCAACCTGACTCTCATTTTCTACAATATATTGCTCCCTCAAAACTATAAGGCACATAAAGTATTTTCAGAATTATTAACCCATACTCTTTTGAGAAATAAATTTACTAACTATATCACAGTATTTTTACGTAGTTCGTTTTATCTTGAGCCTTAGTGTATTAGTCCGTTTTTTTTGCTGCTGATAAAGACATATCTGAGACTGGGTAATTTATAAAAAGAGGTTTAATGGACTCACAGTTCCACATGGCTGGAGTGGCCTCACAATCACAGTGAAAGGCAAAGGAGGAGCAAAATCATGTCTTTCGTGGGGACAGGCCTGGGAGAATGAGAGACAACCGGAAGGGGAAGCCCCTTATAAAATCAACAGATCTCGTGAGACTTATTCACTACACGAGAAAAATATGGAGGAAACGGCCTCCATGATTCAATTATCTCCCACGGGGTCCGTCCCATAACACATGAGAGTTATGGGGGCCACAATTCAAGATGAGATTTGGATGAGTACACAGCCAAACCATTTCACTTAGTATATGATTTTTGAGTTTTGAAAAACAGAAACTTACCTTGAGCTTTCAGCTGTACTGTTCTCTGTGCTGGCCATATCTCTCCTGGAGGGTTATGTTCTAGAAATTTCACTTTAAGAGGGACACCAGCAAAGTAGAGAATATCCAGAAAAGGATGGTTAAGATGGTGAGAAGTTCAGGAGCAAGACATTCATTAACCCAGTGAGTGGGCCATGTCTTTGTATGCACCTATACATTCACTCAGTTATCACTGGTCCACTCACCCATTAAAAATCATTTATTTGGGGTATATAAAACAACATATCCTATTAGCAACAAAATAGTGGGATTGTTGAGGTTGGATCAGAAGTCAGAGTAAGGCTATGACAATTTTCTTCAAGCTTATGAAGAGCTCTTATGTAGAATAGGAATTAGACTTTTTCCTAACTAGCTCCAAAGAGCCAAACCAAGACCAACGGGCAGAATTTAGAGTGAAGCAAATTTCGGTAAGAAAGAATAATTCTTAGAATGGCCCAACAATTAAATGGGCCATCTTGTAGAGTTATGATCCTCATTACTGGAAATCTCTGTCAGAGGCTAGGAAGTTGGAAACAAGGTCCTCTAAGGTCCTTTTGAAATATGATTTTATCTGGTTCTATAACACATCCCTTCATAACCAGATATTCATTTGCTTTGTGTCTGCCCACCCTTTCATTTTATTTGGACTCTTGTAAAAGGCACTTGGCTTGAGAGAGCACCATCAGAGACTGCAAAACCTGCACATGAATAACAGATTCTGTCATATTAAGAGGGAGAGAAAATTATAACCTGGACATTTAAAAACGGATGATTTGGCCATCATTTAGTATTCACTGGCTGAGTAAAAGGTGCTTCAGGAATAAGCCTGAGGAGAGGGCAAGCCCATCATTTGGGAAAGAAGTGGAGACAAAGGTAATTTATAAGCAGAGAGTGAGTTGCCCTGTTGTTACTGTTTTTAGAATTTATTTCAGGTCAACAAATATTTGTTAAGCACCTAATGTGTGCTGGGTATCATTTTACGTGCTAGGGAGAGAACAGTTACCAAAATAAACAAAAATCCTTGCCATCATGGAGTGTACCTTCCACTAGGCAGAGACAAACAGTAGTTAATTAAAGTATATCGTAGGTTAAAGTTGATGCATAAAATTGATTAACAACAAAAACAACAACAAAAAACAGGTAAGGAGAATCAGGCTCACCAGGGTAGGAAGTTGTGGTGTAAAATGAAGTGGAGTTCAGGGTGAATCTCCTGAAGGTGATCTTGACTTGAGACCTACAGGAAGGATGGAGGTCATTGATGCCTGCTGTGCATCCTGAGGAGTGTGCTAGAACTGCACTTCCTGGTTCCCTACTGCTTCAGTAAGGCCACGCCATCAGTCCCGACTAATGAGCTAAGAGAGGAAGTGGGTATATTCCACCTGTGCTGGTGCATCTAATGACACTGAATTTGGGGAGTTTGGAATTTCAATTCTGACGGGTTCCTCTCCCACTCACATTGCACTAAAGCCTGAGAAGGGCAGGAGGTCTTGGCCATGTCATGCTAACTGTAGGGCTCTTTCAAGCCATTGGTTTTATTCACAAATCTGGGATCTTTTCATTTACATTCTCCAAACTTCCATCGAGACAGAGTTAACTACACTTTACTGAGTGCATGGCCTCTTCATAATTATTAGCCAAGGCTTTATTTTCATGGAAAATTCAACCTAAACTCCCTTAAAAAAAATCAAGTTGTTGATACTTTCTTTATAGCCTTTTATGGCCATAATGCTGTGAAAATCTCACTACAAACTGGTGATTATCAGTTGGTATGTGGCAGTTCTCTGGGTGCCAATCACCCTTTGCAGACACATTGCCAAATCATATATACAACTGTGTGTACAATAACTTCATTACAACTGAGGACCCATAATTGTATAGCTATGGCTGTCTGGCCGAATGCTGAGCTGGGTGATATGAGTACTTCTTGCTATAGGTCAGGGGTAAGGAATATAGTGTGTGATCAAACAACTACCAGCCTAACATCCTGTATTTTTAATAACATGTGAGAACACTGCCTTTTGAGTTAATAACAGAATGGAGTCAGGGCAGTGACACGTCTCCTCAAACATGACATAGATCTGAAGGGAAACCAGGCAAACCATGTGTACATTAATGTGGAAGCTTTTATGGGCACTGGGAGGTTCTCCAATCATACTAGTAATGCATTCTCCTCATGGACAGCTTGTTTAGGAACATTTAGTGTTCAGGGTTCTGCCAAAAATTCCAATTATTCAATTCAAAAAATTCTGACAACACATCCGGACACAGGCCTGTCCTGTAGAGTCACGTTTTCAAACATGAGGTAGGTGGGTATGTCACAGCAGTCTACTGAGATCTGATCCTCCTCATGCAGCTGATAGGAGATGGAGCTGAGAGCCTGACTTTGCTCCCCAAGTTCAGACCTCTTAGTCTCCATGCTCTGCGGCCTCATTTGATAACTCCACAACATTTTCTGAGCTCCCACCCTTCTGGTTATCCTTACCACACTCTTTCTGGCCCCAGCATCATGATGATACCACACTCTATTCCACTGTGCTGTCAACCCTTTTAGACTCATGGCATCCATTGTTGGGGAAACTGGATATTTTTAGGAGTGTGAGCTAGCCTACACATCAATAGGCAATCATTTTCAAACATTTGATCATTATGAATAATGCAATCATTAATGAATGTCTACTATGTGCCAGTGCCAGGCACTAAGATATCAAGAACTACAAATGTTCAGATGTCAAAGAACATCAGACCTGTTGTTTCTGGAGTTCTCTGGATCCTGTGAATCACACCCTTACTTGCCATTTATGTAATGTGGAGGACATTCCTGGAAAGAAATATGACCATTATTGTTATGGGAAATATAAAGGCAAGAAACCAAACATCCTGACACTGAGGACACTTAGATTGCAAAGGTGTTTCCCAATGACTGTGATGGAAACTGGATCCTTAGCAGCATTCAAGACTAGACTAAACAGAATTATAAAGAGATAAATTGTAGAGAACAGTTTGGCGTGGACTAAAGGATGTGCCTGTTTTGTGTTCTTTCATCTCAAATCCATGACTGTAAAAATTTTATTTTCTCAGGGATTTTTGTTTGTTTTTATGCCTCTATAGCAAACATAGTTCAATGCCCACAATTCAGCACTTGACCGTAAAATGTTGTGCATTCATCTCCATTTGTTTCATGCCCATTAATCATGTCCACCCTCTCCCTTGCAAAAAAATTGTAATCTCCAGGGAAGGGAAAGCATCATAAAATTTTATTCTGTAAATCCCACAGTAACTAGAACAAAGTTGAAGCAAATACCAAGTACCCGATAAATATGTGTTGATAAACTATGGGTTTATTTAACACAAATATATGTCTAAGCCCTACACTAGGATCTGGAGAATTTAAATATGTTCCTTCCTCAAACTATAGGAGAAGTAGAAGAAAGACCACAAGTAGTTAAATGTTCGTATAAAAGTTAAATAGAAATGCTGAGAACTAATACATATAGCAAAAAAGAGATCAAAAACAGTCTCTAATACAGGATAAATAAATGGTACGATATGATCTATGCAACCACCTTGAGTGCTTTGTTTCATAAACAGTTGGACTCAAACTGACAGAAGATTTTGTCTCAGCTGAAGTGAAAAAGAATGCTCTGATTTTTCCCCCTTTGTCCTGGTGTCTCTTTGGGATAGCAACACGGTTACATGAAGTCTAAATGTGTGGTATGTGAGAGATTTGGAAGCACCTAGTATAAGCAATTATGAACAGCTATGGTCTTGACTCAAAGGTAGTGGACAGGTGGTAAAAAGTCTGGACTGCAGGCATTTCATCTGTTGAATGGAGAAGGGTAGAGAGCTGGTATACACCATGGCTCAGACTGGCCAAAGGTTGAGCCTTATATGACAGATAAGGCTGGACAGTCAAGCATGAACTATGAGAGTTATTGAGAAAGTCTATTGTCCAGCAGGTTAGAGCAGCAAAGGTGGAGGAATTGAAGTGGAGGCACCAAGGGGAGTTCTGATCTGGGTGGAAAGAGTCTTCAGCATCACTTTGCCTCCTTTATGCTGTTGGTGTGTTTGTGTGTGTGTGTGTGTGTGTGTACAAAACGGGATGGGAGGAGGCATGGGTCACTAACAATGATCATTGACAGAAGGAGGGAAATCCTGAGGGGGATTCCTTCTTCCCAAAAGAAACCTGAATGATCCAAGCTTTATAGGCCAAATCAAGATAAAACAATGAGAATGACCTGGACCTCTCAAGGCTCTCCCCTTTCATTTTCACTGCTAGGGCCCTCTTCACTCAAAAGCAGAGTGGATAGGCTGGATTTCAGTTGTGCTAGGAAGATTCTTCTCACGTGGTTGGTGCCTAAAGGACATTCCTCTGGTATAAGACTTTGTTTTAAAGTGAGTATATGCCATGTAGAAAAACATGATAAGGTTTTAGCTGTCATTTGTACATTACTGAGGCTGTTCTTCAAATCCTTCCATTTAGGGCAAGAAGTAGAGGGCAGGCATTGATAGATGGGGAGTGTAGCTAATAGTGCTAATGTCCACAGCCCCCAGCGTCACTGTCTCCCATATGACGTCTTACCACAATTCACTGAGACTGCCTGAGTGCCAGGGGTTAATGCCTAAGCTCCAGCCACCAACCCCTCCATCATCAGTCAAACTGCCTTTGACTGATGATGAAATAGATGAAATGCCTGCAGTCCAGACTTTTTACCACCTCTGCACTACCTTCGAGACAAGACCATAGCTGCTCATAATTGCGCGTACTATGTGCTTCCCAATCTCTCACAAGCCACATATTTAGACTTCATGTAACTGTGTTGCTATCCCAAAGAGACACCAGGATAAAGGGGGGAACATCAGAGCATTCTTTTTCACTTCAGCTGAGATAAAATCTTGTGTCAGTTTGAGTCCAACTGTATGAAACAAAGCTGTCAAGGCAGTTGCATAGATCATATCGTACCATTTATTTATCATGTATTAGAGAGTGTTTTTGGTCTCTTTTTTTCTATATGTGAGAATTAGTTCTCAGCATTTCTATTTAACTTTTATATGAACATTTAACTACTTGTGGCCTTTCTTCTACTTCTCCTATAGTTTGAGGAGAAAAACATATTTACATTCCCCAGATCCTAATGTAGGGCTTTAACAGATATTTGCATTAAATAAACTGCCTTTGACTGATGATGGAGGGGTTGGTGGATGGAGCTTCCTCATCATTTGATAGGACAACGTCAAAGCCTAAACCATACACTCTTCCCAGTGTCCACAGCAGAGTTGGACCCTACTTGCCCTTAGCAAGCAGCTACTCACTAATGTACTCTGTGTGGGTTTCCTTTCCTTCTCATCACCTTTTCCCACTTTTCTACTGGTTCTTCTGTTGTTCACATCCCAAATAAACAATTTGCACCCAGTTTTTTTAGTTAAGATATTCTCCTGGGAAAACTCAACCCAAGACAGGAAGGCAGGAAAGAACTAGAGGGAAGAGAAGCCACTTTCTGCTACCTTCCTAATGTTGTTGAGGTCTGCCCCAACTTCTTCCTGGTGCTGCATGCTTGCTACTCTGATGAGAGCCATAAAACTATAAATCATTTGGTTCTAAAACTTTATTTTATAGACCAAGTCTGAGAGGCTAAATGACTCATTCTAGATTACTTAGACAGCTAGTGGCAAAACTGGGACCAGAACCCAGTTGTGCTTAGTTCCTGCAATAAGCTGTTAGCTTGTGCAAAAAGTATGTGCTCATTGGATCTCTATCATAACAATAACTGGCACTGATAAAGAAAACTGATATTTGTTTTGTCTCTACATCCCATCCATCTTTGGATATTTCTATGAGATCTTAAGAAGTATTCAAGTCCAGAGCCTGCCAAGAAAAATCAGATTCAGGTAAAGATGTAGCTAATAATGGAATGCAATTGGCTAAGAGATGGAGTTACTGGACTCTAGCTCAGCCTAAGTCTACAACTAGATCTTGGGCTTCACTCACCAAAACCAGCAAATGCAAAAATACTCTAAAAAAGTGAGAAAGCCTGAAAGAAAGCCTTGTTGATTTTAAGCAGATACAAATTTAGCTTTCAGCAGGATATCAGTAAATATAGCAGGAAAATGCCTTCCTTTATGTGTGTAAGGTAAAACAATTCTGCAGCAACTTCCCTTCTCTGCTTCCCACACACTTGCTTCCCCTGAAGCTTAGATGGTGGATCCCACTTTCAGATAAAGAACATTGGTGATGCATCCACTTGAAAATCAAGTGACATTTGCAGAGCCTAACCAAGTTAGAAGAACAAAGGAAAAAGTAATTCTTATCTGAGCAAGTAATGCTTGTCAGCTCTTCCCCAAAGGAAATGCCCTCTGTTGTGTAGACATCTTAGTGGCTGGGCCAGTCCAGTTTTAGTTCTTTCTAGCAATGGTTATTTTTTCCTTTTCCCTTGGGAGGTGATTCTAGGAGCTAAAAGATCATGTTAGCACAGATTGTAGAAAAATCAGGAAATTTATGACTTGAATGGAAATACAGACTGATGATTAACTGTAATTCATGACATTATGCAAAAGAAGATAGCAGCTGGAAAGCAACTTTAAAAGTATCAGCAAAACATGCAATGATAAAATGCTACCTACAGTGAACAATCTGAAACACAAATCAAAAAGTAATCCCTTTTACAATAGCCACAAATTGAATACCTAGAAATTAAAAAGAAGTGAAAGAATTCTATAATGAAAACTATAAAACACTGATGAAAGAAATTGAAAAGAACACCAAAAAATGGAGAAATATTCTATGTTCATGGATTGGAAGAATCAATATTGTTAAAATGTCCTTACTACCCAAAGCAATCTACAGATTCAATGCAATCCCTATCAAAATATCAATGACATTCTTCACAGAAATAGAAAAAAAATCCTAAAATTTATATCGAACCGCAAAAGACCCAGAATAGCCAAAGCTGTCTTAAGCAAAAAGAACAAAACTGGAGGAACCACATTGCCTGACTTCAAATTATACTACAGAGCTATAGTATCCAGAACAGCATGGTACTGGCATAAAAATAGGCACATAAACTAATGGAACAGAATAGAGAACCCAGAAACAAATCCATACATGTATAGTAAACTCATCTTTGACAAGGATACCAAAAACATACACTAGGGAAAAGAGAGTCTTTTCAATAAGTGGTGCTGGGAAAACTGAATAGCCATATGCTGATAAGGATGTGGAGAAAAGGGAATCCTTTTACACTCTTGGTGGGAATGTAAATTAGTACAACCACTATGAAGAATAGTTTGGAGGTTCCTCAAAAAACTGAAAATTCAGCTACCATATCATCCAGCAATCCCACTGCTGGGTATATATCCAAAAGAAAGGAAATCATCATATTGAAGAGATGTCTGTACTCCTGTTTGTTGCAGCACTGTTTACAATAGCCAAGATTTGAAAGCAACCTAAGTGTCCATCAACAGATGAATGGATAAAGAAAATATGGTACATCAACATGGATGGAACTGGAGATCAATATATTCCATCCATGTTGTTGCAAATGTTGCAACAACATTTTACTATGTTAAGTGAAATAAGCCAGACACAGAAAGAGAAACATCACATGTTCTCACTTATTTGTGGGATCTAAAATTCAAATCAATTGATTTTTAGTAGTAGTACCCTTCTAGTTTCGTGGACATAGAAAGTAAAATGATGATTACCAGAGGCTGGGAAGGGTAATGGGAGGTTGAGGGGTAGATGAGGATGGTTAATGGGTACAAAAAATAGAATGAATGAATAAGACCTACTATTTGGAAGCACAATAGGGTGACTTTAGTCAATAATAACTTAGTTGTATATTTTAAAGTAACTTAAAGAATATAATTGGGTTGTTTGTAAATCAAAGGATAAATGCTTGAGGGGATGGATACCCCATTCTCCTTGTTGTGCTTATTTCACATTGCATGCCTGTATCAAAATATCTCATGTACCCCACAAATATATGCACCTACTGTGCACACACAAAAATTTTTTTAAAATAAAAGCTACCTAAGCCAGCAACTGAATCCCTTATAGGGAGCCTAGTCATTAAGTAAACCCTACACTGCTATATCCATCAGGAATCGTGCAATTGCAAATATCGGAATAATGGACTTGACTGACTTAAACTAAAGCATGATTTTTTTTCACTCATCTATCTGAAATGTCTAAGAGTTTCAAGCTCAGATGGATCGAGGTGTCCCGATATCATCAGATCGGGGTTTTTGCTCTATTACTCGACTCTCGCTTTGCTATGTACTGGTTTTATTTTCAGTGGTTTTATCCATTGAAGAAGTAAAATGACCATCCAACAGTTCCAAGATTACATCCTCATAGCTGTAAGCTCAGCAGTAAAGAGAGAATAATTTTCTCAAAATAGTCCCAGAAGTCTTGTAACTGCCTTGTTGGCTCTGATTGGGTCACATTCTCATCCCTGAACCATTCACTGTAGACAGGAAAATGGGATGCTATGATTGGTTAGGCTTGAGTTATCTTCTCTGGAGGTAAAATCAAGATAACGTTCAAACCATAGAGCCTTTAAATGGGTAGGTAAGAATTTCCCAGGAGAAAAGCGTTGTCCTACAGATGAAGAGGGAACAGGTAGTGTGCAATACAACCATCAAATACTTCTACACTCTAGACTTGACTTTTTTCTGATAATGTGTGTGTATTTGTGGAAAGGAGTGGCCAAGAGGAGAAGGAGGAAGCACAAACAGGTGAGCAGAGTAATTGGGTGTGCAAATGAAGTCCAATAGTCTTTTTAAAAAAGCATTAACCAGGAGCTAGGAGGCAAGATGTAGGCCAACAGCTTGAAAAACAAGCTGAATCCAATGTGTTAGCACAGATTGTACTTTGGGTGACACAAAATTCTCTTCTCGTTTGGAAATTAAAGCTTAACTGTGACATCTGCAAGGCATTTTTTCTTCTCTGGACTCTGTGTGAGCATCTATAGAACAGTATTGAAGGGTGAAGAAAATTTAGATCAACTGAATACTAAGATTCCATTATGCTGTAAATGTGTTATATTTAACATTTAATGCATTTTATTTAATTTGAGTTTTAATTCTAAGACAGAACTAATGAGAATTAGGTGCAAGAAAAAATGCAATACAATGCACACTGCTTCCTCATATCTTTGATTCCATCTATGTGATAACAGGCTTACCAGGAATCCCTTGTATTGGTGATAGCACAACCTAACTTGACCAACAATGACACCCACAACTCTGAGATCTTCTGTTAGTGTGTGGGGGTAGGGGAGGCCAAAGTACATGAATCAGCTGTGATTTGGCTGGGTTCTCTCACCCATGTTGACTTTTCCTGGGTCAATTCATGCAAGATGTGTGTTGTTCTTGTTAACGAGGCTAAACATCTGGCTGAATGAGAAAATTTTAGTCTGCTACTTGCTTAAATAGCAAAATCTAAACAATCTACTAAGCTGAAGGGTTTTTTTCTTCTACTTTATTTTTGGAAGTCTTTGGGGTTAAATGATGCCTTGACCATTGTTTGCCAAGGCCAAGACTCAGCTATAGATCTTTTTTTAATCTTTCCTTATAGTTGTAGTCCAAGCTTTCACAAGGTCCAGGTTTTCCAAATCTCTGATTACTCCACGGTTATGGATGCAACATCTTGTTACGCTGCCTTTGTTCTTTGAGTTACTCACAGGGTAGGAAATCCAAGCTCTAACAAATTCTTACTTTCTCAAGGCAGGATACTGCCAGTCAACAGATGTCTGGGTTGGGACTACCACAACCCAAGATTTACAGCAATATCCTCAGATCCAAATATATAATTAATTCTGTGGTAGTAGTTTGGGCCTTGCCCAAGGGAGTCTGGCCCACTTAATTCTCTGTGACTTCCTTGATAACTCAATTCATTTGTCCTCTTGAACATCATTTGCTCCTTATTGAACACATCCAAGTCTCCCTAGAGAACGTGATTTTTGGTGTGTGTTTCTCAAGCAGAGCTCTTCCAGAACAGTTTTTCTAGACTTGATTCCCTGTTTTGATAGATGCATTTGAAGGTCTCTTCCAGGGAGAAGCTGTAGAGATGCGTTGACTGAATTATCTTTCTTAAGATTTATCCTTAGTTATGATTTTTCCTTTTTCCAATTTATGATTATATTTCTCTGTAATACTTTATTTAAATCAAAACATTATAGAACATAGAGCTTGGAAAGGGGTTGGGGGTGGAGGCAAGTAAAGCACTGTTTTTCACATTTCAGGGAACATGTGGTAGTTTCACATTTGCAGTGACCTTATTATTCGACAAAAATGAGTAATAATGAAAAAGTATGTGCAAAGAATAAAAAGATGGAACAAATACTTCAAAATTTTCTTACAGGGTTTTGAAAAACTATATCTCCACTACATTGGAAAAAGTGTCATATTTGTTCAATTCATGTAAGACCAATGGTTGTATTCATCTCTCACAAAGAAAATATATAAGATAAACTCAATAAGTACTGAACGAATTGTTGACTAAAGATGATGGAGTAGTTTTGCAAACCAGTGTTACTCACCTTCCTCTTTTCCATACACTGCTCCTCTCTGTCCTGCAACAATGAGATGGTGCAAAGACAGCAGGGTATAAAAGAAAGTGCATAGGATTTGGAAGGAAGATAGCGGTTTCCTCTTTTTAAGTCGGGGATGAAGGTACCCATATGCCAGAGCTATTGTGATCAATGAATTAGACAGTATATGTAAAGAACTTAAAATTGTGCATGCTTATTTAAGGTGCTCCAAAAAAGTGACTTCCCCTGAAAGTACTATGCCTGCAGTTCTGTTCTCTACCACTAGGTGGAAGTAGTCTCATTAAAGAGAGTAATAGATTTCATCTCTTTTTTTACTAATAAAGTGATCAGTTGTTTACTATTTGGAGATCAAAATCCCTGTCTTCACTGAGCTTACATTTCAATGAGGGAGATAGATAACTTTTTTAAAAAATAAATCAATGCAAAATATGCAGGTCATTGAGAAATGCTAAGAAGAAAAAGCAGGTTAAAACAGAGAATTAAAGAATAAAGGTGCTGTTTTTGACTATATGGTCAGGAAAACCTGTTTGCGAAGATGGCATTTGAGCAGAGATCTAAGTCAAAAGACGAAATGAGCCATGACAGATAACTGAGGGAAAAGTGCTGCAGACAGCTGCAACAGCAAGTGCAAAGGCCCTGAGGCTGGCTGCTTGTGGGCAGTGGGTTTCAATAGAAGTGTGTGAGGCAGAGAGTATAGGTAAATGTAGTCTGTGGGGTACCTGGGGCAGATCATCTAGAGCCCTGTAGGTTGTGGTAAGAAAATATTTCACAGGCGGCATATTTCATTTATTTATTCCTTTAGCAAGTTCACTCATGTGTGAATCAGATGCTATGCTAATAGGGACCCAATAGAAATACAGAATTTTCAGTGCAGGTGCCTGGTTACTATAACAGAGGTGTGTACAAAGTGTAAAGGGGACATAGAAGAGGCTTTGAAATCTAAGGAAGTCAAGAAAGACTTAGAATATCAGCTTTGAGAAGTGAATGTTGAATAGGAGTTTTCTAAGCCAACAAAGAGGTAGAAAGCAAGGAAGGTAGGATAAAACTACAGATAATAGCAGTCAGAAATTGGAGAGTGTGGTGTGTTCAGGAACATCATTGATATCTGATAGAAAAAGCCTGCAATACTGCATGTGATTTAATTTTTTTAAGTTATATTGAACAAAAATTTATTAGACATTACCTATGTTAACATTGAGTTAGAATACAATTTGGAACAAGCTTAAAGTAAATTGTATTCCTAAGCACAGATTGGTGACATAGAAATAACTGAATTATCATCAAGTACTCCTAAGTTACATTTTATTTTATTGGTCTGCAACCTCCAATGCAAAACTGAATTACTGTACCGGTGCCCAGGACAAGCTACACCGTAAAGGTTGATGTTTAGACCCGACTTTCCACTGTAGCCCTGGCTGCTTCGACCAGTGATACCACTTTGCTTTAATTGCTTGTCTTCTCTGGTAGACTTAAAACCAATCTCTCTTTATTGATGTTAATAATAGTGATCCTGGGCCTTTGGCCTTTATCTTCTTTATTCTCTCCTATTAGTTAAAATTGTCCTGAAAACAGAGAATAATACGAATGTACCATTTTCCTTAGCCTGTCATGGGAGCCAATCAGTCATCTCAGGAAGAAACACTTCTTAGCTGACTTTCCCAGAAGATTGACACTTAGCACTTGAATTTCCTTGGCGGATAAGAAATAAATAACCTACATATAGCATCTTATGGTTTCCAGTTCTGCTACATATTAGCTGTATGACCTCGGACAAGTAACCATATTTTATGAATTTAAAAATCCAAAGATTGTCAGATGCATCCTTAATTCAGACACATTAAAATATAAAAAGAAAAAAAGCCCAACACATTATAAGATGCCACAACTTTATAATGCATATCTATTCCAGAATGTTAAAATGTGAAACTATATTTGTTTAAAATCTGAAAAATACATAGTAGTTAGTTTTTCTTTTTTTCTTTTTTTTAGAAACAGGGTATTGAAGGCTGAAGCGCAGTGGTGCGATCATAGCTCACTGCATCCACCAACTCCTGGGCTCAAGCGATCCTCCTACCTCAGCCTCCTGAGTAGCTGGTACTATAGGCATATGCCACCACACCCAGCTAATATTTTAATTTTTTGTAGAGACAGGGTCTTGCCATGTTGCTCAGGCTGGTCTTAAACTCCTGGACTCAAGCAATCCACCCACCTTGGCCTCCCAAAGTGTTGGGCTTACAGGCATGAGCCACCGTGACCGGCCTACCTAGTTTGTCTAAGCCTCAGTTTCTACCTTATAAAGTTGTTTTGAAGATAAATGAGAAAACATATGTAACACAGGATATGATATACAAGAAGCACACAAAAATGTGCAGAGAACAAAAAGTTTCTGTACTTTATTTTCTGTTCTAAAGGGGTTTCCTTTTTCCTACCTTCTGAACACATTTAACATTTATATGAACAGTCTCACATTGTGGATTTCTCCCAGTAAGTACACGCTGCTTTTACTCCACCTCCCCCTCCATGCCAGACTGACTCCTTATAACTGAACTCATGCAGGAGGACTTTACCTATGAGGTCAAACTCATGTATAGTTAGGGCGTTCCCCAAACACTCCTAAATTCTGTAATAAACATTGTGACTCTGAGGTTTAGTGAACATATGGTATTGACAAAGAGCTATTTCCAGGAGCTTTCCATTGTAACTCACAGCCCTTGAGATGAATCAATGACTTCCTCATAGAGGGTGGGGTTTTCTGATATTTATTCAGTGTGACATTCTTGTGCTTTTGGTGGAAGGAATATAAGATTCCCTGTTAAGACAGGGTTTCTCAATATCGACACTACTGATATTTGGGGTCGGATAATTTTTTGTTGTGAGAATCTGTCCTGTGCATTTTATGATGTTCAGCAGAATGCTTGGCTCTGGCTACCAGATGCCAATAGCACCCACCGGTTGTCAAATATCCCCTGGGGGTAATAAATTTGCCCAATTAAGAATCACTGTGTTAGAGCATCAGATGCAGTAATTCTCACTGACCCTGGCTGAGCACCTGAGTTGGGCAGGAAATAATAAACTTGGCTCACCCATATCACAGGATCACTGTGATGGGCAAAAGGGAAGGAGCTTATGAAGTGCTGTGCCAATACAGTCATTCCTCAGTATACAAAGGGGACTGGTTCCAGGACCCCTAAGTATACCAAAATCCATGCATACTGTAGTCCCATAGTCAGCCCTGTGAAACCTGTATATACTTGGATTTCACATCCACAAATACTATATTTTCAATAGTGTCTAGTTGAAAAAAATCCACATATAAATGAACCTGCACAGTTCAAACCCGTGTTGTTCAAGGGTAAGCTGTATTATCGATTATAATTTTCCACCCAAAACCTGAAGGGTTTGGTTTACTTTTCTAAACAGCGTGGTTGCTAACTGGTGCTTACCACTGCACAGCCACTGTATGGGAGGCGTGATGTAAAACACTTTGTATACATGATCTCACAACAGTCCCAAAAGTTTCTATCTATCCATAGATAGAAACAAGTACGAGAGAGATAATAAGTAACTTGACCAAGGCCACATGCAGTAAATTGGGGAGTTGAATCCTGCCCAGGCATGCTGGCCCAGGGCCTGGTTCTGATCAGTTCTGCAGGCCACATGGAGGGTTCAGCTCCCCCTCAGCAGACAACTACTGACTGTCCAGTGGGCCAGGTTCTATGCGTGATGTCAAGGGATTAAAGGGAACATGCCGACAGCAGTAACAGGTTGTCTGAGATATTTTAGGATAATTATGAAGGAGAAATAGGAAGACCCTGAAATTTATGTACAATATTTTCTAGCAAAAACAGGTCACTTGAAGCATTTCTGATGAATTTACGGGCAAAGGTGAAGTTTCCTCGTACTGCTCAGGTCTTCCTCATATATCACTTTGAGGGCTTGCAGTAAAAAGGGATGGATGGAGTCAAATACCCTTTCCTTTGTTGACAACCTGTTGGAAAGCAGGGACTTGACAGTATTTTTCTCTTCTGAACTGTTTTCAAGTGATCTGAATGTGGTTTCCATGTGATCATCTACTACTATTGGGTTTTGTTGGGGGGTGGGGACACAGAGTGTGTAGTTTACTTCCATCTCATGCCTTGAGCAGATGAACCAGTGGTACCAAAGCAGAAGATCTTTTTGCCAGGAGAGTCAGTCTCTTCTGTGATTCCTTTTACCAAGCAGGTGATGACTTTTGAGGCTTTTTATTGTGCAAAGCCCCAAATGAGAAACAAAGAGGCTTTAGACACAGCCTCTGCCTACCCTTAAGAAACTTACAACCATCCAAGGCTCACATACATAAAAAACACAAAGCGACCCATGAGAACAGAAGCTGCCATCAGTGAAGAATCCACTCTGCAAGACATTTAATAAGTAACCTCAGCACTGTTCACATTCTAGGCTGCATAGTTCTTTGATGTGGTGGTTGGAGGGTGTCCTGTGCCTTTGGGATATTTAGCAGCTTCCCTGGTCTCTACTCACTCGGTGCCAGAATCCACACCCCCACCCCTGTGGTTGTCACAACCAAAAAATATCTCTACACATTGCCAAATGTCCCCTGGTGGGAAAGTGCTGATCTATTTCTAACAAACCTGCTATTTGTGCTGCGTACTGTTCACTCCTCAAACCAGGAAACTGAGGCTCCAAGACGGTAAAAACCTTGTTCCAGAGCACACAACTAATGAGAGGCAGAGGTAAGATTTGAAAGGAACCTTCCTGACCTCAATGGGGTTGTAGCCCCACTGCCTGCCAGGAGCTAAGGGCGCCGCTGATGTGCACAACAGGAATCACAACAAAGACCCCTGAGGAGTCTGGGCATGGTGGGAGGAAAAGGGGCCTCAGTTCAGACAGGAGAGATCAGGGAGGGAGGCAGACAGCCCAGGTTCAAAGGCATATAAGGGTGTTAAGGGGCCACAAGCAGGTTGGAAGCGGCAGGGAATGGTTTGATTTTGGTCGATTGAGGTTACACAATTGTGGGAGTGATACTTCCACCACCATACTGGGGTCTCCAGCCTCGAAGGCCACAGATTGAAGTGTGGTCCAGTCCATTTTGATACCAGTCCAGGCTCTAGTCTCCATTCTGGGTGATGTGTCTACAGGTCCTGGGAGAAGGACTCTTTCTTTCTGGATGGCTGCCTCTGGTTGAGCTCTGCTCCCTGACTCTCAGCCCTCCTGGAGGCATTTGTCATTGGGGTTTTCCTGCCTGGAGCACTAAGCAAGCTAAGCTCAAGGTGCCACAAGCTTTGAAGAGAAATAAAAGTGCTGAGAAGTGATGTTTATCCCCCTGTGGTCTGGCTTTTGACCCCTGCCTTTTCCTCTTGAATCATCTCTGAAGAGGTAGACCTGGGAAATGCAATTCTGCCCTTCTCACCTAACCCTGCCACCAGCATCCCACCATCCCAGCATCGCTGTGCCTTTATCTTTCCTTCCTTTCTCTCTCCTCCCTCCACTTCGAAAAGAATTCCTGTGCAGGCTTGTCAATCTGTCACCGAGGTCTCCAGCCTCCTCCCCTCCCAACGTGCCAAGCCCCACCAAGCAGCCCCTCTTTGGCGCTGTCCCTTGAACATCAGTCTAAACAGTCATTCCGTGTCTGTCAAAATACTGACAGCGCTTCTCCCTGCTCGGAGAGCATCAGATCCCATCTGTATCACAAGCAGTCTTCCAGGTTTATTTTGCCTATCACGTCTGAACACTTGCTATTTAAATTCCAAATCATTTTTCTGGGGGTTAACAGTGTCCCTGCTATTCTTGGAGTTTACTCACTACATCTCCAACTCAGCAACCTTATTTGTATGCTGCTATATCATATATATACACACTTACACACACACACGTTCATACCATACACACACACGTGCACGTGGACAGACACATCAGCAATGACTCCGCCACACCATCACTGCCATAAGCACCAGGCAGGATTATCATTGGTCTGCATGTTACATGAACAACAAAATGTCGGAGATCATTCCTGCTTTCAAAGGCCATTTGGATTATTGGGAAGAAAAACAAAATATGGAATAAGTTTAGATATTTTTTGTTTGTTTCTTCAGGCTCTTTCCAATCCAAATTTCATTTTCTGACTCTGTCAGTTGAAATATGTTGAGAACGGTTGTCATCATTCTCTCTCTCCTCTCTTGAGGGCTGGGGGGTGCAATTTAGAAGTATCTCTTGGTAAATAAAACATGCCTATCACTTTCTATGCTTAGTAGAACAAGGCCACTTAATGGCTAAGGAGGGTGAAGTCATCCTGCCTGGGTCAGGAGTAGGAGTCTCTTAACAAATCTGACACCTTTCTGTTAATGTGAAACACTTCTAGGTCTAATCATACCACTGCCATGCAGCTGAGAGTGTAAAATAGGAAGGGGAAACAGGATCAGAGGTCAGCCTTGTTCACCAGAGCTCAGTGGCTCAGTCTCTCACCTGCCTGAGCCCTGGCACCTGGCTGCCTCCCCTGGCATCTCTCTGACCTGGTTCCTACTTGCAGCCTCCTCCTTTCCCATGAAGCTGATCTCCTACCTACCTTGACTTCTTTTTTCCTGAATCTGTGCCTGGAATGCTGAGTCTTGGTGTAGCTCACTTCCCTGTGGCAGTGGGAGCCTTTGGTCATGGAGGTGACATCACTGGGCTAATGCAGACAAAAATGACATGCTGAGCCATTGCACCCCAGGTCTGAGTCCAGAGAAGGGTTTGAGAACTGGTGACACCTTCAGAAGAGAAGTCCATCAGGCCCTTCTTAGTCCAGGCTGGCTTGAAATGACCTAAAGAGTCAACTGTGAGTGAGAGAAGACCAGCAGCTGGGGTGCTTTAGTTACGAGTCATAGGGTGCTCAAGAGCTATTTGGACCCCAACTTAGTTCTCTGGATTGTTTTTCTCAAGCCTGGAGTTATTCTAAGAATTGGGGGACTGTCCCTGATCTATGATGGGCTCAGCTGGCCTTGGAGACTGGGTTCTACTTTTCCACCGCACCAACATTGCCCCCTACTTTTGAAACTGTGTGCTTGTCCTTACCTCTTATAAAAGCCAGCCCAAAGGTCTGCCTTCAAAGAATGATCTCATGGAGGACACAGGACTGTCAAAAGTAGATCCTGTGCCAGACGGTAGAGGGCAATGCTGGGGCCAGGCTTATCTACCCTGGAGCACATCTGCACATCTAGGAGACACCACCCTCGCTGTGTGAGGCTGGACAGTGGGCAAACCATAAAGATGGGATTTCGAAATACAGCAGGGCATATCTTTGGTTATTGTGCTCTGTGTGGGGTCAACTTATACTAGTTGTATATTCTGCTTTTGTTTGGTTTGCTCTAATTTATTTCTTCCCTACCTCCCTCCCTACCTCCCTCCCTTCCTTTCTTTTCTTCTCTTCCTTCTTTCCTTGTATCTTTCTCATTAACTTGTGCATTTGTGCAAGTCCCCTTTGTGATTGTACTGAGTTTCAAAAGAATACAAAATCATTTGTAAAATATGCGTAGGGTGTGAAGACTAGAAATACCATCAACAGTGATGGACCTCCGGCCCGGTTAAAGACACATGACATGGTCACAGCTTTAAGCCCCTGCCTCATCCTTTTCCCTCCTCCGTGAGAACGAATCATTACCCCACATTGTGTGTATCTGACTGTGACCCTCCTGACTTACTGAGACTTCTATAAGCCCAAAGTGCCCAGACACTGACTTAATACCCGCTCTAAGGAAAATTTCCCTCTGACTCTGAGCAGGGCACATGAGAGAAATTTCTGAACACGTCGAGTCTCCTAATTGATAAAAGTGGAAGCTATTAAAAACTAATATATCATCATCCAACATCAACCAAAAAAATGCTGCAGTCACTAGCACAGCTTATAATGCTGTGACCCTCCTGACTTACTGAGACTTCTATAAGCCCAAAGTGCCCAGACACTGACTTAATACCCGCTCTAAGGAAAATTTCCCTCTGACTCTGAGCAGGGCACATGAGAGAAATTTCTGAACACGTTGAGTCTCCTAATTGATAAAAGTGGAAGCTATTAAAAACTAATATATCATCATCCAACATCAACCAAAAAAATGCTGCAGTCACTAGCACAGCTTATAATGCTGAAGCTCATTAATATGATGTGTGAAACAGCTTTAAATGTTATTAAATCAGGTATACATAGCACTGTTTTTCTCAGACTTCTACACTGTGTATTCAACAGGTCTCCATTGTGTTTGCTTCTTCCTCTTTCAATTCTGAGTTCAGTAAGAATTTGTTGAAACTTTCACTTAGACAAGGTCTTTTTTTTAGATATAGAGATATGCCCCCTCGTGGGTTCTTGTCTTACCTCGAGGGTCTTACACTCTCCCAGAGCCTGAAACCATGAGAGATCACTGGAAGCCCTTAAAGCTGTGCTTTCTGGTAGGAAGCCACTAGCCCTCTGTGACTACAGAGAAATGTCTAAATTGAAGTGTGCTTTAAGTGTAAAACATGTACTGGATTTGAAAGACTTAGTATGAAAAAAATGGAAAAGCTCTCATTTAACCTGGTAATATTGATTACACATTCAAATGACAGTATTTTGGATATACTGGATGAAATAAAATGTATTATTAAAATTTATTGCATGAACTTTTATTTTTAAATGTGACTGTAAAAAATTTAAAGTAGTATATGTGGTTCATGTTTCATGGCTTGCATTATATTTCTATTGGACAAAACATACAATCAGGCATTACAGTGTGTTATACAGCTAACACACGGAACACTGTAGGTTCCTGGCCTTCTGCCTGCAGAACCAGTCCTTGTATTCTCCTTACTTTGCTTTGTATGACATGGGGGCTGACTCCTGTAATACCTTGTTTCCCAGATTTCCATGACATCTGGCTTTTGACTTGGTTTGGCCAATGGGAGGCACTGTTGGGAGATTGGAGGGCAGGAAGAAAGGAGGAAGTAGTATGTTTCTCCCCTCTCTGTGTTTGGCAATGTTTTGGCAGGCGCTGTCTCCTTCATGCTCTAGGTCTCTACTCCATGCCCCCTCCACCCTGCCCTGGGCTCCAACTCCCACCAGGTAAAGTGGCTGCTAGACCCTGGGCTCTAGTAGCTCTACCTCCTCCATTCATCCTTCCAGCCTACAGGGAGTGACTTCCTGCTGTTTTCATTGCAGTCTCACTCTCATCTCCCCATTTCACTTTTCATCTTTTGCATTACTTCTGTCACAGATTCCCTCTGTTTCTTTTTTCCTGGTTGGATGTTGACTGATGAAAAAACCTGAATGAAGGGAAAGAACAGAAAGGGCTGGAGGAGATGGTGAAATACAAAACGAGGGTCTGGGGGCTGAAAGAATCTCAAAGCTGAGTTAGTGCATCGATGAACTAGAAGTATGGAATGCAAATGGGAATGATGAGGGAAGAGACAGAGGGAAAGGGAAAGAAACATTCAGAAGAGGAGGCTAGCCCAGGAAAGACTCAAATATGGTGATTTGCATGGCCTGTTCAGAAGAGAGGGAATAAACCACCTGATGGGATAGAAAGGCTCTTTTTTAAATAAACTTTTAATTCTGGAATAATTTGGGGCATCCCAGGTTTGCACAAAAAAAAAAAATTGCAAAATTAGTATAGAGATTTCCCATAGTCATCTGACCTAGCTTCCTCTAACATTAACACCTTATGTAACTATTGTTCCTCAGAAGGTTTATTTTAAATGTGGAGGGTGATACATTCTATTGGTAGAATAGAGACAGACTATAGAGGATCTATATTGGTTTCCAAATTTTAGAATTTGAAGGGGTCTTGGAGATTGTATGGTCTAATCCTTTAAATTTTACTTATTTTTTGATATAAAAAACCTAATGCTCAAAGAAGCTACGTGACTTTTATTCATTTACTGTATATGAATTACAATCTAGGTACTGGACTACAGTGGAGAACAGTTTGCACGCCAGGGATTGTTCCATCAGTCACTGCACTATACTTGGAACAGATTAAATTTTTTTTTTGAGACGGAGTCTCATCTGTCGCCTAGTCTGGAATGCAGTGGTGCAATCTCGGCTCACCGCAACCTCTGCCCTCCAGGTTGGAGCAATTCTCCTGCCTCAGCCTTCCGAGTAGCTGGGATTACAGGCACGCGTCACCACACTCAGCTTATTTTTGTATTTTTAGCAGAGATGAGGTTTCCTCATATTGGCCAGGCTGGTCTCGAACTCCTGACCTCAGGTGATCTGCCCCCCCCCCCCCTCGGCCTCCCAAAGTGCTGGGATTACAGACGTGAGCCACTGCGCCCAGCCGGAGCAGATGAATTTATCTGCTGACAAAGGGAGCCATAGTCAGAGTTTCATGCATGACATGTCTCAGGGCGAGGCCTGTGTGGTCTCCTCTTTGGGGCACAGTTTGGCCACTGATTGGAGGACTCTGCACTACATTTCCTCAGAACAGTGGTTCTCAGCCATGGCTTCCCATTATAGTCACCTGGGAGGCTTGCAAGATGCCTGTGCCCAGGCCCAGCTTCTTCTCACCTAATTGGTCTGGTTTGGAGCCTGGACATTGCTAATTTTAAAAAGCTCCCTACCACTGCCCTAGAGGGTACAGTAGCACAACTAGAAGTTGGCACTTTCTGGCTTAACAATTCCTGTAGCTATTCTGGGGAGCTGAATACTGATCTGAGTGAAAAATCTTCATTTTCACAGTGTATTGATCAGGTGCTCTTCCAAGACTGGTCTTCCAAACTTCCTAGGAAACACTCAAGCTCTCACCTGGGAACTGCCCAGCCACCTTTATTACTGTTAGCATCCTCTTTACCATGGTTCATTATTTCCATCTTTGTTCATATAATCACATGGCCTTGATTCAATCCTCAGAGATGCTTGGATTCAGCAATGTGTCAAATGTAGTCTCTGCCACCTTCAGCATCCTCACTCAGTGCCACTTTTTACGTCCCAGGTCTGCACATGCCCAAAGCTCTCATTTTATGGTGGCCTTTCTTCTCTCCTTTACTAAAACTCGATTTGTAATTTCTCATTTACACCAAGTTCCAAATTTTAGAATCCAAGAATGTTGGTGATGGATAAAACTAAGACCATATCTACTCTCATTTTATAGAGGACTAAAGGTGGCTGCATTAATTTTAGATCGAATATTGCCTTTTCTCATCTCATACTTCTACCTCTAAGAAGCTGAGAAACTGAGGGGATTTCCCAATGTTCCCAAATTCCTCTTTTATAATTGACATTCACAGTTTTAATGCATGCATAACACACACACTCTCTCTCACTCCCCCCAACTTGTGTGTGTGTGTGTGTGTCTGTGTGTCTCTGTGTTAGGGTCTGTAATATACAGTACCCCTAAATGCTCATAGATGTTATGGAAATGACGGAAGGGCTATGCAAATCTCAAACACCAAGCATGCATTATTCTAAGACTTTGGCTCCCCATATGTGAACCTGTAAAAACAGGTGATAGATTTATGTTCATACATTAAACAGGCCACCCAGCCCCAGTGTAAAATCAGGGTGACAACTGAATACATCACTGTTCCCAGCAGCTACCTGTGTGCACTCATTACCCAGTGGAAAATGGGCCAGCCTTGTTCATTAGAGCTCCCTTCTCCAAAGGAGAGCCATTTGCACATTGTCTCATTTAAAACAAACCAACCAACCCCACAGAGACTCAAAAGAAAACAGAAAGACCTTTTCCTAAATAGCCTCTGGAAGGTGTTGTGTGTTGTTCCTGTTTGCCTGTGTCTAAGCTGTCATGGATGAAGGATAGCTGCACACCTGCTTAGAAGAGGGAATTGTTTCCTTGTGGGAGGAGGGATTACCTGCTAGCATTAATTAGAAAGAGGTAGAATCTGGTAAATGTTTTTGGGAGAAATTACTACAACTTGCAATAACAGCATATTGATTGTCACCCACGTCAGCTCAGAGAAACAAATGGACTGATTGGATTTGGAGTGCAAGTGTTGTGAACCTAGTGTGCTGGTCAAGGCCCTGCAGGGCAGGCCTTCATGTGAAGAGCAGCAACTCGTGGCCCACAGCAAGCGGGTGAATTGTGAGACTGGGGGAGTTCATGGGGACAGGGTAGGAGTGGGGACTCTACTGGACTTTGCTGCCTGTGGCTTTCCTCTCTCAAGTTCTGACACTATGAAAATTCTGTGGAATTCAAGGATGGAAGCAGAGGCCACAGAGTGGGCATGAAAACTAAATGATCACTCCTCATTCTGCCCCATCCTCCTGCCTGCCTACCTTGCTGGCTGTTGTGAACTTCCACCTTCTCTGGCTTCCAGGGCCTTTGGATCGCTGCCCGGGCTTCCTGCTTCTCGAGCCATTCGGGCAGCATTCTCTGCTTTGACGTTCTTTCAGATACCACCGAGTCCTCTCCCTCTGCTGATACCAGCGGCTGTGGATGAAACGTGGTCTTCCCCAGCCCCGCAGGACCTACACTAGCACAGCCAGCCATGGCCATCCTTGACCCCAGAGGATACTGGACAGTCCTAATATGCCATCCTAAGAGCAGAGTAACTCGCCTGCAGTCCTAGCTCCTTTTGTCTCCTGCCCAGTGGCTTTGAGCAAGTTGCTTTAATTCTGTGTGCCTCCATTTCTCCTCCCTACACAGGAGCAATATGGGAGTAACCATCTTAGATCCAGAAATATTTATTTCATAGGGTTTCTGCAAGCTTAAAATGAGATGAAGAAAGTGAGTGCTACAAAGCTCTTCACTGGGGCAAATGGTAGCTTTTGTTGATACTGACCCTCCTCCTTCTTAGGAATGCTTCCTTGTGTTTCTGATAGGTTTACAAGGGTTCATCACCAAAAACTCAAGCAAACCTCATATCCTCCCAGTGATTAATCCTGTGCTTCAGGATCAGTTCTATATGTTGACATGTGAGCTTGACAAGTGAGCTGCCTCACCCTAGACTCATGAGCAAACAAATGTCATGCAAGGCTCCACACTGCACCCTCAGTGGGGCAGGAGCAACGATGGTGACAATAATGGTTTGCACTTTGGGGTGTAGTTGACTTTCCTTGTCTGAGGAAAGGCCCTTCCCCTACAGGTACCCCTGTTCTGGTGCCCTGGCAGCTTCTGGATAGAGGTGGGACAAGCGTGAATATGCTTTCCTACAATCTCTAGCTTCTCTATGTGGTCTAAGTTGCCAGACACCCCAAAACAGATCAGAAGATTCAGGAGGCTAAAACCTATGGCCATTAGGGAGCTGCAGAAATGGGAAGAATCATAGTTCCTTCCTCATCCCAATTCTGAGGGTCAACTGAGATAATTCTTCAGTGACTGACAGAGCGTCATTCTGCAAGTGCAGACAACCTGCACTTTTCCTCTTCTACACAATTGATCATGCCATGCCCAGTCCCCGCCTGCCTCCCTGCTCTCACTTCCAGGAAGGTATATGGAGACAGGGCTAGAGGTGTCCCTAATCCTACTTGTAGTTCCTGTGGGGATTCATCCCGCCTTAATGCAGTCAGAGCATACTCTACAAACTCATGTTAAACGTAAATGAAGGAGCCCCACGGCTCTTTGCCTGCTGCTCACTAACCCAGGATATCATTGCCTGAGCAGATGCTGGGAACCTTCAAGAGTAATCCCAAGTCCTGAGCAAGCTGGGGCCTGGGACGCTTGCTGTTCATTCTCAGCCACCTCAACAAGAACAGCCACCTTTCTTTTCTACAGGAAAGGTGGACGAGTGCTGGCAGGGGCTGGGTATGCTGCCCATCATTTGCTTTAATTATTATATCCATGTCTCTTTCATTACATTTTATTGCTTATTTTCTTATCACATTTTTAATCTTCTTTTTTACCATTTTATTTTAGCCTGGTGGATGATCCCCACCAGCCCAAGGTGGGAGGCAGTGAGGGGGCTGCTGAACAACTCAAGCAAAGGAGAGCTGGCACCTTACCCTCAACTTCAGTCACCTCCATAGTGGTTCTTTGAGTCCCCTTGAGGCTGGAATTTAATGAAAATCCCTTAATTAAATCTTCTGGGGATTTCCATGAAACAAAAATCTACCTATCAATATGAAAGGGTGACAATCCTACTTTTTTAAAAGCTCACAAAGCTGATAAACTCTAATGAAGCACAGGCCAATGTTCCTTACTGTCTCCCCATCCTTTAGCCAGGGCAGCGAGGAGTCTTGCTTTAGGTGCATTTTGACTAAATTTCTGGAATAAAATATATGTCCCCAAATGAAAAACTCCTTTGGCATCCTATGTGTCTCCTTGTCTATCCCAAGCATGTGTGTTTCCCCTAAAAACATCCTTCTCCCTGGGCTGAGCAGAAAGGAGGTGGTGTCTGTTCCCCTGGATGAAATGTTAAGTCCCAAAGACTGTCCTATAAGAAGTGCCAATGTGTCATGCAAGGAAGGGTTTTTGCTTCCTTTGAACATCACTTAAATGGTTACTGTCAAAGTCAGATGCAAGACCTGAACAACTCGAGAAGATCACTCAGTGGCCTGATAGATGAGTTGTTTACACTGAAAAAGAGAAATATAGTACCTGGGATGAGGCCTCCCTCAATGACAAAATGGACAGATTAAATGAGTTATTGATAATAACTTTGACAGACCTTCAATTGCCAAGATCCCATCTGTGGCTCATCTTCCCTCTCTCATTGGCCTTTAAAAGTTTTCATTGCACTGTTTTTTTGTTTCAAAGTTCTTTTGTAAAAAAAACGTTTATTTTAGATTTCGGGGGCATATGTGCAGGTTTGTTACACAAGTATATTGCGTGACACTGAGGTTTTGGGGTATGACTGATTCTGTCCCCCAGGTAATGAATATGGTACCCAATAGGTAGTTTGTCAACACTTGCTTCCCACCCACCTCCCTGCTCCCACTAGTAGTCCCCAGCAGTCTTTTGTTCCATTCTTTATGCCCATGTCATTGCAAAATTTTTTGTGCCCACATTGTTAAAAGCAAGACAAACTAGATTTCTCCTGAGACTTCTTAGAGGCTTTATGTGACTAAGGTCTTTTCAGAGGCATTTGATGGGTTGGGCTTATGGCTGAGGTTGGCATGCAACAGGGAGAGAAAAGAATATTACCCAGAGGGTTAGGAGATGTGGGTTCTATTCCTGGCTTGGCTACTAACTGGCAATGAGACTTTAGGGCTGTGCTGTTCAACACAGTAGGTACCAGCCCCATGTGACTAAGAACTTGAAATGTGGCTACTCCCAACTGAGATCTGCTGTAAGTGTGAAACACACACTGGGTTTCGAAGGCTTGACGTGAGAAAGCATGTAAACTATCTCGCTAATGATTTTCCTATTGGCTACATGTTGTCATTGATATTTTCGATATGTTTGGTTAAACAAAATATTAATTTCATCTGTTTATTTTTAGTTATTTAATGTGGCTACTAGAAAATTTAAAATTTCATATGTGGGTTGCATTATATTTCTATGGAAAATAGAACACAGTGCTGCCTGAGACGAAGCTGTACAACTTCTCTAATTTGGAAAATTAGGGGCATTAGAGACCATCTCTGACAATCAGTAATTTCCTTGCATGAAATATGTCCTCCAAGATTCATTGGCTTCTTTGATATTTTAGAAATGGTTCCCAGCGTCATCAATAAATGTTAGAGAATTTTGAATGTTAGAAAGTTGTGTCATGTGGGTTGAGTGTTGGCAACCAGGCACTATACAGACATGAAAACCACAGTTCCTGCCTTCGAGTCACAAATGCTAGGGGTGAAAATATAGACATGAAAACACAAAACAATTACTACTGATATATAGTCATGTGTGATTAATTGTCAAATTAGTTTTTCTCACAGTATAGGATACATAAGGCTTTAACAGGTTCAGAGCAATTCAAATTGGGAGACTACTTCTCAGAGCGAGTAAGAGTAAGAAAAAAAAAAGAGACAATTCTTTCTTTCTCTCCCATAAAGGTTGCGTGGTAATAATGAGGAATGATGAGTGAGCATGAAGGAACTAAACATGTTATTGGGAACAGAACATGCCTGCAGATCCATTACCTTTCCCTCCAAGAATATTTTCCCAACTTTTTCCCCATTGAGATGAGGAAATTTGGGTGGTGCTACTTATTGCCCCTGGTTACGCAGAAGCTCAGCCGTTTTCTCCTAACCTCCCAGTGTGGGAACCCAGGAACCATGCCAGTGTCCTCAGAGGCAAGAGGGGACGATATTAGAAAATCCTGACAGCAAAGGGCAGTAAAGGCATCAGTCACTCTTCAGGAGAAGAATAAAGTAGTGGTTGAACACCACTCGTTGGCATGTTAGGGATCTTCCCGTCTGCTTTGTGGACGTTCCTCCCCCTGCCACAAGAATGAATCCCCCCTCAGCACATTTCAAGCCTACATAGGAGTCACGGTGACGAATCAATCGAATTGTCGTTGTGCTATTCTGGGTTTCTCCGGGGGCGGTTGGGGGGGTGGGGAACGCTTTGGAGAAAACCACAAACTGGCCAACATCCTCTCTCTCCTTCAAAGTTCTCCTCCCAGATAATTCAGGAAATAGCATCTCAGAGGTTCCCATCTTGGCATGTGTGGTGTTTTTAAATCCTTTCTAAATGGCTAAGAAGGCAATTCTTTTCAGCCATTTGCTTTGTGCAGCCCTCCCCTTTCCTGGCGGAGACAGTGTATGCACTGTATTAGAGCATTTTTTTCCTCCATATAATGGCACCAATTAAATTACCTTGCAGCCCGACCTTAATCTGGCAGGAATGATTATTCCATGAAACAGTTAGGGCTCTAATTGACATGAAGTGCCTGCAAAATATGTCTTTTGCGGCAACCCCTGTCAAAGTCACATTGATATGCTAATCCCTATAGCTGGCAGAATCACTTCATAAAGAGAGACATTGAAAATTGAATTATTTCAATTTCAGTACCTAGGAATCTAGTGATCTGTCTGTATATGTAACTAAGTAGGTGCAATACTTTATATGGGTAAACAGCTGTACTAGGGCGTTGCCATGGAAACTGCTTGACTCATGGCAGTTGTGTTAGTGACGAAGTCATTAGCAGTGTGAAATGTACTTTGAGGTTGTCAAGTGTAACACTCCGGGAATATTTCAGTGGTATTAGTGGAGCCTTTTCATTTACATAATTTAGGCTTTCACGCATGATCTCATTATGGTGCAAGAAAGGAGTGGGTTGTGGGGGCAGTTGTACCCAGACCAGATGAATCTCCATTACACCATTCACTTACTATTCTTTCTCCTTAAATAGGGTCCCCCAAATAAGTCTTATGGGAAATTGATAACTCCCTGCAAACAATGACTTTGAAACCCTGTTGGTGGTGGGACCGGCTACATTGGCGTATATATTGCCTGAACAATTAGAAACCATTGACAAGTTTGGGATTCATTAGTTACTTTTGTTCTGATGTTTCATTAACCTTGTAAGTTAGGAAATAAAACTTTCAAGTCAAGACACTCATTTTTAATCAATATTCAGGTAAGTGTCACCCTCTTTCATGTACACTCCCAATGGCTCCTTAATGATCTTCAAGATGATATGTGATGTGCAAGTTCAAAACTTGTCCTCCAAGTTAAATGATAAGCTTTGTTGCTTGACACCGCCCCTGCCCCCCCGCAAAAAAAAAGTGACTCCGTCCATGCTTTCCAGATTCAGGTCTGCATGATTTCTGGCTGTTTCATGAAATCAGAACACCCTGAATCAAGCTCTAAAGATCCTTCCAAAAGGAGAACTCTAAACATATTTAAGGCAGTAATTACATTATTAGAGTAAGCAGAAAATGTCCCATGGAGAACCTTTTTTGACGTGCAAAACACTCCAGTGTGTGTGCTTAGGTGTATGAGTTTATAGCCACATTTCAGTTTTAAGTCTGGTGTTATTTCATTCATTCATTCATTCATGTATTCATTCATAAACACTTATTGAGTATCCATAAAGCCCATGCCAGAAAGAGTTGCAGGTACTGGGGGAAAAGTGGTGAATGTAATGGACACAACACTTGTCTTCATGAAGTTCAATTTAATAGGGGAAGACATATATTAAAATATATATATGCAATTATAAGAACCAGAGACAATGAGAGAGACTAAAGGCAAATGCCTATTTTTATTAGAGGTGTCAGGCAAGGTCCCCCCGAGAAGTGCCATTTAAGCTGAGAATTAGGAGAAGAGGGGGCAGTGAGGGAAAAGTAGAATTGTATTTCACAACATTAACTTTGTCCTATTCAGGCCACACAAGTTTACTGAGCTTGAAAGTGTAGTTAAATCAAGGCAAGTTTGATCTTTAAAGCGGGATTCCAGGTTTGTAAGATGCCAGTGTGCAGTGTGTTTCTTTACGAAGAGGTTGTATTGTGCAGCCAAATATATTTGACTGTGGAAAATCATTTTCAAGTTCTACCTATTAACATTTGCAAAACTCCTCTGCAGAAGACAACATAGCTTAGTAAGCACTTAAAAAATGTATGGGGCCAAAGTATGCCATGTTTCATATTAGTTATCTTTTATACATTCCTTCCAGAAATTCTACAATATCCATATAGTTCTAGAAGATAACTGAGCGAGATGCGAAACAAATAACAGCTTGTTTTGCAGAATTTAAACAGAATTTAAAGAAAGTGGGTGGGATCAAGGGAAGAGTTCACGGTATCCATCACTTTTGGGGAAAAATAGATACTGTCTTAAAAGAGTCATTTCTTTTACCATTCATGTGAGTGGTGAGTTATCAAAGGATGCCTCCACATAGAATGAGAGTCTTCACATTCTTCAGAAATGTAAATATGTATTAAAATATCAAATAGGCAGATATTTTTATTTGTGCTTTTCCCTTGTGTGGGAATATATATATATAGAAAGAGTGATTAAGCAAGTATTACATTTTTACTGAAGAAAGTAAATTCTCAGCTATGCCATAGGGCCTAAACTAATTTATTTACTTCTCTTAACTTCTAAATACAGTTTTTTCTACTGAAAACATCCTGTATTTTATATATCCTTTGTCAATTTAAGGTGTGAATATTAGCTAGTATTAATGTTAGATTACCTGTTCCTGTTCAACTGTAAGACATTTAAGGACAAAAACAAACTGTTATTTGTTTTGCATCTCACTCAGTTATCTTCTAGAACTATACAGATATTGTAGAATTTCTGGAAGGAATGTATAAAAGATAACTAATATGCAATGTGGCATGCTTGGGCCCCATACATTTTTTAAGTGCTTACTAAGCTATGTTGTCTTCTGCAGAGGAGTTTTGCAAATGTTAATAGGTATAACTTGAAAATGATTTTCCACGATCAAATATATTTGGCTGCACAATACAACCTCTTCAGAAAGAAACACACCGCACAGTGGCATCTTACAAACCTGGAATCCTTCTTTAAAGATCAGACTTGTCTTGATTTAACTACATTTTCAAGCTCAGTTGATCTTGGACCTTCCTCCATCCTCACTCAGTTTTTGACAAACACATGGCAGTATCTGTGAAATGCAGTTTGGGGAACCCAGTTCATTTTAAAGCTTTTCTAAAACACATTTGAAATATGTATATTTGTTTTTCACTTTTTGAAAGCATACAACATTCTCTAAAGTGAATCCTTAATGAACCATGATACTTATTGTTTCATTCCTTTACTCATTTACATACATCGATTACCTCCAGTGGACACGTAATGTGCTGCGAGCCACACTTCAAGGGCAGCAGCTAATAAGAAAGCCTGCTCTTGCAGAGCAAAGTGGTAAGTGGGGCTGGAGTTGAGTCCCCAGGCCACTCCTGGCACAGAGGGGCAGGCCTTTCCCATTCTGTTTTGGACAACTGGGAGACTGTGATATAGACCAATGATGGGTTATTTTCTCAAACTTGTTCCCCATTGTCCGTTCACACAGCATCCCCTTAACATGTAATTAATATACATTTTTAAAGCATTTTTTTTTTTTAGGAATAGGGGAATACTCATGGAAAATGCAGCTGTTCACAGTCCTCTAAGTCCCTGGACCCTCCACTTGCAGTTGCAGTTGTGACTGTGACCATGACGAGCATTATTATGGGTTGTCATATGGCTGCCCAAGGTCATCATTAAGTAGCTGTCCATTCTCTTCCCAGTCTGCAGCTTTCCACCGCTGAAGAGGAGAACTAGTAAAGAGCCCATTACAAACATTTTCCTAGATGTGTTTCCTTAGAAGAGGTCAGGGCACAGTCACTGCCGGATAAGAATCAGCACATTTCTCGGAAGCAATCCCAATCCTTTCCATCAGTCCTCCCAGCGAGGCGTGTCATGTTCAGTCCATTTTTACAGGCCTTATCTATCTGAAGCCTGCCTTTTCACCTTGATAACTGATTTCTGCACCACCAATCACATTGGCTATGGGAACTATCTGAAGGACCCCAGAAGTGAGTGAAAGACTAGATTTACACTTTTCCTTTCTGGTCTCTTTTATCAAAGAAACACATTTTTAGATCCTGACTTTAGCTATACGACTGCATTAACCACTAAATTTGCCCATCTGCAAAATGGGAATGATAACTAATACTGACCTCAAGAGGCTGTTGTGAGCATAAATACTATAAGGAAAGGAAGATTCTTAGTGAGGAATCTAGTAGGTAGTGAGTACTCAATCCGGTAGGTAGTGAGTATGAGCTATATTTTTACTCTTACTATTTCTTAGCTGTTTTTGTCAGAGGCAGGTTTGGAAGTAATTTTTGAAGCCTCACCTTCTATTTGCATTAAACAAGGCTTAATTGAGCACCAGACATGCAATTCAGCAAATATTTGATAACCACCCATAATGTTCAAGGCTTTGCACTGGGCTCTGGGGAAACAAAGGTAAACAGATTAAGAACCCTGCCTCCAAAATGAAGTAAAGGAGAGGGGAACCTCCGAGTTCATTCCTGTGCCGGGTCCTGGCATGGGGTGGGATAGGTATAAATGTAGGAAAGAACAGTTCTTGCCTTCCAAAGACCCTAAAACTTCTCTGCTAGTCAGAGACATCAGCTTTTTATTCAGGGAGTAAGGTAAGTTGGGATATAATTGAATGCCAGATTGACAGGAATGTTTCTCTAGCATTAAATAGAGAGCCAAGATGTGAAGCTAACCTGGTTAGAACATCTGGCACCCAGGAGTTAATGAAGTATTTTAGGATTAGCTAAGCCAATCTCCTGGTCCTTTCCATCTTCCCGGTGACCACCTCAAACTACATGCTGGATTAGGGAGTCAGTCTTCCCTCTGGAATGTTGCTGTTGGGCATTAATTATAAGTAACTGTATTCCCCTGCTAGGCACCCCAGACAGCTCTGTAGGCCCACTGGTAGAAGTAAGATAGTCCCTAGGCTCTGTTTTCAGGGAAAGTGATGGAGGCTTGTTTCGGAAGAGCAGTAGTCTCGACTTCCCCAGTTTAGGGAGAAAAGTGTATGACAACTTCCTTTCTGAATGTATTTTTCCCAGGGTAGCCGTCATAAAAATGTCAGTCTCTGCTGGCTGAGATATTTTTCTCCTTTTCAAATATCCTATTGTTCTTTTCATGTTTATTGTTTCCTTTATGCCTCTTTGATAGCTTCTTTTTGAGGCCTTGTAAGGTATTTTGATACTGAATCAAGAAGCCAGATGTGAGACCCTCTATTATTCTGCCTCTTATTTTGATTTAAAGTTACATGCTGCCCTATGGAAGAAAACAATAAAAGTACAATGCTGGAAGAAGGAAAGAAGGTTGGAAGATGAATAAGAAGCTGTATCATTGGCAAATGAAAGAAGAAAGATATTGGACATTAACAATCAATATAAGAGATCATGGGTGATGTGTAGATAGTCTGTTCACCCAATAATGCCTTGTTAGAAGGTGATATTTCTTGAGGGTACAGCAACTATTGAAAGACAGTTTAAAACTGTGGTTTCTCTTGATATGTTGTCTAATTCAGTGTAATCATCATCTTTTATGTATTAATTACAGCTTAGTTTAACAATAGAGATGAATGACAGAGCTGGCATCAAATCAGGCCAGATTTGGTTAGCATCCTTCGACAGGATTCTTATCCAGGATGGCATTTTGAAGACTGTGTCTTCTAAGAACTAATGCAGATGAGAGTGTTTGGCTGGTAAAGATGAGTGGGTAGCATGTCAGCCTGGGTGCTCCGCACTGGAAGTTACCCAGTCCTAATCCCTACTCCATTACCTGCTAGCTATGGATTTAGGACAAATCACTTGATCTTCCTGGGTCTCAATTGCTTAATCTACAAAATAGAAGTAAATATATCCACTCGGTTGATCCAACAGGATTGCTGGGATGGCTCACTGGAAAAAAAAAATGTACGTGAAGGCGCATGTTCTAAACTTTAAATTGTTAAACATGTTAGAGTCAGTTCCTGAATGACCAGAGACACCATTCCCGGCTGGACAAATAGAGACATCTTGACCAGTCTTTTTCAGGGTCCAGGTCAGGTGTTTCTGCAAATAGCAGGCACCCAACCAACCCACGGAACTGACCACATGGTTTGGCTGCTGGGTATGGGCATCACTCTGAAGGAGAGACTTTACAATCCTATTTAGGAGACAGATAAAATGTGACAAGCCACTCACTCAAAAGGTCAAAAGAAGTTCACTTTAAAGACAAAGAGGCATTTTAAACTTTATGCCTGTGTCTCCATTTTAAAAGTAAATGGAACAATCCTTCAAAGACAAATTTACTTCATCAAGCCACAGAGCAATGAAAACCTATAATCATAATATAATATCTTCTGAATATTTATTACCTTTAACTGCACATAAGCATCTTTTTAAAAAAATATTCCTAACACCATTCCCTATAAAATAGCAGGAGAGATCATTTAAGATTTAGGAAAATGTGTTCCAGAATCATTTGTTCTAGGAGACATCCCAGTAATTGGTGGAGCAACATGGGAAAAGCCAGTGATCCAGGAACAGGTGTGTTGCCGTTACTTAGAGAAAAGGCTCATGAAATACCCATTTATTTTAAGTGGTTTGCTTGCTTGTTTCCCCTTTGATGCGGATATAACCATGTAGCATGCAAAAATCTACTGGGAGTCCAGGATACACCAATCCAAGGGCGTAGCAAGAGGTATGGTGTGAAGACCTGTTTACTCTCTTCTGATCAGATCATTTCAACATAGAATTTTCTTTCCTTGAGGCCCCTTTAGCCCACTTTCCATTCTCCAGCCCATGGCCCTAATCACTTAATTTTCCTGCCTCCTGTTTAGATTAGTAAACCTGATCAAAGACCATCTGTCTACTGGCTTTCAACTGAGGTTAGCACACATCAGAATGTGATTAACGTTTGATTGTATATTAATATCATTCTAATTATGAAAATGGAAAGTTAAATAAAGATACCCAATTTAAATCTCTCCTATACTCAGCCTTCTCTATGATTCTCTGGGAGAGAAGGAAAGAGGATTCTCTGACCTAATTCAATGGGAGGAGTGGGGGACCTTGTGCCCCCAAAGACCTGGTTTTATTCCTTTTTGAATATGACAATGACATCTTTCTCATTCTCAAGGAAGAAACAATTCTCAAAATTTTTGTGTTTTTAAAGACATAGTCTGGAGTTGAGTTACTTGACCCATTGGTTGAAAAGCCATTATTTAACTGTTAAAAAAAAAAAATGCAGAGTAACTGATAAAGCCAAACACAAGCCTTCTGGCTAAAAGGTAGTTTTGTTTTGCAAATTAGATTCTTTGACACATTAGGAATTCGGTAAGAAAGATACAGCATTCAGCCTGGGTTCTGAATAGGCAATGTTCACCGGAAGATAGCTCAGCTCCTAATACATAAAGCAGTAGGGTACATTCAAGCTCCACAGTAACTGCTGATGAGGCCAAGCTGTCCCTGGTAAATGAGAATCCCTTTCTTTTTAGAGAGTTCCAGCATCCTGCACATTAGCAAGTTTCTAATGTTCTATGTAAAGACTGAGAATTAGAGAGCAATGCTTTGCATGCCAGGTTGCCTGTTGTCTTCTTGCCATCTTTTTGGTTGTCCTTCGACACAGATTAGCTCCCAGGAAAAGCCAGGGGTGCACACACACATGTGCGCATGCACACACACAAACATCCCTCTTTATCGGTTTTGTTTTTGTTTTTGTTTTTTTATTTTTTCGAGATGGAGTCTTTCTTTGTCACCCAGGCTGGAGTGCAGTGGCACAATCTCAGCTTACTTCAACCTCTGCCTCCCGGGTTCAAGTGATTCTCCTGCCTCAGTCTCCCAAGTAGCTGGGACTGCAGGCACACATCACCATACCTGGCTAATTTTTGTATTTTTAGTAGAGACAGGGTTTTGCCATGTTGGCCAGGCTGGTCTTGAACTCCTGACCTCAGGTGATCCACCTGCCTTGGCCTCCCAAAGTGCTGGGATTACAGGTGTGACCCACCGTGCCCGGCACATCCGTCTTACTTTAAAATGCAGTTGAGGAAAAGGCAGCAACACCAAGTCCTCTCCACTCCCCATTTCTTGTCTCAAGTCCTGGCCTGAGAGAGGCAGAAAGTTTCTAGTACTTGTCGTGTCTTGGCCTGTTCTCTGAGACTGTCCCCATTGGTGCTGATGCTTGTGGCTGGGGTGAAGACATGCAAGGGGGTGATATTTTAGTTATTTGGCTGGTAATTAGGTTTGTGGTTTCACCTTAGGCATCTTGGGCAGCAAGAGAAGGAGCCTCTCAGACATCTTGATCAGACATCCTTAAGTGTCCGTCTCAGGGCAAGGTCTAGGTTTGACCTGGGTATATTTCAAAAGACAAGGCTATCACGAGAAAGGAAAAAAACAAGACTGACCATCCTGTCTGGCCTCACTCTGTTCTTCATCACAGTTATCCTTCTGGTCAGTGTTGAGCCCTCTCTGAGGGGCTGCAGGCTCCTATGTGTTGTATGTTTATCATCTCTTCCCATTTTTCAACAGGACTAATGAGTTAGGGACTGCTGTATCTTCATTTTACAGTGGAAGGCACTAAGGCTTAGAGAGGTTAAGTAACTGGCTCAAGTTTGCACAGCCAGTTAAATGACAGAGCCTGCTCTATCTCAAGTTCTTGTAATTAACCAATATGCTGTTCTGCTGAACCCTCCCCAAAAAAAAAAAAGTCCTAAGAAGTTGCAGAATTTCTTTTCCATTTCACGTGAAACTAATGACAATCCTGACTTGTAGTCATTTATCTGCTTTATCAGAAAAAGTTCATTACCCATTATGTGCAGGTCACTGGGATAGATGATGCAGGGGATGTGAAGTTTTTTAAAAAGCACTTTTTTTTCCATAAATAAAAATAATTGATAGCTAATGTTGACTTACTTTAATCTTATAAACCAGGCACTCTTTTAAGCATTTTACATACATGATTAATCCTCTGAGCATCTCTGAGGTAGGTTCTACTTTATCCTCATTTTACAGATGAAGAAGTAGAAACATAGATGGGAAGTGCATTCCTTGCCTAAGATCACACAGCTAGTGTGAGTTAGACCTTGGATTTCAACCCAGTGATGTCTGATGGGAACCTATGCTCTGCATCCTCCAGTCTCCTCTCCCCGGGAGCTGGCAGCCTGATAAAGGAGGCAGATGTGTGCATGAATATCTCTGCTATACCACAGGAGACACTGCCTGACTGACAGGAAGGGGAGATTGTGACTTTGGCATTGAAGCATGGGGAGGATTTGGGGCCGAAAACAAGTAGATGATGATGCGACTTCCTATATAAGCAGATCGTCTGCCTGATGGCTGGGCCAGAGGCACAGTGCTCACCACTCTTCTTAACACATTTTGCCATTTTATAAAGCATCTTCACTAGTAATGTGGGCAGGGTGATTAACAGCATTCCACTTTAGAGATCAGGAAATTGAGGCTCAGTGAGGACGAGGAACTCGCCCAAGGTCATGTAATGGATTTAGTAGTTGAGTCAGGACTAGAACCCCGACACTGTGGTTCTCAACTCTGCCATCTCAAGCAAATGATTTGCTGCATCGGTCTCCTGTTTCAGCCCCACTGAGCCTCCACGCTGGGGTGGGAGATGACCACTTCCAGTGGAAAAAGACAACTTAGACTTTCAGAGGCAGCAGAAGTAGTCCGTGGAGTCCCACCCACCCTAGCTAGAGGCTACCTCCATTTACAGAACCATGTCAGGCCTGTGTCCTGAGGCCCCACCTCTCTGTCTTACCCTTTTGCCATAGATGGTGTAACTGATAAAAACTAAGAAAAACTGGTTATTGGCATCACAGACACCCACATTTGTGCCTGCATTTGGCTTAGAGAATTTGTGACTGATATCAGAGATTTGTTTTTGTGCAATTCAATCAAACTGGCTTGTGTGTATGGTGAAGCTATAAGCCAAAGTAACAGCTTCGAAAAAAGAAAATGCAATCCATTGACCAGGTTGTTTTGTCTCCATAACATCAATTGCTCTGTTGGAATGATTTTGTATCCTGAACAGTCTTCTGTGACTTCTCCCTGGAAATCTTTGTCCCAACCAGTCTGGCCCATTTATTTGTCCTTGAGTGTGCCATAAACATTCTCACCATCATGCTTTTACTTATGATTCTCTCCTAAGTCTATCCTCCTCTTTTTTAGGTCAGACCCTTCTCTGAAATTCCACCCTAGAGTCACCTGTCTTTGAAACTTTCTCTACAATGCCAGCCCTGAAGTCTCACTCCCTCTGTTGGGTTCCTGCAGGTCTTGCAAGGCCACCTTGTTTGGTATTTATCCTTTCTGCACCATAACAATCATCATCTGTGTTGAAGTCTCCTGTCTCATCATTTATACTGGAAACCTCAAAGAGGAAGAGGCCATGCCTGATGCTCAGTACTCCTTTCAAAAATATAGCATCATTCAAGGCTCTTGGGCAATATTTGTTACAACTGGTGAAAAATGGCTTGAGGTTGGATCTTTAATGGGTCAGTTTTTAGATGATAATGTCTCTGGCTGCTGTGGGTTGGAATAAGTGGAATAAGAGTTAGTCTATACTGCTGCTTGCAGGCAGGTGGGAGCCATAAGAATTATCAGATGTCAGCACTAGCAGGAGCCCTACAGAATAGCTTTTCCAATGACTTCATTCTGTAGATGTGGTCACTGAAGCCCAGAGGGAAAATAACTTTGTCCAAATTCTCTCAGAAAGTTATGGACAGAGGCCTCAAGATTCCTTGTCTGGGCCCTTTGTCTATTTTCCCATCTCAATATCTAATCTTTCCACAATGTCTGCCCTCTTGACATTCTCTAGGAACAGAGGTCTTTATTTCTTCTTTAGTCATCTATTCTTTGTATTTGTCAATCCTGAGTTCGGGTCTTCTTTCTATAGCCAACAGACACTCGGGTTCTATTATTGAAAGAAAAATAATATTCATTATAGTCTCATATGCCTGGTGTACAGCAATGCACTATGGGAAATCCAGAATATATTAGATGCCATCTTTACTTATAAAATACATGTGGAATAATATGTAAGGAGATAGGACATGTTTACATAAAATGTTAACAAAAATATAAAGTAGTAAGTGATGAATATCCAAATTGCATTAACCAGCCAAGCTACCAAAACAATTCCTCAGGAAGAGCTCTCCTGTAGCAGGCAGTGCTGGGTAACTGTGGGTAAAAGCCAGTCTTGCATGACAGATGACAAAGCCAGGGTCTTAGGTTGTGGTTGATCAAGGAAATTTCACTTGATTTAAAAAAAAGAAAAGAAAAGAAAAAGAAAAAGAAAACTTCAGCTGAATTAAATTTAAAGGAGTTTAATTGAGCATTGAAACGATTTGCAAATTGGGCAGCCCCCATAATCACAGCAGATTCACAGAGACTCCAGCACAGCCACGTGGTGGAGGAAGATTTATAGACAAAAGGGAAATGACGTACAGAAATCGACAGTGAGGTACAGAAACAGCTGGCTTGGTTACCAGCTGGCGTTTGCCTTATTTGAACATAGTTTGAACACTTAGCAGTCTATGAGTGGTTGAAGTATGGCTGCTGGGATTGGCCAAGACTCAGTTATTGTTGCAGCCACATACTGCTAAGTTAGGTTTTCAGTCTTGTCTGACTATTAAGCTAGGTTACAGTTCGTCCACAAGGACTCGAATATAGAAATACAGAGTCCTCAGGCCATATTCAGTTTGCTTTAACACACTAAAGTGTCCAGGGATGGGGAGCTCAGGCAAGACAGGGCCTCATGTGGACATTGCTGGGAATAGTCCCCAATGCTGGCTGCTGCTCTCGTCCTGGTGGCACATACACAGGCTTGACATGTGTCCAAGATGTGCCATAAGGGGAGGCATCTCTGCTTCTTCCACAGTGACTTGTATTTTTGATATTCATGGGTCTGCAATACCTTAATAATATTTATTACAGAAACACCTTGGCAAATCAGTGATAGGCCAGTTGAACAGGTGGATCATACTGTGCTACTTTTGTAAATGTGTCTGTTATCAATATGTTATTATTTTTTTCCTTCCATTTGAGCAAAAGATCAAGGTTCCAGCTAAAAGATCAAGATGGTCCATGGAACACTAATATTAGAGTGAGGTTCACCTGTTCCCACCAGTCAATGCTCCCACTGCTCCTCCAGCATCTAGCACAGAGTCTTGCAAATGGCAGAAGCTTTAACAAGATGTGGTGATGAATTAACAACTGAAGTGTTTTTCTAATTATTCGACAACCCAACTGATGGAAGAGATGACTCAGAGCTTACAATATTCAGGGTTTATATTATTTTTCTACAAAAGAAGCTTAATGATGTAGAGCAGAGTTTTCTAACCTATGGGCCACCATTCCCCAGGAAGACCAAGGAGCCATTGCAAGGGAATTTTAATTGCACATGTACATATATATTTTCCTCACAAACACATAGCAAAAGGCAACCGGGAGTATGCAAAAATGTATTTTACTTTTTAATAAGGATTTTTCCACTAAAAATATTAAGAATCAATGTAGAAAAATGTAAGAACAATGTGAGACTATTCCTTGTGGGTTTCTCATGGCATAGGGGATGGAAATGGTGAGACTAAATAAGCCACAAGCCCACTGGTTCTCCTTCATGGACAAGGATTCTGCTTTGTGCTGTGGCCAGCAATGCGGTTTTGTTTTTGTCTCTGTTTCTAAGCTGTTTTCAAGAAGGGATAGGCAAGTCTGCACTTAAATAGATGCTGAAATGAGATATTTTGAGTGGTATAAAGAAAGTTCTAAGGCCCTTCAGACTTTTCTGCCACTTCATGGTTAGAACTTAGCAGAAGGCATTGTAACTTGTTAAAATGCAAAGCCCAGGTGAAGGGTGGTCTGTGTATTGGGAAGGGAGTGATCATTCTTTAAGCAATGAATAGAATATCTATAGCTGGTGTTGGGAGCAAAAGACAAGACAAGACTCTGAGTGCTGAGGAGAGAGCAGCCTAACTACACAGTCCTACCCCAGGGACCCTGAGATGTAGATAACAGTCAGGATATAGCCCCAGTCTGGATTCAACAGCTGGAAAAGAGGACTCAGAGGCCCAAGAAGTTCATGAACCCTCTCCGAGTGAAAGCCTGGCTCCCTGTTTCATTGAGGAATGAGGGGCAACTCTTCTTTGGCACATGAATCATGTCTAACATGGCTCAAATAATGCTTTGTTAGAGAATACATACATGTTTCCTTGCCCTTGCAGGGCTTGTAAGAGAGTGTTGGAGAGGCAGAAACTACCCCCTGAGAATCATTCCACAGTGTCTGTGGTCAAATACAAATGAGTGCCTCTAGCCTGACTTGTGACCTGGGTTGGGAAAGTGCTGATCCAGATGTAGAAAACTAATGGGATGGGGCTGGGAAGGCCAAAGCATTTCAGGAGCAACAGCAAGGTCTAGGTGAGAGGTAGGGCAGAGAACCTGCTTGTTTGGGAGACAGGATAAGGCACAAAATGGCCTGTGGGTTAAGGAAGCAGTCTGAGGTCCCTGAGCCTATTTAGGGGGCACCCAAGGGTGAGTCAAACCAATACAACTGTTTAATGTTATTACCACTTTCTGGCTGAATGTGTCCATCAGTGGTCACTGGATTTCAAAGTCTTACTACTGATGTGCACTGGGATGCCATCTAGTTTAGCATTCACTTAGAGTGGGACTCTACTCCAGGATCCTGGACAGAATCCTCTGCTGAAGGTTCTTGCTCCTTTTGGATGGGTTTTATTATTAATATTAGGCTTTTCTCCCTCTGCATCTCTGACACTTCTCTTCTCCTGTTTTCTTCTCCTCTTTGTCACCAACCCTCCCCAGGTCTCCCTGACCCACCACCCATTCCACTTCCACCCATCACGTGAACTCTCAATTAGACCTGGCATCTCTGCCTAAGTCACTAGCGCACAGCTTCTTCTTTTATTAATTGCTGTGTGTAGCGAAGATGGTTTTTTTTTCCCCTGCCAGATTTCTTCTCAGCCTTATTATTGTTCGGAAACCATAAAACTGAAAACTGCATTTTTATGACTCCAAATGACCTTCAGAATTCCAGACATGGCTGATCCTGCTTGGCTATAATATTTTGGCTCATTAATTTCAGAGAAGATATTTCGATTTACAATTTTATTAAGTTTCTGAGGATTTTTAATACTGTGTTTCTAAATATGATGAACTTCTCGCCACCAAACTTTAATTAGGGAGCATATTAAATCTTCAATTAATGCTTGCAGTAATGCATATTTAATATCTAATAACATTTGATCAGGATCCTTTCAGAGAGGGAGGGACTGAGGCACAGGTTCCTTGGTTCTCACTGATGGATAGAACAGCCGCGTCTTCCTTTCCGTCTACTCCCTTATCAGTAGAGTAGAAGCCCATTATGAGATATTGGGCAGGAACACAATTAAAGCTCTCATTATTAGCTTCCCCACTGCAGTGAGAGGGAATGTTGGGCCACTGGGTATGCAAGATGCACAGCTCAGATTTTCTGAACAAGCCCATTCAAAGCACAGAAAGGATTTTTAAAACTAAGGGCCATAAAGGTACCTCATATCATCTTTTCACCTCAAATCTATTTCCCCATGCATAGGAGTAAAATGCTTTAGTGCAAATATCTTCAACATTTTTCTGTAAAGGTCCAGAGAGAAAAGGTCTGAGGGTGCAGGAGCCATTCAGTCTCTGTCATAGCTACCGGACCCTGCCCTCGTAGCATGAAAGCAGCCATAGCTAATATGGAAATGAATGAGACTGATAGTATTCCAATAACACTTCATAGGCACTGAAATTTTAATTTCATATAATTTTCACATGTGATGAAATACTATTCCTCATTTGATCTTTTCCCACCATTTAAAAATGTAAAAACCATTCTCATGATTTGGCCAACGGTCATAGTCTGCCAACTGCAGCTTGAGTAGAAGAGTCCAGAGCCGAGGTCAGTAGACCTGGGGTCTCGTTCCTGCTCTGCCACTATGTCGCTGAGGAAAGCCACAGCATTATCTCGGGAACCCGCTTCTTCAATTGTAAGATAAAGTTTTCAGCTGGGTGGCAGCTAAGATCTTGTTCTAAAGACAAGTGATTCTTTGTGCGTAACTCACTTGTTCGGGCACTCTTTCTGGAGGCCACAAGAACCATCTGTTCTCATTTTTTTCTCTCCTCTTAATCCCTCACCTCCACCATCAGAAGACAAACTGGAACTAGGGCAAAGGCAGCCAGGCCAGCTCAGGAATGCTCATGGCTCACGATCTGCAGTGCAGGAGTTAAAAGCTTTACTCTTGCCTCGGTTATCATAGGAAAGACTTCTTCCTCTGCTCTCTGGAACCTCCATCTTCTTGAGGGCATCAGTCTTCATTCAGAAAACCCACCTAGAAAAGACTAACCTTGGCCGGGCGTGGTGGCTCACACCTGTAATCCTAGCACTTTGGGAGGCCAAGGCGGGCAGATCACTTGAGATCAGGAGTTCAAAACCAGCCTGGCCAACATGGTAAAACCTCGTCTCTACTGAAAATACAAAAAATTAGCTGGGTGTGGTGGTGGATGCCTGTAATCCCAGCTACTTGGGAAGCTGAGACAGGAGAATCGCTTGAACCCGGGAGGTGGAGGTTGCAGTGAGCCGAGATCACACCATTGCACTCCAGCCTGGGTGACAGAGTGAGACTCCATCTCAAAAAAAAAAAAAAAAAACCAAAAAACCAAAAAACCAACAACAACAAAAAAGAAAAGACTAACCTCTAGGGGAAGCACAAAGAATTCAGAGGCGAATGGCCTGCTGTGGAGTGGAGAACATATATCTCCTCCCAAAGGCTGGCCCTCAGCTATGTTTTCAAGACTGAAATGAGGCTGATCTCCCTCCAGCACCCCATCGTGGCTCTCTATCCTTCCACAGCCAGGCCTCTCCCTTCATACTCTTCTACTTTCTGTAAAAAACCTATCCTCATAATAAGGACATAATCTCATCATTAATGTCAAGATGAAAGCAATTGTTGAAAACTTGTAACACTAGAGAAAGCAAGAGAAACTCAGCCTTGATAACTATAAGAGCCAACATTTATTGAATGCTATATTAGTTAGTTTGTGTTGCCACAAATACCTGCAGCTGAGTAATTTATAAAGAAAAAGGGTTGAACTGGCTTATGGTTCTGCAAGCTGTGCAAGAAACATGGTGCCGACATCTGCTTCTGGTGAGGACCTCAGGGAGCTTCCAATCACGGCTGAAGGTGAAGAGGTAGCAGACACATCACATGGCAAGAATGGGAGCCCGAGAGAGATGAGAGAGGGGCCACGCTGTTTTAAATAGCTAGAACTCGTGAATTTAGAATGAGAATCACTCATTACCACGAGGAGGGCACCAAGCCATTCATGAGGGATCTGCCCCCATGACCCAAACACCTCCCGGTATGTCCCACCTCTAACACTGGGGATCACATTTCAATATGAGATTTGGAGGGATCATACACCCAAACCATGTAAGTTGCTTACTATGTGCTAAGCTCTGTGTGCATGTTTATCTGTGTATGTGCATATTTTTCCACCTAAAAATTCTCATTTTGCAGCTGAAGAAGTCAAGATCTAAGAAATCTAAGTAACTTGTTCAAGGTCATCACCTATTAAGTGGCATGGCTGAAATTTAAACCCATGTGGTCTAACTCTAGGACTCCCACTTATATCATACTGAATAGTGAAATTTGGAGAATTAGTAAGTAGAAGAAACGTATTTTAAAGACCTCGCCTGAACTGCCATATTAATCGCTGAACATCGTGTGTAGCTGCCCCTCCTTTATCTCTGCATGAGGTTACCTCTCCAGCCACTCGCTTTCCTCCCCTCGTTCACAATTTGCCCGGAGGGAGGATGCCTGTGTCCTGGCATCTGGGAGGTGATTCTCCTTGGAGCTGTCAGTGCCGCCTCCCTCCCTTCCTCTCAGGTTGCCTTGCCATCCCTTACAGTGTGATTCCATCCAGATGGCCAAATCATAACCCCATTATAAAGATAATTGCTTAACTAAAGCTAATATTTATTATTTGATTCAGGATTTTCTTTCCTCCTGGTCTGAACATAACAAAAACACAATGCTTTAAAATGTCACCATGACCATCTGGTTGTTGCCTATCAGTTCTTGACATCATTTGAGTGGCTTGTTTATTTTGGGGTTTCCATGACTGGGATAGCACAGGAGGCATTTTGGAAAGTACTGGGACTACTGAACAGGAACTCAGACTTAGGAGGGACCCAGGCGTCCGTACTTCTCCCTTCCCTGTTCTCCTGGCATTATTTCTACAGAATATCTGACAGGTAGAGTTCACCCTCAGTTTTGGAGATTTCTGATCCAGTCATTGAGAGATTTGGTTTTTAAGAAGTTCTGCCTTTCTCTATGCCAAGGTTCTATCCTCTGGAACTACACAGTATAAGGGGCTTCACATGGTCAGATGCTCCAAAATTATAAAACCACCATCATGTCATTTGGAAGACACCCTTATTCCACAGTGAGGGTTTTTCATTTCTTGTCCTCACTTTCCTAATCTTTCCCCTCCCATCGGACTCCAGGACTTCTCTTAATATGGGTAACTATAATTCTCAGAAGCACTTTTTTTTTTTTTTCTGAAAGGGTCTTTCTCTGTCACCTAGGCTGGAGTGGTGCAATCATAGCCAACTACAGCCTCCAATTCCTGGGCTCAAGCAATCCTCTTTCCTTGATTCCCATTGTACAGATGGATGATTCCCATTGTACAGATGGATGATTCCCATTGTACAGATTAAAAAACTGACTCAAAGGTGGATGAAACAATGTGTTCAAAATCAACCCCTGACTTTTTTACAGTCCGGTGGAAAGTCACTCCTTGTCCACTGTTCTTTTCTCTGTAGACCGTTACCTGCTCATGGTATACGACTTTGTGATAAAAAGTGCTCAGAGCATTAGTTTTCTTTTTTAAAAAAAATTGGTTTTGTTGCTAATTTTTAAGTGAACTACCTCAGATACATTACAAGAGTTTGATTAATTGTATGAGGAACATTTTTGTAGCCACTACCCAACTTCAGAAATAAAACATTACAGATATCAGCTTGCATATCCTTGTATAATAACTCCTATCCCATGTCCCTCCTTTTGCCTCAGAAGTAATCGTTATTCTAAATTTGATGATCATCATTCTCCATTTATATATATATATATAGCCCTACGCAACAATATCGGTCTGCATTTTATTAAATTTCATAGCTGTCTATAGGTATCCTGATTTTTTTTTTCACTCAACAGATTGGTTTTGAGATTCATCCATATCGATGCGTAGGACCATAATTCATGCTTTTCTATGGCCTATGTTATTCCTGTCAATGGATATATCATTTATTTACTCAACTTACTGTCGATGGACATTTAGGTTCTTTCTCATATTTGCCATCCTAATGATGCTTCAACGAACATTGTACTTCTAAGTTCTTATTTCTCTAGGGTTTGCCTAAAAGTAAAACTGCAAGGTCATAAGGTATGTGGATCTTCAACTTTAGCAATTTTATCGGATATTACCATATTGCTTTTGCATGTTATGCCCACCAGCAGTCACTGAAGGGTTCCATGGTGCTACCTCTTCACCCACACTTAGTTGTATCATACTTCGCCAGCCTGATAGGTATGATCATCATTGTTTTGGGCAAAACAGGCATCATTATTGCTAATTTATATTAGCATGTAGAAAACTAAATTTAATTAAAGTTAACTGGCTTGAACAAGCTACACAGTTCAGACAAGAATACAAACTCTTTGGCAGGAGTTAGAATTTGGTCCACTGATATCAGCCATTACCAATATTTCCTAGATATTGGTTTAAAAGGAACACTATCCTAGGTGCCATGGGGCATTGCTAGGAAATGTATTTGCATGTGTTAATGGAGGCAAGGGACAGAAAAAGTGGGTTTACAGTTTGGACCTGTGCTGCTTTCGGAGATGTAAGTGACATGCACACTATGTCGGTCTCTATAACAGCAAGATATGTAATCATGGGGTTCTATTGATGTGCATATGCTCAGGCAGATATTAAAGCCAAAGCAGGTCATTGACTGTAGGAAGAAGCAAGCAGGATGGTGGGGTACAGCAGGCCAAATGCCAGCGGGGTTACTAGAGCAGTTCCTTAGAGAGGGTTTATAGACAAATAGCACAGAGATGGCAGTGGAAATTCCCTTGGCACTCTTTGTTGGCCTAGAGGGGCCTGGGACAATGGCTACTAATCAGATCCAGAAGCTGAGGCCTGTACAAACTTCTGCTGTGTGCCTGCCAGCTTCAGACATGGGCAGGTACTGAGATAATAGGTATAAGACCCAATTCTTGCTTCGGGCTTGGTATCCAGTCAGCCAGCAAGAACAAGGAAGAAAAAAGCATTTTAGGCTTTGCATACACAGCACATACTAAAAAGAAATGAACATGATGAAAGAGTTCATGGTGGGGAGTAGCAGCACTAAAGCTGAAGGGAAAAGTCAGAAGGCTGTGGTAGGGAGCTTTGAATGCTGAGCGACATCACTGAAATATCACCCAGTAATCATATCAGCATACTTAGCCCCTGCTATAGTCTAGTCTCTACACACTCTAAACACATAATCACATTTAATCCTCTCAGTCACTATATGAGATATGTATACTCCTATCCACACTTATAGAGGAGGGAACTGAGCACAGAAAGGTTAAAAGACTTGCCCAAAATCTCAGTTTTCCCATGGCAGAGCCAATCTTTGGACCAAGGCAGGGTAACTATATGATCTGGGCTCCTGACCACCATACTCTACTCCGCAACTATAAGATCTTGGAGCTTCTAAGCAGAGGTGAGTTAAAGACATATGGCTTATTTAAAAAATATTCAAATGCCTGGCCCCACCACTGGACATTCAGATTTGACATTTCTGAAAGACTGAAAAACTCCTTCGGTAATTCTGATGTGCATGCATTCTTGATTGACAGCCACTGCATCAGCTGTTGGTAGCCACTTGGGTTCTGATAAGCCAACATCCTCAAAGTTGAGTAGTTGAGAAAGGGGGTGTTGGAACCAAAGTAGTGATTTAGGAGGACTGATCTGTGTGATTCTTGACAGGGACTAAGGAAGTCAAGAGAATGGAGATGGGGAGATAGTGGCAGATTATGCAGAGGCCAAGACGTGGGAGATGAGAGCTGTGTCAGAATGGGAGAACAGAAATGAAATAAGCCATTGATGCTGGAGACAAGCTATGACTATCTAAAAATAGTCATGGATACCTTCAAGTGAAGAAGTCTTAGTGAGTGACCAAGTCCTCATGCCATTGAGTCCACCATAGTGGGTGACACATGAGCTCTGGTTCAAATCCTTGCTCCATCCCTTACAAGCTGTGTGACTATGGGGAAGTTATCTAACATTTCTGGACTTCGTTTGGCTCATTTATAAAATGAAAATAATGATAGGCCCTCCATCACTGGGTGATTACACATACATAGCACTTAACGTGGTGTTTTTCTCACAATACATTATCAATAAATGTTAGCTCTTATTATTTTTATTGGTAGGAAAGGTAAATTTGTTATGTGAGCAATATGAGAGACAATCAGCTAAGATTTCGAGATTTTGGTCTTAGATGTGGCAAGATCTCTGATCCTTCTACAGGCTACCTTCAGACTAGAAAAAAAAAAAGCCTGCTTTTTTCAAAATGACAGCAGCTTCGTTTTCAATGAAAATGATGCTAATTACTGGGTATTGACCTAAGATGAATTTCTCTTTGATGAACTCCATACTGCTCTTCAGAAAACCTAGCCAAATCATCTCAAATACCAGGAAGTGTGGGGTAATGAAGCAAATGGGGGGAAAATGTGGATCAGAAAAAATTATTGCTACAAAAATATTTTCAGTAAGTTTGTTCCCTTCATAAATAGTGTGAATGGAATGCCTCTGCAATCAGCTGAAAGCCTGATCTTCGCTGTGGGCTAATTGCTCGTCTGGTTAGTGCAGAATTTAATTTGTGCTATTGTGCAGGCAAGGCTGAGAGCGTGAAATAAACAATGTGTGTTAATTTCACGTTTTCCAGTCTACTTAGCCAAAGAGAGAGCTCAGGCTCCTCTCAGGCCTCACCCCACCCCCTCCCCAGCTTCGCATCCCAGAGTTGCAGACCACAGAGGGGCGGGGTATGTGCTGACTGCAGGTGCAGGGTTCTTGCCCCAAGACCAAAGGCTCAGGGAAGCCGGTTGGCCTCGTCAGTGATGCTGATGGAGGACATACATGGTGCACACCCTCCACCACCACACGCCCAGGGTTGGTGCTCCAGATCTTTCTTCTAAGACAAATGGGCACCTGCTGATGCAATGCAGCTGGCTTTATCCTCTCAAGTTTAATGATGTCCTTGGTCCCCTATGGAGCTTTCACTGGGGCAAATGGAGAGCCACCAAACCGGATGGCATCCATACTGAACAGACTAATTTGATGAGCTGAGGGGATTTTCCTCTGGTGAGGGAAGAATACATATCTTCATCAAGAGGGGGACTAGATGCCCACTTCTAGGATGGGATTGGAGGAAGGCTGGGCTGGCCTCCCTTCCTGCTCCACACTAGGAATATGAGGAATGGGAGCTAAGTCATCCCCACCTTCTTTCTCCATGACTGCAGGGCCTGAGACCCAAGAGAAGTCATTTGCTCAGAGTCATAGAGCAACTAGACTCTTGACTAGGCCTCAAACTCACAAAGACCTCATTCCCCTCCCAGTACTTTCTGCTATACCGTCTCTCATTCAGTCTATATAATGAGCAAAATTATATAGACCTAATGAGAGAATTAAATATCTTCTCCTTGATAATTAATTGTGAGCAGGGATCCTGAAGTAAGGCGGCCTGAATTCAAATCCTAGTTCTAGCTCAGTAATATTTCACAAGCTACAGTGCCTCAGTTTCCTTACCTGTAAAAAGAGCATATAGTCTATAGGGTTATTATGACCATCAAACTAGTTAATACATGTAAAGTGCTTAGAACAGTGCCTGGCATAACTAAGTGCTCAGTAAACATTAATTATTATTAGTGTTACCATTTAGGATTTTTCAACATCTTACCTGTTCTTATCAGAAGATTTTTGTCTCTGTGTAATCAGATATTTCTGTTCCCCTAGAAAAGGGCTTTCTGTTCCCTTACCTTCACTATGCCATCCCTCCTGTTTTTATTGTTGAAAATCTAAGAGGGAAATTTCAGTCTTCAGAAAGGCCTGGGTTCCTTTCTAATTGAGAGAAGAGCAGATTTGAAGTCATGGATGCCCATCCGTGCAATGGCAGGAAGCTTGCCTTATTTGTCTCTGTCTTTCCAGTGACAAGCACAGGCCTGACACAGTGTGTCTTGAATATGTGCCGGAGCACCAGAAAGCACAGCAGAAGAGGCCAGATGTGGTCTTCATGGCCACAGAGGCCAAAGAACAAAGTGAAAAGAAAATCTTCTTGCCCTTGATCATGAGGGTGACTGGTGTTTCTTCTTAGGGAAACAATATCAATCTTATTTTAATCCATTAAAGCATAGGGTAGAGCAACCTTGCCCGTGTCCAAGATACACCACTGCATATGTTCTCAGTGGAATCTCCATAAATAAGTAGTAAACCCCTCCTAGTTAAAATACAAAATACTGAAGATACAGAGATTGTGCCTGTCCTCAGGGAAGCCATAATCCTCATAAGTAGTCATCCTAACCATGATAATGCAACCTCACATTGAAACAGCACTCTGAGGTTTGTAAAGCACTGTGTGGACAGTTTCTATACTGCAGATTAGGACACCAGGATAATGAAAGGTTGAGGGACTTGCCCAAGGTCACACAGTTGGGATATGACCCTATGTCTGTTGCCTTGAGGTCCTCTCCTCTCTCCACTGCACCGATCTATATCTCCATGAAATAAGGGGTATCTGTCCTGACAAACTTGCCCCACTGACTCTTGGCAATTGCAGAGAATAGGCACATTTTTTGATGTACTAGGTGAGGCTGTGTAACCTGGAGATAAAAGAACAAAAATCCTTCAACAATGTTGTAATGTCCTTGGAAGTCTGGGGAAAATTAATAGTACTAGCAATAAAGCAACCACAAGCTAAGGAGCATTTACTGCATGTGAGACACTGGAGTAGAGTTATAAAAGGGGGCGCAGAGATAAGGAAGATACTGTCCCTGCCTTCTGATGCATCACAAATTAAGAAGATAATAAGAGTGTCCACAGAAGCAAACCTCATGTTAGCATGTGGTAGCTGACTACCTGGGTTGCGTGGACTGAATGTGGCTTCGAGTTTGAGAGGAGGTTAGTCTACAAATGCTGGGCTGGAGTTAAGCATACAAAAACAGAACCAGGTAAGAGATGACCCCAGAAGGCACTTCAATGGCTCCCTGACAATAAGAAGAACTGTATCTCACTGCAGGTAGGAGTCATCAGAGGAAGCTTCAGGAGGCAGGGGAACCTACAGGGGCCTCCAGAAGGGAGAAGTTGAATCATTGGAGTAGTGGGACAAGGGATTTCAGACAGGAGTGTCAAGATCAAAGGCACCAGAAAAGGCAGGGTGCATCAGATCTGATTCCAGTTGTGGTCTAATTGGAAAGGTCATTTGGCTGTGATGACAGGCAGATTCTAACACTCTAGCATGGGGAAGATGATTGTTTAGTGCCTTACCCAGCAGAAGGAGGGTGGGGGAGAAAAGAAGGAATGTTTGGGATAAGAACACTACCATCTGAATATTCTACATGACTTCCCTGTTTGGCCAGTGCTCACAGGTTAGACAGTGAGCAAGTGGAGCCTGATTAGACAGGTAAACAAGAGGCTGAGAATTTTCCTGGCTTGGAGGAACCTGAGCAACCCCCATCCCTAATTATATGTTGTGTCTCAGAACCATCCCATCCCATCCCATGGCCCAGTAATACATGAGTACTCCTGACTGGGGGCTTGAGGGTTCCCTAAATGCTTGTATTTTGGCCGTAAGAAGAGAAGGGAATGAGATGAGATTCAAGTGGTCCACAAACCCTCCACTATCCTCAAGCAGGCATCACATAGTAGTTCTCTCCTTCAAGGTTCTCCTGAAGTTCATTTGTAGCTGGTTTTCCCTAGAAGGAAATATGTGGAGCTAAAGGAGAAGAGGTTGGCGTGGAAAAGGTAGCACACAGTGCCTTCAGAAGCCATATTCCATTGCTCCTTTTGAATGAGATGTTACCACAGTGAGAATATAAATACCGCTGGGAGGGGGACCCCATGAATTGCCATCTGCATTTAGGAGAGAATTTGCTTGTTAGACTTTTCTCTGTGCCTCCTCTCTGAGAGCTGACTCTTGTGGAAGAAGTAGGGGGCTATTCTCAGGGACCCCAGAGGGAGCAAGTACCCCACACCCTATGCCATTTGTGCCTCCCTCCCGGCTTGGGGAGCTGTTGAACCAAAGGAGAGCCCAGAGGAGAAAAGTACAAAGCAGAGGCCAGCAGAGTCCCCACAGAAATTTCTGCAGCTTCACAATCTCTCAGCAGGCTAATGTGGGCTCTGTCTTCAGCTTTCCTTCCTGAGAAAGCCCTAGGAAGGACCCAAGGTCTCAGTCCGAAAAGACCCTCGGAGGCAGAGCAAATGATGGCCACCAGGAGGCTGCCTGCACTGCAGTGCATCAGAGGTTGAGATAAAGGGAAGAGGAGGTCGGAGTGTGGGATCTCAGAGGTTAAGTGACCCAGAGGGGAAGGTGAAGGGCTTGTCCAAGGCACATAGCCATTTGTTTCAGTAAATGCATCAGCATGTCTGGCATTTGAAATCTAACATAGGAAATTGGATTTGTCATATGTTCCAAAGAAACTGACTTTTGAGGGCATCTGAGGACCCGATATAAAGGTTTAGAGATCCTGCATTTAGACTTCTCATGATGCGTGGACCTACCTGGAGCTTCAAAAATTTACAAGTGTGAGAATTCTGAAGTGAGGTTTCGAGGAGAGTATAGCAGTACTCTGGGTGCTCTGGCCTTTGCAGTCACCAACTACACACATGACCTGAAGGACTCTTCGCACAGGAAGCTTCCATGGACAGAACTACCCTTCCCTTCACCTCCAGCTCCCAAACCTTTTCCATCCTTCAGGAATCAGTTCAAGGACAGTGCTCCATGAAGGCATCTGCAAATAGCCAACACTAATCTCTGTGCTCTCCTCCCAAGGGTGAGCTAGTGAAAGCACCCAGCTAAAGAGTGTTCACTCCATAGGCCCTGCAGTAATCATGGCTTACCTCATTTATGTTCACAGCAAACCTATGAACTGGGCATTCTTCTGTTCACTGATGGGAAAACTGAGACACAGAAAAACTAAGGCATTAGAACTTAGGTCCAGCTGATTCCAAATTCTGAGCTGTGTACCACAGCTTTCTAATACCTCCTCTAGCCCTGTGTGCATTGTGGTGTTGATATTAAAACCACCTTAGATTATAACTTACCTTGCTAGGCTCAGTGGGAAGATGAAGCACTGTAAGATACACATCCCCTTTTGTTCAGGAAACTTAGAGTCTAATAGATAGATCAAGCATAGAAATAGATAGTGAAGACATGGGGTGCACACACGCACATTATATCATGACATCAGCCCATAGTCACTGAGCATCTACTATGTGCCAGACATCATGCTATGTTCTCAAAGAGCTTAAGGGAGATCTCAGTCTATGCCCCAGTGAAGCTTGTAGTCCACTGTGGAAATTAGTCCTTAAGGAAAACGTTTGCAACTAGCTATGTAATTTACAGTATAAAATGTTAGGCAGGGAGAGAAAGATCCATGAGAGAGAATAACAGGAGCCTGTTTTAGATGGGAAGGTCAGAGAAGGCCTCCCTTCTAAAGTGTCATTTTAGCTAAGATTTGAAAGATGAATAAGAGCTGGCAAAATATAAGGAGGTTGTAATATGGGGAGGGATGATTTCCGGTCAGAGCCCCGAGGCAGGAAGAAACATGAAACTCGAAAATCACCTCTAGCCCAGGCAGCCAGCTGTGTTCCCCAGCTTTTGCCATCCTTTTTGGGTTTCTGGAGCCCCAGGACCCCACACTCTGAATGCCCTGGGCTTGACAGATGTCTCCTCCCCTTCTGTCTCCTCCACTGGTTTATTTCTGATGATGTTATCCACAGCTTCAATCTGAGCTCAGCCTCTTGCTTTGTCCATTTCCTCCTTTGGATCGCAGTGGGGGCTTCTGAGCCACATGGATGATGAGGCTCATGCTTCATGAGCCCCACCTCAAGAGCTTTGGAGCCCCACCTTTGGAGCCCCACCTTTCCTTTGGAGCCCCACCTCAAGAGCTCTTTCCTTGTGTCTACTTCTTCCCAGCCTCAGCGGGAGCTAGGACCTGGGAAAGACTGTAAACTGTATACATTATTTCCTTTTTGATTAGGTGAATAAATAACTTGATTGAGACGCGCCTCTTTGGAGGGTGATGCTGGCAGGCTTCCAGGAGTGGGAGGCAGCTGGCTCCAAGCACCGGGGAGACGGCAACAAAGGCCCAAGGGACAGACACATTGTGGGGAGGCTTGGGGTCCAGCCTAGACCTGGAGAGGACCAGCCAGAAGCACTTAGGGAAAGCAGCCTGCTCCTTCCCTTCCATGTGAGAGGAGGCCCAGGTTTGGGATGCTTTTCTCAGCACTGGGTCATGTGCTCCAGTCCCTGCTTTCCTGAGGAACAAGCTTCTGCTGAGAGGAAGGGCCACAGGCTCAGGGCAGCTGACAACTGTTGTACAGCCCAAGTGAGAGAGTCCGTGTGAAAGTTCTTTATATATAATAGGTATCATTGTTAAGGAAGACCTCTTGGGTGAGGCGCGGTGACTCACACCTGTAATCCCAGCACTCTGGGAGGCTGAGGTGGGCGGATCACCTGAGGTCAGGAGTTCGAGACCAGCCTGACCAACATGGTGAAATCCCATCTCTACTAAAAATACAAAATTAGCTGGGCATGGTGGTGGGTGCCTGTCATCCCAGTTACTCAGGAGGCTGAGGCAGGAGAATCTCTTGAACCCAGGAGGTGGAAGTTGCAATGAGCCAAGATCACACCACTGCACTCCAGCCTGGGCAACAAGAGCAAAACTCTGTCTAAAAAAAAAAAAAAAATTCGCAGGTCCTCCCCAGGCTGGGACATCACTCAGCCCCGGTCAGCATGCTTGCTTCCAAGGAGGCCTCAGTGAATGTGAGGAAAGGCCAAATGCGCCACCAGATTCGGAGCCACGCCTGAGCTCATGGGGATGAGGACATTGTCAAAGGGACTAGAGAATCTGATTCTGAGTTGAATCAGATCCAGCTCAGAGACCCCAGTACAGAGACTCCCGTGCTATCTCTGCAGCAGTTTCCTTGCTCCTGCCAGGTGAGCCTCAGGCTGGCTTCCACGTGAAGACTTCCCACTCATACAATTTCTGCCCACCTTTGACCCTCACCTCCAGTTTCTCCATGAGCCCCAGCTCCTCTTTAGGACCACTGACTCTCCATTCCCTTCCATGCTTTGAGGCTCAGCTCGAAGACAGCCTCCTTGATGAGGATAACCCTACAACCCTCCCTCTTCTGTTACCCACTCCTGTGATAGCACTTACCACCTTGTTATACATATCTGCCTTTCCCTCCAGAAAGGAGGCCTCTTAAAGGCAACATTGGTTATATTCCCAGCATCTCACATAGCGCCAGCATATAATGGCTCTTGTAGGAAGAATTCCCTGACCTCTACCATACTGCCTATCTTGGTTAGCTATAAAATCTCTGTACCCTCGCATTACACTACTCACACATATAACATGATGGGGACTGTCTGTGTATTTGTGTGCACCATCCAGTAGGCCAGAGCACCAGGAGAACTGGGACCATGGCCATCTTTCCATTAGCCTAGCACATGTCTAGCCTCTAGGAGGCATTCAATAAATACTGTTGAGTGAATGAACAAGACAGTCTGGGCTTCTGAAGACCAATTAGGTTATAGACTTTGCCTGGGTTAGATGTTTTATTCCAGTAAACACCTTATTCTCAATCCAGGCCCCCTCCCAACATACTTGATCTGCAGTTGTCCAGAATCCCAACATCATGAAACTGTGCTCACCTCACATCACTGTGCTGGGGGTAGAAGTTGTAGATAAATGGCTTCAGTAGGGTATATTATTGTTTTTTTCCAGAAATGCTGGGTTTTCTCCTTTGCTCTGGTGCAAACAGAACATCAGCAACTAATGAGCTTTTTTTCTATGACATACAAGGAGAGAAGATAAATATAGTGTATCCAGTGGCAGGTTTGGTACTTTAAAAAATTGAGAAATCTGTGAGTGATGTCTTGGAAAAAGCTTTCTTCCCAGGCGTTGGGAGACCAGACTCCACCATTAAATTCCTGTGAGACCTCAGCAGATTCACTGAAGTTGCCTCAGTTTTCCAGTTTGTTTAATAATTGTTGCAAAAATTAAAAAGTACTTTCACAAGTACCACCTTTTAAGTGTTTATGAAGCTTATTCATGTGCTTTATCTCTTGTTTCCTGGACCTGTAAGCTAACTAGGATAGTGGAATTATTATTAATAAGGAGTCTAGACTGGATGATCTCTAATTTTTGGCACATCTTTCATTTTCTAAAAGGTTTGAGTTTAAAGCTTTGTACCCTTTGACCCCTAGGCGAGATCTCTTTCCCAAGGTGAGGCTAACGACTTTCATGTAGTCCAATCACATAAGTCACAAAACCCAAACTCGTCTACATGGAATGGTAAGAAAGAAAATACAGAGGGGCTTATTCCCCAAAGACATGACTCCCTGGTGGAGAAATTTCCCACAGTCATGATGGTCTTTTTTGGCAAGAACGTCTTCTTGCTTTCCTGTAAATCGCAGACTGGGGCTGACACCTTGCAGTGCATTGCACTGACCTTGCCTTGTGATCCTGGTGCCAGGTTTTTTGAGCCTGGCAGGAGTGGTGAGAGTGTCAAGTCTGAGATGGTCTGGACTTGCAGCTGAAGTTCAGTTAAGGACCCAAATCAAGTACTTTCAGCCACATTCCATTGCTTGCTATCATCAGATAAGAAAAGACAGCTATTTTATTATACTATTTTTGAAATACAGTGCTTAGAGAGGTACAGTGGCTGGCCCAAGAACCCCCCAAAATTCAGTGGTCAGGATACATCGCTACAACACCCACTCCTTTTCCAGAAGGAAAACTGCCTTCTCATCTAAAAGTGCCTTTGAACTCTGACTACAACATCATCTGCATAAAGATTGCATCATCAGTGCTCATGGGCTTGAACCGAGTGGAAACTATGCGATTTCACATGGGGAAAATTCTGGGCAACAAGACATTGAACCAGGGTTCTTAGCTGCAGCCCTAGTTAGAGAATTGCTTCCACATTCTGGGCCTGTTTTCTTGTGTTTACACAGGAGAACTGGTTGGGAGAAGTGGTTCTCACTATTTGGTCTAAGGATCGACTGCATCCCAATCATCTGGATCCATGTTTATAAAGGCAAATCCCTGGGCTTCCCCAAGATCTGTTGACTTGGAATATGAAGGGGTAGGTCATGGAAATCAGCAGTTGATACAAGATTACTACGGGATTATTAAGCATACTAAGGCTCAACAACCACAACAAGGGGACCATATGATCTCAGAACTTCCATCCAGAAATATTGTCATACGATTTTATGAATATATCATTACTGTAAGGTCCACAAGAAACAATAGCTAGGAACAGAACTATACTTGTGACGTCTTGATTTTTTATTCTTCACCCATGCATCCCAGTTCTATGTGGAAAGTGGATGCATTTTAAAAAGCTAGTCCATTCTGTGGGAAACTGTAGTCACTGACACATCCTGAAGTTCCCTCTAGGCTGTTCTGGAGCGTGGAGCCCTGAATGGTGGGGTGAGGGAAGAAAGCGGATCTGTGTTCTGAGGGAAAGACAGAGTCCCTATAAACAGCAGTCCCGGAATTATCCTCCAGCGCCCGTGCTATTATAAAGAAGAGCTGACACAGCAGAGTCCGGGGGATGCTGTGTGTCTGCAGAGCAGTAATCACGGAGGCAGGCAGGCTAAATGCAAAGAGAACATTTGCACAAACAGCACCTGTACCGAGCAGTCATCCACTATTTTTAGAGCTGCTGCAAAGAGCAGAGGGACATTTGGAGAGGCTCCTAAAGGGCACCAGTCAGTAGGAAGGTGGAGAGGTTTTGGCATGTTCTGTCTGGCTGATTCTGCAGTGCCCTGTCAACTGAGTCATTGAAGACTTGGGCAGTCTGACATTTTTGTTTTGCTTTGGTTTTTGGTTGAGAATGGGGTGGAGACATGCTGGATGGTGTGGAACAAGGGGGTGATAAAGAGGATTACTCTGATCTGTCAGTGACGTTTTTGATGGCAGAACACATATTTAAAAGTTTAGATTATTTTGATCCTAGAAAATAGAAGAACAGTTTGTTCTCCAGGGCTTAATCTGGAGCAGCCCAAAGCAGGAATAAATGGCAAATACTTTCATCTTATTCATTTGATCCAGCTGCAAAAATGGGATTGTCACATCTCACATTTGTAGATAGAATAAATTATATAACTTAGTGTTGGACATATACTGGTTAGGTCAACATAATTAGAGCCTGGAGCCTGGAGGTTGTGGCCATTTAGACAGAATACCTAAATGCTCTGTGACTCAGTGCATCAATTCTTATTTTCAAATAAGGAATAATAGTGAACACTAATTGAAGGCTTAAAAAAACATTTCCAAGGACAGGCCCATTGACAATTGGCTAATGACATCAACTCCGTGTATAAGAACAGAATGGGACTTACATAACGTTCTGACATGTGGAATTTCCCATCAAAGTGAACACAATCGATTTGATAAATGTTACACATTTGTTTGACCTTTCAGGTAGATTCGCAACACATCAGGTCAGCAAATGTCATTTCCTGATCTACCACCTCCTCTTCTCCCATTTGCAATTAGGAAATTCTTTTTGTTTTTAGCCTCTTCAGGAATGTTGTGTTGAACTCTCATGAGGTATCTGGTCCATTCCTCTCCTAATATGGATTAGCAAAATACCCTTCATCAAGACTACTTCTCAAGCCCACACAGCAATCTATTTGCAGAGTTAGCTTGAAACCTAGATATGTGACTCCCAGCCCAGCACTTTTTTTTCACTTTATCAGAGACACCGAGGTTCTTTGAGTTGGAAGAAACTGAGAAGTCATCCAGCATAACCTGTTATTGTCAATGCTTGAATTGATAAACTGGAGATCACACAAACTTTTTCTAATAATTATTTCGAAATCAAAATTAGACAACAGAGATGAATGCAAAGTTGAAATTATATTCTTTTCGTCCTGTTTGATGTAAAAACAAAACAAACAAAAATACTACCTGGCTGCATCCTAATGAATAGTGGTCTTGAGGTGTGTGATTCAGACCGTATGGACCTCACAAGGCTATTTTTTCAGAGTAAACTAATTATGATGGGAACCAAGCTAGGCTCTTGGTGTGTAAATACTATCTATGTTCATTGATGCATTCTAACTAATGCAAACACATTGAGACTGTTGGAACAATAACCTCAGTAAACTGATTATTTACAGAACTATGAAAAAGCAAAATATGTCTTTTGCAATGTCTCCTCTTTTTCCCAACTATTTATCTCTGTTCCTTGTGTCAGGCCTCTCCCAAGGAGCCACCATTGTGTTAAACATCATTCTTTAGAGTCTTTCTCTCAGCCAGCTATATCCTCCCTGAAAGTATTTGCCCATAAAGATTTAACAAGTCTGGGAAGGACAAAGGGAAGACGAAAGAGAAATGGAGGTTTAAGAAGTATAAATTCCTAAATCTGACCATATTTTTTTTCTCTCCTTCTTTTGATTGTGTTTGCTTTCATTATGGCTCTTTCAAATTCTGCTTTATATTAGGTTGAAGCCTCTAAAATTGCCGTTTTTGTAGTTCAAAATCAGTTAAACATTAGCAGTTTAATAGGATTCAGCCTAATGACATTGAGTCAATGTGTTCTGGGGAGACCAGGGATGTCCCACAGCATCCTAGCACTTCCTGTGTGCCACCCGATTGAATTAAGGTTCCTATCTCAGTGGACTTGTTTGCCAAGGTAGATTCCAAACACCAGTATGTAGTCTCAGCCCTGCCTTCCACCTCCCAAGACCAAAAATGCATCCTGTTTTCTGGGGCATTTGCACTAACAGACATTGAGAAGTTGCAGGTTTTTCTTTGGGTTTTCATCACCCTTCTCAGAGATGACTGTTGAACTACTCTTAGTACTGCATGTAACACGCATGCACTGGAGGGTTCAAGTTTAATGGCCATAGGGAAGGAAGGCAAAAGAGAAAATGTGAAAGAGACGTTATAATTTGAAAGCACAAAAACCCTTTCTTTAGTGGCTTGTGGGGTATATGCCCATCTATTAAATTGGAGTAAGCTTCTCAAAGATAGGTATTGAACTTTCCATGCCCCATATATTACTAGAAACATAATAGCTGTTCAGTAAGTATCTACTGAGTCAAAGTAGAACACTCTGTTAAGGATCCTCAGTAGTGAACCCATAGCAGTGGATCCAGAATGTCCCTTCTCCAGGCATTTTTTTAAACCACGCCATGGTGGCAGCCACTGTTTCCTTGTACTTGTGAAACCAGCTTTGATCCAAGTTTCTTCAATCTTTTTACTCTTTTTCTGCACTCAAGCAATCGCCAACGATTATTTTAAGCAAGATTCACATCTCTAAGTCCTTTTTTATTCCTCCCCCAAGGACTCTAAAAGCAAAGAAAACAAGAAGTCAGGAAAGTTGAAGCCTCTGAACTCCATCCTGGCCTCACCCCATCACCTCACACCCTCCTAGCTTCTGCAGGATAGGCTCAGCTCCCCTTCCTCCCCCTCACCCCACCCCCTGGGGCTGTTACCCTATCCCAAGGAATTCCAGCAAGTCTTGGAACAAAGACTGGCAGCACATGTAATGCCCTGTCTGGACTGAGACTAGAATGCAATTAGCCAGGGGAGGTTGTGAAATTTGTTTTTAAATGCTATGAATGTTTTATCTCCTGACCCTCACCTCCATAACATTCCCCTTTCAGCCACCGCCCCCCACCCCCGCACACACACACACAACCCCTTCACACTGGGTCTTTGCAAAGTAAAGTATGACCTTTAGATTGAGACATTCTCTGTTGCAATATGTTGGAATATGTTTCAACGCCGTAACTCGAGATCTATTTACTAAACTGTTTGGCACATTCAGCACATCCTGGGGGAATTGTTGGCGGGACCTGCGGTGCGTTTTTCACTCCTCCCTGATGCATTACCAGACATAAGGTCATCCCAGTCTAGCAAAGATGGGTGCTGTGCAGGGCTCATTACCTCGCAGCAAGCCAGCCAGATGAGGCCGTGGGATGTTTTCTCTTCATCATTCAAGCTTGAAAGGAAACTGTCAGCCTCCACTTGCTCTTAAAACAATGAAAATTTAGGTGACAGTGCTCTCATTAGCTCAATGGAAATGAAGGTTTCCAGGCAAAGACTTCCCTCTAGAAGTCAACGGGTGAGTCTCAGCTTCTGAGGAATGGGTGGTGTCAACGTCAGTGACCCACACTCGGATGACCAGAAACTTTCAGGATACACAGCTTCTGAGCTGGGGAAAATGGGCAGATTTTAGATAGGTGACAGGTTTTTTCACAGCTGCCCCTTTGCTGGGAAATGGATATATTCATAAGACTGTCTTCTTGTGACTTACATACATTCACATGACCAGAAAACAAGCAAGGGTATTATTACACTGGTGAATCCTCTCCCTAGGAGAAACTCAAACAAAAGTGCCAAGTGTCGATCCTGTTCTCCAGAATTACATTGCAGAATTTCTAATCTAAGAGGGTTTGGTTAATATTTGATGAACCACTTGGATAATGCACAGAATTATGGGAGTCCTAGTAATTGCTTACATTTGTGTAGCACTACCTTCTAGGACATCCATATGCATTATTTTCTTATTTGATCCTCGTAACAGCCGTGTTTAATGGTCTTGGTGAGTATTCAGTCTGTTTTTATAGAATCATAGGAATACTAGAAGTAAAGGTGACCTAAGCTGTAATCTTGATCAATGGATGCTAACCAGGGATGCATGTTAATTTATCCAGGGAACTGTTTCCAAACCTGTGTGCCTGTGTTCCCCTCCCCAACAAACTCCTCAATTCTTCCTGCACCCTCCAAAATACACATACAGGGTCTGGATCAGTGAGTGAGGGGTGAAGTCCAGGCATAAATACTTTTTAGAGAAAAATACGCCAAGTGATTTCAAAGAACATCCTGCTTTACACCACTGCTCTACATTCAGGCTGATCATTCAAGCAGAGATGTGATTTACTCAGAGCCACAAACAATGGCAGAGTTGCATTCACACCCACCCAGGCCTCCTGATTTCTAGCTGGATGGCCTCTCTTTCACACTTTCCTACCATCTTTCTGAATTAAAAAGGGAATTACCAAAATGGTGCCATTTGTTTTAAACTGTCTTTTTTCTAGCCAGAAGAAAAACAGTAAGAGATGGTCTGTCCAAAATATACATATGAGTAAAATTACAAGCACCACAATTCTCCACCTGAATGCAAGTTTTTCACAGGTTTTACTCATCAGTCCCAAAATTTGGCTAGGATCCTCATAAATGATTCCCTTTTTCTCTTGGTGGCACCTCCTTTGGATTCTCTATATCTTCTCAAAACTACAGGAGTATACCATTGAATGTGGGAATCATATTATCAATATCTAAAATGTATAGGAAAGCTACTGATGAAGAAGAGGAAGGACTCCAGACTGCATATAAATTATATTGAGGAGAGGAGCAAAAGTGCTTCTCCCCAACTCCTCTGCCCCTTCAACCATTCCTTTTGAGTCATCTCCCCTACCCTCCTGGAACTCAAAGAAAGAGAGGCTAATGGAACTATGTAGAGGTAAGGTCCTTTTTGCAGACCATTTTACTAGTGAGCAGGGTTACTGTGTGAAAGGGCAGAGTGCTTGTCCTTGTGCTTCCTGCACCCAAATACTAAGGCACAGAGGCTGGCCTTTCCAGGCACGCCTCTTTCCTCATACAGGTTGGATGAGTGGACTTAGGGCAGGCTCTACAAATTTCCTTCCCCCAATTCCTGTCCAGGAGTAGGAAGCCTCGTTGAAGCCTCATGCCTAGACTGTATTTTTTAGTCTAGATTTTAGTAGAGGGTCTTACATGAGGGTGAGGATGGAGAGCAGGAACATAGAAAGTCAGTTTTCCTACAACAGCTAGGACTTCACAGAACCAGACTTTTCCCTTCTCTATTTGAGATATCTCTATATATCAATCAATCAATCAGTCATTCTATCTATCTGTCTATCTCTCCATCCATCCATCCAGCCAGCCAGCCAGCCATCTAGCTAGCTTTCTCATTAGGAAATTCCTGGCAGTGGAGGGAGTGGAGAGTTACCTAGCTCTCCTCTTAACAAAATATGCTCAACCCAAGATGTTCCTGATTTAAGCAAGGTTCTAAGCACCACAATTCCCTATTATGAGCTAGCTATCCCACCTACTTGGTAGGAGCCATAATGTAATTAGTATATTTTTTTTACTCTTGAAGAATGTGCATTTGGGCTCTTTTTCTAGTAATAAGGGCCTGCAAATCAATAGCCCAGTGCTTTTTTGGTAAAATTTACATATAAATTTTACCATTTTTACCATGCTAAATGTAGCCCAGTGTACCATGCTAAATGAGACAGCTCAGTGGCATTAAGTACATTCGCAATGCCATGCAACCATCACCACTATCCATCTCCAGACCTTTTTCATCATCCCAAACAGAAACCGTACTCAAATAGAAACACTTTACCCATTCAAAAACCCTCAATCTCTTCTCCTCTGCATTACAGTCCCTGGTACCCTCTATTCTACCTCTGTCTCTATGAATTTGACTACTCTAGGTACTTCATGTAAGTGGAATCATATACATATTTGTCCTTTTGTGTCTGGCTTCTTTCACACAGCATAAGGTTTTCAAGGTTCGTCTACGTTGTAGCATGTGTCAGAATTTTCTTCCTTTTTGAGGCCGAAAACATTTTGTTTATGTATGTATCCATTGATGGACTAGGCCAGGCACTTTTATTATGTCATTGGTTGGGTGTGATGTATATTTACCTAAATTATAGGGGTAGGAGTGAGCGAAGGGAATGATAAGGCTTGGTAAATTCATAGACAGCCTCTGAATGAGGCTTCATAAACTATAGAAAGATTATGGTGCCTACTTTTCTCTGAACTAAAAATGAGAAGGACATGACTTGACAGATATCATGTTTGTATGGGGATAGCTGAAGAGAATGTTGGAAATATACTGTCTAGACACTTAAGCAGGTTTGGTAAACATAGCCCTCTTGGCAACTGAAAAAACAAAGTGGAAGAAAAAAAAATGTTGTTCCATAAGGATTTTCCTCCTGGAACAAAGGCTTTAGAGCTCTCTGTTCCCTCTCCTCCTCATGCTCCCTTTTCCCAGGCCTGTTTATCTGACTCTTTATTCCTGCCTCTCATATGAAAGCAAGTGCATTCTCCTCCTGAAGGTGCTTGTGTCTGCAGAGCAAAAAGGAAGTGTGGTCCTGGAGTCCCCAGCAAACGCATCTCAGGGTATGCTGCTTGTGGCTCAAGTAGGAGGTCTGTGTTTATTATCACTGAACATCAACCACAGGGCCAGAGACAGGAATGATGGACAAAGCCATGGATACTAGCGCAGGACAAAAGCCAACTCTGTCACAGCATTTTCAGGGTTTCAGTTGCACTGAGGTTATGCCCTGAGACAGCTGCTCTTGAGCTCAGATAAGACAACTCAGTCTTGAGATTCATGAAGTCTCAGTAACTCCCTCAGGGGCTGCGTCAACTTCTTGGAGGGGTATTTGGACATCAAGAAGTTGATAGAATAACAATAGGATTAAATTTGTGATTTGGTAAAGAACAAGTTCCCAGAAAATCTTCCTTCTCTTCCTTGACCCTAACTGGTAGATTACATGTTATGTAAGAAGCATATGCTTAACACTAAAGATGGGAGCTCCTTCTGCAAGGTGATGGGGGAGCACTGGAGGAGGAGCCAATTGGTTTTTATGAAAAGCAAAGGAATTATGAAAAGCACATTGCAAATCTTGTTATTTTTCTTATAATACGTTCCAAACCCAAACAAACTCAAAAAAAGTATGTGTGCAAAAGCAAACCTTAAACCATTTTGCGAATCCCGCCCTAGATTTCACATTTCTCCAGTGAAGCTCACATTCCTTTATTCAGATTCCAAAAGTAGAGATAATTTGTTCCAAATGTTTCCAAAGCCGACCAGCAGAAGGGCCTAACGATTTTTCCAGAGCTGGAGAAAACTGTGAAATTTTCTACACTCTAATGGAGCATTCAAAGTGAAAGAAAAAAAGGAGACAAGTGAGGGGAAAGGGAAAAGAAATGTTTTGATGATCTATTTGTTTATTTTGTTACGGTTATGGCTCTTTGACAAGGTCTGGGGAGAGATGCTGATTGCCAATGTCTTATTTCCTTTGGCAAGGTAGCATTTCTTCTGTATTATGGAGCAGATTATGATGGAGGAAATGGCCATACAATTATATATTTCTTGCAAGACGGTGAGGCAAGTTCATTTCAAAGAGACTGAACTTGGGGAGCCTTAGGGATGATGAGTGTGTATGTGTGCATGCTGGCAGCACCCTGCCTCTAGAGTGATCCCTGTCCTCCTCCCTAGCATATCTTCAAATAACCATCAATTTGCAGACTACAACACCCTCTACAAATAGAAAAGACTGTGTCCCAGGGAAGCTTCCATTTAGAAATGTGCTTGAGCATTTGGAGCCAAAGCTAGTGATTGACACCTGAGGTAATTTATAAGGAGGGGGTAAGACTCAGTGGAGCAAGAATGAAAGGTTTTTTTTCCCCACTTTTTCTCAATTGCCACCAGCCTGTGTTGTTATCCAATTGTTTAAAATATGTATACCTTGACTCTGCTGTGAGATTCTAAATGCCTGCAAGTCTAGAAGTGCATCTTTCTCTTCTTTGTAACTCCCACAGTGCCCAGCACAGTGCTTGACCAGAAATAGATGTTTATTTGGGAAGGAAAAAGATAGAAGGAGATACTATACATGCATGGAGCCAACACAAAGAAACAAACAAACAAAAACTTAGGTAAACTCAACTAGGCAGACACCCAGTTTAAATTCCAAGTCATCATGGTTTGTAATATAATAAATAATACTTGTAAACCTATTATCATCCTTGCTATCATGGGCACCATTTATTGAGGTTATGTTGTGTGCAGTGACAAGTGCTTTATATACATACTCTCACTTAACCTTCATAACCATTCAGCAAAGAGAAAATAATATCTCGTTCTACAGAAGAGGAAACTAAGGCTCAAAGAATTAAATAATTTTGGATTTCAGTGACTGAAGGAGGGTCTGAACCTGCTTGGTTGATGAGTCTTTGGGTGTAAGCTGAGACCTGGAAAGCAAGCAGAACTGATATCCCAGCCAGCTCATTCAGTAGGGTCAAGCAAGGAGCTAGTGAGACCAGAGCCATGACTGTGACCTCTGGTGTTTGTGTTACATCAAGACAGCCTCTTTTTTTGGCTTCCAATTGTACCCCTAAGCCTGTCCAGCTGGACTTGAAATTGGTCACAGACAATTGGTCACAGGCAAAAGAGTGTGGGTAGCTGGGGGAAAATTTATCATTAGGCTTGAGGTTGCATTTCAGAGCACACGGCCTTCTGATGGGAGGCTGGGAAAACATTTTTGTGTGTAAGTGATGATGGTGCATGGTTGCCAGAGGCTGAGGAGTGATGAACGTGGAATGTTAGTCATGCCCTATCTTTGAGTGATAGAGGATATACTAAAGAAGGCAGAATGCCTGCCCATCCCAAATAGCCCACAGGAACATGGAATATGGACTTCATGAGTTAGCACACATAGATCCTTTTTCAGCTCTGCATGCAGATGTGAGGTCATGGATGTGATGCACCCAGGCAAGTCTTCACTCTCCCGCCAGACCCTTAACACGCTGTCCCTCGGGCCATTTCCAATTCAGAAAGTCTTGTATTAGAGAAAGAGAATATTGGGCTTGAAATAAGAAGATCAAGATTCTGGATCAAGTCTTTCATTGACACTCACTAGCTAGAGAAGCCGTTGCACTGAGTCTACAATTCCTGAGCTAAAAGTTTGGGATAATCTCTGCCTTCTTGAATTTATGTGGTTGTTGTGAGGATAAATTGACACATACCACACAAACATGGAAGTGCTTCATGCATTTTCAAAAAATACGTGATTGAAAAAATATACAAATGGTGATATAACATAAAACCCAAGGAACATAAGAAAATACATAGGTAAAATTGTTGATATTTTTGTGCCCCAAATTCTGTAAGACTTTTGGATAAAATAATTGGAGACATATATGACACCATTCAACCCACAACAGCCATATTCCTAGCAAGTACTGCATCGATGTTCAGGCATCCGTCTTTAGAATATACGGACATCTAACTCCCTTTGTCTTCAGATTTGGGAACCCAGTGAAGTAAAACCTAAAGCCAAGTCTCCTGTAATATCCCCTTATACAAATACTAAATTATTTTAAAACTACATAAAAATTTTGACAAGCAGCATGGAGCTGCTCTTCCCTCAGCAAGTTTCTAAAGATGGCAAAGAAGTAACCCTCTCTTTTTTAGTTTTTACATAATTTAAAAAATATTTAATCCTGGCCGGGTGTGGTGGCTCACGCCTGTAATCCCAGCACTTTGGGAGGCTGAGGCAGGCGGATCACAAGGTCAGGAGATCGAGACCATCCTGGCTAACACGTGAAACCCTGTCTGTACTAAAAATAAAAAAAAATTAGCCGGGCGTGGTGGCGGACACCTGTAGTCCCAGCTACTCGGGAGGCTGAGGCAGGAGAATGGCATGAACCCAGGAGGCGGAGGTTGCAGTGAGCCGAGATCGCACCACTGCACTCCAGCCTGGGTGACAGAGCGAGACTCCGTCTCAAAAAAAAAAAAAAAAATTAATCCTTCAAACATACATAAAATAGAATAGTATATATGCCCTCATGTACCATTACTTGAATGATCCTTAACATTCTAGCACTCTTGTTCCATCTATTTTCCTGCACCAAAAACACAAACACAAAACACTCAGACCTGCTTTGAAATATTCCAGGAAAACAAATATATTTTACTTCTAAATATGAAGTGACCTCTTCTTGTCATTGGAGTTCAGGCCATATTTGACCTTCCTCTGTGCAGACAGCAGGTGGGGTTAACAATGAGAAGCCTCATCTCTGCTCTTGAGTGGCAGCTGGATGGGTCTAAAAAACTTAGCTATTTGTAAAGAATAAATCCTGTCCCCTTCAAAATCCATGTCTACTCTTATCTCTCTTCTAAAACTTCTCTGAAGTTAAGGGAAGCTGTAACATTCCAATCAACTAATGTGGTGGATTTACTTTGTTTTCATACTGCTGGATTTCTCCTTGGCAATCAGTTCTGGTTTCAAATACAGTTGGCCCTCTGTATCTGTGGGTTATACATCTGTAGATTCAACCAACTGTGGATCAAAAATATTTGAAAAAAAATTGAACCTGTACTAAACATGTACAAACTTCTTTTCTTGTCGCTATTCCCTATACAACATAACTATTTATATAGAATTTACATGTATTAGGTATTATAAGTAATCTAAAGATAATTAAAGTTACATGGAAGGATGTGTATAGGTTATATGAAAATACTACACCATTTTATATAAGAGAGTTGAGTATCCATGGATTTTGGTATCCGTGGGAGGTCTTGCCCAATCTCCCACAAATACTAAGGAATGACTGTATATTATTGTGCCCACTAATAATTAAGGACCAGGTCCTGGATGGTTCCTGTAGGAACTTCTTTCAAGAGACTTCCAAAATAGTAGAAGAGAGGAAATAAGACAAATACATAACCATACATCAAAGAGAATTAAAAACCCAAAGAGGAATAAAAAATTGCAAAGTTGAGTCAAAGTCTCAATCCAGGTTGACAACTGCTATCTTGGCCTGCAGAGACATTTTTGGAATTATGGTTCCTAAACTAAGTCCAGAGCTTAGATTGAAATAAAAGTGCTGGCAACCATTGGGGTGACACAATTTTGTACAAGGAGAACAACATAAGGGCTTGGTCCTGGTGACATTTGCAAGTGAATTTCCCAGCCACTTTTCTCAAGATTCAGACCGCCTTTGGGAGCAAATGCAGTCATTCAGATCCTGACTATTAGTCTTTCTATTTCAAAGTTCTTTCCTGAAGAATTCATAAAAATGCAGCTGGGGTAAATGGGCTGAAATCTCCTGAGCTACACAGCTCTGGCAATTTATCATTCAGCAAGGCTTTTCTCCAACTCAATTTGGCTTTTTTCTCTTTGCTAATAATAGAGTGTTTAGGGTGGTTTGTGGTTTCAGGTTATCTCCTTCCTCAGCCAAATTATACTCCCAAATGCATCAGTATCTTCTGGGGAATCATATCCATTGACAGAAGAAGTTATTTGCCTTCTCAGAGGATCAAGCAGAGGAGTCTGGAACCCAGAGATGAAAATATTTAGATAGAGGCAAAAAAAAATCCTTATTTGTAATAGTGGCTACAGTATGCAATAAAGCCAGTGACTGACTCCAAGAGTAAATCTGTAGGAGTTATTATACTAGAAAAGAGATACTTGGGAAAGAGTCATAATACAGGTAGGAGCTATCTAACAGAAATTTTTAAGGGTATTTTCTTGAAATTCAAAGCATGGTTTAATGCCCTTTAATTTGTATTGACAGTATAATTTATATTCTACAATATGCCTAGAAAATAACAGTAGATCTGTACCAGAACTGGTCTTGAGAAATATTGTAGAGTCAGTAAATTGCAATCAGTTAACTCATGAATCTTTACTGAAGGCTCATGAAGAACATCACCTTTTTGCTAGGCATGGCGGGAAGTTTGAAGGGGTGTAAACTCCTGCTCTGTCTAAAGGAGCTTATGCCACTTATAGCCAACTAGTCTTTAATACGCCTTGTCAAATTAGAAGGCAAGGTTAAGCTAAAGTTTGTGCTTATTTTGGGCAAGAGGATCTTGACTCCATTCATTAATTTAATAAGTGTTTATTGAGTGCCAAGCACTGAGCTCTGTACTAAGCCCACCCAGTATTGACACCTATTAATAATAATCTTTGGAATGTTTTTTAACTTAAAAAGTGTCTGTTGAAATTGATGAAGCCCAATTTTATAATGAGAACTATATATAGTTTACTGTACATGGTGGTATACCATACAAACAGGTTCTGACATTAGTCTCAGTTTCTTCTTGTGGAAACTAATAATTTAAGGTAAAGGGACTATTTCTGGCATCCTATTTGTTCAGCATCCTATTCAAAAGCCTGTGTTGCTTTTGTTCCTTGAGGTGTGGGCAATGCTGAATGGTTTGCTCCAGGATTTGTAGGTAATCAGTGATATAATAGAAGAAATTATATAAAAATTTAATCGCAGTCATTGCCCTTTATTGTAAGTGGAAGTCTGCATATTAGGACCCCAAAGAACAATTGCATTTTGCTTTGTCTATTGAATGAGAATTTCCTGTTAACCCTCCATTACAAACACTTTAGACCCCAACCAGTAGCATGAGGAAGCACTGGAGACATTGGGGATGTGCATGCAGTAGCCACATGTTTCAGTTCATGTGACAGCCACATATATTCCTCTTTTTTGTTTTGTAATTCTGGAAACTTCCTGTACTACAGTGGCAGTAGTAAAAGAAGTTAGCAAATTCCCATTACACCACCTGAAGAATAAGAAAGAAAGTTCTTAAGCACTTTTGTCACAATAACGTATAAATGTATTTACTTCTGTGGGTCCATCTTGGTCTGTAAAATCACAGAACTTTGGAAATTATCTTTTGAATGTACATTCTAGATGACCCCTCACATTTAGAACCCATTTTGCCTTGATCTTTCTTTTCTTTTATCCATAAAATAGGTTAAAAATTTTTGCTCCTCTGTGTCCTGGAGTTGTCCTGAGGAGTAAATGAGTCAGTAGCTGTGAGATGCTGGGAGCAAGCCTGCAGCACAGGTAGCCCTAGGTGAATGGTGACTGTGATTGGCATTCATCTTTTCTTTGGGATCTGCACACCACAGAGCAGGTGCCCCCCAACGCCTGCTGGCGGAGGGGTCTACCCAGAAAGCCCTGTGTTCTGCCTGTCTCTTCCACCTCCCTCTTCTCGCTAAATGTTCACCTCCTGACTTGGTACTGAAGTGCTCCCACAAGAATTTTGGTGAATGAGTGTGCAGTTTTTATTTACATATGTATATATTTAAACAGCTGTACAGAAGTACAATTAATATAAAATAAATTGCACTTATTAAAGTATGCAATTTGCTACCATCACCACAATCAAAATAATGAAGTATCTATCTTCCCCCCAAATTATCTTATGCCCCTTTGTCATCCCTCCTTTCCATCCTTCCTACTCCTTTTCCTCCCCTGCCACCCACTCCAAGCAGCCTCTGATCAGCTTTTTGTCACAACAGATGACTTTGCCCTTGCTAGAGTTTCGTATAAATGGAATCAACACAGTGTGGCATCTTTTTCATTCTTTCCTTCTTTTATTTCTTTTTGTCTAGCTTCTTTTACTTAGCAAGATTACTTTGAGATACATCTAAGTTGTTGTATGTGTAAATTAGATGCTTTTTTGAGGACATCTATTGAAGGTAGATTGATTGACTGCAGTAGAGGAAGGAGGCATAAACACTATTATATGCAGGTATGAGAATGCAAAGTGAAGTGTTTTGTATCCTGGGTGTAACCACCAGTCTTTCATGCCTCACATCATTCATTTAAGCCATAAGAATAGATGTCAATAAAGATGGCTCTCAGCAATAAAGACAAGAACAACTTGTGGTGAGTATTCTCTATTTAAGAAGACATGGAAATACAGAATATACCCTATAGAAATTTCCAAAATAGCTAGAATTATTTTGAATTTTGAAGGCTAAGGAAGTCACCCTAAGAAACCTGAAAAACTTCCCTTGCCAGAATGATTCATTCCCCACAGGTTCTGAGCTGCCAAGGTTTTACTGCATTTTACTTGTAGGGTTTCCTCTTCCAGCCAGGAAAGGAGGAGCCTCTCCCTGATTCATTGGATAAATGGCTCCTTTCAGAGGAAGGTGCTAAATTCTTGCTGGTTCCCTGGCCAGAACAGGTAGATGAAGCGCTGGGCTTCCTCAGCATCTTTGCAAGCTTAATGGGGCGATAACGAGGAGAAAATGGCTTAATCTGTGTTTTGGCCTCCTTCTCGCCAAGCTGGTTGGAATGAGAGAGGCTGTAACTTTGGAAAACCTAGTCATAAAATAGGTTTTTTAACGTGGCTGTTTTTGGCAGGTTTAGAAAGACCCTAAAGGAGCAAGTGCCTGCCAGCTTTTGCTTTGAAAATGGACCAATTAATTAGAAAAATGAGGGGTAGCAAAGGAGATGCAACATGTACCACCTGGACACCCACTTTCTTGTTGCCTTGTTCATAAGGAAAACACTTAAAAGAAGTGAATCCAAAAGAAAACAAAAGGGTATTTGAACTGGGAAAATGTCCTCTGGGCAGTAGCCTAACTGGATATAAAAGTTGAGGGATAGACCCTTGAGAAAAGGAGCTTTACAGGGGAAGCAGCAGGGAACCCTAATTAACATCAGCCTGCCATAGTTAATAATTCTGCACTGGGCAGGAGGCTGGGCCAGGTGATCTCGGAGGGCCCTTTCTCCCACTGAGATCCTAAGATGCTGATATTTACAGCACAATATTCAGAACCTAGAAATCAACTGCTCTCTGGTGGTGCACCTAGTAATGTCTCTCATTTCATCAGTTTTCCCCCTGGATCTTGCCTCTGTCCCCCTGTTACCTCATCGCCAACAGAGCAGGAAGAGTACATTCATAGATCCCTGAGTCACATCTGGAGGATATGTATTGGCCTCCAGCCCTGGGCAGATGTTCTGGGATTGTTCCTCTGGTCCCATATTTCACATGGAAATGTAACAATAACTGCCTATGATGGCTCCTAGTTTCATCCATCACCAAAACTAAATCTACAGCCTGGAATTCAGCATCCTTCATCAACTGGCCTCTGTCTTTCCTCACAGCCCAAATGCATGGAGGCTCAAGGTCTATTGGTTCAGGTTCTTAAGTCAATTGATTGACCAGCAAGTATTTACTGAGTATACAATATGCATTTACCTTGGGGTCAGGCTGTTAAAGTGGCTCCAATGGAAGGGGAATACATTTCCACACTCAGGATGTTTATAGCCTAGTTTTTTTTTTTAAGTGTGCATACAAAAATATTTAGAAAAAAAAAACCCCTTAGATTATATAACCGTGTATTGGGTTGTATACCTCCAGCTCTAAGCAGGATGGGAGTTCAGAATAGGAACTCAGAAGGGCTGGAGTAGCCAGGAGACTTTGGCTATGAGGAGTACTTGAACTAGGCTTGGAAGGATGAGAATAAATTAGGATGGGGAATATGAAGGAGGGTCAATTTGGTAGAGGAGACCAACATGCAAAGAGGCATGAAATTCCTTGCAAACTGACCCATGCCGATTATTTAGTTATGGTTTGTAGATACTGGTTGCCTCAGAAGTAAAAGGTAGAAGAGGGATAAATGCCAGTTTTCCCACTAACTTGCTTCCAGGTAATAATTTACCAAGTAGTTAGCCCTCCATGTAGTACTCAATTCTGCCATATGCACACAAGTTTATTAGCAGACAAGTATGAAAACAGTCACACAACCTGTAAGCCAAAAATAAAATCCTAAACTTCCTCAACCAACTGACTAGACGCATTCTGGGCCAAGAGAACCCCAGAGAAACCTGAAAAACTGAATTCCCTGCCATGACAGGAAAGCAAGTGGGACATGCCTCATTATTCCTCATTATACCCTTCTCCCTTTGGAATTTAGGCAGAGCTGACCAGCATTAACATGATCTCTATAAATAAAATAGAGATCATAAGACTGACAACAGATTCCTTTTGGCAATAAGATACCAAATTCTAACCTGACTCTGGCATAGCATCACATGACAGATAGCTGACCCTGAAAGAAATCAAAATATGTAACCCCACAATATATTTCTTTGGTGTATTTTGAAATGGCCCTGCAAAGCCATCTTTAGTGGGGAAAATTTGCATCTGTAGAGATTCTCCAATAATGCAGCCAGGCTTTTCCCAGATCTAGGAGAGATTAAGAATATGACACCTTTTAAGGTCCCAAAACAGACATTTGCCACTTATTCTTTCTGAAGGCTGTAACCTGGAGGCTTCATCTACATAATAAGAACCCTGCTCTCCACAACCCCCTTATATCTTACCTCAAGCATTTCCTTCTACTGACTTCAAGTGTATAGACAAAGCTTAATTCTTTCAACCAATTGCCAGTCAGAAAATCTTTGAATCCACCTATGACCTGTAAGCTGACCACTACCCCTGATTCAAGTTATTCCACCTGTTTTTTTGTTTGTTTGTTTTTTGATTTTTTTTGAGACTGAGTCTTACTCTGTTACCCAGGCTGGAGTGCAGTGTCGTGATCTTGGCTCACTGCAAGCTCCGCCTCCTGGGTTCATGCCATTCTCCTGCCTCAGCCTCCCGATTAGCTGGGACTACAGGCGCTTGCCACCACACCTGGCTAATTTTTTGTATTTTTTAGTAGAGACAGGGTTTCACCCTCTTAGCCAGGATGGTTTCGATCTCCTGACTTCATGATCCGCCCGCCTCTGCCTCCCAAAGTGTTGGGATTACAGGTGTGAACCACTGTGCCCGGCCAAGTTATCCCACCTCTTTAGCTGAACCAATGTATACCTTTCATGTATTGATTCATGATTTTACCTACAATTTCTGCCTCTCTAAAGTGTATAAAAACAATGTGTAACCTCACCACGACAGGCCCACTTTCTCAGGACCTCTTGAGACTGTTCCCCAGGCCATAGTAACTCACACTGGCTCACAAAAAAAAAAAAAAAAAAAAAAAAAAAAAACTCTTTATTTACAGAGTTTATTTTTGTCAACAACCCTGTCAGCAACATGGGTCCTGTCCCTCTGTCCTCGTGTGAAAACGTGCACTGAAGCAGATGCAGCAATATTCTTGTGGCACAGTTCTGGTGACCTAATCTGATAAGGAAAGATAGGGGACCGATTGGGTTCCTAACCCCAGGGACACCATTCCAAAGTGACAACAAAATTGCTCTCACTAGATTCTTATACCTTTTTTTTTTTTCTTGAGATAGAGTCTTGCTCTGTCACCTAGGCTGGAGTGCAGTGGTGTGATCTTTGCTCACTGCAGCCTCCTCCTCCGGGGTTCAAGCAATTCTCCCACCTCAGCCTCCCAAGTAGCTGGGATTACAGGTGTGTGCCACCATGTTGGGCTAATTTTTCTGTTTCTGTTGTTGTTATTTGTTTGTTTGTTTTTAGTAGAGATAGGGTTTTGCCATGTTGGCCAGGCTGGTCTCAAACTCCCAACCTCAGGTGATCTGCCCACCTCTGCCTCCCAAAGTGCTGGGATTACAGGCACAAGCCACCGCACCTGGCCTCCTTATACCTCATTTATACTAGGACAAGACTGCCTGTACAACACTGCAAGCCAATTCCACATTCTAGCCATCAATGAAAACATGCTTTCTAACATCTGTTATTCTAATTAACAAAGCCACTGGTCATAACGAGAAATAAAGAAAGCTGAATGCCTGCAGTAGGTGCCTCTGGAGCTACAGTTTCTGATTTGAGTTTTTAAAATACTAACTATGCACCTCTGAAGTATGCAGTCCTTATTAAGGAACTACACATACTCATCAATCACCTCTAGGGTATAGATTAAAATGAACACACACACACACAAACACACACACACACACATTCATTATGCTATCTGCATTTTGAAGTAAATCGCAAACAATATAACTACATGGAGAAGAGAATGACCTGGATTGTGGACAATGAAAAGAGCATCAGCTGAGCAATGGATGGTGGGAAGAAAGGAAAGAGCAGGTTGTGTGGGCAGGTTTTTGGCAGATTGGTGATGCATTGGATTCCAGGCTGAGCAGGTTTGATGGCATAGTCCATGGGTAGGGTGACCATATAATTTATTGTCCAAAGGGGGACACTTCAGAGAGCAAAAGGATGCACTGTTAATAGTGCCAGGACAACTGATGTAAACTGGTACTGTCCTAGGAAAACAAGGCATATGGTCAGCTTCGCTGTGGTCATGGGATTAAAGCATAAGGAAAACGTGAAGAAGCTGATGAAACTGCATTTGAAGATGACTCATCCATCAGATATTAGAGCATAGCCTCTGCTTACCTGGGCACAGAAAAGAGTCCTGGGTGGCTTGGTAGGTCACATGTGCTATCTGAAAAGGAAACTCCCTTTCATTATGCTTTGATTAATTCTCTCACACTTACCCATCTATGGCCAGCATGGAACCCTACCTTTCTCAGAGCAGCATTTCTGAACATGTTCATCATCTCCAAATTTTGGCTTGTCCAGAAGCAATTACATGACAGGAAAAAAATTACCTCTCTTACCATTTTGCTTATGCAACCTTGGGCAGTTACTTATCTGGACCTAAGATTTAGAAATGACTGTGTGCTGATGGAGGGCTTTTCTCTATGTTATCTCATTCCTCCTGATCGCCCTGAGAAGTACATGCCCTGCCCATCTGTCAAAGGAGGAGACAAATAGCTGCCATACTTTTATTCCAGAGTTTGTGAAGATAAAGGGAGGTGAGAAATTCCCAGAAAAGTCAGAGAATTTGTTGTCCTGATTATGAAGGTAGAGTATCTCTGATATTCAATCGGAGTCCATCATAGAATGCCTAACAGAAAAGTCTTACCAATGTAAGTAATTCAAGGTATATTTGCTCTGGATCCTAAAGCAAGTTAATGGTAAAAATTACAATACAACTTTCCTGGTCTTTTGTAGGCTAGAGATTCTGAATTGAAAGCATTCTTTCTCTGCAATAATTGGTAGAGTAATGAACTATAAGCTGTAACCACAAACACTGTGTTTGTCAGAAAGGGGATCCTGTAGTATGGAGAAAAGAGTACTGGTGTGGAAGAAACCTTGAGTTCTGGTTCCTGCGATGGCCCTTTATGTGTGTCACTTTGGGCAAATCACAGCATGGGTAAGGGTGAAGCCACCCTTCACAACCTGCAACCCCAAAGGGTGGTCCCTGCTGGGAACAAATACAGTCAATGAAGGATTAGACCACAGGTTGGCCAGTCCCTTAACAATAGAGTTGCTGTATTGGAGAAGATAAGAAAAACAATTCTGAGCCATCCTCCTGTCATCCAGCCAGGAAGTCCATCTCAGATCAAGGCCCCAAGGGTGGCTGTAGAAAGGCTTGAATCATTTCTTTGCATGAATAGACAACTGACCAAGATTGTGGTTTATTTTTTCAATATATAGCCTCAGGCATTTCTCATATTTATTTGTTTCTGAACACGTATTTATTAAGCATCTACCACTTCCTTCCTAGGCACTGTTAAGTCCGGTGGGCCAAGTGTAAAGCAAAAAATTAACAAACAACCCTCAAAGACCTTATAATCGATGGAGGATAAAATAGAATTGATCTTCATTATTTGCCAGTTCCATATTTGCAAATTTGCCTGCTCACTAAAATGTATTGGTAACCTCATTTGCAGTCATGCACAGAGTGGTGAAAAATTACGGTGGCCTGAAAAGAAAGTTCCCAGCTGAGGTTTACCAGAGTGACACTGACTTGTTTAATCTCTCCTCCTATAAACAAATGTCTCTTTCACATTCTATTTGGTGCCACACATGTTCTCATTTTTGCACATTTTGTTGGTGAATTCACTTTTTTAAATGGCCCCCAAGCCTAGTGTTGAAACACTGTCTAGTATTACTTTTTTTTTTTTTTTTTTTTTTTTTTTGAGATGGACTTTTACTTGGCCACCTAGTGGTGTGGTCTCGGCTCCCTGCAACCTCTGCCTGCTGGGTTCAAGCAATTCTCCTGCCTCAGCATCCCGAGTTGCTGGAACTATAGGTGCCACCACACCTGGCTAATTTTTGTATTTTTAATAAAGACAGGTTTCACCATGTTGGCCAGACTGATCTCAAACTCCTGACCTCAAGTGATCTGCCTCCCTTTGCCTCCCAAAGTGCTGGGATTACAGGCACGAGCCACCACGCCTGATCCCACTGTCTAGTATTTCTAAGCACAAGAAGGCTGTGATGTGTCTTACAAAGAAAATATGTATTAGGCAAGCTTTGTTCAGCCTGGAGTTATAGTGTTGTTCACCATAAATTTAATATTAATGAATTAAAATATGTATTAAATACAGCATCTTTAAACAGAGGCATGCATAAGACAAGGTTATGTATTGATTGGTTGATAAAAATACTGTGACCAGAGGCTTACAATGAAGTAGCTGTACATTTCCCCTAGGAACGAGGTTCGGTATTCGCTAATTCAGGATTTATGGCAACATTGTTGAACAGAACTGTGAATAATGATAATCAACTCTGTTAACTAAAATAATAATAATAAAGGAATGCAGCTCTGAACAGTTTCTGACACTATGAGGTTAGGGTGACCAGATGAGACGTTGCTGGATAAGGGCTTGAGCTGAGATATGGCAGATAAGAAGAAGGGAAGTAGAAGAGTGTCTGGAAGGCAGGAACAGCAGGGGGATTCCTTTGAAAGAAGAGACAGCAGATCTGTGTAGCTGGGCTTGAGAGTGAGGGAGGATGTGTGGTTTAAAGTCAAGGGCAGAGACGTGAACACGGGCCAGTCCATGCTGGGACTTGGAGAATTTTAATTTAGAACAAAAGGGTTATGGTCAGACTGATATTTTGAGGAGGTCATTTTTGCTGAAATGTGGAGAATATAACTCAGAGCAACCAGATGAATGCAGGGAGCCCAAGAAAAGGTTATTGCTAGTGTCTTGCAGAAAGATAATGTTTGTTTGCACCACAATATTGATGACTAGGATGGAGAAATTCAACTATTCAAGACATACTTAGGAGGTAAATTGAGCCAGACTTGGTGTTGAACTGAATATGGAAAGATAATCATGAATTATTCCTAACGTCCAAGACCTTTCCATGACAATGCAATCTAGTGACTGGTGATTCTCTGAAACTTGAGCTCTGTCCTTGGAAGAAATATAGAACTTCCAGATCTACTTCTAGTTATAGAACTATTTCCAGAGCAGGAAGCTCCAGGTCTACCAATCCCTGTGTAACCATTATTCAGACCTTTAATCAGTCTTTCTTTGATACCTGGATTACAAACTCCGAACCATTGTCCCTGTTCTCCAAAACCCTGATGAGTTGCCAAGACTAGCAGTAGCGGGAGGCCAGAAAACTGGATAGAGGAACCTAAATCTGGGTGGCACAACCTACCTGAGTTAGTCCTATCCATGCTGCTGCTGAAAACTGTTCTCTCTGCTTTTTTTTTTTTTTTTTTTCCTCATAAGCAAAACCCTAACCCAACTCCAAGGGAAGCTCCTCAAAGTTACCTTCATTTATTGAAGGTTGCATTGTGTCTCTCTCTCAGCTCTGAGACTCTGCATCTGAAATGAGTCCCACAGAGGAGATGTGTTATTTTATTTGGGCTGCCTTGTGCCTGCCAGTATGTAGTTTCAGGTGATCAGAGGTAACCAATGCTAGGGCGTCGGGGTGCTGCATGATGGTCCCCTTGTTGGTTGAATGCTCCCATGACAGTCTCTTTCTCTCCTCTCACCTCACTACTCCTCCCTCCTGTGACCCCCTGACGTGCTACTGTGACACAGGGAGAGTTCGAAGCACTCCAGAGCCACAGGATTCCATGTCTCTCCATCCAATTAAAATGTTTTACTATCTTCCCTTTTTATCTCGCCTTTGTAATTGGATTCCCAGTTTCTCAATTTTCATGGCAGCAAAGGGAGGGGGAAGATGATAGCAATATCTGATAAAAATAAAATGCTATGATTTAATTTTGGCTGAAAGGATTCTCTCTTGCCTTTGTGAAGCCTTTGAAAGGATTCCTGAGTCCCTGACTCCATCAAATTGTGGCCCTGTGATTCCTTTGAGTAATCAAAGGGCCTTAGAAATTGCAGGCACCATGAGATCAAAAGAAATTTGAAATCACCGCCTGTACCAAATACATGAAGGATCCAGAAGGGACAATTTGTGGAGTGATGACAAGACTAGATTTTGTGTGACAGCAATATCTGATTATATGAGACCTCAGACACCCTGAAACTATAGTCCCTGGAGGGGAAGTAGGGAAACTGTATGAGGGCTCGTCTCCCAAGAAAGCAACATTTGTGATGCAATTTGTGCATAAAAGCAGCTACAATTTGCTGGCCCAATAACTTTCATCAAAGTATGTGAAAGCCCTCTGTGTAATTGTCTAGTTAGAATTTGTCACAATCATTGTCATTATATTATTATCACTCCTACTATGCCCCATAGTACCTGACAATCTCCCATGTATCTCCTTCACTAAATCAATATACACTGATCTATTCATTGGGGGACTACTTAATTTCTGTGAGTTTGAACGCCAGTCCTCCAATACCACTTAGATGTCATTCAATTCAATTCTGACACTACCTGAAGTTCTCTAAGACCACATAAACAAAGGGTTCCATCCTGAAAGACTGCCCCAACTTCCAACACCAGCCAAAAGTCAGGGTAACCCCAAGTTCCGCTGGCTGGCTGGCTGGCTACAAATTCACAGCTTCCTATAACACCCTTAGTTTTGATAATTCCCTAAAACAACTCACAGAACTCGGAAAACTTCTATGTTCACAATTACTAGTTTGTTATAAATAATACAAATAAACAACCAGATGAAGAGACACTTAGAGCAGGGTCTAGAAGGGTTCAGACAGGCAGATATTTTGGATGCAAGGGGGAAGAAGCAAATCCCAGAAACGTTGTCAAAAGGTTGGAGTCAGTAAGGTACCTTATGATAAATAAATCTCCTAATAGGGTCTTATTTAAATAACACTGTGCTGGGAGTGAGGCAGAAATCAAAAGATGAACCATTAAGCCTAGTAATAGGAAAGTGGTGTGCGTCAGTGGCATTACTGCATCCCAAGAAGCCACATCAATTAGGCACCTAATGCATGACCCGTCACGTAAACCAGTCCAGCCACACACCCCTCATGCTCTCACTATTGATTGTTGCCCAGATATTTGGAATTAAACTGAGCCTCCTAATTATCCAGCATGCAGAGCTGTGCTGGTCCTGCCATCAGGAGACTGAACCGTGGCCTCTTCCCAAGGAATTTCCCTCACTGTGATAAGCGTGCTGTCCCTGTGTCTCTGAAGAAAGTGTTGGACGTGCAGTATGATCCATGATAGCCTGAGACAGTGTGTAATGGAGTTTCACCATGTTCTGCCCAATTTCTCTGTGTTCCTTGTGCATTCTTGTTCATAAAGGTGCTTCATGTCAGTACCTTTCACTTTGTGAAGACCCACAGTGAGAAATAAAGAAAGCTGTCTGGCCAGGAAGTGAATGCCATGAGAATAGTCTCAGAGAACATCCTGTATTTACTCTGTGTTTCTTTCTACAAAGAAGGGGAGAATTGGTTCTAATCGTTATTCATGCATTTTAAAATACATTATTGAGAATTTACTTTATGTTAGGAACTCTGATAGGTGCCAGAGAGACAGATTTTTTAAAGGCAGAGTCCCTTTCCTCTAATGATGTCACTTCAGATATCTGATGGACAGGTGTTCAGGAGTGAAGCCTTCTCAGATCATGCCATGCACGTGATGTCCTGCAAAAGCTTCCCTACAAAGGCACGGCCCTGAGTCTTATCCCTTTTGTTTATTACCCTGATCTTTTTAGTCCTCAGGCAAACCTCTCCCACCAGGTCTGTCTTCTGGACTTTATTTATAAGCATGATCCTTGTGCATCATGGGTACTTCTCTATATCATTCCATTGGAAGACCATTCCACAGCTTATTTATCCAGATCTATCAATCTCTTTTAATACATCTGGATAAATAAATTTATCCAGTACTTATTTACTCAAGCTCCTTTGATAGATCTGAGAGTTATTTTCAATTGTATACTATGCAACAATTCATATATGTGCCTCCAATGAACTCCCTGTGAGTTTTAATCCAGAGGAAATACTTACCTGAAGAATTGCATGAATATAGAAAATGTGCATATTTAAATTTACTAGGTAATGCCAGCTGCTCTCCGAAATGGTGGTACCAATTTATACTCCCACTAACAGTAAATGAGAGTTCCCATCAGTCTGTATCCCTGTCAACACTTGGAATTGTCAGGCTTTAAAATGTTTGCCAGTATCATGGATGAGAAACTGTATCTCACCATAGTTTAGTCTGCATTTCCCTGATAACAAAAGGATGAACTTCTATTCGCACATGTTTTCATGATCTGTATTTTCTCTTCTATGAATTGACTATTCCAATGTTTTGTCTCCTTTTCTACTGGGTTCTCCTTTTTTTTCCCCTTGAGTTGGAGTTGCTCTGGTGCCTAGGCTGGAGTACAGTGGCACAATCTCAGCTCACTGCAACCTCTGCCTCCCAGGTTCAAGCAATTCTCCCACCTCAGCCTCCTGAATAGCTGGGATTACAGGCATGCACCACCACATCTGGCTAATTTTTGGTATTTTTAGTAGAGACAGGGTTTTGCCATGTTGGCCAGGCTGGTCTTGAACTCCTGACCTCAGGGGACCTACCCGCCTCGGCCTCCCAAAGTGCTGGGATTACAGGTGTGAGCCACCATGCCTGGTCCCTGGGTTGTCTTCTTCTTACTCACATTTACTAGTTTAGAAAACAAATTCTGAATATTGATCCTTTGTTGTTATGAGATGTGAATATTTTCTCTAAGTCTGAATTCTTTCATCTTTTTAGTGGCATCTTCTGATAAGCAGGAGTTTGGAAATTTAATATAAATTTATCAGTATCAAAACATCAGACCTAGGCTGGGCGCAGTAGCTCAGGCCTGTAATCCTAGCACTTTGAGAGGCCAAGATGGGTGGATCACATGAGGTCACGAGTTCGAGACCTGGCCAACATGATGAAACCCGGCCAACATGGTGAAACCCAGCCAACATGGTGAAACCCCATCTTGACTAAAAACACAACAGTTAGCCTGGCGTGGTGGCGGGCACCTGTAATCCCAGCTACTTGGGAGGCTGAGGCAGGAGAGTCACTTGAATCCGAGAGGCAGAGGTTGCAGTGAGCCAAGATCATGTCACTGCACTGCACTCCAGCCTGGGCAACACAGCGAGACTCAAAAATAAAAATAAAAATAAAAATAAATAAATAAATAAATAAATAAATAAACAAACAAACAAATCAGGCCTACTTTACCTCATGATTATATTTTCTTTTTTAAAAAGTTTTGTGGCCCTGCGTGGTGGCTCATGCCTGTAATCCCAGCACTTTGACAGGTCAAGGCAGGCCGATCACTTCAGCTCAGGAGTTCGAGACCAACCTGGGCAACATGGCAAAACTCCATCTCTACTAAAATTACAAAAATTAGCTGGGCATGGTGGCATGCACCTATAGTCCCAGCTACTTGGGAGGCTGAGGTGAAAGGATGGCTTGAGCCAGGGGACAGAGGTTGCATTGAGTCAAGATTGTGCCACTGCACTCTAGCCTGGGCAACAGAGTGAGACCCTGTCTCAAAAAACAAAATGTTTTGTTTTCCATATTTAGGTCTTTTACCTACCTGACATTGATTCATGTTCATAGTATGAAGTAGAGATCCAATATTTGACTTTATTTTCTTTTCATAAAGAGAACCACTTATCTCCACAAGAATGGGCCATTCCATCCTTCCTCTATAAATCTGCAGGGCCACCTCTGTCATAGATCAGGAACCCAGAGAAGACAAGGGCTGGTTTCTGGCTTTCTATTCTGTTTTCCATCTCTCCTGGTGCTAATACCATCTGGTTATAATAACTACAGCTTTACACTAAGTCTTTATATTGGAAGGTACCTCCTACCTTATTCTGATACTTCCATCATCTTGAAGCTGTAGTTTCTCTTTTTCTTTGATCTCCCTTTAGTCCCCACTCACCAACTACTGGATTTTCAAGACTTAGTATAAACTTCCATGTTGCCACAGACACTTCCAGAACAGGCCACTCAGAATGATTGCACTCAACTACCATGCTTTTTTAGTGCTTACACCTCTATGTTAGCATCTTTCAAGGTCTGTCTTAGGTCTTAGCCCATGGTCCGGGGTGTCCCAACCCACTTTATCTATGTCCACACATCTGTGAGCTCCCGAAAAAACCAGAAGTGTCATCTGTGCATTCCCATGGCACCTCATACCAGGTGGACAGCACATGGTAAGCACGAAGTGGAATTCGTCAATTGAAGCTCCTTGCCATCATGATGGCAGTGATTTCTGTACTGCTGCACCATCCAGAACACAGGGACAATTTCTCCTGCAGGAGTCTGCTTAACTCTTCTACCAGGCCTTGGATGCACTGGCTCAAAGCCTGCAGGAAGCCCAGAGCGGGTAGTACGACTTCAGTGAGAAATTCTGGTTTGTGAGATGTTTATGGAAAGTAGTTGCAAGATTTGAAATGGACCTTGACAGTATTTAGTCCTCTTATCATTTACGCATGTGTTAAAAACAAAGTTTAGATTTCTGAAAACCCTTGCATATAACTCATCTCACTTGGACCAGGTGACAAGGGGTCCAAATACTCCAGTGGCCTCCTCAGTTTTCCCATTAATCCCCTAATTCCTCTGCTACTCTGGGACTCAACTCCTTCACTGTAAAGTAAAGATATTGCACCATATCAGTCCCCAGGTGACTTCTAGCTCAAATATCCTATGGCTGGAATTATACTCATGGTCCCTACTATTCCTCCTAAGGCCCCAGTTATACTATTTGACCTTGACATCACTGGACCTGAACAGTCTTATTTAACAGATGAATGTTGGACTCAATGCAATCATTTGCAGTTCCAACATGCTATAATTCTGTACGTGCCATATCCAATCTTGGATGGGTAGAACAGTAATGATTTTCTCTATTTAATAAATAAGGAAACTGAGCCCCAGAGAACTGGAGTGGCTTGCCCGGGACAACACTGTAGAAAGTGAAAAAGCAAAGACTGATAGTTCAGACTCTAATGATCAAGCTCAAGCATCTGTTTCCTGGATCATTCTTTTCTTTGCATGCAGACCAGTTGTGTGGCTCTGCCTTCCTTTTACATGGCTAGTCATAGAAAGACTTTGAAATCAGCAGTAGTTGACCAGAATGCTCATGTCAGAGGTATCAGCTTGCTTCAGGCTCCTGCTGGTCTCTTGTATCGGTGATAAACCCGTTGTTGACTCTGAGGAAAGTGTTGGACGTGCAGTACAATTCATGACAGCCTGCGACAGTGTGTAATGGAGTTTCACCATGTTCTGCCCAATTTCTCTGTGCTCATTTCGCTTTCTTGTTCATAAAGGTGCTTCCTGTTCCTTGTCCATTTGGATACAGCAGATCATATTTGGAAGGACTATCAGTTCACTGAAAAGCTTCACTTGATGAAAAACACATGATGCAAGCTGGGAATTATATCAAATAGGAGAAATGTTACATAATCGGGAATACATAGAAATGTTCCAGGGCAGATCTATTTTCCTTTGTAGCCACATGAGAATGTTGCAGTATACCAAAAGTGGGATGCTGGGGCCCATTGATCATGTTTCAGTGATAGAAATAGATACTGTTGTTTTAATAAGTTTGCTAGCAATCCCCTTTTCCCCTGCCCTGTGTTTTGATTGGCTGGCCACATTCCAACCTTCTCCTAGAGATGGAATATATGTCAATGGGCTTCCTAGGCAGTAGACCAGCACATCCATTCCAGAACACAGCAAAGGTCAAGCAAGACAGACAGCAACAGTGGTCCCCATGTTGCACTGGGCAATTCAATTCTCACAGGTTGCGCAGTGAATGCAGCAGGAATGGGCAGATTGCACAAACATAACCCATCTTGGTTACAGCTCTCTCCTCTCCTGGGCATTTCCCCAAATGTTTCCCTGGAATCATCCAAGGTGTTGTCATCTCCAGATTATAAAAAATTAAAAGGCAAGAAGTGGAACGTAGATGAAGATTAAGAGAACTAACTAGGCATAACTTAGCTAAATGAAAATGCCAGGGAACCTGAAAGCCATCTCCAAGGTTTTTACATGCTTAGGTAATTTGGCAAAAGGCAATGTCTAAATGCATCAATGGCAGGAAACATTGACTACTTCAAGAAGCATAAGAAATCAGAAGTAGTCAAAATAATCAATATTATCAACTTTTTATTGAGCTTCTACTATTTCTCCAACCCCAGGCTTGGCACCAAAGAGGATTTAAGACAAAAGCAAAATAATTACTGCACTCACTGTTTGGGTCAACAAAGACAAAACACAGACCCTTGAGCATGGTCCAGTGAGTGAGACTGACAGCTTGCTAAAAGAGTTCAGGGCAGGGAGCATTTCCTATGACTGAAGGTAGCCAGAAAGCCAGAGAAACGTGCGAGAAACAGATTTAGAGTGTTTTCACCAAAGTGAATAAATGTCGTTAAAAACCATTCTGGATAAAACCTCAGAATCACAATGCATTACTAACATACACTAAACAGTCACCATTTTTGATATCTCTGATTCCTGAGAACACCCCCATGGCTCAGATACAGTTGATTATAAAACAAACACACTCATAGCTCAAGGTCACAGGGACAGCACGTTCATCACAGTGAGGGAAATTCCTTGGGAAGAGGCCGCAGTTCAGTCTCCTGATGGCAGGACCAGCACAGCTCTGCATGCTGGATAATTAGGAGGCTCAGTTTAATTCCAAATATCTGGGCAACAATCAATAGTGAGAGCATGAGGGGTGTGTGGCTGGACTAGTTTATGTGACGGGTCACACATTAGGTACCTAATTGATGTGGCTTCTCGGGATGCGGTAATGCCGCTGACGCACACCACTTTCCTATTACTAGGCTTAATGGTTCATCTTTTGATTTCTGCCTCACTCCCAGCACAGTGTTATTTAAATAAGACCCTATTAGGGATTTATTTATCACAAGGAAAAGATTTATCCAGGAAAAAAAAAAAAGCTCCCTGAGACACAGCAGTTCCGCTTATAGAAGCACCATAATAAAGAAGACAATAGCAATATTTTTACTGTTTAGGTCGATACAATTATAGGATGAGAGAAGGCAAGAAGCAAAAAATATAAATTTCACACTCAGTGACCTAGTAATTTGTCAGTCATTTTCTGCATTAAACCTAATGCATCCTCTGGGACTGGGGCAGAGGATACCAGAGAAATCTCAGCACTCCTGGCCTGACGTTCCTAACTCCACACCGTCTCTCCCTTTCTTCTTTCTTCTTGATCATTTTCTCTATGTGTGTAATTGTCTTTGTCTTCTCAGTTCCTGTGCTTTCTGATGATGGTGTTCTTTAGTCTTTTATTCTGGTACCAATTGCTGGAAACATAATCACCTATTTGTATTTCATTATTGAAGGAAAGGGACCTTATATGAGGTGGTAGAAAAATCTTGACCCTGATCAGTTTAACTTTATCACCATGGCAGAAGAAGAAAATCCTATCCTTCCTGGGTCTCCAACCCAAATAGCCTCATTTTTTTCCCATGCAAGCCCTTTTCTATTCCACTTATGCACCGTTTTTTGTTTGTTTGTTTTGAAACAGAGTCTCTCTTTCTGTTGCTCCAACTGGTGTTCAGTGGTGTGATCCTGGCTCACTACAGCCTTGACCTTCTAGGCTCAAGCAACCCTCCTGCCTGAGCCCCCCAAGTAGCTGGGACTACAGGCATGTACCACCACACCCAGCTAATTTTGTTCATTTTTTTAAAGACAAGGTCTCACTATGTTGCCCAGGCTGGTCTTGAACTCCTGGACTCAAGTGATCCTCCCACCTGAGCCTCCCAAAAATGCTGGTATTACAGGCGTGAGCCACCATGCCCAGCCTACTTATGTACGCTCAGTACCTACAGTATACTATATTTCCAGCCAATTACTGGGTTTGAAAAGTATAGTAAAGAGGCAGAAGGGAAATGTTTCCCTCTGAGAGCTTACAACCTACATGGAGAGATGAGACAGACATGAAACAGAGGACTACAAATCACATCACAGAGTTTTAGTATGGGGCTGGAGAGGCAAGAAAGGGAGCAGGTGGAACACTTGGATTCAAATATCAGAAGGACTGTAATGGGAAAGGAGTAGATAAACAGGAGAGCTTTGGGAACACAAATGGGCTCAAGTCATAGGACCATCAGGGAGACAGATATTAGGTCAATGTAAAGAAAACGTCTCAGTCCATGAAAAAGAGTCATCTGACAACAGCAGGTGATGTATATGAGGAAGTCGTGGACAGGGCTGTGGTGGGGGCTTGCTGCACTGGACAGGGCATGGGACTGTGGCGCCTTCAAACCTCAGGTTCTTGATGTGTTTTAGGAATCTGTAGAAGGTGCACATTCATGAGGTCTTCAGTCACCAGGAAATACTTCAAAGAAAAGGCAAACACTGAGTTGAGTCCTGTGTAAATTTTCAGAGAGACCATGGAGAAGGGGCTTCTGGAAAGGGAATGACACACACACAACCTGTACCCCTGTACCCCACCCCATACCCATTCTTTCTTATGATTCTCCATCCAGAGGGCAAGTTTTCCTCTTTTAGGTAGAGACGAATTGTTCATGACATAGTCATTTATCCCCCAAAGAGGAGGAAGAGGCACATAAGTAGACTAAACTTTAAAATTTGATACCTTTATTTATTTATTTTCTCTTCTGTCTTCCCATTCTTCCTATTCTATCTTTCAAAATGACTTACTGAGGCCCTAGGCACTCGGGCTAGATTCCACAGATAGAATGATGTGTAAGGGCAGATTTGATCCTTGCCCCTGTAGAGCTTACAACCCATCGAGAGAGACAGACATTAGCCAAATACTGTCACAAATAAATGTTTACAAGTGACACCAAAGGAAAATAAAAGAAGTGGTAAGAACAGGTAAGAGGAAGCCCAGATTGAGGCTGTGGTGGGGACAGAGCAAGCTTCCCGGAAGAAAGGAGAGTTGTGCTGAGATCTAAGGTTGAGGGACAGTAACTGGGTAAAAGGGGGTGGCAGTGAAGAGGGTCAAGAGATAAGGAGAGAAGGAAAAATATTAAATAATATTCCAGGAAGAGGAAACAGCATCCCCCAGAATCACAGCAGATTTAGAGAGACTCCAGGGATGCCTCCTGCATGGTCAGAACAAATTTATAGACAAATAAAAAGTGACATACAGAAATCAAAAGTGAGGTACAGAAACAGCTGGATTGGTTACAGGTTGGCCTTTGTTTCATTTGAATACAGTCTGAACACTCAGCAGTCTACGAGTGGTTGAAGTGTGGCTGCTGGGATTGGCCAAGACTCAGCTATTGTTACATAAGCATACACCTAAGTTAGGTTTTCTGTCTTCTCTGCCTGTTAAGCTAGGTTACCGTTCGTCCACAAGGACTCAAATATAGAAGTACGGAGTCCTTCTCAGGCCATAGTTTGCTTTAACAGAGGGCGGACTACAAATGGTAGAAATTCAAAGAAAACTCTAGGAAATGCCAACAATTATACATATCCACAGTGGTGGAAGACAGTTGAATTAGGTTCATAATTCATGACTAGGGATACAGGAAAAGAATGATGGTAAACTGGTGAAATGTGGGAACCAGAGATTTCCATAAATAGCACAGTTCTGATTTTGTACAGTTCTTTGGGAAGATGGGAAAGTTAGTGTCCTTGTAGGTCAATTGTGTTACAGAAAATATTTATGACTGGATCCATGTGACCTGGTATAGCACAGTTCTCCTGAAGGTCCAGTTATAACTTACAGATTAAAATTGTTCTTACCTCTTAGTTATCAATGCACAAATTATCCCTAGTGACCTGGGACCAGATGTGGCTTTCCTTCCCACCACATCGTTAAGCCTCAATGGGACAACAATAAGAATGCATACTAAGTGTGGAAGATCCCTAGGGCTGGTGCGTTTGAGAGAGTCTGGGTGTGGCAGGCATGCATGAAGGCTGTGACTCATGGTTTTCTTCTCAGCACCTTCCAAGACTAAATATACACCCCTGGATTGACCAGCCTTTTATATTAGTCTACCTATGGCTGCTTGAGACCTGCTTTACTCTAAAATCTTAGAGGCTTATGTTAAATGGAGATTAAACTAGTTGTTAATTGTTTTCTTTTTCCTGAGGTTAAAAAGTTTTTTAGCAAGATGTATGGGGACTCTTCCAAGAAAGGCACGATGGTGGAGATGATGGACAGTGTTTGTGCTCTCCCTTCACCATGAGAAAGAGGCAAAATTCTTCCCTTCATCTGTAAAATATTGAAGGTGCTGGAGGTAATTTTTCGCAGGGGGTAGAGTTGACATAAGTTATAGGGTGAATGAATAATTGTTCTCTATAACATCAATACTACGTAAATATAAAGACAAATTACCTACACTATAACCAGTAGAAGTCGCTGATTCAAGCTTATCTAAGCTATTGATGTTCCCGGGATCACCAGTCCAACTTGTTAGCATTCTATTTACCAGATCAATAAGCCTCAAGGGTCCCTAGTGAATCAATCAGCAGAGCTCCTAGACACTGGGAGGAGGCTGATTTCTGAGAGACCTTGAGAAATAGGCAGAGCTGGGATGCACTGGCTTCTGGGTGATTGGTGGCAGCAGGGGTGGCTGTGACCCATTCCTCCGCTCACTACTTCAACCCATCTTGAGTAAGGTCTGCCATGTGAGTGACACAAGAGAACAACCATGTCAGAGACAGTGTTGACTTGCGGAGGCTCCCAGTTCAGTGGAGCAGACAAGCTTGCAAGCGTGTCCTCACATCCCAGAGGGATACCTGGAGCCCTGTCTGGTGGAGTCAGGGAGCTATACCAGAGCTGGTGATGCTTGGTTATCTGGTGGGGTCAGCTTGTATATGTCTTGGCAAAGCCACTGCTCTGGTAAAGGACAATTTCTGTGGAAATGGCCAGATGAGGAAAAATTAGGAAGGAGATGAAGTTTTCCAAATTTCATGGTATATGCTGCACTTCCCCAACCTTCACTCTCCATGTAGCCTACTGGGTCTACTATTCCACAAAGTGGCTCAACCTCCAAATGACCTCTGGTTTACCCCTATTAAAATCCCAAAGGACTTTCAGCTGTGTGGACTGGGCACTCACTAAAAGATGTCAATGACTGCTAATTCTATGTTTTGTTTTGTTTGTTTTGTTTTGTTTTAAGAAGTATGATATCTTAAATGGAGCATATATTGGTAGAACTGAGGAAAGATAAAATTATGGAAGAAACAATTGAGTCTGACCTGCCTTTGAGATGAGGAAACAGGGCTCCTTCACCTCCTGGTTCTACAATCTAGGGCAGAGAGATGTTCATGGATTTCCATGTTAATCTCTTTGAGCCCAAATATCCTAGTCTGTGAAATGGGGACAATCATAATTGACCTTTCGCAAGGAGACAATGTATACAGTGCACGGGGCCTGGCACATAGTAAGTGCTCAAAGAATGACAAACTTTATGATGCTAATAGAGATATATCTCTAATCCTATAGAGATATAAGAGACTTAGGCCTGGCGCGGTGGCTCACACCTGTAATCCCAGCACTTTGGGAGGCCGAGGTGGGTGGATCACGAGGGCAGGAGTTCGAGACCAGCCTGACCAATACGGTGAAACCCTGTCTCTACTAAAAATACATTAAAAAATTAGCCAGGCATGGTGGTGTGTGCCTGTAATCCCAGCTACTCAGGAGGCTGAGGCAGGAGAATCACTTGAACCGAGGAAGCAGAGGTTGCAGTGAGCCGAGATCGCACCATTGCACTCCAGCCTGGGCGACAGAGTGATACTCTGTCTCAAAAAAAAAAAAAAAAAAAAAAACCCTGATTTTTTTTAGCTGCCAGGGCAGTTGGGGAGGAAAGGTATTTTTGGAGAGGAAGTACAAAGACCCCTGCCACACACTCCCACAGTCAGGCTACATAAGGCTTACTGTTGCTTCAGACAGAATGTCTGGATATGAAACCTCTGAACACTACTGTCTGAATGCACCCACTCATCTCAGAACACTGGGTGGGCTGACTAGGGAGCATGGTCATATTTGATTTCTGAGCGGACAGTCAAGGCAGGCTTAGCATTCCAGGAAGCAAGAGTTAAAGAGACCTAGATGGGTTAATCTCAACCAAGGTATAAGGCAGGAGCTGAATACAGGAGCTGGGGAGACTAGAGGCAAAGAGAAAATCAGAAGACGGAGACTGAAACATAACTGGGGCAGGGGTTGGGGAACAGTCCAGGACTGCTGAGAACATTGCAGGGGTTTTGTGACAGCTTTTGTGATAGCTTTGATGGGGTGTGTGAGGGATTTGTGGACATGCCAAGTTTCAGACTACCTTATCATTGACTGAAACCAAAACTTCACTCAGTGTAGTGTGACCTCTGGTGGTCCAAAAATTCAAAAGGATGGGTTCTGTGGCTCCTTGAGCATGTTCAATACCTTCTCCAAGTCTCAGTTTATAAATCTGTACAACAGGACTGACACTGCTGGGTCTTAAAGCTTTCTGTGGGACAAAATGAGATCATGGATATAGAACAGCCTTGTTTTCTATGACAGGCTACTATTATGACTATGATTTTTAGAGTTTCAATAATCATCATCATATAGGAGTGCTGGTTAAACAGCAAAACCCATCCAACAGACTTTTATCTTATTTAGGGAATTTCCCCAGAGTGTGACGGTATCCCACTTACAGATGCCATGGAAGAAACCTGTCACATCAGCACAGACAGTGACAAATTGGACTAATGAGATACGGGAAACGATGTGGGAAGTGATCGAACCTGAGACCAGAAAGCTGACTTTCCTTAAGGTCATAGCTGGAGGAAAGGAAATAAATAAAATGTAGGCCAACAGTCTAGATACTCAAACATCAAGATATGGGTTAGGAACAACATAATATTTAGTGGCCTGTATCAGAGGTGCTCAAACATGGCTGGCGGTTACTAGAATTAGCCCAGAAGCTTTTACAAAAATATAGGCCTATTGAATCAGAAACTCTGGGTAGTGTCTGGGACAAATGTTTGCAATAGTTTCCTAAATGATTGGCATGATCAACCAGCCAGGTTTGGAAATGAGAGGTCTGTATCAGGTCTTGGAGCCAGATACAAGAAGCCATCAGCCCTGCAGAATCAAGAGCCTGGGAACCTGGGGCTGGGCATTTAGCTGGACCACCACGGGGGCACCAGGTGCTAGAACACAGCAGGAAGGATGATGCAGCAGGCTTCACTGGCCTCATCTTCACTGGATTTTGACTATTTGTTTAATTAGGGTTATATACATTCTAGAAGCATAGGGACTTTTATTGGGGATGTTGGAGAGGCAGTCTGTAGCTATGAGGAGAGAGGAAGCTACAGTGCTAAGAAGGGGGACCAGGAGGAGTGGCTGAGGGTAAGACTAAGACAACAGCTTTTCTCTTCCCACTCTTTCCCTCATTCTTTCCTGAGGCAGTGGCCTTGGGACACAATTTTTTTTTTTTTTTTTTTTGCTATTAATACTATCAGGGCAGGTTGAGAAAACAGATCTTGAGGGGGAAATACGGTGGAATTGGAAGAAAGAGGCCAGGCATGGTGGCTCACGCCTGTAATCCTAGCAATTTGGGAGACTGAGGCAGGAGGATACTTGAGCCCAGGAGTTCAAGACTAGCCTGGACAACACAGCCAGACCCCATCTCCCAAAAAAGTGTTTTAAAAAGTTAGCTGGGCGTGGTGGCACATGCGTGAGCCCAGGAATTTGAGGCTTCAGTTAGACATGATAGCACCACTGAGCTCCAGCCTTGGTGACAGAGTAAGACCCTGTCTCAAAGAAATAAAAATAAAGAAATAAGAAGAAGGAAGGGGAGGAAGGAAAAAGAAGACCACCCCACAGTGTGTGGGTCTGCAGGGTGTGGAGCCCCTCTGCAGCTTCAGGCAGAGGAGGGAAGAGAAGCATAGGCCTGAGATGAGCCATCCCTCCAGGGCTCATGACCTGAGGAACATCAAGGAAGATTCAGGCAGTGGACTTGCAGGAACCCTGATGAAGAAAGGCTGAAAAAAGGCTCATTCCCTGCCACATCTTAGGAGACTTCCAGAAAGCCCCCAGCTCTGAAGCACAGAGTTTTTGGTAACCACAAATGCAAAAATAAATCACAAATCACTCTCCTTGGAGACATGACAAAGTTAGTGAATCAGCACAGATGAGCTGGCAAGGGCCATATAATTCCCCAATCAAGGTAGTTGATTGTGCATATCTTCAGTTGAAGAAAAAAATTAAAAATAAACTCTCTGAAGGAGAGAGAGAGGCAGAGCAGAGAGGTTTGGTGGTCTACCCTTTTTGCTTGGTGAAGTGCCCAATGAGGACTCAACATTAAATCTTCAAAAATTTGCCAGAGAGACTGAGTTGCAGTGAATGGTGTGCTTTGGAAGGGAGGAAAGAGTAGAAACCAGCTTGGTTTCCCTGGCAGAAGCCTGTTTACCACGTGCATTGATTACTTTTGCAGCCACACTCTCTAATGTGCTTAGGTGGCCAGTGATTAATGACGCTTGGACAGCAGCCTGGTTGCTTTGTTGTGACAGATGATGCCTCGCCCACTTTATATTCCCGCTACTGGGGCTTCATTTCTATGAAAAAGAAAGGACCCCAAAACCACTCCCTGCTCCTATAGGCCACTTCTGTCGGGCTGCTCCTTCTGGAAGCAGTACCTCCTTGGGTTCAGATGAAACTCTGTAAAATGAGAATATTGAAAGACTCCACAGAGTCCTATTGGCCCACTAGAGGAATACAATGAAACACTCATAAAACTCGACTTACTTCAAGTAGCCTTTCTTTCCCCATAATTTTTTTTAGGAGACAGGGTCTTGCTGTGTTGCCCAGACTGAAGAGCAGTGACATAATTATAGCTCACTGCAGCCTCTACCTCTTAGGCTCAAGCAATCCTGCCGCCTCAGCCTCCTGAGTACAGAGATTACAGTCATACACTACTGCACCCAGCTAACTTTTTCGTATTTTTTTTGCAAAGATGGTGATCTTGCTATGTTGCTGGTCTCGAATTCCTGACCTCAAACAGTCCTCCCACCTCAATCTCCCACAAAGTGCTGGGATTACAGGCATGAGACACCATGCCCAGCCTCTTTCCCCACAATTAAATGTACAATGTATGACCAAACCGGTATAGCACAGAGAAAGGAAGGTGAACTTTGAATATCAGATCCAAACCTGACTTCTAACACTTTTAGTTGCATGGCCTTGGGCAAGTTAATAAACATCTGCAAAATGGAAGCAAGGATTCCTACACCTGCCACCTAGAGTTTTGGGGAGAGTCAGATGAGATAATGTCACTTTTTACAGTCTCTGAAGTATACCAAGCAGCAATCCAATGCCTTAAAGGTGATGCTGACTCATGGTTCCATCCGGGATTCTTCCCAATTTTCCTGCCAGTTGTTTGGATTTCTCTCAGGTCCCCTTTTTATAGGGCTGGTTTGAGCTGAAATGGAAGAGTGGGCTGAGGTGGAAGATAAGCTGAGAAGAGAGTTTGGGGTCAGACTGTGAAAAGAGATGGGAAGCAGGCCCCCCCGTCTAGCGTTTGTTCCAGAGTGGCTCCCCAGGGCAATGGTTCCTGCTCCAGCACCCCTCCTCCTCCTCTGCCTCTCTGCATCAGCCAGTTAATGTCTAACCCTGTGGTGCCTCCTTCTCCAGGGAAGAGATAAGGAGTAGGCCTCCCCGGACAGGCCCAGGCTGCATTCCTCAGTGCCCTGGGCTCTCAAGGGCACACCTCTGTGATCAGGTGCTTATCTCCAGGTGTTCGCCTAAAGGGAGGTCATGAAAAATCAACACCAATCAGGGCAGTTTCCTTGGAAGCTGAAATTATCTCACAGGCATCTCAGAGCAGGTGCCAGGCTATTTTGGGACAGCAATCACTGTGTGCAGAGGGGGAGCATCGCCTCTCCTCTCAAACCAGGCAGCAGCCTGGAGAGCACAAATTATGGCAAGCTGCTTCCAGCCCATTATGTCTGTGCTGCCACCAAATGGGGCAGGGTGTCCTGGCATGGCACGGGTCTGCTGCCCAGCCACCGGCAAGGGCTTCTGTCCAACTGATGAAATGATAGGGGCTCAGCTTTCTGGACAGAAACAGAGCTTCCCTCACCTATATGGTAAAGTTCACATTTCTTAGCTTGGAATTCAAGTCTCCCTGATTTCCAAACTCACTGCAATCTCCACTCAAAATCTTTGCCTGGATTCTTCTCAAGTTCATTTCCAGCCCAGGCCCTGCACTCCTGTCAGGAGATGTCTTCATTTTAGCCCAGACGAGCTGTACTCAGCTCCGGACTTCTGCCCAACCTACCCTCACCTCCTCCCTTCCCAGTAAAAGCTCCTCTGATTGGTTTTTTATTTCTCCAGATTCACTGTCTTCATCAACATATACTTCCTTCCCTGATGGCTGCCCCAGCCCCACAAAGATGTTTCCCTTTTCTGCCCAGGCATTGTTGGAACCACAGAAGCCAGTCGTGCATCCCTATGGACGCTTCAGTGGGCAATGATGATTTTCTGGGCCTACGACACATCCCTCCTCAAAGAAAAACAGAAAGAGACTCAAGGGTCTTCTATTTCTTTGTGTCCCCATAGTATCTAAGAGTAAAGTCTGGGCACTGAATAACTACTCATTTAATTTCTACCTCTCCTACCTCCTAAATCTTCTGCAGAGCTCAGGATCTCCCCTGACTTGTCAAAATCTCAAGCCACTCAGATCCTCAATGCCAGTTATAAGCAACATCCCATTTTCTAAAGGCTTCTGGTAAGCCAGTCCTTTCTCTCCAGACAGTCCATGTCTAAGGATGGGACATGTCTTGTGTGTACTTCCCCAGACAACATAGAAAGAAGATGCCCATTGTGTGTTTCATTTGCCTAAAGGCTCTCTAGCTGGTGATCTGATTTCCAAGAAGGGAAATAACTTGCACTGTAAACTGATTTATTAAAATAGGCGCTCATGATCCTTATCTTTTAGAAGCCAACAATTTTAAAAATATGCTACAGAGAGAAAGGGCAATTGAAATGACAAGAACTAACAGCTCAGTATTTTGAAAACATCAGGGCTCTGAAGAAGAAGGGGAGATTTTGTAGTGTTGTACATTGAAAGTTTATCTGAAACATTCCCCCATCTCTCTTTTCCTCTCTCTTTGTCCCTCTGTGCCACCCCTAATGTATTCACTTTTTTCTCTACTCACTCCCTCGCTTCCAATATTTAAGTCTTTAAAAACATTGAAATAAAATGCAATGGACAGGACCCGTATCCGTCAGTTCTTGTTCTCTTCCCCTGAAACTGGGTAGCACATCTTGTCGTTCCTGTCAGACCACCCAGCTAGAAGTCCCCTCTCCTCTCTCTGAGACCTGATAGCATTTTGTGTCCCTCTGATACAGCACAGATGAAGTCACCCTGGATTGTAGTCATCATGTGTGTGATTTTTATCCCTTATTTGCGTAATAAACCCTTAATAGAAGAGACTGGGTTTCATTCATCCCCCAGTAGCCACAGGACAGAATGCAGTGTTTTTTGTTATAAGGGGGTGGCCTTCTGCTAAAGGAATGAGTGAGCTGTCATTTGAAACCATGATTCTCTCCAGGGCTTGGCAGCCCATGGACACATTGACATTAATCACCACATTTTGGTCCTACCCAGCTCCCACCTACACAACCAGACAGTCTCACACATTGACTTGATTAGAATTAAGAATCAAGGAAAAGGGCACCTCTACAATTTTATTGAATGGAATCCCAGACAGAACCCTAATATCAAAAACAGATGGGACAGTTTAAAACTTCTGGGCTTGGCAGAAACCACTTTGTTGTATGCAGAGTCCCTGAAGCAACCCCAAGTGGCCCCAGAACTCTGTGCCTGCACCCAAGGGACACTGTGGGGGCATAAGAGCTAGGCTGACTCAAGCACAGTCCTGGCAGCCCTCTCCCTCTCGGCCAGGGCTGCTCGGCTTCTCGGCTTCTCCCTGTTTTACAGTCTGAGATTTCAGGTAAGATTTTGCTTGAAGAAAGTCTTGCAGTAATTTTTTTTTTTAAATCTTGAAAACCACTGGGTTAAAACAAAGTTTCCTGATAATTGCTGCATGGAAAAAAATGACACGGCTCAGGCCCATCTTTTCCCCGGGAGCACCACTTGACCACTTTTCCAAGAACCGCTTTAGACTATGAATCACTGGTGATATGGTTGGGCTCTGTGTTCCCACCCAAATCTCATATCGAATTATAATCCCCATGTGTCAAGGGAGGGACCTGGTGGGAGGTGATTGGATTATGGGGGCAATTGCCCCTATGCTGTTCCCATGGTAGTGAGTGAGTTCTCACAAGATATCATGGTTTAAAAGTGTAGCACTTCTTCACTCACTTGCTCTCCTGCCAGCTTATGAAGAAGGTACTTGTTTCTCCTTCCCCTTCCACCACGATTGTAAGTTTCCTGAGGCCTCCCCAGCCATGCAGAACTGTGAGTCAATTAAGCCTGTTTTCTTTATAAATTATGCAGTCTCAGGTAGTTCTTTACAGGAGTGTGAAAACAAACTAACACAACTGGGGAGTAGAATTTGAGCTGGGAAATGTGGCTGCCAGTTGATCTCCTCCACTGACAGGAACCCTCTGGTGCCCCCACCCCACTTCCAAACTTTTCCATAAATGTTCTTCATTCCTAGGAGTGAATAACTCAATGTGAGAGTCAGCAGGGCTATTCGCATCCAGCCCAACTCCCCTGGTCTTAGAGATGAAGAAATCTACTAAAAATTACAGACAAAGTGACATGCCCAGAGTCACACAACTAGATGGTGGATGTAAAGACTCATTCTCTTTGGGTCTTTGCATGTTTACAAGTTTAAAATATCACACTAAGAGAAACCAGGAAAATCAGAGGATTTAGGGCATTAGCTGCTACCAGGTAGGGCCACCCACGTTCTGTCCAAAGCAGGAAGCATAGGTTTTTCTAGATATCCAGAAGCAGCTGGTATAGCATCACTCACACTGCATAGCTGCTGCTGCAGAAACTTTTATCCTGATAAACATTTGATAGTTTCAGCCACAGGTAAGTGGCCTTGGACTCCAAGACAAATATTTAGTTCTCATCTTTCCCAATTTACCTGTCTCTGGTGTGTGCTGGATGGAGCTGCTCCCCCATGCTAGGGACAGATCTGCCATGAGACTGGAGCTCACTGGGGGGTACCAGCTTGACAACCTCCAGCATAACGAAATCCACCAGGGCCTGGCACTTTTCTGCCTGCTCATATCCATTCCTGTCTGCCCCTGCCTGCCCTTCCCTGTGCAACGACCCCCCCAACCCTCGGCCAAATCAAGAGCGTTGTATTTCCCAAACCCCATTTCACAGCGATATTGTTTTATACAGCCCCTCCAAAATACCTTGAATAGTCCCTTTTTATCGCTTCCATTTTCTGAAAACTCCAGCTGCTCCTCTGAAACCATCCAAATCTAATTAACCACAGAAGCTGGAGTTAGGGAGAGTGGCTCACTTTCGGGTCCTTAGCATACCCATTCAGGCCTTCTTTCAATATGGGCACAAAACCAGGAATTTCTAATAATTGTATCTATGGGCCTGGAAGGGGGAAAAATAAAGAAAAAGAAAGAAAGAAAGCTGCTAATAAGTAGGTCTGTGAAAGGAGGGAGATCAGCACCTCGCATGAACTTGGCAGCCTGGCCCCGAGAAACTTGGAGACAATGCCACTGGGGGATCTAAAAAGCTTAGCCTCCTGACTCAAATCTTGTGAGAATGTACCCAGGCTGTGAATAGAGATCGGAGTCTCAGCCTTAAATTGTCCCAGCTCAGACTCATTGAAATGTCTTCTCACAGAATTAAAAAAGAAGAGGGCAGGAAAGTTTGCTGAATATCAATGAGGCCGTGCTTAGAAGTGGAAGATGGAGAAACTCAGAGGTTTATTCCTGAATGACATGGATTAAGACAAAAGTAACACATTGGGTCTTTGCCAGGTGGTGATGATGGGGAGGGGCTGTGCTCCTCGGGCAGCTGTGGAGGATGGAAGCTACCTGGGCATAAGCCACTTCCTGGGGTGTCACGCTGGGGATGGGGGAAAGTCACCTCCTCAGGCCTCACTTCTCCTTTAACAGATGAGAGGTGAGGCTCGGAGGAGGAATGGGCTGCAGCAGGTACCCCTTGACCTGGGCCTCCTGCCTCCCCAGAATGGCCTCCTTCAGCATTACAATGCAGTCTCCTCAATTGCTTTGCCAAAAGAGGCCATGTGTACCTAATAACTGTACCCATCCTTCCAGTTTCAAATGCCAGTGCCTCCTTAAAGCTTTCCCGTCTCACCTGAGCCCCCTCCCATCCCTCAACTCTTCCCTGTGCTCTGTAGCTGTCTGAGTCACTCCCTCAACTCGTCAGCCCTTGCCTCCTACCACACTTTTTGGACATTTTATTCCCTGCTCTAGATGGCTGCTTGCAGGGGGTCATAGATTACATCATATACTTCTGGTATTCCCTGTCATTTGCTATGCTTAGAAGGCAATTAATAAGCATTATTTGAATAGAAAAATGACTAGCCCAAGCTAAGACTGAAATTCAATGTCTTCTGACTCTTAAAATATCTCAAAATGTCACTATACTAGGTGTGAAGACTCTTTCTGATGGTTGGTTGGTTTACTTCTCTTGATCACTGTGAGAGTAGAAGAGAAAAGGAGTTGTTCCTCTGTAGTATGTACTATGTTGAAGTTAGACAAATTATAAGAATTAACTTATACATGAACATATATACACCTATGTATACATATGTGCATGTATATGTGTGTATACACAAAAATGTATATATGAAATAGGAGTGGATGTGGCTGAACAGAGCAATTGCAGCAAGAGAGAAAACAGTTTTCTTCTGAAAGATGTCCATGATATGTCATTATAAAGAAAAACAACTACAGGTTTTTACAAGCAGCAGGGATTGGGGAATGCACGTTTTAGAATAGTGCTTGGCACCTAGCAAGCATGATATGTTTTACTCATTTTTATTATCAATATTGTCTCGAGTTTTTTCTCCAGAAGTAAGAATGGGTTCTCTTTTACAAGCAGGAACTCACTCACAGGAACTTGCCAGCAAACTTTTATTAAAAAGAAGTAACTCAAGCACCATTCTCTGGTCACCTCTTGTGACAGTGATCTGAAGCCCAGTTCTAGCTCCAGATATAAAGAGTAACAGAACTGGAACAGAGTGAATCGCAGATTTTGGGGGGTCATAGAATTCTCTTCAGATGAGATCACAGGCAGGTAAATAAGTCGAGGAATCCTCTCTGATTGAAAGAGAATAGGGGAATAGGGGTCTTCTCCCTTCTTCCCACCTCCATCTCCCCTCACCACTCCAGCAGCCCCATGTGGACTTCTAAGACCCCGAGCTCAGAGGAGTACTACACCAAAACCTCTGCTTCTCCAGTGTCCCAGCTTTACAGAGCTAGAGTTAGAAATTCTGGGTATAGGTCCCAATTCTGCCTTTTTCTAGCTCTGTGACCTTGTGAGATCATTCCTCCATAGTAATCTTTGTAATCTTGCCTAGGCAATGGTCATTATAGGAACTTCTTACTATATGTACCCTCTAGGGTTGCTGCAGAATCCAATAAGATCATGTGTGTTAAGTGTCTTGTTAGACAATTAATTCATTCACTCAATAATTTATTGAGCACTTACTTTGTGCTAGGCACGAACTTCATGGAGAGGAACAAAACAGGCATGTGTGCCTGCTCCTGTGGAGCTTGCAGGATGCCAAACACAAAGAAAATTCATAACCCATTCAGACTCTGTGACTTCTTGGTCTTGGTTGTCTTCCTTGCTAGAGAAGAAACTGAGGATTAGAGAGATTTCGTATCATGCCCAGCATCGCAGAGGTTCCAGATCACCTATACCTCCCTGCTCGGTGCTCTTCCCCTATGTCACTTGGGCAACACTTTTGGTGAAGAGGTCTGTCTTTTGATGGTTATGATCACAGACTTTAGAGCCAAGAGGCCTGCGTTCAAATCACAGTGCTACCACCTGGCTTAGAGCAAGCACTGTCTGTGTTAGCTATTGTTATTGTTACTATTAATAGTATTGTTACTAGTGATTGTTTTTCCAGCACTGTGAATGAGCTGGTCTCTTATACACTTAGCACACATAAATTGTCCAATTAGCCAGTTTAGGGTTGCAGCTGGGGCTAGATTATCCCATAAACAGACTAAGCACGTACACCCAAGCAAAGCAAAAGGACCAAAAAAAAAAAAAAAATCAACTTCAATAAACTTAGTTTTGTAATCAAAAAATTCCTCCAGCATGAGTAGAGTGAACACCACTACAGTTTTTAGTTTTTCTTTTCCAAAGGACCTACCATGAAGCAGAGTGTGCCCTGGAGCAGAAAACGCAACACAGCTGCCTCCCTGGTCAGGTGCTTGACCCAAGCACCTTGACTTCCTCAGCGGAATCCTCTAAGCTCCCTGCATTGGCTAGCCACAGCTGTCACCACGATCACACCATCCTTCCTGGGCTCAATCCCCAACTTCACCCAGGGGCTTCCTTGGCCTCCTTCCACAACTGCTCTCCTCTCCTCAAGAAAGGTTTGAGATAAACAGAGACTCTGAGCTCTGTCCAGCCAGGTGCTACCAGGTGGGGAAGGCATGTGACAATCAGAGAGACAAAGGCACCAGTGTTCTCATGCTGGGGACCCCCGTGTGGCCACTCCTACCTACAAAAAGACAGTGTGCAATGTGGAAGATGGATCCCCAGCATACTGTGAATTAGAGAGCTGTTTATCACTTCTACCTCCCTTTTCAACATCTTTTCTCTTACTATAGTGCCTTCTCCTCTCCTATCACCCAGAAGCTGCTGGCTAGCTGCTTTCAGACTACCCAGAAAAACCAGCTACAGCCTTCTGCCTAGGACATACCTCTGCCCCACCAGGACCCATGCGTGAATCCCTCTCTCCCACTTCCTTACCTCCATGCTTACCTGGAGTATGTCTCTCACAATTGAGGGAACTGGCTCAGCTGGTATCTGGTGGAATACTTATTGATACAAAAGCATTCAGGCTGCTGATGGACTGGATGTGCTTCATCAGAGCAGTCTACCCCCTTCAGAATGGAACAGAGTGTATGCGTAAAGGTAGGATATCAGGCCAAGTAACGGACCTGTGAGAGAGTAGTTTAAGGGCAGGGCTGGGACTTACTGGTATCCTTTCAATCACACAGCATGCAGAGGCCTTACACACAGAGACAGAAGTAAAATCTGTCAGAATCACAGCTCCATTTAGCTGTGGGGCAGGCAACCAGTTATACAGCAGCATGTAAATGAAGAAAGGTGTTTCTTTGATCTGGAATTGTCAGTTTGGTTTTATATTTTGGATCTGTAGCTTTTGTATTTTCAGTTTGGAGTAAGAGAAATGTTAGAACTATGAGAGAAACTTTGAAGTCCACCTTTTCATTTTACAATTATGAAAACAGCAAGCCAGAAAGGGAAAAAGACTTGACCAAAGTCCCAAGCAAGGTGGTACCTTATGGATTTGGAGGATGCTACCGAGATTTCATATATTTATGATGAAACTGGGTTTCCTATAGGTTATGGAAGAATGAGCGTCCTTGCCTCCTTATATCTTTCTCCTGGGTTTTTAGGTTCTCAGAAACCAGCTGACTCTGTCATGTACAAGAACAAGGAAAAGAAAAGAAAAAAATTATTCAGTGCATGTAAAGAATCTCATCTTCCCATTTTAAATGGCACATTGACCAAATCAGTGAGCAAGCAGACTGGAACATCATGTCAACCTGTGGACTCAACATTTTAATGGCCTCATGACCTAGCAAAGGTCACTTTCTCCCAGAAGTCCAGAAGTGTGCCAGGGCTGGCTCATACCAAGCCAGTTGTGAACATCATTCCCCAACTCCAATTTCAGTAACCTCACATTGGTAGCTTAATATTGGCCATGATTCAAGTATTTACACCATGGAAACCAGCAAGTGCTACAAATCAAATTTTTGTTGTTGTTGTTGTTGTTGAGCTGGTGTGTAAGTTTTCTTCCTTCCCAGGGCTCTGTTTACTCTGCTATAAGAGGCTATCTTGGCTCAACTTACTTCTGGCTCTTGAGTTCAGGAATTGTAATCAGAATAAAGTGGCAGCTCTTTATCTAGAGAAAGAGGCACTGAAGGCTTAATGTTCTTTTTGATTAATCAAAGGCAAATCTTGAGCTCACTGGTTGACACCTTGGATTGAAAACAGGAACATCTGGGTGGCTGTGATCCTTCATGTCTCTTTGCTGCTCTGTGCACAGTGGGAATTCCTACTGTGGGGATCCAGGAGGACAGAAGATAACAGACGCATCCTCCAAGCAGATTTAATGTGGGAGAGATGGAGAGACACACTCTGATGTTTTCCCTTTACCTAAGTAAAGGGCACCTGAAACTTTCTGCAGGTCTCCTGAGCAGTGCTTATGAGCCAGGCCTCTCAAGAGAGTGACATGCCCACACTTACAGTTAATTTCCTTTGAATGTATAATTTGCCTTGTTGCTGTTGAGTTTCATGATATTAGAATATATAGAAAAAGCATGAGTTGAGGGTGAGAGTGTAGGAGGGAAAACAGAATACTTAAGATAACATCCATAGCCTTGCACACCAAGAACTCAGAAACTCTGGTCCCTTAGATCCATTCGTAGCTTTTCCCTGGGCATAAGCCACCAGGAGTCAGAGACTGAGATGTGGCTGGAGTAGACAATCGCTTCCATGGCAAGATTTAAGGAAGAACCCACACTTCCTGCCACATTGGGCTTATGACTTTATAATGTCGTTTCCCTTGTTAAGCATTTGGGAAGTCAGATTTATCATCTCTGTTTAACAATCCATGAAACTTCGCAAATGTCAAAGCTAGAAAGGTTTGGGGACTCCAGTGTTGAGGTCAGAGAGGAAAGGCCATGCAGGCAAGGGAGAAATACAAAAAGCAAGTGGAGACGAAAGGGCTCAAGACAAATCACAACCTGCTCTGAATTTCGTTTTGGATTGGCTTAACTGTTTGCTTCTCTCCTACCAGTGAGAAATTGGTCCTGTTGGACACTGAAGTGTTCCGAGTAAAGTTAATAGCCAATAAAGACCAAAAATCTTAGTAATCCAATTAAATTGGAATTTTCAAAATTTTTCAGCCATTCAGCCGTAGAAGCACAGGCCTTAAAAAGCATGAATTCTCATCATCTTCAGCCAAGAAGAAGCTCAGCAACAACTCAGGCTGCTAGGATGTTGTAATGGGGATACCTAAATTGAATGAGTGTTTTCAACCAGTCCACCTAGAAAAGGCTGATTCTCCATGAAGTGAAAGTGATTATTCTGCATGGGTCTCAGTCAACATGGGAAAAGCAAATAAACACTAACACTGCTCATCTTTCCCTTTATGCACCACTCACTAACCCTGATCCTCACCATATAAAAGGAAATTCCGCTTGATTCCCTAGAGCAGAAAGATGAGGGCAGTTTAGTCTCCGATGAAGGAAATTCCACATCCATCTTTCTTTTCCCATATCTTTCTACCTATGCACTTCTCTTTAGGGTTAAACAATAAGGGTGTTTGTTCTCTTCTGCTTTTCTTAGGAAAGTTATTTTTCCAACTAATTCACATGTTTGACTTAATTTGATGCCCACCCCAGGTACATCTGCATTTTAAAAGAGGTTATTAGGAAAATGTAGGGCTTAATCCAAGGAAATATCATATATTTAGTAGTGAAATCCCAGGGACCAAAGATGGGTATATTATATATGGTTGGGTTGACTGAAGAATCGTGTTCCAACGAGGATAAACTAAGATTCATTTGATATATGTATATGTTTTATGCTAGCATCATTATTCTATAGTGCTTTCATTTAATTTCTTTTAATAGTAAAAGCAAAGCTGTGAGAAAGGTGTATTTGCTCATGTGTGTGTATATTTACACAAATACATATTTTACGTATGAACTTGCTCAAGGTTATATTTTTATTAGTGAACATCTACAGTGTACCAGGCACAGTGCTAAGCTCTGAGAATACAACGAGAAGCCAAGCAAACATGAGGACTCTTTGGTGAGATTACAGTCAAATACACCCTCTAAATTGTCCAGCAGAATCAAATCCTCATAACAAGTCCAGAACTCTTTCTACTGTGTTATAGCTGTTTCCCAGGGAAGTTATAGGAAATGTGTATTGGTAGATATTTTTCCCTCCAAAGGCATCCCTAGACCAAACTGGATCCTTTATGAAACTCTATGGACTGAGAGCCAGAGCTGTTGAGGCTCTAGGCAAAGCCATCTTCTCTAACCAACACTGAGGAGTCAGGTTGATTTTGGTATTTCTCTACCTTTCCTTTCCCTGTTCCTGCCAAATATTCTTTCCCCATATCAGAGGCAACCCTACTAGAAAACACAAAAGAAACAGAAACAGGATTACTCCCCTTCCTGGAAAAGGAGTATAAAGGCTGAACACATGGGAGAACCCAGGGTGACGAATGTCTAGCCCCCACTTCAACCACCCCTCAGAGTTTTTTCTTCCCCCAAGAGACCCCAGAAGGAGAATCAGCCACAAGGGAAGATTCAGGCAGGCCTCCGGAATGAGGGCTGGTGAAGAAGTAAATCCAGGCAACTCTATCATCTGCTCCGTGGGAGACCAGGCTGGTGAGCTCAGAGGCCTGTTTTTCCCTTAACAGATGCAAGAAAAGAGCCGGAAAAGGTCAGAGATAAATGCAGCCCTCACTTTGTTCTGCATATTCAAAAGAACTTCTCTAAAGAAAGACCCAAAATATATGTGTGTTCACTCAACCTTTTCCTGTCAGGCACAGGGTTCCAGATACGGACATGACAGGGTAACCACTGAGAAAATTTTTGCAGGTTTGCAAAATAGCAGTGCTTAGGAGCAGGGCGCCCAGAAAGAGTGCACTTCACGCGGGACCCATCAGTCTGGTGGGAGAAAGAGAAGCTTGGAAACAACATATTATCTTGAGAAATCACTCCCAGAAGGGAGCAAAAAGTTCACAGGGAGAATGCCAGGGAGTGGGAGAGAGAGAGCGACTGGAACACTGTCATCAGAGCGGCTGGAATTGGAAACGGTCCAAGACCTCATCATGGCTGACATCCCCGCGCATAATCAGAAATTCCTTTCAATTATGTGGGAAAAGTCTCTTTGCATTGTCAGCCCAGATGCCCCTGTGAAGAAATAGCATGAAATGAGTCTCAGGGAAATGTCAGCGTGGGAGCAAGATCCGATTGCCAATAGCTTGGTTAGGAGAAGACAGGCCAGAGAGGCGGGCTGATGGAATAATCTGTTGTACCCCAAGGCAAAACAAAGCAACACCCCCAAAGGTGAAGGAGCTGTGTACCCTGGCTTGGTGGTACAGATACCCATTTTCTCAGCATGAGTCAAAAATGTTTGATCTTGTAGCCCTGAGACATCGCTCTACCTCAGTTTCCACTAAAAGGACCCAACCAGCCTTTTGAGCCATAATTCCCACGATCTCCTTCTGTTCACCAAACTGGACTATCTCCTGTTCTCCAAACCTTGTTAAACCTCAAAGACCTTTTCAAATTCCACTTTCCCCACGCAGTGTTGAAAAGTGAATAGGCCCTGTCCTGTAACTCTTTTCACCCACATAATATCTAGCCCCATACTATATTAATTTCCATTAATAACAATAATAATAAAAATAGCTGATATGTATTGAACCCTAACACCATACTAAACTAATTTAATCCTTATACAATCTATTGCATAAATAAACAATGATATCATTCAATCCTTTTGCAGAGGAATAAACTGAGACTTAGCTAGTTAAGTCTAAGTTTACACATGTATCTAAGACTACATATAAAGGCAGAGCCTGTATACAAACGTTGGTCTTTCTGACCCTAGAGCCTATTCTCTAAAACCTTGTGCTTTTCTATCCCCCTCAATGTTTGCTTACTAACTCTCTCCTGAGGAGGAATTGATAAATGCCCATTGTGCAAATCTAGCCCAGAGAAGAAGCTCAAAAGCCAGTTGTAAATGTTTGTTGGCTTCATATCTGATTATTTTCTTTACTCAGTGTCTGTTTTCCAAATACTAAACTTTCTACTACTTGCTTTACAAGTAAATTCATTGACGAGTATGTGTACCAGGATAAGGTTTTTAAAAGGATATAGAAAAGGGTTATCTGATGCAGAGTTAAGTGTTCTTGAAAATAATTGGGATAGTATTACCTACTTAGATAAGGCCTTGGGTGGGAACTAGAGCTTCTAAAATTAAATGTTATGATAAGTAATTCATTTATATTAGGCCACACACAGTGGCTCACGCCTGTAACCCCAGCACTTTGGGAGGCTGAGGTGGGCAGATCACCTGAGGTTGGGAGTTCAAGACCAATCTGGCCAACGTGGCAAAACTCCATCTCTACTAAAAATACAAAAATTAGCCAGGAATGGTGGCACTTGCCTGTAATCCCAGCTACTCGGGAGCCTGAGGCAGGAGAATCGCTTGAGCCCAGGAGGCGGAGGTTGCAGTGAGTCAAGATCATGCCACTGCACTCCAGCCTGGACAACAAGTGAGACCCTGTCTCAAAAACAATAATAATAATAATAATAATAATTTCTATTAGATAAAATTTCTACACTATAATCATAGGGTCGTAGAATACTGGATTGAGCTGGAGATGATCTGGAAACATCTAACATAGCTTCTTAGATGGGAAATCTAAGGTCAGACTGAGGATGGCCCTTGTTCTTGTCATTCAGGGAGTTACTGCCAGAGCTGGCATTGTTTAAAATGTGAACACCTGAAAAGACTAACCCACAGAGGAGACACAGAGTCGCTGGTAGAGGCGAAGTCTTCTCAAACTTTCGTGTGCATACAAATCAACTGGGGTAATGTCAACATGCAAGTTCCGATGCAGGGTAGGGCCTGAGATTCTGCATTCCCAACAAGCTCCCAGGGGATACTTGTGCCAATAATCCATGGACTGCACCTAAGGTAGCCAGGATCTAAACCATCACTATCTAATAGGAATATAATGCAAGCCATGGATGGAATTTTAAATTTTCTAGTATCCACGTTTTTTAAAGTTTAAAAAAGATTATTTCAAGAATATCGTGTATTAAATCTAATATGTATATAATGTTATTTCAACATATAATCAAGATAAAATATAGTTAGATATTTTACATTCTTTTTTCATGTTAAGTCCTTTGACATCCAGTATGCAGTTTTAAATTTTCAGCACAATTTGGACCAGTCACATTTCGAATGCTCAATAGCCACACCTGGCTAGTGGTGACCAGATTGGCCAGAACAGCTCTAGACTACACTTCTGTCGCTTGTAGACTATCTGATGGAGTCTATTTCATTTTGAAGTCTTGAAACCCAACTAGACCAGCTCCTCCATAAGAACAGGGTTTATTGCTATGTATGCCCCATGACACTAAATGTGGGCATATACAGAGTGATAGTTCCTTATAACTCATCAACTGATTTCCCCTTCTCCTTCTCTCTTAGTAGGAAAAAATATCCTTTCCTCCACTATCTTCACACATTTATATTATTCGGCTCCAGGCTCTCTCTCTAGCATAGTTGCTGCATTGGGTGATGTTAGATTAGCTGACTTCCAAGCTTCTTTCTTCTCCCAAAAGTCTATGATTTTATCCATCCCAACACTAGCTGCAGTTATTGCCCCAGATACCTTCTCAGCTTCCTCTTTTTCTTCATAGCAAATAGTTCCTACAGCCCTCCCTCATTTCCTCTTTTAAAAACTCATTAATCACCTACATGCTCCCTCTGGAGCCAACTTCAGGCTACTCTCAGATTTAGAGGCTTAAGTGGAACACCAGAGTCTAATAGGGGACAACTGGGGGCACTATATCAGATGCTCCTGTTTCTACATGCCCACAGAACTCAGTCTTGTGTTTATATATGGCCCTGAGAAAAATGGCCCACGGTCAAAGTATTAAGTGTCTGAGGAAGAGTATAGTGTAGTGGTTAAGTGCACAGGCCTTGGGATCAGACAGCCTGTGATCACATACCAGCTCAGCACAGGGCAAGTATGTAAATCCTCTATGCTTCGGTTCTCCTAATAGGTAGGTGAAAGAGCCAACCCAAGTGAAGGACTTAAAAGACAGTGCCCCTAGATAGTCAGTGCTCAACTATTAAAGTTGGTTGTTTTTGAATTGTGAAGACAGGATTCATTGCATGGCTCAACCCAAGAAATACTGTTGCTAAAAAGGAGTGAACACATTGTGGATTGTGCCTAACTTAGAGCAAAACTATCTCTATTTCACATTAGCCATCTGATCATGACAACCTCAAGACCTTCTCATTTTAGTCCTCTTAAGATCCTGTTGCTTTCTTCCCTCTCCTCACCTTCCTACCCAGCACCCACTGCTGACCTTCACCTGGCTATTTATAAGAACCTGTCAAAGTACAGGTTATTGCAGAGAGGCCCACAAAAAGATATGCTGAGTGACAGCCTTGTCTCCATGCTGTCCAAAGTCACCCTTGTGCAGTTTGCAAATAAACAACTCTCCTGGAAGAAAGAACAAATAATTCATAATTGGCAATCTGCATAATGAGTGGTGCATCTATGCAAATATAACATTTGGAATAATCTATTAATATCTCAACTGTGATGTCTGTGGGCCACCACTTCCCATGCTAAAGAGCCAGAGCCAAATATTTTCTGACTCCTCTTGAGGTGAGAAGAGAGAATGACAAGCTGCTGTCTTCCTGGGGTTCCAGTTAAATATCTGGAGACCACCAGAGTTGGAAGGGACCTCAGAAACTGTTCAATCCCTACTCCCACCCCCACCTCTCAGATAAAAGATAAGGAGTCAGAAATCCAGAGAGGCATAGAGGTTCCCAAGTTTACTGTGCTATTAGAGGCAAAACTAAGATCACAAGCCAGTTACAGACTCCCAGCCTCAGCTGCTGAAAACTTCAGTCATCCGTGTGGGATTATTTTACTTTGTACAAAAATCAGTTACTTTGTACTTTGTACTCCCTCCTCTACCTCCCATCCTTCAGAGCTGAACTCCTTTTGCTCATCTGGACTTCTAACCTAGGGAACCAAATTCTAGGACTGCAAAGCAGAAGGATTAGGGAACTCAAACAAAAAGCATCTGATCCCAAACAAGGTGGCCATTTGTGAGTTAAGCTAAGACACAACCCCTGGGTTGAGCTGAGCCCCTTTGCTCTGGAAGTAGAGAGACTCTTGAACGCACATGCATACTTGAATAAATAAAGCCTCAGATTTATAAAGGTAATACTAAAACCGCCCTTGCAAAATTATGACTGAGAGACAATGAAAGAGATCTAACCTAACCAACTCCATCTTGCTTCTAACCTTTAAGCTGTCCTTGTTGCTTCCTGGCTGTAGACTGAACTAACTTTGGGAGGAACTTAGTTCATAGTTTATAGTTTAAAACAAAGACAATAACAGTCCTTTCCCAAAATAAACCTCCTTCTTGCCTGGGGACTAGACTGCCTTTGTAGGACTTACAAGTTAGCCACAAGATTAAAAATTATGGTTTAGGAATCATGCAGCTGGAGGCTAAAAGATTCTGACCCTCCCTAAACTGCTCCTAAGATCAGTGCTTGAGATACTTTGCAGACCCTGCATGGGATGGATCAGCTGGCACCACCCAGATCGATAAACTGGCTCATCTGGTCTTGTGGCCTCCACCCAGGAACTGACTCAGCACAAGAGGACAGCTTCAACTTCCCATGAGTTCATCTCCTACCCAACCAATCAGCACTCTCAACTCACTGGCTTCCCCTCACCCACCAAGTTGTCCTTAAAAACTCTGATTCCAGAATACTCGGGGAGACTGATTTGAGTAATAATAAAACTCTGGTCTCCTGCACGGCCGGCTCTGCATGAATTATTCTTTCTCTATTGCAATTCCCCTGTTTTAATAAATCAGCTCTGTCTAAGCAGCCGGCAAGGTGAACCCATTGGACAGTTACAATGTTACAGTACTTCTACTACTGAACCACCAGCATTGAGGAATTGCAGGACAGGCTCTGTGAGCAATCCATGACTACATTCCCCCATCACTTTCCTTTTCATCCTTATCTCTCCAGCCAATCCTAGGTAGCCTCACCACTTTCATCATGCTCCTTCTCCCCTTCCCTAGAGGGAACAGGGGCTCCCTGTGTCACCCCAAATATCTAACAAGCAACAGTGCATGCCCACATACCCACTGGCCAGGACAAGCTGGGAAACTCTGGATGGGTACAGAGCAATCAGTTATTCAATCAGGCAGTTAACCATTGCCCAATTTGGAAGAGTAGCCATGTGGATCTGGGAGGTTGGGCCACACCCCCGACATGGACATTAACTAGCCAACCTTAGTCCTTACTTTTTCTTTAAGGTACAGGGCACATAGTTTCTTCTCCTTGAGGCTTTTCTGGAGTTAACCTCACTTCTAAAATTCAATTAATAGCATCTCTTCCTGCTCTAGTTTGTGCACGCCGCCACTTTACTTTGCACAATTTGTATTTTGCTGAGCTCTTTGTATCTCTCTTGCAGGCTAAATTGTGAAGGTCCTGAGCACCTTGCACAGTGTCTGCCACAAATAAATGCTCAGAAAGTGTTTGAGAAATGACAGAACCAGTATATTAAGTCATAAGCCTCTCCAGACTCCAATTTCCACATCAGGGGAATGAGGGAAATGATGGACTTAGTCAACTTAATTCTATGACTAAGATACTATTAAATATCTGCTTGTGCTCAGATTCTGCTAAGGGTTACTGAGAATTAAGGGAAGTACAAAAACTGCTCCTAGTCCCCAGGAATTTAGCTGGAAAGACAAACACACTCAGGAAAGAAAATCATTTCAGGCTACTCTGGGTGGTTCTAACTGTTGATGCGACAACGGATCAGAGAAAAGAGAGATCACTGCCAGATATGACATTTAGAGATGGTTCTCGATGGCTTTGAGATGAGTACAGGGTGGGGACATCCCTAAAAGAGATGACTCTGTGAGCCAAGGCATGCTTTGAAGCTAGGCTTGTAAGCCAACTATCTGGGCATGGGAAATGGCAACCTCTGGAGCTGCAGATCTTGATTTCTGATGGTTGATTCAATGGATACTTTATAACGACAGAGACCTTACTAGATTTTTGGTTCTTTTCTCTTGCTCATACTTTTCACCTCTTACTTTCTACCCATTTCTTCCTAAAAATAGGTCCTTTTCTCTCCTGTCTTAATAAAACACATTGTTAACCTTGCTGTCCTCTCAAAATGTTCCTTTACTTCCTATCCCCTTTAAAGTGTGGTTTACATCACTGCCCCCATGCCTGAACAACCCATTGCCATCTGACTGCCTCTTCCACTATGCCCTGATGCTACTTTCTAAAGGTGATGAAAACATCTGCAGTTGCCAAAATCAGAAGCCATTTCTCATTCCTGGTCCTGTGTGACCTCTACTGCTGTTTAGTCTATATTAACCCTCAGCTTACATCTCTTGAAGTGTCTCTTCTGGTTTCTGTGGTCTGCTCAGGGGTGATTTTTTTTTTTTTACTACCTTCTTCTTTTCTTTTCCCCTAAACACAGATATTCTCCCCAAATCTCCTGAGGATCCCCACACTCAATCCCTTGATGGTTAAATCTTTTTGTATAACATTGGCATCTACTCCAATGACTTTTAAATCCCCAGTACTAATCCCAACTCATCTGAAACTTTAGACACTGGCTTCCAACTGCCAAATAAACTCTCAGCCTGGAGTCCTACCAGCACCTCAGAACCAAAGTCTAAAACCTAGTCCTTCCCATTTGACCTCTACCTCTTTCTCCTCCCCATTTCACTCATTTCCCCCTCTCCTTTTCTAATCACACTTATTTCAAAGATTAAGCATCACAGGTCCTTGCTTCTCAACATCTCAGATTCATCCCCTTCTTTCCATTTCACTTGGCCACTTTGGTTTGGCTGTTCTCTACCTCTAAGACACCTGCATTTTCACTCCCACTTCCAATCCATCCCAAACTTCCAGATGCACTTTTTCTGTCCTATAACTCTAATTGTTCCTCTTCTCTGGGTGACAGCCTTCCATGATTCTCTATTACCTACTAAACTTAAAATGAACCCTTGGTCTGGTCATCCAATCCTCTGTCTTCTACAGTCCCATCTTCCTGCTTTACTTGCTACAGCTACCTACCAGCCACCCAATTACAGGGATCTCTCCAAGGAAATCTCACAAATTCCCATTTCTGTGGCTTGTTTATCTATCTTCCTTGAAAATCCTACCCCCAACAATCACCATAAAAAAATGCACACATCTTTCAAAATTCCTGTGAAATCGCATTTCCTTCTCGAACCCAGAAACCAGTGTAATCTCTATCTCCTTGTTTCTCCCCTAAGGCACTTAGATACTTTACTTTGAATTTATAGTTATTTATCTATGGGCTCCAAACTACAGTAAGCTCCTAAGGCTTGGGACTGGGTCTTATTTATTTCTGAATTCTCTGGAGTATTTAGCATAGTGTAAAGGCTCCTATTAAGAATTGAATTGAGTTGAATTGAACTGAACTGAATTGAATTACTGGTAAAGATGTCTGAAGACAGCTCCTTTTATTGAGGTCTCCAGAGTAAAATCTTAGGAGAACTACTTCTTGAGAAGAATCTATGAGCTGTTATAGCACAGTTAACATTTAGAATTGAGCTTGGATGGCCATCCCCTATCTCTATTGAAAACTGACTTCAAAAATGTCTGGAAGTAGTTTTTTCTTTACAACTGTGAGATGACATGATAGAGGCAAGTGATTCAGCAGAAAGCATTTGGGGTTGGACATCAGTTGTCCTGAATTCTAATTTATTCTTTCATATGTAATCATGTTAATGGGCCACATTTTGCTAACACTCCATAAGACTTAAAAAATTAGTTTGTATTACCGTTCCTGCTGTCATGTTTAAGGTTTTGGTGGAACTCTATGAGAGGAGGGGACATGTCTGTTTTATTTACCAGGGTATTCACAGGTCCTGGAACACATAAATGCTCAATGCATTTTGTTTCTGATCATTGCTGTTGTTGTTGTTGTTGTTGTTTTGTTTTTTAGGACTGGGTTTTGCCATGTTGGCCAGGTGGGTCTAGAATCCCTGACCTTAGGTGATCTGCCCGTCTCAGCCTCCCGAAGTGCTGGGATTACAGGCGTGAGCCACCGCTCCTGGTCGCTCAATGCATTTTGATCAAATCAGCCTTATGGTGAAAAGATACCTGACGAAAGAGCTAATTAAATTAAAATCCAAGGTAGTAAATGATCAAATAAAAAACACAACATAGAAAAGTGACTGAATCTTGTTAATCCTCGAATTCTCTGCCCCACTTTTACTTTTACCCAAACCCGAACAGTGCCTGGGGTGACCTAACAGGACACATTAGAGATGGAACAACTGCAAGTGTCACGGAATACAATCCATCTGGCACACTATCTGCTCTCAAGTGTCCCTCACAAAACATCCTCCAGGTTATACTTAAATTCCCTCAGGAATAATAAGCTTACTGCCATCTACATTGTTGGACAGCTTTCTATGTTAAAAAGGCAATTCCTATATTGGGCCAAAAGCTGGCTTCTTATAAATTCCGCCCACTGGTCCTAATTCTGCCTCCAATGTAACATAGTGAAAGTCTATTTTCTCTTCTGTGTGTGGCCTTTCCCATGTCTGAAGACAGCTATCAGATCTGCACCACATGGAACTATTCTGCAAGCTACCTCTCCCCACCCCCATTCCCTTAACCATTCCTCCTTCGACCTGGTTTCAGAACCACCCTTCCGAGTCATTACTCTTATCTGAATGCACTCCACATACCCATGATCCTCTAAAAGGTTCCCAAATCTGGGTGAAATACCTTTAAAATGCTCAGTCTGGATAGTCACTTTCTACAGTGTGAATGAACACCATCCACCTTTTAATGAAGCCTAAGAGTACATCAACTTTTATCAAAGCTGAATCACTGTTAACTCACACCAAGTGTGGGATTATTTTAAGCTTTCATAACCATTTTAGATAAAATCCTCCCCACTGAGTCTCCCGTCCTCTAATTTTGTTGTTATCCCAGAACTTGGCCATGACCAAAAAGAATGTCATGCATGTACTTCATTTCATACATGGACCTGTAGAGGTATGGTTGATAAGGAAAGGAATTCTTCCCTGAGTAGCTAAGGAACACTATGTAAATCACTTTCCATCCCACCTGCCAAATGGCACAGTAATGCCCACCCCACCTTCCTCGCCAGAGTAATGTAAGGCTCCACTGGAATCATATGATTTGAAAAGGATTTGAAGAGTCAAAATAGTGACTCAAATGGAAATTTTTCAGATGACTCATTCTTCTTATACCCTAGTACCTTTTAACTATCTTTTGATGGCACCACAACACTTTCTGGGCCTCTGTCTTATGATAGTAGTGAGAGTGAGCCTTGTTTCTTTCAGTGGTTTGGTGTCCTGGAAAGAACCAGGGGCTAAATATCATAAGACCAACCATTACTAATTGTGTGACCATGAAAACACAGTTAACCTTATGGAAATTGTCAATGCCCACTAGCCAAAGACCATCAGGAAAATATCTGTAGTCGACCCAGGTGGGTTTATTACTCTTTGTAGCAATAGAGAGCACACACCATGAGAAATTATGGGCATCTGAGTAAGAGAATGTTAGAAAGAACCTATTATAGCATTTGGGCCCTGGATGGGTGATATGGGGAAGGGTCTAAGGAAATAAAGGTTTACTTAAGATTGAATGCTATCAGAAAGTAGAGACAAGTCTATGATTGGCAATCTCAATAAATTATTTCTATAGTGAGAATGAGAATCTGCAACTAGTAAAAAAAGTGGAATGCATTCATTCTACCCAAGAGAGGGTATGTTTGATGTTTCAGGGTGACACAGGGGCCTTGTTTTTGTCAGTGTTTAGACAAAATTATGAAGTTGGCTGTGCTTTGTCTCATTTTGTCTTGGTCTCAGAGTAACCTAGTTGGGGGTTTGTATACTTTGAGATTGTTTATGTCCAATAGGAGAGTAACATGGCCTAGCTGCGAGTGCCAGACCAGCTTTTGGATATTAGAAGTTGCTCTTTTCTCTTTCTCAAAAATCTGTTTAACTACTTGTTGACCTTGAATCTCAGCTACCTCATCTAGAAAACATAAATAACAACCCTTAGCCTTGTTATCGGGGATCAAAGTGGCAACACTTATGAAATGCTTTGTCAACTCTGAAGTTGTTTGATAAATATGTAGCTCCTTTGTCCAGCTCTAGTCTCCAGGATCTAGATCTGTGGACTTTCTTGAATTTTCCTGGGCACTGTTAGGCTGTCACCCCTTAGAACAGAAATCTCACCTATAGCTTCATAGCTTGAGTCCTCCAAGGAAGCTGTTCTTGAACCTTTCTGATAAACCTCTTCACAGATGGAGCCAGCCAGTACTCTGCACTTGTTAGTGAATTATCTCCCTGACCAGCTAGAGCTGAGCTCTCTGGTAGGGCAGAATCTGGCAAGTCTGAATCCACCATCTCACACAATGCAGTCTGATAGTGATGACTGGCTTATATTTGGTTAATAAATAATTACAGACTCTGAATTAAAACATCATGGGATATTAGATTTGGAAAACAAACATATCTTTGACCAAACCTCTTATTTTATAGTTGAGCAAATTAAGGATCAGAGAAGGGACGACCTCTTGAACTTATTTTCTGTGGTCTTTTCACCACAGTCACCCCAAACTGCATAAACCACAAAGACACAGGACTGGGTTTGACACAGTTCCTTTGCTTCTAGATCCTGACCTCAGCCAGTTGAGGACTTTTACACTTAAGTCCATATTTTCTTTCTTTCTTCTGCTGATGTCTTGGGCATAGTTTTTGTTGATCCAATTATATGGACTATAAGCTCCTCATAGGAATAGACTGACTGGGAACAAAATTTGTATCTTAATTCAAGTAACATTTGGGAATAACACTTTTTTGTTGTACCAAACCTCCTTCAACTCCGGGGGTTGGGGGGCAGGGGAACAGGGTGGTGAGTGGCACCAGGTTTGAGAGGCCAAATAAGAGATCCACAGCCTGCAAATGAGACATGGGGTTTTGTGGGGGACATACAGGCAGGAGCGAGAGTCCAGTGGCAGCGGGCTGGACAGGAGAACCATTTTACATGCAGTCCAGTGGTAGCAGGCTGGACAGGAGAACTGCACCACCCAGGGACAATGGGCTGGGCTGAAAAACTACAACTGCTTGCAAAAAACATGCAGTTTATATAACATTTCCGCTTAGCACCCTCCCCCTAACAGCTTCTACCTGGCAACCTTCATTCAACCCAATATTCAGGGCCTCAATCTCCTGTACAATTGTGTTCTACAGGATAGGCCAGGGGCTCAGATGATACTCATAGACAAGGGATGGATTTATGGTTGGCCACTCCCAGATTCTCTAGCTCTGAACTCTGAATACACACATTCAGTGCATCTGCCATATAGGGTCATTCTCAGAGTATGCTTAAGTTATTGCTATCAGGTGTGTTTACCATACAAATACTTGTGCTAGATGTTGGGAATACATATAGGGAGGAACTTAATATAAGCTCTAGTTTCACAGAGCTTAGACTTTTACAGAAAGTTAGTACATGGCAGAATCTATTGAGCAGTATAATGGGGGTCAAGGACAATGGGATTTTATTCTGTTTGAAAATATAGGGGAAGACTTCATGCAAAATAGGCCTGTATGTTAGCATTAGTCTCCATGACTTGGTCTGCAATACATTTAGCCACCAGGTTATGTCTCTCTGACTCTTCTGTAGTACTTAACTTTCTCCACCCCACTTTTGTTACCTGGAGAATAAGGGATTTCCTATCCTGAATTATAGAAAAGAATTCTATGCCCTTATGAATCAAAGTGAGTTTAAGGCTATTGTTATTAGTCCCTGAAATAGCTGTATCTTAGGCTGAATCTCTCTATAAAGAACTTAGAAAACTTCTAGACACTTGGTAGGCACTTGCTAAATACTTCTAATTGACACCAATGTCTTCAGATGTCTCTTTTTTACTTCACGTAGCTCTTTTGAAAACAGCTGTAGATATCCCTTTTTTCTATGACCATGCCATTCATGGGCAGTATATGGGAGAGGAAGAGTTTACTTTAGAACTGCAAGTCAAGTTTAAAATTATCTAGTCCAACAATAGTAAGTAGTTTTAATCTCGAAGAAAAGCTCTATTTGGTTGATATTGGTTGTCTCCAATGCAGTGTTGAGAAGGATTCTAAGTGTTGTTCAGTGGGAAAGAATGTTGCCATCTAACAGCAATATGTGCTATGGGAACAGACTGCTTGGCTTCATTTGTGCTGCACATTTGCCTGCCCTGAGGTATTTCAACTGTTATATTTGACAGAAAAGCAAACTAAAAACCAGAGAAGAAAAATGACTTTCCCAAGATCACAGAATGGGTTAGCGAGAAAAGCAGGACCAAGACCTAGGTCTCCTGATTCAAATACAGTGCTTTTCCCATAATCCCATTCAGCTCCCAGAAGCACCAGGGAGATTCTATTCAGTGATGCGCAGAAAATGGAAGCAACTGGCCTACTGTATACTAAAACAGCTCAGCTCCAGGTGGGAAACTTAGTGACCCTATGGAATCTCCTTCAGCCTAAGGCATTTCAGAATTCCACCAAGCTCATAGAATCCCAAAGGCTGAGTTTAGATGGTCTTAGAGATTATCCAGAGTAACCCACTCAGCCCATAGAATCCCAGAGGCTGTTTAGATGGTCTTAGAGATTACCCAGAGCAACCACTCACCAGTACAAAGTCTTGTCTACAGGTTTTCTGATAGCCCTCAACATTTTCATGTAGGCAATATTTACATGTGTTAGGCTCTCCCCTCCCTTCCCTTCTCTACTTCTCCCTTGTCTCCTGGGGTTCCCCTCACAGGCCTCCAGGTGTTCATATCCTCATGATGCTCTGGATCCAATTAGACCTGCCACCCAGGCTTAATCTTGCCCCAAGTTGTTCCATGTGTCAGTTTCTAAACCACCATCCCAGTGGCATGTGCTAGGAGAGCAATCTGAAAAATAACCTTGCATGGCTGCCCTGGGCTCTGCTTGCCTGGGCTTCTTTATTTCCTCCACTTCTGAATGCATTGGTTCCCTCCTTTCTCTTCCCTGCACCCCCAAGAAGCCCCTGACAGTGATGTGAGGTGAGAAGGATGAGTGAGGTTAATCTGAAATTCATTTTCAGGATGGATTTGAAGAGAAAGACCAATATCAAGGATAAATCCCCAGAAAATGAACAAGTTTAGAGAGTCAAGGAAGGTCCCTGGGTTGGGCAGAGGGGAAAAGAGTTGCTTTTAGATGCAAGACATGCTAGCATAGGCACTACACAGGAAAATAGAGATTGGAGGTAAATGGCATATGTGTGAAAATGAGAGAGCTAGGACTAGAAGTCTTTGTGCTTTCTCTTAAACCACTAGGACCTAACCCACTGCATTAAAAGGAGGAGTGAGAACAAGTGAGGGGGCCACACAGACCCTCTCCTCTGGTTACTATGAACTGGGCTCACCTCCCGCAGTTGGTGATTTCACCTTCAAAGTGAATAGCAGCATGGCATTGTGGAAAGCACCCTCCCTGGACCAGTCTGGGAATCCATGAACAAATTCTCTTGCTGTAAAATGAAAAGGTCAGAACTTTGCTCCCTAAAGAGCTTCCTGGCTCTAAGATTTTCTTTGTTTCTCAGTAGGAATAAGCCCACCCACCTCATAAGGGAAATATTTCTCAATTTCTTAGGGCTGCAGGGGACACCCCTGAGTCACCCCCAACCTGCCTTAGCCTGAATCTGAGTAAAGGAAGGGATTTATGATCTAATGTTAGGCACTGCTGCCCTCTGCTGGATGGTATGTAGCCAACTACCCCCGCCCCCAACCAAAAGGTATTCAGTGCCTCTCCCCCCGACAACCCCCAGCTGTCCAGGGGCTGCCCTCGCATTGCCCCCACAGTGGTGACCTGTCTTGCATCTCATGTTGCAAGTGGAAAGCCACAAAAAAACTGAGGACCCAGGAGGGTATGTGTATGTGTGATTGTTGTGGGGAGATGGGAAGTGAGTGTAAATCCAAATAGCCAATTGCTGTCAATTATGTGAAAGTTCCTCTATGACTTCAGTGAGACCTTAACCAAGGTCCCACTCAGCTGCAAACCATACACAGCTTTCCAGCATGATGGCACCTTCAAGTAAAGATGAACAGGGAGCTTTTAAGCTTCTCCTGCCTTTTATCATCGATGAGCTAAAACGCAGAAACAAAATGGGATAGTTGGATGTCGGGAGAACATCAGGATATTGTAATTGTCCTCCTCAGAGATGAAAAGGGAAGCTGAAAAACATCTGCACACTGAAATCTGCTCCAATGCACTAAGTGGGCCAAGAAAACCTGCAACCGCGAAGTGGGGCTGATTTACTGCTCTAATCACCAGCATCCAATCCGAAGCCAGACATTATCTTAAAGTACACACCACTTCCAGGTGGCGTGCAGCAAATGTTTGATTAGCACTACCAAATTCCCTGCAGGTTGATAACGCTTTCGAGTGTGCAGGAATCACAGGACCCCACACTAAGGGAGTTGGGCTGCTGCAAGCTCCACAGCAAGGTGTTTCCCTCTGGGTCAAAATCTTCCTAAGAAACACATCTCAGCCCTTCTTCCCAGGGTCTGAGACACGGGATTCAAATCAGCAGAAAGTAGAACTGAGCAGAGGAGAGAGGAGATGGATTTAGTAAGTGAGGAGAAACCAGGTTGTTTCTAGAGAGGATTGAAAACACAATAGAGGGAGAGTAGGAGATTAGTAAGACCCGTATAATATTCAATATATGTCAGGTGCTGAATATTTTATATCTCATTAATTCTCCCATTATAGTACATGGTTGCCACCACTATCTTCCTATTCTGCAAATGAAAGAACTGAGGTGTAAGTGACTTGCTCAAGATGTCTCAGCTATAAAATTATTATTGTATTATTTAAATTGGACTGACATTGATTAGGACTGACTTGAAAACCTTCAAAGTACACGGTTTGAAAGAATAGGGGATCAGATGAGGCAATACAGATGTTAGGGTATTCCAGGGGTTATATAGAAAAGTAAGAGAAAGAACCTAAGTCAGTTGATAGCATCAGAAAAGATGGAAATAAAGTGGGCTTGAAGCAGCTGAAGCTTTCACTGAGCCCCCACCATGTCCCCAGGGTAGGGTTAAGGACTGTGGGTGTGGGTGAAGCAGAAAACACAATGACTGCCCACAGGAGCTTAGGGTCTATTTGAAGGTTGTTTGGGCCAGAAATAAGAGATGCTGTGGGGTTCAGAGACGAGGGCTATGTTTGACGAACAAGGATGATTCAAATCAGCAGAGAGAAGAGCATAAGCCAAGTTATGGAGGTGAAAGTGATGGTGGTGAGTTATTCTGGGGTAAGTGAGGAGTCCCAGATGAGAAGCTACATCTGTCTAGCTGGAGTTGGTTCAAAAATTGCACCTGGAATCTACTTCTGGCTGGCTTTAAAACCCAAACTGAAGGGTCAAATGTCTCATGGAAATTTCATTTCTAAAACCCATAGATAGGGAAGGCCAGGCCAGTACAAGAACTCAGTTTTTGTGGCTTTTTGGGAGCTGGAACTCTGATTTCTGCAGTATCTTCTAGAACTCAAAGACCGCAGGAGGGTCTTGCAAAACCAAAGCCAGCCATAAGCTTGTAGTCTGAAGGCACACGGCGCCCCCTAATGGACCCAAGCATTCCCTCTGTACCTGGATTCTCTCTGTTCTCCACTATGGCTACCTGGCTGGGTACCATCCCGAAAAGATTTGCTTCCTGCCCCATGGCTGTGGGCAGACCAGCATTAGCAGATTAACTGAGTCCTGCTAACACATAGCGCAGACTCCTCCTCCACTCAACAGCTGCTAAGTTCCCTGCTTTCAGAATTAGAAGAACATCATGGTTGAGAGCATAGACTTTGGGGCCAGGCCGGAATTTGAGCCTCTGCAGTAGTGCCAACTGGCTGTGGGACCTCAAACTGTTGATTAACCTCCAAAAGACTCAGTTTCCTCAACTGTAGAATTGAGATGCTGATAGTATCTACCTCCCAGGGCTGTTGTGAAGATGATGTTGATGATTTGTGTAAACCACTTAGCACATAACCAGGCACATGGTGAGCACAGGCAGTAAATGGCAGCTTGTTATTATTAGAATAATTGTGATTCAGTCTGAATTACTCACTATGACACTCTGTGAATATTAACTTTATCTCCCTCTAGACCTTGGCTTAAACTGTTTCTGGAGTATTCTTTTCTGAGTTACTCTTTTTCTCTAAACTGGGCTCAGCCCAGTTGCTACTACTTCCATTGGGCCCTCACAGATATTCTACTCATTGTGGAAATCTCTCTCCATAAGAATTTTGCTGTATCTCCCTTACAACTTCTGTATGTTACAACCATGTATGGCCATCTCTTTTTTCTGTCTTAAAAGGGTATGCTACTTATATCAGTCAAAATAGGCAAGGTTCTGCTACAGCGTCAAGCAACCCCGTATTTCAAAGTATTAAACCCATAGCTTGCCACAACTCCTCAGCCAGAATTAATTCTATGCCCTGCCCCCCAAACAAGGAGGCAGAAAATGTAACCCTCCCACATCACCATGTCACTCCCACAAGTAAGGAGAAACAGATATTTATGAGAATGACTGATGGTTACCACACCCTGGAAAGCAAGGGCAGTCTCTAATTCTAAGTCTCCCTAGCAGTGTGCTTCATAGGCAGTAAATGCACACTATAAATCTTTGGTGAATAACTGATAGGATATATTAGTTCACAATTATGTTATCTCTCTCAATCAATATCATATTTTGAAATACATATCCAGATCAAAAATTTCTTAATGACTGCTAGTAGAAATTTCAGGTATCCTCAGGGCAAGTCAGAAGGGATGGCTTTGGGGACAGGGTCGAACTTTATTTCTCTCATGTCCACATCATGTCTCTTCGAATGTAGAAAGTTGTATGAGCTATTATGACAATCAACTGAGAAGGATTATTTGCCTTCAGGAAACTGATTCACACACTAAACAGCATTTACACATGAAACAGCTGGAAGAAAATTGAGGCTATTTGTCAAAAATGCATGAAAGCCGGTATAGGCTTTGTCCATAGGGCAGACTGAAAAGTGGGGGAATCTCTCATGAGGTCAGGTTATGTGCAAAGAGGTCATTTTTGAGGTCAGGTTATGTGCAAAGGAGGTCATTATTTAAAGGCTGTATACAGCTTGGGAAGGCTCAAAGGAGGATGAAGTCCTGGATTGCCCTAAGCTCACCTTGCTCATATCTTTTTTTTTTTTTTTTTTTTTTTTTTTTTTGAGACGGAGTCTCACTGTGTGCCCAGGCTGGAGTGCAGTGGCGAGATCTCGGCTCACTGCAAGCTCCGCCTCCTGGGTTCACGCCATTCTCCTGCCTCAGCCTCCCTACAGGTGCCTGCCAACACGCCCGGCTAATTTTTTGTATTTTTAGTAGAGATGGGGTCTCACCATGTTAGCCAGGTTAGTCTCGATCTCCTGACCTCGTGATCCACCTGCCTTGGCCTCCCAAAGTGCTGGGATTACAGGCATGAGCCACCGCGCCCGGCTGCTCATATCTTAAATAAACCAGGCACCTGAAATGAAGTCTTGCTTTACTGTGGCTGGAAAACAATTTCACTCCTCAGCTCTTGACAGCAAGAGCTCTTATAATAAAAGACAGGGCATAGGCTGGTTGGATAGCATCTTCCATTCCTAGATACCCTTCCTGGTATCTAGGGCTATTTTTCGTCTGTTCTCTTCAGTGCCCCAAGATTGCGAATACCTGGGGTTGAAGATTTTTATATATTGAGATGCTGAATCTCTAATCCTTTCTCTCTGCCACCCGCCCTTATATTCCCCAAGAGAACACTTAAGAATAGGAATTCCACTCCATGTTTCTCATCCCAGATACCAACTAGACAGAAGGGCATATTGGCACTTGCATGAAGAAGAGGTACAAACTCTTCACAAGCTCCTCAATGTGACCTATGAAGACAGGAGGTCGCTGAAGGCCACAGGTGCACACAAATACGCATTTGTGAGTGATAGGATGATAAAGCAAAGGAATTATGCTTCCAAATGTGGATTGGCTTCTTCAAAGAAGGCACATTGATGGGCTAGCATCTAGTGAAGATTTTAAAATATTGAATAAATAAGGGAAAATAGAAGTTAAATATTCATATATAAATATGTGCATAAAAATAGAGACAGTAATCTGGCATGGATGAGAATTTGCATTAACCCTTTGAGAGGCAAAACCTTTTGATTTCAAATCATTTTGATGTAAATTTTCATAAAATGTATGACACCTGTGCAAGCCCTGGTATGTAGAGAAAACTGACCATTTTGAGATTATGTGCTGGTGATAAAAAGCACCTTTCTGACCAGCTATTGGGCTGGCTATGGAAGCTCACAGCTTGAGTGATGGGATGGAACATGTGCTAATTGCAAGACAAGTTTGCGACTTGTTTTCCTGACTAAATTTGCTTATTGGTTTGATGCTCTATAATTTCTCTATCTCATAAATATGGACTACAGAATCCATCTACATCATTTTTGGAGCCAAGTAACATAGCTCTCTCTCTCCAAAAGTAATGGTCAATCCAGTGGTCAAATGAGGCTTTTCCAAAAGGATTGTCTCATTATTCATCAAGTCATACTATTTTCTCATAATCAAGAGCTGACCATTCTTGCAGTATAAAAAGCATTATTCTTATAGTTACTTCAGGATCCCAAATCAACTTCAACCAGCCTTCTTTCTTTCTTGGATTAAGTTAATAGGTTAAAAAGTGTGACATTTTAGGAATTTTCTACCAAAGGTTCTTAAAGAGTTGTTCAACTAAAGAGCTAAAAGGTGCTTTATATTTGAGAATATTTGCTTACAGGTGCCAGAGGCAATATAGGCTTAGGCAAAATAAGAAAATAGTTAAAGTCTGACATGAACTTGATGGGTCTCTCTACCCTATTTCTCTCCTCTTGTCCCACACTCACCCCCACTCCAAAATATCTGTGAATTAAATCCCACACCCACTGTAAGGAGTAAAAACGTTGACCCTGAAAAAAGATCTTTGCATTTTGATGGATATCCAAACTTTAATCTTCGAGAATGTAACTGTAGCACGTAAAAGTCCCATTGGGATATCTCTGTACCTTCCTCCTTCCTCTCAATTTTGCTAGAATGAAACCTAAAACTGCTCCAAATAAATAAAATGAAAAGTGAACCTAAAACTGCCCTAAAAATATAAAGTTAAAATCTCGTTGGTATTTGGGGGAGAATTTGAGAGGCTGAAAAGGCTTTGCCATAGGCCCTGGAACTGCAGAACATAGGGAATGCTTATTCTGCCTGCACGCAAGGCTGCAGACAGGACAAAAATCGACACGAGCACTGGGAGAAAACCAAGTTCTGAGACTGGCTCTGATATGTCCAGGTGGTACCAACAGGAGACCTTCATTTGTCCTGCTTCCTCTGGTCCTGAGCACCATCTTGTCACTGGGCTTCATGAAGCAACCAGTGAACAATCTCAGGAGTATCTAATCACTTCCTCAGTGCTTGTAGGGCTCCAAGAATGGGACACTCAGGGTAAACTGAGTGATCTTCCCATATGCTAAGCTTTATGGTAGAAATGGTGCTCCACTGTGCTGTTTACCAGTGTTGTCTGCCCCACGCCCTAGTAGGTGAATTTATTCATTTATCATTAAACAAATATTCACTGAGCACCTAATAAGTACCAGATATTGTTCTGCTAGTAAACAGAGACACAAAAATCTTATCCTAATGGAGCCTATATTTTATTACCTGAGAGAATAATAAAAGATGCACACATAAGAGAGGGTATATATAAAGTGTTAGGAGGTGAGGGTGAATACGGAAGGGGTACAATTTCAGATGGGATGGTCAGGTCTGAAAAATCTAAAGGGAATGATCACAATTGCTACCTGTCATGCAATGGCTGCTGGAGCCAGGCACCAAGCTGCGCACCTTTCACCCAGATCGTATAATGCTCACAATAACCAGGTGAGACACTCAATATTGTTGTTGTTGTTTTGCCATAAAATTATTTCTTTTTAAGTTGCTAGTAATCAGCACATTTATTTTAATACAGACACATCATTTTCACTGTAAGTATTTATGATGTTTTATGTTTTTTTATTATACTTTAAGTTTTAGGGTACATGTGCACAATGTGCAGGTTTGTTACAGATGTATACATGTGCCATGTTGGTGTGCTGCATCCATTAACTCGTCATTTAACATTAGGTATATCTCCTAATGCTCTCCCTCCCCCCTCCACCCACCCCACAACAGGCCCTGGTGTGTGATGTTCCCCTTCCTGTGTCCATGTGTTCTCATTGTTCAATTCCCACCTATGAGAACATGTGGTGTTTGGTTTTTTGTCCCTGAGATAGTTTGCTGAGAATGATGGTTTCCAGCTTCATCCATGTCCCTACAAAGTACATGAACTCATCATTTTTTATGGCTGCATAGTATTCCATGGTGTATATGTGCCACACTTTCTTAATCCAGTCTATCATTGTTGGACATTTGGCTTAGTTCCAAGTCTTTGCTATTGTGAATAGTGCCGCAATAAACATACGTATGCATGTGTCTTTAAAGCAGCATGATTTATAATCCTTTGGGTATATACCCAGTAATGGGATGGCTGGGTCAAATGGTATTTCTAGTTCTAGATCCCTGAGGAATCGCCCCACTGACTTCCACAATGGTTGAACTAGTTTACAGTCCCACCAACAGTGTAAAAGTGTTCCTATTTCTCCACATCCTCTCCAGCACCTGTTGTTTCCTGACTTTTTAATGATCACCATTCTAACTGGTGTGAGATGGTATCTCATTGTGGTTTTGATTTGCATCTCTCTGATGGCCAGTGATGATGAGCATTTTTTCATGTGTCTTTTGGCTGTATAAATGTCTTCTTTTGAGAAGTGTCTGTTCATATCCTTCGCCCACTTTTTGATGGGGTTGTTTGTTTATTTCTTGTACATTTGTTTGAGTTCATTGTAGATTCTGGATACTAGCCGTTTGTCAGATGAGTAGATTGCAAACATTTTCTCCCATTTTGTGGGTTGCCTGTTCACTCTGATGGTGGTTTCTTTTGCTGTGCAGAAGCTCTTTGGTTTAATTAGATCCCACTTGTCAATTCTGGCTTTTGTTGCCATTGCTTTTGGTATTTTAGACATGAAGTCCTTGCCCATGCCTATGTCCAGAGACACTCAATATTGTTATACCTGTTTTAGAGATGAGGTAAGCAATGTCTAGAGAAGTTTAATAACTTGTCCTGGGACACGCAGAAAGTAGTGAAAGCAGAATCAGCACTTCAGAATCCTCACCCCTGTGCTGCATTACCTCCTTGGAGTGGGCAAAGTGAAAGACACTCAAACTACCCAAGGCCACTGTGGCCCCCCAGAGAACCTCAGGACAGCTGCTGAGGTCTCCCCAACACACATGCTTCTCCCCTATGCTTGCCTGGTTTTGTACTGTGTATCTAAGGGTTTGATTTTGTTTGATCTATGTGAGTTTTTACTGCTAAATATTTGAAAGGAGGAGAATTTTTAAAACATAGTCAACTGGGCTTATGGAATACTTGGGCCAATGAAAGCCTCATTGCCCTCACAGTGCAGCATGGTAATCAGTGCACATAATATTCACCCAGCCTTCACCATAGCTCTGTTTAAAACAGGTCAGAATGTAATAGCATATTTTTAAAAGATTTTTAGCTAAAATGGCTATTTGCTTTAGATGTTATATACCATGCTTACATCAAGATTTCACTTATCTAAAATGGTAAAATAAGCTATCATTTTGTGTAACTATACACTTTATATCTGAACATCTATACATATATACCTATATTTAGTGCAAAAATATGTCATTTAAAATTCCCACTTTGAAATAAAATACATATACAACTAGGAAGTTCAATCTTTAAATTGTTGGAATTAACTTGTTTTAAGAGCACATTTGTTGTCTAATAATGTGAATTAATCTATGTTCTTTTTAACAAAGTGGTAAGTTCTTAGTAAATGAAGATAAAGCATGAAAAGGTTTTTCTTCATAGGCTCCTTCAGCATTCTTTCTACAAAAAAATAATTTGACTGGACTCCCTGTCCACTCTCAACGTCTCCCCTTATACCTTATGTGATCATATTGTTTAATGTCAGTTTTATCTGTTAATATGCTTTTAGAGTTAACTTTATGCCTATGATCACAACCAATATTTCAGATGACTATACACTTTATATCTGAATAAGTGATTGACCTTAGAGTATAGGTTGGTGGACCACTATAAAGAGGGAGAAAAGTCTCCAGTAGAGTTCTGGATGTTGTTACAGTAGTGAACAGAAAGACAAAAAGCTTATCCCAAAGGAGCTTACGTTTTATTATCTAAGAGAGATAAAAATAAAAGATGCATGAATAAAATAGGATATATGTATATAAAATGTTGGGAGCTGAGTGTGAATAGGGAAGTGATGTGACTTAGAAGAGTCCAGGAAGACCCAAATGCCTAAACACGCCTCATCCCCCTCTGTCAATCCATGCCTGAATTTTTGCCAGTGGTTGATTCATTCCCTTGATCAAAGCCTTGTCCTCTCCAGCCCAAGTTTATAACGTGTATGTACTCCTGGGAGACATGACACCTCAGTTGCTTCAATAGGATAACATGTTCCAGTTCATTTTTCTCTACAGAAAGGATTGTGACCATAAATTATCCCTGTGCATCATGGAAACCCAAAGCCTGGCACATGGAAATACTCAAAAACCTTTGAAAGATCACTATCCCAAGAAGGTGGGAGGGAGCTGGAAGCTCTTGAGAGTAACGCAAGCACTAGGAGTGGACCCAGTTCATCCAGTCTGGATTGGCCTTCTCCATATGGGGAAGCACCTTGCTTGCTCTTCCCCATTCCTTCTTGGATAGCTCTGGCCTGCTTTGCAGGCTGGATGCACAACAATTACCATTTTTCTACCAGTGACTTACCCTTTTCAGAGCAGCAGCCAACACTCACTGAGTTCTCACTATGGGATATACATATGGGACTCTGATTCTCTGAAATCCTCCCCAAATCCCTCTATGGTATCATCATCCTTATTTCACAGAAGAGGAAACAGACACCTGAGTCGTCATCATTAGTAAGTGATGGAGATGGGATCCAGATTCAGGTCTAAATGGCTCCAAGGTCCTAACCCCTCTCCACTCTGTCCTTCAGATGGTCTGAATTCATTCAGGTTTGCCCTCTTAGGGCAACTCAGGATTTTATTTGCCCTCTTAAAGAAACCAGAAATATTATGAACATTGATTACTTTGCTGTACTGTGATGCAATGATACTTTCGTTAGTCCAAGTATTACATGGGACCAATCAATTGTTTGCAAAATTAAATTCTTTCAATCCTCACCTCTATGTTTTTCTCATTCTTCTCTTGTATATCAAGCTGTCAGCAGTCACTTTGAATTGTCATCAGTTCACTACTTTGGACATCCTTATACCCTTTTAATTGCCTTTATATAATCTGTTAGGGTGCAGGAAATCACAGAATCATGCTCCTTAAAATCGTATGTAAATTGAAAATAGACAGACTCTGAATCCAGCCATCAGGCTTCACAACAAATTAAATATATATGAAATTTGTAGCTTTCTTTGAAACTCGAAGTGCTTTGGTTACTTTAAATTTTGGAGTCACAGAATATAAAAGTAAAAATTAACTTTTAAGAAATTGTCTATTTTTAAAAATAATGGCCATCCATGCTAACAGGTGTCAGGTGCTGTGATTTTGATTTGCGTTTCCCTGATGATTAGTGATATGGAGTATATTTTCATATACATGTTGGCTATTTCTATGTCTTCTTTAGAGAAATGTCCATTCAAGGCTTTTGCCCATTTTTTAATCTAGTTATTTGGGTTTTTTGTTGTTGTTGTTGAGTTGTAGGAGTTTCTTATGTATTTTTGATATTAACTTCTTATCAGATATATGGTTTGCAAATATTTTCTCCCATTCTGTAGGTTGCTTTTTCACTCTGTTGATTGTTTACTTTGCTGAAATTGGAACTCTTGTTCACTGTTGGTAGGAATGTAAAATGGTGCGGTCACTGTGAAAATCAGTATGCAGGCTCCTCAAAAAAATTAAGATAGTCCTGCCATATGATCCAGCAATCACACTTTTGGGTACTTACCAAAAAGAATTGAAATCAGGTGGGTACTGGCCAAAAAGAATTGAAATCAGGTGGGTACTGACCAAAAAGAATTGAGATCAGGATCTTGAAAATATATTTTTGCTTTCATGTTTATTGCAACATTATTCACAATAGCCAAGAGATGGAAACAACCTAAATGTCCATCAATGGATGAATGGATTTTTGGAAAATGTTATATACATACAATGGAATATTACTTGGCTTTAAAAAAGTAGAAAATCCTGTCATAGGCTATAATATGGATGAGCTTTATAGACATGCTAAATGAAAGAAGCCAGCCACAGAAGGACAAACATTATGTGATTCCATTTATATGAGTTATCTAAAGTATTCAAACTCTGAGAAGCAGAAAGAAGAGTGGTGGTTGTCAGAGTCTGGAGGAAGCCTCCATTTGGAGGCTGAGTAGAATGGGAGTTGCTGTTCAATGGGTATAGAATATCAGTCATGCAAGATGAAAAAGTTCTAGAGATCTGCTTCACAACAAGGTGCATATAGTTAACAAAACTGTTCTGTACACAGACAAATTTGTTAAGAAGGTAGATTTTTTAATATGTGGGGTTTTTACCACATAATAAAAAAGAAAGCATTTATCTAATCCAAACTTTTTTTTTGTTTTGTTTTACAGATGAAAAAAATGAGACTTAGAAGGTGGCTTTCTCAAATCACAAAGCCAGTTAGAGAAAAATAACAGACTTTACCCACCCACTCAGAGCCCTGCCCTTACTGTATGCCAGGACTGCCACCCCATTATGTCCCTATAAATCTTCTCTCCAAGCTAAATAGTTTTTCTCTGGGGTTTGGCCACCTCAACAACAGGTCATGAGGGATGTGCCTTTCAGATTTCTTTTCACCCTAACTATTCTCTCTGCCCTCACCCATATAAACACTGGTTTGTTCAGGCCCTTCTTTGGGAAGGACTCTTAGCACTGAACACATCGTTTCAGGTGTGATCAAATCAATGCAATGGTCTTCATCTTTGCCTGAACACTATACTACTAATTGCAGGGCTTAAGGGAATATATGGTGTTTGGCTAGCATATCCCACAACTGGAGTATAAAACCTTTTTGGTCAAATGAATCATTCTTAATCTTTTTTTCATTTAACTTCTAGCAAATCAGTTTATCCATATTCCAGTTGTGCAGTTTTCTTTTTACCTGAGTTCAGATCTTTATGTTTATCCTGATTAAAATGCATATTGTTTATTCTTCATCTTTGTCATATACTGAGACTTATTTGTCATCCAATAGCTAGTCTTCCCAGATCTGTGTGATCCCACAATCCTTTCTATGACTTCATACAAGCTATTGGTAAAATAAAACTGCTGAGCATGTCCAGGGCAGAGTCCCATGGAACTCTATTATAGACTTTTCTCCATCTTTGTAATGGTCTGTTAACATATACTCCTATGTCAATCATTTACTCAGATACATATTCACCCAACTATACTATCCACATTGCTCCCCCACTTGTCAACACATACTTAAAAATGTCAAAATTCTTCCCCTTTTCTGTCACTTTCTATGATTTTTTATTTTGGGGGGTTTTCCATTTATTTGTTTCTTTATTTGTAGAGGTATTCGAGTGTGAAAGTAATGAATACAGCTTGGGAGTCAACCTGGTTTTTTTTTGTTTTTGTTTTTTTTCTTTTTTCCCTCTTTTTTCCCTCTTTTTTTTTAACTTTTATTTTAGGTTCGGGGGTACATGCAAAGGTTTGTTACATAGGTAACCTCGTGTCATGGGGGTTTGTTGTATAGATTATTCCATCACCCAGGTATTAAGCCCAGTACCCAATAGTTCCCTTTTCTGCTCCTCCCCTTCCTCCCACCCTCCACCCTCAAGTAGACCCCAGAGTCTGTTGTTCCCTTTGTGTTCATGAGTTCTCATCATTTAGCCCCCACTTATAAGTGATAAATGTGGAATTTGGTTTTCTGTTCCTGCCTTAGTTTGCTAAATGTATTAGCCTCCAGCTCCACCCATGTTTCCACAAAAGACATGATCTCATTCTTTTTATGGTGACATAGTATTCCTTGGTGTTTATGTACCACATTTTCTTTATCCAGTCTGTCATTGACGGGCATTTAGGTTGATTCTGTGTTTTGCTATTGTGAATAGTGCAGCAATGAACATTTATGTGCATGTGACTTTATGGCAGAATGATTTATATTCCTCTGATATATACCCAGTAGTGAGATTGCTGGGTTGAATGGTAGTTCTGCTTGTAGCTCTTTGAGGAATTGCCATACTGCTTTCCACAATGGTTGAAGTAATTTACACTTCCACCAACACCATATGTATTCCCTTTCCTCTACAACTTTGACCACATCTGTGATTTTATTGACTTTTTAATAGTAACCATTCTAACTGGTGTGAGATGGTTTCTCAGTGTGGTTTTGACTTGCATTTGTCTAATGCTCAGTGATGTTGAACTTTCTTTTCATATGTTTGTTGGCTGAATGTATGTCTTCCTTTGAAAAGTGTCTGTTCATGTCCTTTGCCCACTTTTTAATGAGGTTGTTTGTTTTTCTCTAGTAAATTTGTTTAGTTCCTTATAGATGTTGGATATTAGACCTTTGTCAGATGCATAGTTTGCAAATATTTTCTCCCATTCTGTAGGTTGTCTGTTTACGCTGTTGATAGTTTCTTTGGCTGTGCAGAAGCTCTTAAGTTTAATTAGATCCCTCTTGTCAATTTTTGCTTTTGTTGCAGTTGCTTTTTGAGTTAACCTGCTTTATTTGAATCCTGACTCTGCCACTTACTAGCTATGGAAATTTGAGCAAAATAATGAATCTCTCTAAGTCATAGTTTCCACATTAGAGATAACAATAGTACCTACCTTTTCAAAGAGATACCGAGAAAATTTAATAAATTATGTAAAAAACTTAGTTCAGTGCCCAGCCCATGACAAGCCCTCAAGTATGAGTAATGATGTGATTATGATATAAATAAATAAATAAATAACGAAACTGCCAGTTTACATCACTTTTTTGCATTAATCCTAGCAAGGAGGTTAGGAAGTAATATTTATTGAGGGACAACTATAAGCCAGGAATTTACACATATAATCTCAGTTAATTTTTACAAAAAAAGTCGATATTTATGTATAGAAATTACTTTATATATGGGAAAACTGAGACTCAGAGGGACTAAATGAATGAGGCAAGGCCCACACAGCTTAAGATAAAAGAACCAGGGTTCTCATGGTGTTCTTTCTGAGTCTAAAGCTCTTGTCCTTTTCATCAACTTCTCTTCTTCCTTTTTCTCAGCATTGAGTGTGTGGCTGAGATCAAGGATAGTTGTTAATTTCCTACCAAAATCAAACAATGAAAGCTAAGATTCCTGAGGGAAACAAGATGGCAGCACTATTTCCAGGCTGTCTCAGGAGTCAGACAAGGTTATTATCAGAAAGCAGCAGGGATTGGGCAGGCAGAGGTTTTGCATGAAACAATAGTAAAATCAAAAGAATTAAAAGCAGGGATTCAGGGAGATATTTGTACACCAATGTTTATGGCAGCATTACTCATAATAGCTTAAGGATAGAAACCACCCAAATGTTCAATTGACAGATGAATGGATAAACAAATTGTGGTTATATACATATAATAAAATAGTATTCAGCCACAATAAGGAATGAAACTCTGACACGCGCTGCAACCTGGATTAACCTTGAGGACATTATGCTAAGTGAAATAAGCCAGTCAACCCCAAAAGGATAAGTGCTATATGATTCATTCTCTCATTCTCTCTCCACCCAACCAACTTAGGGCACTTAGAGCACGCAAACTCACAGAGACAGAAAGTAGAATGGTGGTTGCCAGAAGCTGGAAGTGTAGAGAGAGAATAAATAGTAATTGTTCGATGTGTACAGACTATCAGTTTAGGATGATGAAAAAGTTCTGGAGATAGGTGGTAGTAATGATTGCACAACAACGTACACATACTTTATGTCATCGAACGAACATTTAAACATTAAAATGGTAAATTATGTGTTTTTTACCAAAATAAAAAATACTTAGCCCAAAAAGAAATAGTATAATGACACTTATTGGATGCTAAGTTCCATCTCATTTCATCCTCACAACAATCTCAAGAAGTAAATTCTATGATTGCCCCCAATATTGAGATGAGAACACTGAGGCAGAAAGAGGTTAAGAAACTAACGCATGTTCACACAGATGATGAGAGCTGGAGTCAGAATTTGAACCCAGGCAGTCTGGCTTCTGAGTTTATGCTACACCTGGTAGAGCAAACTACCATTCCAGATTTTAAAGATAACCTTGGACTTTAGGCAACTGGGCACATTCCCTAGGCCTTAGTTGAGGTGCTTCAAGAGGCAAGCTTGCAGTGCTGAGCGTGAGATTGTGGGCACTTGAGCCCACAGAAGGAATGCAGCCCTTGAAGCCACTGCCACACTTCTCTAAGAGGCAGGGTTTGAGTTTGTCTCCAGTTCTGAACACCTTCCTAGAGCCTTATAAATATTCTGGATGTAGGCAGTCTAGCTGGGGTCCATTGATAAGAAGGTCATGTGGGTGAAATGCTACTTTGCTTGCCTTCTCCTTGGCCCACAAGAACCTGGGAAATTTCCTGGTAGTGGCTGATTTTTTTCCCTTTTATTATTCTGTTTTAGGGTTGTAGGGGGAGAAGGAAGAATACATATTATGGTGGGATGTTTTTTTCCATTTGTATCTATTTCTTTCTACTTTTTCAGATCTTTCTTCTATTTGCTGCCACCCACACACTGCCAACCACACAGGAAGACAACTGGTGAGATTACATTTGGAGTTAAAAGGGTTCTGATCATGCTACTATTCCTGGAGAGGAATTTGCAAATGAGAGTTAGTACCAAGAGCCAAGGGACAAAGCCACCCCATCAACCCCCTCTTCCTTCTTTTCTTCTTCCTCATCCTCATCACACTTGGCTGTGGCCCCAAAGGTCCTTCAGACGTGAGGCAATGAACTGTCTTATCACCACTCATGGCCATATCACAGGCAGTTGCAATTTGTGTTCCAGGGAGCTTGTCACTGGCAATTGTTAAAGCATGGAAGTTTAGAGTATACTTTTTTAAGTGTAATATTATTTGAGACAAGTTCAAACTTACAAAAAAAGTTGCAAGAACAGGATAAGGACATATCGTACACTCCTCACACAGAGACCCCAATCAAGTTACACTAAATGCTCCATTGATGTTTTTTTACAGCAAAAGAGACCAATTCAGAATCATGGATTATAGTTAGTTGTCACATCTCTCTGATTTCCCTCAATCTCAAACAGTCCTTCACTCTTTACTTGAGTCTCCTACTCTTGATGTGTTTTGCGATTACAAGGCAGTCATTTTGTAGAATATCCCTCAACTTGGGTTGACCCAACCCTTTCTCATAATTAGACCCAGGTTATGGATTTCAGTCAGAAATATTCCAGAAGTAATGCTGTGTTCTTCTCATTGGTATTCTCTAAGGTGACAAGAAATATTAGTTTGTCCCATTCATGTTGATAGTATCTTTGATCGGTTGATTTAGGTGGCATCTTCCACTTTCTCCACTTATATTAAAGTTAATTTTCCCCTTTGCACTTACTAAATATTTTCTGTGGAGATACTTTGAGATCTCTTCCATTAACCCCACTGTCACCCACTAGTTTTATTATCCATCAATGTTTCTTGCCTGAGTTAATTATTATTATGATAGTTGCCAAATGATAATTTTCTAATTCCATCATTCCTTCTACAGTTATTGTCATTCTGCTGTAGGTAAGAGCTTTATTTTCTCCCCATGTTTTTAATTCATTTGTTTGTTTATATCAATGCTTACTCATGGATTTCCCTTTTATTCAATGGATCATAACTTGTTTCTATCATTATTTGCTTTGATGCTCGGACGTGTCCTAGATTTGGCCAGAAGGAGCCCCTTCGAACTTCCTCCTGTGTCCTTTTCATCTGGCTGTCTCATTCTTTAAGTAATTTATTTGAATTGTACTTTCTCTGCCTTAGCTCTGTAGTCAGCCATTTCCCAAGGATCCCTTGTTCTTTTCAGTGAGCAAGGGCCTTTAGAAGCTAAGATCTGGGTGATAGGTGTACTCAGAACCTCTAGGGTGTTGCTGCTTGGAAGATCTCAGTTGACTGAGCTCACTCCTCATTTCTGTTAGGTCTTCATTAAAATGTCACCTTATGAGGCCTTTCCTGTTTACACTATTTAAAATTACAACCACTGACATCATCCCTCACCACAGTACATCTCTCTTTCCAGCTTTAATTTGTTTCTATCACTATCAGCACATAATGTTATGAATATTTTCATATATTTACTTTATTATGCTCCCCCACCCAAAACAATAGGTGCCATGAGGGTAGGGACTATTTTAGGTGACTAAAACAAATGAAAATCCTTGTCATCATTAATGAATCTGAAAGATAACATAGAAAGTAGCCAAGAAAAAGCAAAGGGGGAGTATGCATAATGGCCCTAAGATTAAGAATGCCACAGCCATGCTGGAAATGTCAGGAGGCTGAAGCTGATGGCTGAGGATGGGAGAGTGATGGAAATGAGGGCAGAGCTTTGCAGCTCAGCAAAAGAATTTGGTGCATTTCATTATAAGTGCAAAAGGAAGTCCCTGTAAGATTTCAAACACAAAAGTGGCCTAATCTATCTTACGTTTTTCAAATATTGCACTATTTACTAAATGGAGAAATAATTATTTGGGGCAAAAAATTTAGTAGGGATACTTATACAGAAGTTGTTTCAGGGGCCTGAGAGGAGGAGGGTCAACTATGGTGGTGGCAGTAACGTAATGGTAGAAGATGTAGGAAATATTCTGGAGATACACTCCCTAAGACCACTGGTGATACATTAGATATGCTTGATGAGGAAGAGGTATATGTCAGTAATCATTCCCAGATTATAGTTTAAATAAGAGGGAGTTAAATCTGGACCTGTCTGCTTCAGACCCTGTTAAGGTAACTGCGTTGACATCCCCAGATGGCCAAAGACAAAGAACAAGGCTTTAGAGGTGAATATTTGGATTAAGAGTTGCTTTGTAAAATCTGCCGAAGCTTCCCCTCCTACCAGGAAGCCAAATCCCCCTCTAGCCAAAGAAGTGATGATACGGGTACTGAGCACGTAAGACAGAGGCCCACAGTTCCTTTGGAGGTCTTAATAGAGAACTGGGCACTGTCAGGGGAACCCCCAGAAAGTCCAGGAATGAGGAATCATATTCCAGCCTTCTCACCCAGCACCCCTCCCTTCCTTTCCTCCTGCAAAAAAAAGTTTCTCTTTGTAATTGTCTATAAAAGATTATTGTCTGCATTTTATTTAATTATTCCGTATGAAGTAATTATGAGAGAATAATCAGCCAGTTCGCCGATAATAGACGTTTCATAAAAGAACACAAAAGACGCTAATAAAGGCAGAGCCAGCCCTCATCGCTGTCATTATTACTCTACATCTTTAATTTTCATACATTTTTATTGTTTGCCTGAAATTAATTGTCCATTTCTTTTCCTAATCAGGTTTATTGCAAGTGGGCCACTTCTAGATAACTATACCATTTGTGTGTTTATCTGGCGAATGTCCCAGTAGATCTTGTCAACATTGAAATATCTATCCAGGAGACTAGAAGGAAAAGAATCATAAAATCATTGTGCCTTGGCACTCTAAAGGACTTTGTGAGGATTTAGCCACTCCCCTCCACCCCAACCCCACCTGCCATTTTGGTTTATAAGAAAAGAATCTGAATTACTGGGAGGAGTTGGCACAGCTAGTTAGTGACAGAGTTGAGACCAGAGTCAGATCTCTTGGATGAATCTAGAATAGTGAAGCTGTAGCAAGACTTAATCATCTTAAATGAAATTCAGTTTCTATCACAGGTATGAATCATTTCAGAGAGTGGTGACTAAAGCTTCGTCATGCCTGTGCACACTACTAGGAATGTTCTACCTCAACTTCCAGTTGTTAAATACCATCTTATTATTAGTAAGGCACTTCAGTATCACCTAACAGGATGTACTGATCTGCTAGAGCTGCCTTAACAAATTATTACAGACTGGGTGGCTTAAACAACAAAATTTTATTTTCTCACAGTTCTGAGGCTGGAAATCCAAGATTAAGGTCCCAACAGGGTTAGTTTCTGGTGAAGACTCCCTTCTCGGCTTTCAGATAGCTGCCTTCTCACCATGTCCTCGTATGTTCTTTCTTCTGTGCATGAGGAGAGATAGATCTTTGGTGGCTTTTCCTCTTCTTATAAAGACACCAGTCCTATCAGATTAGGGGTCCACCCTTATGACCTCATTAATTACCTCCTTAAAGGCTCTATCTTCAGATACAGTCACACTGGGGATTAGGGCTTCAATACAGGAATTTTAAGAGCACAAAATTTAGTCCATAACATGGAATAATAATTTAATTCTACCATAGAACCTCATTTAAAATTTTTAAGCTAGTAATAGCAATAATTGCTTAGAGACAACAATGGTGCTCCATCGCTGTGGGCCATGGACACAGTGGTGCCTCTCAGACTTTTGCTTTGGGTTGCCTCTGAGTGTACTGCCTGCCTGGCCACTCCTCCTCATGTGAGCTGGCTGGAGGGCTTGTGCAGTGGCACAGATGGAGCATGGCAACAGGCAGGACTTAATTGGATGCTCCATGGCCTAGTTCATGGTCTTGGCCTAATTCACCCTGTAACTCTGGGGAAAAAAAAAATGCTGTATCTATTCTTCTTTCTATCCCCAGTATCAGAAACAGGTTCTGGCACAGAGTAACAATTTAATCAGTGATGAATGAATGAATGAATGAATGAATAAATGAGTGGACATTCTATGAGTCAGATTGCATCACCTAGCTCCCCTGCTTAAGATGCCTCAGTGACTCCTCATCACCCGTAAGATAAAGGACAAGCACTTCTGTGACTTGACTGTATTCAACCCTTCCAGCACCTCCCATTTTGGCAATGACTCCTTTCTCCCTATATCTCTGTCCACACCAAGCATCTTGCAGCTTTCAGAATACCTAAAGCTTTTCCATGCATTTGTGTCTTTTATCACACTGTTCCCACTGCCTGGAAGGAACCCATCTTTAGCTGGTTAACTGAGTTTGGGCATTAAAACTCTATTACCTCTTCCCAATTTGAGAGGTTCTCCCACTTTCTGGGCTCCCATTGCTTTCCATCTGAACCTTACCTCAGTGTTATATGTGTCCATAAACTTGTCTGTCTCCCTCCTTTAGTTATGGGATAACTCATTTATCCTTGGGTTCTTACTGTCTAGCACAATGCCAGGTATACTATGGATTAACGAGCCTAATGTACTATGATAGAAATTTTTGTATTATGTAATAGTAAGGCTATATTTTTGATCCATAAATCAAACGCCACTGCAGTACCCACCTGTGTAAGACAATTAATGGTCTTGAGGGCTCAGGGAATTTGAATGACTCCTGACTTCCCCCCTTTCCTTCCTTCTTCCCATTAGTAATGAAGTGTCTCCCTTATGTTACTTCATACCTGCTAGAATGGGAAGCTTGAAGGTTAGATGGCATAATGCAATAATTCTCAAATCTATCAGAATCTCCTGAGAAACTTATGATTCAAAATATTATCACATCTTCCCAAGGCACATACCCCCATCGCTAGTGAGTCAGTCTCTCAAGGACAGACCCCAGATATTTCTGTGATGCTCTCCAGGGCTTCCAGGGTGGGAACCACTGGTATAATGGAAAGAAGCCTGAAACTGGAGTTCCACTTGATCTGGTCACTGATGAGCAGAGTGTCCTTGGGAAGGTCACTTTCCTCTTTATGCTTTAACCAGTCTTCTGTGTGTGGAGAAAGTACAACTGGATTGGTGTTTGTCAATCTTGTTTTCTCAGCATTGGAACAAAATCTTGCACAGAGGCCCAGTATATAAAACAGAACAAAGCAGGGTTGCAGTGTTTGAGGGTGAAGAGGGCTCCTTATTCAGCCTTGTTCTCAGTGCCACCAGCACTGCCCTGAGGTGCAAAGTCCTCAAGGCACTTCCACATGGAACTTCTAGGGCTCTCCAGCATGTAACTTGAAAAATTCTAAATTAGAAGATCCATGTCCCTACTAGTTGTGGCATTTTGCAACTCCATGGTAACGTGCTTACCTTGAAAGAAGCCCTCCAGTCATTTTCTAGACAGAGTCTGGGAAGTTGCAGAACACTCCCCAGGGCAGGAGAGCCGTCTGAGAATGTGGAGGGAACAGCTCCAAGAACAAAAGACAAAAGAAGACTGGGGACCATCTTTGGAGTTCTGATATCCAAAAAGCACAGGGAAAAGAACAGAGCAAGTTGGCAAACTAAGCCAGGAGAGGTTCAAGTAGCAAAGGATTGAAACAAAAGGAGAATCTAGGCACTATGTACCTCAGTCAGGAGTCTCCGTGTGCTTAGTGCTGAAACAGAAGTCAGCAGGAGGAACAGAGGAACCAAAATTGTTCCAGGTGACCACAATAAAGTGAGTATCACATTAAAGCAAGTCGCCTGAAGTGCTTGGTTTCCCAGTGCATATGAAAGTTATATTATACTATATTGTAGTCTATTAAGTGTGCAATAGCATTGTGTCTTAAAAAAAGATGTACATACCTTAATTTAAAAATACTTTATTGCTAAATCATGCTATCAATTGGCCGGGTGTGGTGGCTCTTGCCTGTAATTCCAGCGCTTTGGGAGGCCGAGGCAGGTGGATCTTTTGAGATCAGGAGTTTGAGACCAGCCTCATGGTGAAACCCTGTCTCTAGTAAAAATACAAAAAAATTAGCTGGGCATTGTGGCACACACCTGTAATCCCAGCTACTGGGGAGGCTGAGGCAGGAGAATTGCTTGAACCCAGAAGATGGAGGTTGCAGTGAGCTGAAATCTCGCCACTGCACTCCAGCCTGTGCGACAGGGAGACTCCATCTCGAAAAAAAAAAAAAAAAAATGCTAACAGTCATCTAAGCTTCAGCGAGTTGTAATTTTTTTTACTGGTAGATGGTCTTGCCTCAATGTTGATGGTTGCTGAAGGTTGAGGTGGACATGTAAGTTTCTTAAAATAAGACAACAGTGAACTTTGCTGTATCAATAGACTGTTGTTCTCATAAGAGAATTTTTCTACAGTATGTGATGCTATTTGATAGTATTTCACTCACAGTAGAACTTCTTTCAAAATTGGAGCCAATTCTCTAAAACCCTGCCACTGCTTTATTAACTAAGTTTATGAAATATTCTAAATCCTTTACTGTCATTTCAACTATGTTCACAGTATCTCCACTAGGAGTAGATTCCATCTCAAGGAACCACTTTCTTTTCTCATTCATAAGAAGCAACTCCTCATTTGTTAAAATTTGATCATGAGATTGCAGCAATTCAGTCACATCTTCAGTCTCCACTTCTAATTCTAGTTCTGTTACAATTCTACCACATCTGCAGTAACTTCCTCCACTAAAGTCTTGAACTCCTCAAAGTCATCCATAAGAGTTTGAATCAATGTCCTCCAAACACCTGTTAATGTTGTAATTTTGGCCTCTTCCCATGAATCATAAATGTTCTTAATGGCATCTAGAACAGTGAATCCTCTCCAGAAGGTTTTTTTTTACTTTGCCCAGATCCAACAGAGGAATCACTATCTGTGGAAGCTATAGCTTTACCAAACATATTTCTTAAATAATAAAACTTGAAAGTCACAATTACTCCTTGATCCATAACTCCTTGATCCATAATATTGTATCCATCCCTACTAACACAACATCCATTGTTGGCATGGAAACAATATTAATCTCCTTGTACATCTCCATCAGAGTTCTTGAGTGACTAGATACATTGTTAATAAGCAATAATATTTTGAAAGTAATCTTTTTTTTTTCTGAGCAGTAAGTCTCAACAGTGGGCTTAAAATATTCATTCAACCATAACGTAAACAGATGAGCTATCATTTAGGCTTTGTAGTTCCACTGATAGAGCATAGGCATAGTTGATTTAGCATAATTCTTAAGGGCCCTGGGATTTTCACAGTGGTAAATGAGCATTGGCTTCCATTGAAATTCATCAGCTGCATTAGCCCCTAACAAGAGAGTCACCCTGTCCTTTGAAGCTTTGAAGCCAGACATTGACTTCTCCTCCTGAGCTATGAAAGTCCTAGATGGCATCTTCTCCCAATATAAGGCTGTTTCATTACCATGAAAATCTGTTGTTTAGTGTATCCACCTTCATCAATGATCTTGGCTAGATCTTCTGGAAAATATGCTGCAGCTTCTGCGTCAGCACTTGCTGCTTTACCTTGCACTTTAATACTATGGAGACAGTTTTTCTTAAGCCTCATGACCTAACCTCTTCTAGCTTCAAACTTTTCCTCTGAAGTTTCCTCACCTTTCTCAGCTTTCATAGAATTGAAGTGTTAGAGCTTTTCTCTGGATTAGGCTTCAGCTTAAGGGAATGTTGTGGCTGGGTTGATCTTCTATCTAGACCTCTCAAACTTTCTTCATATCAGCAATAAGAATGTTTTGCTTTCTTATCATTCGTGGGTTCACTGGAGTAGCATCTTTAATGTCCTTCAAGAACTTTTCCTTTGCATTTACAACTTGGCTAACTGGCTCAAGAATCCTAGCTTTCAGCCTGTCTTGGCCTTTGACACGCCATCCTCAAAAACTTAATCATGTCTAGCTGTTTATTTAAAGTGAGAGGCATATAACTCTATTTTACTTGAATACTTAGAGGCCATTGTAGGGTCCTTAATTGGCCTAATTTCAATACTGTTGTATCTCAGGGATTAAGGAGGCCAAGGAGAGAGAGAGGTGAGGAAATGGCCATCAGTGGAGCAGCCAGAACACACACAACATTTATCAATTAAGTTCACAATCCTATTTGGGTGCTGTTCATGGCACTTCCAAACAATTACAACAGTAATATCAAAGATCACTGATCACAGATCACCATAACAGATATAATGGTAATGGAACAGTCTGGAATATTGTAATAATTACCAAACTGTAACACAGAGACATGAAGTGAGTGCATGCTGTTGGAAAAAAATGGTGCCAGCAGACTTGTTCAAGGCAGGGTTGCCACAAACCTTCAATTTGCAAACAATGTAATATCTGTGAAGTGCAATCAAACAAGGTATGCCTGTAATACCTAAGTCAGGTTGAAATCCATTTGGTGGAAATCGGGCCGCCTTTCTTTGAGCTGAGGTACAAATGCTTTGTTCTTCACTGTTCATATCATTGCTGGGGAAATCAAGCTGGCATATGTTTTCAGTAACCACCACTGAGATCATTTTTCTCTCTCTCTGGGGTAATTCTGGGAAAGAAAAGCATTCAAAATATTATATTTGCTATCCCCTAGAACATTCATGTCATGTAGCACCTACAATTAATGAGTGGTACTTGTGAGGATGTGAGTCATTACAGCAAAGCATTTAATTCAATTCTTCTCCAACACACTGATTTAATCCACCCTGAGTGAAGCTGGAACTGTAACACACCTTCCCTGAATAGAGTACCATGAGATGACATGGTGTGTCTGAATGACAGCAATTTTGCACATGTACATAGCAGCTTCCAGCCTGGGATCTCCAAGAGTTGCTTCTCACGTGGTAATTGATGGCACCTCTAAGTGTTACATTAAACATTTAATTGAACAGTTAAATGTGGATTAATGAGGCCATTAATTAATACAGCGGGGAAGTCTGCAATTCTTATCTGTGGACCACAGAGAGGATTTCCCCACACCATGTATTTGAAACTACATCGTGAAAATTCAAAATTGTTGAAGCTGTTGAAAGTGTGAGAAAAAGAGTGTGATGAGAGTAGAAATAATGTAAGGCTGACAAAAAGAGGACCCAGAATATGGATACATGAGTTCAAGACCAGGTTCTATGACCAACTAGCTGTGTGACTTTGTGTATATTACTTTACCTCTCTGGGCCTTGAATTTCTTATCTTAAAAATGAGAGGTGTACATTGAGCACAACAGTCGTTTTATTAACCAATGCTCTGAGCCTGTGAACTTAACAAAATGCAATCTGGGATTGGCTCAGTTTCTTGGACCGTTCACATACCTTTTAACTTCTGTGTGTCAAACATTTGTCTGAGAGCTCCAGCTGTCCAGTTGCAGCCCCCCAAGGAGAAGTAGAAGAGCCCTGGACTTGGACTGACAAGTCCTGCTTTCTACTCTGCTGCTAGAATTGAGATCCTAGAAGTCAACAAATGCATCTGAGTCTCCAGGTTCTCATTCTTAAAATGTAGACATAATCTACTGCAAGGAGCTGTTATGAGTACTAAGCAAGATATTTTAGATGAGAGCAAGAGAGTGTGATGTATGTGTGAGCTACTATTCTTGTTTTTATTATTTTCACCCTGGGCCACTGAAAATTGGTTCTGGGGGTCATGTCAATGCCTACGGCTACTCCGTCATCTCTCTACCTTCCTTCCCTTCTTCTCTGCCTACCGTAATCTTCATTCTTGAGTCTGTATTTTTCTAAATATAAAGCAAGATATTTATTAGCAAACCTTTTGGCATCCATAATTCTTCACTCCCCAAAGTATTATTAAACCCTTTTATAACTTTGATAGTGAAAATAAAACAGAAAACCGTAAAGTTTCACAAGACGACATTTCCCCTCTCAAAATCAACCCAACCACTGAGCCTCCTGGGGAGCTTTCCTCCTACCCACCCCTTTCCCAGAAGACAGTTTACAGGATGGTCCTTAGATGAAAATGAAGAAGCAAAAAGATCAAGTAAAAAATGATTTGTGCTTTTGTTTTATTCTAAATCAGCATGAGGAGTATATTCTAGAGCAACAGTCCACAACCTTTTAGGCATCAGGGACTGGTTGTGTGGAAGATAATTTTTCCACAGACCGGGGTTGGAGGGTGGTTTTAGGATGATTCAAGCACATTACATTTATTGTGTACTTTATTTCTATTATTATTACATTGTGATATATATTGAAATAATTATACAATTCACCGTAATGTAGAATCAGTGGGATCCCTAAGCTTGTTTTCCTGTAACTAGTTGGTCCTATGCTGGGGGGCAGCGGGTGGTGATGGGAGACAGTGACAGATCATCAGGAATTAGATTCTCATAAGGAGCACACAACCTGGAGCCCTCCCATGCACAGTTCACAACAGGGCTCACGCTCCTATGAGAATCTAATGCCGCTGCTGATCTGACAGGAGGCGGAGCTCAGGTGGTAATGCAAGTGATGGGGAGTGGCTGTCAATACAGATGAAGCTTCACTCACTTGCCCGCCGCTCATCTTCTGCTGTGTGGTCCGGTTTCTAACAGGCCACAGACCAGTACCAGTCTATGACCCAGGGGTCAGGGACTCTTGTTCTAGATAACTTGTTTTACTTTAAGCAAACTTCATAAACTTTCATGGGCAGGTCATTTGGGATGGTCTTAATATAAATCTATGAGGTGCATTATCAAAAAATTAAATTAGGTTTAGTAGCATTTACTACTAAATATGCGTTACTGCCTAACCTCATATGATATATATATAAACTCTCTCTTAAAATGTTTTATTTTTCTACTATATTGAATAACAAATCTTATTTATGTAAAAACTGTTTATTGGGCACTCACTACAGCCAGCTACAGCACTGAGGAATATACTTAAGTATACAGGTGTATTTCTCTATATTATATATACAGTTGATCATCATTGTTTGTGGATTCCATATTTACAAATTAGCCTACTCCCTAAAATGTATTTGTGACCCCCAAATCAATAATCCAGTGTTTCCACAGACATGTGCAGAGTGGTGAAAACTTTGAGTCACCTGATGTGCACATTTCCAGCTGAGATAAATAAAGCTATGCTCTGCCTTCTTGCATTGGCAGACTTCCTCGCTTAAGAAAACCTCCCAGTGCCCTTTCTCTGTAGATCTGTAGATGACGTGATAGCATTAGATAACACAAGCTACTGTGTATAATTATCTGTTTATACATAAGCATTAGCTCCCCATCCAGGACCATAAACTTCTTTCAGATGGACCCTAGGTTCTATTTTTCTTATACTTTAACTACACTCTTATACTTTAAACAGAAACACACATAAAGCAAGATTATGTATTGATTGGCAACAATGATGTGATAAGAAGCTTGCAGGAACCTAACCCTGTATTCCCTTACGAGCAATAGTTCAGAATTCACTAATTCAGTGTTTGCAGCAACTTTATAAAACATAATGATTGCAAACATTGAGAACTGACTCTGTGTGCTATGTGTGTGTGTGTGATTAAGTGCTAGACATGGACTACACAGGAGCTTAATGTGTAAATTTATCCAGTGCTTTTGTATTTAGCCTGGTAATCTCACCAGAAATTGCTAATTTAAATTAGTTCCTTTGCTTTTATTAAGATAAATGGAATCTCATCAACTCAGTCTTAGGACACAAAGGAATTAGCCTTAGAAATAAAACTTTATTTTGTTAAAAACTCTAGTGAAGGAAATTATACAACAGAAGCACAGTGAAGGGATATCGTTTTTCACCTTTGTGAGCACAAAACAGATTTGAGTCTTCCCCATATCACACAGATTCAGCTCCCTCAAGCCACCCAAAGTGCAAACCGTGCCATCTCTCTTTTCTTCTAGATCGCTATCCACTCAACATTCACCCAAAACATACACCCAGTTTCCGATGCACAGGTAATAAAGATGATAAGTCCTTGGCTTACAATTACCACATGTGTAGTGAGCTGAGAGGAAAATATGGGAAGGCCACTGAGGACCACTCAGCCAGGGAAGAACAGTGAATGTCAGATAAAGCCACCAGAAGATGAGATGCTTGACCTTAGAGATGAGGAGCAGTTAATATGGTGGTCTTGGTGGGATCCCCTGGTACAAAGGTCCGCAGCACCTACTCTGTGAAGAGCACCAGAACAGATGTCATGGATGATTGAGTCAGTATCAGCCAGTATCCTGAAACTCCAGTATTTCAAGGAAGCTTTCCCTGGAGACACCCTCTCCTCCATGAACACATGCACTCCCAACCAAGAAAAAGTCTGAATCCGTCCATAGGATTCCTTTCTCCTTCCATCCTGGCACTTATTTAATCAGTATCTGTCTCCCCAAATGAAGCATATGCCCCTAAAAGCAGGAACCAAGTATTTTGTTGTTGTTAGTTTGCTGTTGCATCTCCCACTGCCTCAAGACTTGCCTGGCATAAGCTGCTGAACAACTGAATGAAGATTGCAGAGTAAGGCCAAGGTCTTATTCATGGGGTGACAGCTTTGCTGGGAGATTTTACAAGGTCATAGTATTGTGGGGATTTTTTTCCACAGTGAACAATGTTTTATCCTGGGAAATCAGTGTACCTCCCATAGGTATTTTTGTTCACCGTGCTTTTCATTGCTTAACTCTTTGACCTAATAACTAGTAAATTAGCAGTCACTAGAACTGAGAAGAGAGAAAACAGGAAAGTTTCAGGTCTTCTAACTTATATTCCTAAATGCAACCTGTGGTCCTGCCAGGTTGGCTGATATTCTTGGCTCAAACTGGGGACTTTCACAGGAGCAAGGGCTCATGTGCCTGCTTTCATCATCACTTCTAGAGCCAGCCCAGAACCTCACCCCCCAGAGGAATCATCTGCTTCTCCTCAGTCCCTTGAAATATTCTTGCCATGAGGACCCCTTCTCTCTGGGGGTAAACAGTAAGATAGATAAAGTGTACTCAAGTGGGACAGAAGTCACTAGCACACATCATGGTGGATGAGCTGTATCACAGCAGCCACCCCTGAGATGGTAGAAGAATGCTGTAAGGCTGAGTCATAGGGACTTGCCCTTTCCTGTTTCTCACCTCTTTGTTGTGGGGTTCTCACAACCAAATGCTCATATGGCCAGGCAGGTGGTCTAAGTAAGTGGAGGTGACAGGGTGGAAGTGTGGCAAGCCCTAACTGAAGGGAATAGCTACTGCTCATCTCCATGCAAGAATTTGGGACAAGTGTCACCAGATCTTCTGGTTTTTCAAGAGAAAGCAAAAGTGCGGGGACCAGATTTGTTTTCAAAGAATCTGGTTTCTTGAAATCAGAAACCATCTTAAGGTTGTCCGTTTTTCATTACTGTTGTTTTTCTGAAATGCTTTTTGTCAATCATTAGGGAGAAGATAAAGACAAATAGAACCTAGGGTCCATCCGAAAGAAGCTTATGGTCCAGGAGGGGAGCCAATGCTTATGTATAAAAAGATAATTACACAGAGTAGCTTATGTTATCTAATGCTATCATGTTATCTACAGATCTACAGAGAAAGGGCATCGGGAGGTTTTCTTAAGCAAATTTGTTGCGGAGAATCTCCTCCCTTTAGTAACAAGAAACTCAATTGTTTCTACATCCAGAAAAGGACTTTTTTTCTTTTAAGCAATAGGGCCTCCTGCTGAGACAGTAAAATTGTAGAGATACTTGTAGGGTTGTGTTGCAATATGATGAGGAGGCCAATGAAGGTGGTTCCATCAAAGAGTGCTTGAGTTAAAACTAATATATTCAAGCAGTGATACTATTTTGGCATTCTTCAGCTCCGTTTTCTTTCTTCTTTCTCCTCATCTGGACTCAGACCCTAGTTCCTGACTTTCAGTGTGGCACTCTTTCCTCTCCCTGCTTAAGAAGGAGCAGTCAGAATTATAAGGTCATGGCAACATTGTAGATTTGAAATTCCACTGTCTTACGAAACATGGCTTCTTGAGCTCCAGCATTGTTGTTTGGCAAGTTGATCAGAAATTCTCTTTCTGCCAGTGCTGAGCCATGGTAGTTAATGTGTGGAGTTCTGAAGCAACAGTTTGGATCCCATTTCTACTAACTTATCATGCTAGCTGTATGACTTTAGGAAAAGTACTTAACTTGGTACCTAAGCCACAGTTATCTCACGTATAAAATAAGGTAACCATAGTGCCTGCTTGTTAGGTGTTTTGTGAAGATCAAATGAGATCATACAGGTAAATATTATGTGAGTGAAAACCCCCACAGGTATACTAATAGAGCGTAAAAAAAAAAGAAAATCACGTGGAGGTCTATATTTGAAGAATGAGACCTGTGCCTCGTACAAAAAAAGTATTCAATTAAAGAAAGTCCACATCAGTATTACCAAATAGGGACATGAATCATTCCTTGCTGTGGAGTATTGTGAGAATAAGGACCTGCATAATTTATTATTTACTGCAAATGGAGCAAGTCAGTCTTGGAAAACTCTGATTTATTATCATATGGGTGGTGAATGAGCTTTGACCTGGCCAAGAGAAAAGTGTGCCACTCCAGGCATGGATGTCAAGCCTGGCACTCAACATGCACAATTGCTGGACTGAGCTGAGGTACAGTGCATGAAGTTCAACTAAAACCTCACCTTGGGTGATTCTCAGCTGGGAAGTGGCCCTAGCTAAATAATAATGGCACACTCAGAATCTTCCATGATTTTTGGAATTCTAGAATAATGAACTGTTTGGGAACAGGGGACTCTTCTGAAGTACCCAACAATTTAAAAGGGAGAAAAGTCCTTCTTCCCTCTCTCATCAGTCTCTTCTCTCTTCCTACCTATCCATCCATGTATCCAACAGAATCTGAATTAGAATATTTTGGTACGTGTATACCTATGTAACAAAACTGAACATTCTGCACATGTAATCCAGAACTTAAAAAAAAAAAGAATATTTGGGCATTCATGCAATCCACTTTTTCAGAGGAAAGTTAGTCTTCTTTCAAATAATTTTATAATTGCATCAATTCATCTAGGATACAGTGGGCCTTTTCACATGCCAGGTGCGGTGCAAGGCACCGAGCGTAAAAAAAAAAAAAATATATATATATATATATATATATATATATATATATATAGAAAAGTACAGTTCATGCCCTCAAGGATCTCATAGTCTCAGAGGCAAGTAACTTTTGTAATTCCCCAGCCTTCCCTTCTCTCCTTTCAGAGCTCCTCACATACTAAGTGCCCAGTGTGTTAATTTATTTTCAGCAGAGTCCGATCAGCTTCTTTGCATGAAAGTCTACATGTTTAACCTCTCCAAATTACAAGGGTGCCTGCTTTTTTAAAGGAGATGCTGTATCTTAAACCAAAAAGGTTATTTTGAGAATTTTAGACATGCTGGAAAATTTAAGTGAAGCAAATTTTTATAAATTGTGTATATACTTGCTAACCCTGACATGAGCCAGGTATGTAGCTACCAAAAATTTCTTGGTCAGGATATTCTTGACCTTTCGTGCAGGTTGCTGGAAGCCCCCAAGTCTTGTAGTTACTCTTTACTGCAGACTAGTAAAGAAACATGCTTTGGATCAGAATTGAGACCTGGGGTCAGGGGGTGTGTTTCTATCCTCATTCTCTCCAATTTTATACGACTGAGCACTTCTGTATTGCTCAAACAAATGTGTCATTTCTTGTACTCTTGGAGTGTCCCAGTATGTGTGTATACCCTGGGACTTGATGACATAATGAATTTCCCCATCAAAGCTCTGTAATCGAGCCATCTTCACTATCTGATGGCATAAGTCAAATATTAGTCTTAATTTGAACCAGGCCATTATCATATTAGACTTCTCTGTCATTCTTGATGACTGCAGAGCCAATGGCTCTCACATTTCCAAGTGTTAAAGAATTACCACTTCAATGGGCTCAACTGTTCCCCAATTTTTATTTAGAAAACTGATAATGGTTGAAATAAACCACAGGGGGTCAAAAAGCCAGGTGGCCAGGGAGCTTATACCCGAAATGAGAAAAGCCTTGCTACCTGCTGGTTTAATAGGCTGCCCTTATTTCTAATGGGGCTGAGTGGAGCTGAAATCAAGGCTGAGAGACCATATCACAGCGATCTTAACATCGAACCACCTGACATTGGGTCTGTGGGGGATATTTCATCATTGTCTGCTTGACCTTTGGCCTGTTAGACTTACAGCCCATCATTTCTGGGAAGCAGCGACTGAAAAAGCCATTTGTTCCCCATCGATGTACCTGTCCTGATGTGCTGTCAACAGCTGTTTGCATTGCTAACTGCGCCAAGGGAAAACAATTGATGCTGGCAAACTCGAATTTCTAACCACCTCTTTTATTTTTGTCACTCCTGGTGCTAATGATGACCTATATTCTCTACCATAATGATTATCTTAAAAGTCTTTTTGGCGTTGAAGAGAGCGTTTGAGTCCTAAGTGCCTGTATTGTGAAAGAATATAATATGGAGAGGTCTATTATCTTAGAATTCATTTGCCTATTTTTTTCTTTTTTTAAGGCAGCACTGTAAATTAAACCACTTGAGTTGGCTTTGTAGGTTTCCTTTTTTGTTTCCTTTTTTTTTTTTTTTTTGCATACACAGCAAGGATAACTACACCTCAGATTTATGAGCATTGTGAACAGGTTGCCATAGCAACCACTCTGGCTGCTCTACACCAAATAACCTTGTCATGTGAGCGTTTATCACAGGAACATCAAGGACTGGATTGCACTGTACGCTCTTTGGCTAAACAGCAGGATTTTTCTGAATAATAATTGGTCGTGGCCTTTTATTCCACCAGTCAGAGTTAATCATCCTCGGAATCTGAAATTAACCATAATGCATTCAAGGCGCAGAGTGCAGCCATTCAAAAATTCCTCTTTGGGGAAGAAAACTTTCCAGTGATCTTTGGTCTTTGTTGTATATGATCATTGTTGTTATTGTTATTGTCACTATTATTGGGAAGGCTTAATGAGAGAAGGATGAGCATTTGGGAATGGCATCTAGAACTCATTAACATGATATAAGTAAAATGGGTATTTAACTACCGTATTATTTATGAGAAATAAGAGATATTTTAAGCTGCCATCAAAACCAGCAGGTTTTTTCCTCTCTCAAATTACCTTTATAGGACATTTGATCATTTGAATATATTTTATTAGGTTAATTTATTTTCCATAGATCATGTTTTAATACACACCCAGAAATCACAATGTGCTTCTGATGTATCATCTGAGGAGGGAAAATGAGTGGGGTGTAAAGGATCAGCGAGGTCCCAGTGCCTATGGAGCACGTGTGTGTACACACATGTGGTACTTGTGCACATCCACACAAATCCGCAAGATGGACCCTAGAAAGAAAATAATTACATCACAAGGATACAGCTGGCTCTCTATCATAGGCAATTATGTTAGAGCTAGGGGTTGGTGGGTTTAAAAAATATCAGGATTTTGGTTATTTATCAGCAGAGAGGTTTTCTGATCTGTGAAAAGTCACCTTACAAAATTCTACTAGGGATAAAGCCAGGCTTCAGCAAATTCAACAAATTATGGGGTTTTTTTTAAGCATCTTAACACTTCCCCTTTTTGGTGATCCTTTCTTTTACCTTTTCTTTTTCAACTTCCTTGGTCCCTAGACCTTATTTCTTACAGGCCATTTGTATTTGTCCATTCTCACGCTGCTATAAAGAACTGCCCAAGACTGGGTAATTTATAAAAGAAGGAGATTTAATTGACTCACAGTTCTGCATGGCTTAGGAAGCCTCAGGAAACTTACAATCGTGGCAGAAGAGGAAGCAAACACATTCTTCTTCACATGATGGCAGGAAGGAGAACTGCCAAGCAAAGAGGGAAAAGCTCCTTATAAAGCCATCAGATCTTCTGAGAACTCACTCACTATCAGGAGAATAGCAGCATGGGGGGAACCGCCCCCAATTCAATTACCTCCCACCAGGTCCCTTGCATGACATGTGAAGATTATGGGGACTAAAATTCAAGAGCAGATTTGGGTGGGGACACAGCCAAACCATATCACCTTTTATCATCGTTATTGTTGATAATAATTGTCATTGCCTTAAGTGTGACCTCTCCTGAAGATAATTACTTAAAAAAAAATCTCAAATGGAGGAATTTCAGAAATCAGTAAATAATATTTTTTAAAGAATGCATTCAAGGAGGAAAGGACTTTTTTAAGTTCCCACCTAGTCATACCTTCTAGGAAGCCACCAATATTGCCAACTTCTAACACTCTTTTATAAGAGGAACCTGTAGTCATTCCAATCAAATGAAGCTAAATGATTGGATGTGAAGATGAAAAACAGCTAAGTGGGAAGACTTGGGTGCAGCTATTCAGGGAAATAGCACCATCCATCTCATGTCACATCCCTGCTCTTGTCTTTTTGTTGCTTTTCCTTTGAAATAAATGTATATATGAGTCAGTAAAATAAGTTTTAGAAAAGCAACAATATTCATTTATTCATCATATTATGGTAGTTGTAAATGCCAAGGACACTGCTAGGTGTGTGGGGGGAACAGCAATAAAAGAAATCTGATTCTTATCCTCTGGGTACTCACAAGCTTGGAGGGAGACGAGACATAAAGAACCTGGATAGTTACTGCACTCTTAATAAGAAACAAATGTCTTGTGAGTGGCACAGAAGTGCCACTAGAGGTGGCAGCCATCTCTGGCATTGTCATAAGAGGGCGTCTGTTGCATGTGGTGTTGAAACAACTAAGCTACAAGAAAGTGTAGAAGGCTGGTGATTGGAAGGAGAGCATTCCAGGGAAAGAGGATAGCAGGAGTGAAGTAGGAGACATATGAGTGTTTGGTAGAGTCTGAGAAAAGCCAGCATTTGTCAAGGACCCAGGTTCACATCCATGAGTCGTCAGTAGAGATAAAACTGGAACGGTACCTTCAGGTCAGATTTGAAGCTTGGTTACCAGGGGTCTTGAATATCTTCCTAATATGCCTGGGCATTTATTTGGATGGCATCAGAAAGTCATTTCAGGTTCTTAAGCAAAATATTGATGTGATCAAAGTGATAGAAAATTTAAATGAGACTGGGGTGAGAAGGACGAACGAAGACATTTTAGAAGTTGTTTCATCATCTGAGGAGGTGGATTTACCTCTAATCCCTGTTCAACTAGCTTTCTCTTATTTTCCTTCTGAGGAAAAAAAAGGCATCTCCATTTTGGTAGTGATTTTGAAGTGCAGTGTCAGAGGAGGGGAGAGGGTCCACTCCTGGTGCAAGCATCAGATCCATGGCTTAGCAATCAGAGGGGAGGACGGTTAGGAAAATGCAATTGGTTATATTTGGGCTGTTCAGGCTGAAGCACCAAAGATACTGCTAGAGTCTCTTCATTTGATTTCTCAAGATTTAATGTGTGTTTTGTGAAGAGGAAAAAAGTGATAAATGTTTCTGACCAGTGCTCACTAAGCTATGACCAACCTGCCAGTAAGCATTGCTGCTATTAGGCCTGCTATTATTATAAGAGTGCTATCCTTTGAAACTAACAAGAGAAACATATTCACTCTATGTGGTGGAGAATCTTCATGGAATTGTGCCGGGAACCCAGGGTTCCTAAAGCACACCCTGACTGGGATGATCCCCAAAGTTTCTCACAGGCCCCTTTTATTCTGCTAAGGGGTATGATGTGTGTAGGTGAGGCTTAAAGTATGAACAGGAGGAAAATGATTCTCTCTCTGATGCCCCTTCACTCTTCCTTACTCTTGAATATCAAACTATTGAGAAAACTTGTTTTGTGTTGTCATTCTGTCCCAGAAGCAGTTCAAAATGAACTTTTAAAACATTTTATCAGGTCGGGCGTGGTGGCTCATGCCTATAATCCCAGCACTTTGGGAGGCTGAGGCAGGCGGATCACCTGAGGTCAGGAGATCGAGACCAGCCTGGCCAATGTGGTGAAACCCCACCTGTACTAAAAATACAAAAATTAGTCAGGTGTGGTGGCGCACGCCTGTAATCCCAGTGACTCTGGAGGCTGAGACAGGAGAATTACTTGATCCCAGGAGGCAGAGGTTGCAGTGGGCTGAGATCACACCACTGCACTCCAGCCTGGGCGACAGAGGAAGACTCCAACTCAAAAAAAAAAAAAAAATCTCCAGTTTTATTTTATGTAATTAATGAGGACAAAAATCAGTGTGTCCTTTGCACTTTCAGTAGAGTGGGCATTCTTGCTAATAGTACTCAATATGATTCACCTCCGGTTCTCCCTGCTTAGAAATAGCTGCTCTGTTTGGGAAATTCCATGTTACCTAAAGCTGCATAACAGATTGTTCCAAAATATAATGGCTTAAAACAACAATAGTCATTTAATATTTCTCACAGTTTCCATGGGTCACAAATCTGGGAACAGCTTGGCCAGGTAGTTCTGGCTTGGGATCTCTCATGAGATGTCAGCTATGGCTGTCATCTGAGGACTTGACCAGGACTAGAGGATGCACTTCCAAGGCAGCTCACTCACATGGCTGGAAAGTTAGTGCTGGCTGTTGGCAAGAGTCCTCAGTTCCCCACCCGAATCTCTCCACAGGGTTGCTTGAGTGGCCTCAAAACATGGTGGCTGGCTTCTCTCAGAGTGAGTTATTCAAGATACTAAGCAAGACGTCTTTATGAACCAGCCTTGGAAGTCATATACCATAACTTCTAGTGTATTCTATTGATCACATAGGACAGCCTGATTCAATGAGAGTGAGAATTATACAAGGTGTGAACTCCAGGAAATAAAGATCCACAGATCCACACGAGGATGGTGTGGGAAGGGGGCATGTCTTGGAGGTTAAGTATCACAGAGGTGTATCTTTGCAGCTCACATGTGGATGTGTCAGGTTCTGGTATTCAGAAGATGATACTACCCTGTTTCTGCCCCCAAACTGGAAAATGTTCTACCCATGCTGAGGTTGAGTGGTAAAGAATTCCTTTAATCTGATATAATCTGGAATAATGGTTGATAATAGGAAAGGATGGTCAAATTCTTTTAAACATGATTTTAAACTTATAAATATGCACTTATTTGCCAATCGTTTGGTACAGGTGGAATTATTTTTATTATTATTATTATTTTTTTTTTTGAGACGGAGTCTCACTCTGTTGCCAGGCTGGAGTGCAGTTGTGTGATCTTGGCTCACGGCAACCTCCGCCTCCCGGGTTCAAGAAATTCTCCCGCCTCAACCTCCCGAGTAGGTGGGACTACAGGCATGCACCACCACGCCTAGCTAACTTTTGTATTTTTAATAGAGATGGGGTTTCACCATGTTGGCCAGAATGATCTCAATCTCTTGACCTCGTGATCTGCCCACCTCAGCCTCCCAAAGTGCTGGGATTACAGACATGAGCCACCGCACCCGGCCTGATTTTTTCTTAAATAAACTTCTTCTCATTAAAGTTCTGCATCCTTTCCCTCCACAAATCATTCCAAGAATACATTATTTACATTATCTAGCTTTGGGTTCTTTAAAGTGAATCAAGAACCTAAAATGTATTTTATGAGCTATCTACGTGCAGAATTTTATTATTTTTAACTAATCTCTTAGAGTTGTCCCACCCACATTCTATTTAACATCGATCCTTTTTTTTTTTTTAATCAATTTCCCATTTACTGGCTCTTTCCAAAGCAATCAACTTGTTTTTTTGTCAAATCAACAACCCTCTTTGCATTCATAGTTCACAGTTTTGCATAATATTTAAATAAATTATAACTACAACCAGCATAAAAAGGTTTGGGAACAAACACAATTGATTCTTGGGAAGCACGCATTTCAACAGGTATGAGTGGCATGTACCAGCAGAGAGGAGTGTGCTAGACCTAAGGGTTCATCAGAACATCTTGAAGATAGAACGAGCAGCATCAGCTATGTGGCCATGTGTTAAGGCGATGTTTTTGGTCCGTATTTTTACTTAATTTAAATTTCCTCAAAAATTTACATTGTAATGGCTGATCTTTGTATCCTTTTCTCAAAAGTCAAATCTGTGCAAATGAATGCACTGGCCATGCAGCTGACCAATCACAGACTACCAGTGAACCCACAATGCTCTCCTCACCAAGCATGTAGGATGACCTACACGACCTCTGAAGGCCTCAAAGAATGGAGAGATGAATGCCTAAGAGTTAATTATGTTTGGTCCCAAACCTTAAAATGTCAATGTGAATCAGCCACTAATCCAACGCTGAATGATCATGCCTGGACAAAAGTGCATCAGCACTATTTTCAGCAGACAAGGTAGGCTTCCTGGAGGAGGAGGTCTTGACTTTGGACTTGAATAGAATATGACACATCCAATGGGACAGGAGGTTATACCACAGAAATGAGAATGAGTGGGAAAGATAGGAGTATTTGTTGAATAGCAAGTACAACATGGAGAAGAGAAGCTGAAAATGTGATCTCTCAGAGAAGGTAGGGCCAAAGAGGCCCGAGGGTCTTGTCTGTTAGAAATAGGGAGCTATAGCAGGTTTCTGAGCAGGGGAGTAGCATGACTAATGAGGTGTTGGAAGACTGTCAATCTGGCAAGAGGACACTGGGTACTCTCAAGCAGGAAGAAGCTGGATCCAAGGCCTGTTTGCAGCAGCTATTACAGTGGTTTGAAAATGAGGTATGAGAAGGTCCCAATAAAGGTGTGGTCTGTGAATATAGAGATTTCACTAGCAAAAAATAACTGGATTTGGGAGCTGTAAGACAGGGAAGGTAAGAAGAAGAGAGGCAAATTTGAGTCTAGGGAGTTAGAAGAAATAGTTGGTGCCACTCATATAGTATGAAAACATGGAAAAGGGAACCAGGGTGCATGAGGAAGTGAGGAACACAGATTTAGGCTAAGCGTGAGGTGGAAGGGGAGGCGTGGAGAGGACTAGTGGAAGGTTAGGGACAGAAGACGGCTGAGCCAGGGAGAGGGGCAGATTCAGGAATCACCCACAGAGCAGCCTGTGAGAGGCCCCAAACATGGACAGGTGAGGCCTCTGGGGAGGATCCTACAGAGAGACAGAAGGCCAATGTCAAGACTGAGCCACGGCCAGAACCCCTGCTCCATCAATGGAGCCAGAACTTTTCATGGCCCAGAAAAGGCAGTTAGAGCTGTTGCTGTCTAAGCTTTTATAGGCCACCTCTCTGCTTTTCATTTCCTCATCTCCTTCTTGTCCTCTGTCTTCCCTTTCTGAGTCTCCATTTAGAGGACAGGCAATTACACCTCATCAGTGCGATTTGTACACTGCTGTCACATGTAGGCTTAGCCCGGCTCCCTCAGTGCTAATTTCTGCTTCTTTTTGCTGTCCCCTCCTAACTTTTCCACTTCTTCCACTATCTTACTTTTCTACCTCGTTAAGGACAGGAGCCCCTCCATTAGAACTCACACTCCATTGTGTCACACATCGTTTAAATATCTTATCACTTTGCCATTGGGAAAAACAGTAATTGATGGTATTTCCATTTATTTTCACTCTCTCTGCTCCATTTGGGGAATGAAGACGGTTTCAAATAGCTCATTATTTATTTTCCGCTCAGGCTCAAGTTGTATTCCAGCACCGTCCTTACAGGGACCCGAACTTCCCACAATCCCATAATGTTTTATGAGCAGTTTTACAATCAAGATGCTATATTATCATATCCTTCTGAAAGGTGGTTATATGAATAGTCAGGAAGCAGTAGCTGAAGTACAGAGAAATCTCTGCGACAGTTTGACAGCGAGTTCATAGTCCTGTCCTGGGGAGAGCCCTTTGCTCAGGACCCCCTGTGTGGAGGAGCTTCTGCAGGGGCTCAGAGTGGCCAGTAATGTTGTAAAATGCTGTCCTATTTAATGACAACATGCACAAACAGAGGAGGTGCAACAGAACATTCTAACCAGAGGGTTCCTTAGTGAGCATCTGGCCTATCCCACCTATTTTATGGGTGAAGACAATGAAGCTTGGGTAAAAAATGTGACTGACAAGGGACATAGACAAAGATGACCTCTGAGCTGGAAATCAAGCTTTTTGACAGTCACAAATAAAAAAAAATCTTTTTAAAAAAATAATTTTGTTAAATACATCATAAATATGACATCCAGCATATCTAGTCAACTATACTAATAGGAACAAAAACCCACAGATGATGACATAACTTGATATTTATTGTCAACAAAGCAAAGCAGGCAGAAGTGCTGGTAATTGGTGTGTCCTCATCTCATCCCCAGTGCTGGTGCTTGAGTGCTGCATTTTTTATTTACCTTGTCAGACAGCATCATTTCACCCAAGATTTATTGAGTCCATGTGGAGTATGTTTTCATTCCTTATTCATCTCTCTCTTGGTTTTCTACAATAGAGAAATAACTGGAGCTGAGCTAAGAGGCTTCTCCCACTGTATTTGAGATATGCTAACCAATGCCACTCTTGGGACTGGCTTCTGGAGAGGTCCCTGAGATGGGCAGAGGGAGGGAGGTTGAAGACGTCACGTAACAGCATCACTTCTGGATCCTAGCTGAATTCTGGGAAGATGGGATTTCCTGTAATAAAATGGGGTTGGGAAGTACACTGTTTAAAAGGCCTGGGATCACAGACACTAAAAAGAACTATGAACTTGGACCTGGGATCCAGTTCTAACTTTGCCATCAAATAGCTACATGACTTTTCGGAGCCTCCATATCCTCATGTATAAAGGGGTTGGTTCTGTAGAGTGAGACTCCATCCAGTGCTCATATTCTGGGGTTCTATGGAGACTGTGCCTGTGGGAGATGGTGAGCAATGATTGCAAAGAACATGGAAGGGGGGATGCTAAGGCAAAGCTAATGGGAAACACATGGTGTGGATGCCTGAAGGCAGGAAGAAAGGGGGTAGGGTCAGCAGGCCCAGGGGCTTCCCATCAAGGCTTCACTTCTCCAGGAGCAAACTGTTTCTAAAATCACAACTGTGCACAGGCATGAGTAGGTGGACACCCACACTTGCTTTTTCATTGCTCATCAAAGGAGAGCCATTTATAATCATCTCCATTGACTTTCAAACATGCTGTGAAGTAAACAGACTCTATTATAACGTGTTTACAAATGAGGTCACTGAAGCTCCAAGAAGGTAAGAGACTTTTCAAGATTTATCGTTTATGGGCTGAGCTGGACAAGACCCAAAATTTCCTAGTTCCTAGTCACAGGCCTTTTCCAACTCCAACTTCCAAGTTTGCTATAGCAACCACTTATATTTCTATAGAAATTTTTACTTGTAAAGTATATTTAAAAACCATTACCTCATTTTTATCCTGCTGAAGGCCTGTCAGTTGGGAGTGCTGGGGGCTATTTCTCTTGGTTTAGAGATGGTGAAACTGAAGAGATTTTCCCTGAGTTTCCTAATCATTCAGCAAACCCTCTTAGAGCACCCATGTTTCACCAAGCACATCCCAGACATGGCTGCCTAATGGCAAAGCTAACTTTTATCTCAATGTGTCTTGACTGCACATCCAGTTCCCTTTAGGAGTTGAGATTTTCAAGGCACGAATAAAAGTTTTCATAAGAAGCTTCTAAATATGCCATGGACAAATGGTCCTGGCAATGGTAATAAATATTCCATCCAAATGCTGACCCTCCATAGCCCACTCTTATTTTAAGATGGCCTTCCAACCCTAGAATTAATGTAAGAGATATGTAACAATTCTAAGATTGTTAATTCTACATGGCATGGCTATAACAACATTTGATGAGGGCACCAGTCCCAGGCTTTGGTTTTGATTTGAAATAGGCAAAGCATGTATGAATGCCATCCACCCTACCAGTGCTGTCTCCTCTCCATCTTCTCAGCACCATGATTCTGCATGCTCCTCCACCTGAGAACTGTATCCTTGGTTCTGTCCCTGTTAGTCCCCCTGATGAATTGCCAGTACATCAGTGGCACAGGCTGTCACAAAAACAGAGATGGGATGGCAAGCCCTAGAGATGGCTGTGGAAGACATGTCTGCTCTGGGAGAGGATTTGAACTAGCTTGTGCTGAGATTCACTCTGCTGCTAAGGACACATGAAATAGACTCACTGAAAGTATTTTAAATATCTTCTAGTAACGTGGTCTCTCCTGGAATTCAGTGTCAGTCAGGCCCCTAGGTATAATAGTAAGCTGTCCAGCACTTTCTAGTTTACACATATTCTGTCAACCTTCTACAGATTCTCAAAGCAATTCCCATTTCTACATTTTCCTTTATGACTTTCCCATGGATAGGTAAACAGTCCTAGGGTATTTTTTTTTAAAGGGAGGGGGTGGATTTCATTTGAGTGAAAAGCTGTGTGCTGTCCCCGACTTCAGAAAAGGTGCTTCTCCTCCATTATTACCTGGGATACTCTCTGGAAGTGAGGCATGTTTGAACTACTCACAACTCTCTTACATCCTTTTTGTCATTAAAAGAGAGCAAGTCCCTGGGAGCAAAGGGGAAGTCTATGTTCTGAAAAGTGAGCCAACCCAACTCTCCTGCTCACTCCTCCACATCTCCCTGGCACGGCATCGATGGCCACCCCTCTTATCTAGCAGTCAAGACCCAACTTGAGTTCCACCTCTGCCTCTGATTCTTCCTGAACTATCCCGCCTCTGTTTAGCTTCTCCCTGTTCTGGACTACCCGAGTCAAACTTTCTGTTCCTTGCTGAGTGCCACTTATTGTCATTGTTAGCCTTGAATTTGGAGCTAAGTTACAAAGCGTGTAATCATCTAACTTATCGAGTGCGTAATCGTGATTTTTCAACTGGATTGTGGTTTTCCTGAAGGCAGAAGACATGCCTCCTTCAGCGGTGGTCCTCTCTGTGCTTTACATTAACTAGTCATATGGTACCTGTTTGTTTGTTTATTTAAAAAGTGATGTCCAAGCAGAGCACACCCTTGTATGTTTTATCCCTGATAACACAAGCAGAGCCGAATGAGATCAGCATGTGTGTGTGTGTGTGTGTGTATACACACATATATATAGTATATATATACACACATATATGTACTATATATATACACATATATATACTATATATCTATATACATATATACATACATATACATATATATACACACATATACATATATACATACATACACACACACACACACACACACACACACACACACATACATACACGCTTAATGGAAAACCAGCCCTTGAACAAAATTGGGCATTTTGTAAGAGAAGCAGAGTATTGTCCCAGGTTCCTGGTTCTGCCTCTGGGAACCTGCATTGGTCATGTGAGTGTGTGTTAGGAAGCCCCTTCTCGGCCAATTCTGGACCACCTATTGCAGCAGGAAATACATCCATCTGCTCTTTTCCCTCAGGGAATGATTGCATTGCCACCACCTCCTTTCACCTCTTCAGATGCCAATTTTTTTCATCTTTTCTCAACATAGAGTTGGGGAAATATTTGTATTGGCTGAGTTGAGACTGGCTTATTTGACCCAGTTAACAGTGACCCAGTCATTCCGACATACCTGCTGAGGAACATAAGTAGCAGGAAAATGGACACCTCACCCCCTTTCACTGGAAGAATGTGGAATAATTCTTTGTGTTTGTCATGAGGGAAATGAAACCCCTGATCTGATATTCACTTAATTTTTCTTCATGGAGAAAGCTGTTGAATTCTTCTATTAGTAGGGTTAGAAAAGAAAGGGAAAAAAAAAAGGACTCTCCTGGAAATCAGGAGGCCTGGCTCTCACCCTGGCTCTGTGCCCAAGGCCTCCCCACCTGGTTCTTTCCATGGGACCACACACTTACACATTTGCACACCTGCCTGTCACTAAGTACCAAGCAATGGGTTCATTTGGATGCCAGTGTTTCCCTTGAAGACCACCCTGAAGTTCCTCCTGACAGTCATGCTTTCTACTTCAAATTATTGGGTGCAGGCAGACCAACATCTGAGGTACATGGTGTGTGTGTGCACAGAGGTGTCAAAGTTCCAGCTGGAGGGTCTGGGAACTGAGTTCTGTCCCACCCCATTCACTGATCAATGTGTGACCAGGAAAGTCCCTTAAGTCCCAGTGTTTGTTTCTATAGGTTGGAAATAATGACTCAGATAACCCCAACCCAGGAGTTTCTCCCAGGGCTCTTGTGAGAATTAAATGGGATCAGAAATGTGACTATATTTGGGAAGAAACGGATGTGAGGAAACAGTGGTGGCTATCAGAGCATCCTTGTGTGTGTTACCAAGAGGACAGGGCAAGCAGGAGATCCTGGCATCAGGTTCTAGCTTTGGCTGCCAATGATGTGATCTTAGGAAAGCCATAAGATCTCTCAGGGCTTCGCTCTCCTCATCTGTCAGATGGGGATTAAAATAACTGCCCTGCCTTTCCCACAAAGGTGTCGTGAAGATCTGAAACAATAGGCATGAAAGAGCATTGACAAATACACAACACCATCCAAGTAAGAAAGAGTTCACTGTTTATAGCAAGTCTGCTTGGACTGAAGGCCACTCATTACATGTAAGAAACTCACAAACTCACCCTCCTAAAAGAGAGTCCCAGAGGGAGAGATTATATGTAAATCACCTAGCTACTGCACCAGCATTTCTTCTGGAAGTTATGTCATTGAACCCAAGGAGCCCTAGCCTGGGAATTAAGGATGGAAGCTAGACATTTACAGGGAAAATTCACAATATAGCCAGTCTCTAGGGATAGCATATATTTTAGCAATATTATATCTGACTCAAATAAAACAATACCTTTCAAGGGCATGGTGTCACTTCTTCAAATTGTTGGATAGAAATGATCCATGTTTAAGAAGCTGTAAAATGGCAACTACAGACCATAACTTTAAAAACCTGTTTTGCAGGATTGTAACAAAAAAACACTGTGCACAATATTGGAAGTGTGGAGGAGAGAGGGTGCTAACATGAACATAAAGCAGACAGCAGGCACCACAGAAGCTCAGGAAGGGAAATCCTTGAGGACTGAAGAGGAGCCACCCCTATAGGCTGGAGGTCATGGGCACCCCCAGGGCACATACCCCACTAGTTGGTCCTAAAACACAGGCTGTACTTGGAAAAGTAGAAAGGAGGGAACTATGTCAAAGTGACATGTCATCTGGGTAGAGAGGTGAGCAGAAGGAAATAGCAAGTTTAATGACAGAATGGACCAACCCTTGAGACTGCATTACAAAACAGCCTGTCCCACTTACTACCCAAGACAAAAGAAGAAACATTAAAGAAAACTTTCATTTGAGTTCTGTTTAATAAGTACAGAGAACATACAAATTCAGCTTCTCTGATTGTTTTTGATAAGTCCCCACTATTGGTTCTAGATTTCTGGGAAGAGATGGGCATCTGTTGTTCTCATCAGAAGAATCCATGCACTTTTCCTAAATGCATGAAACCTCATCACCAGTGCTTGGTTGAGAAGATGGAGTACTAGATGGTTCATTACTGAACAAAGACAGGAAGAGAGTAAAGGGGCCAACGGCAGAATTTACTTTTTCAAATATTTGGAGGACCATACTCCCTGAACAAGAATGAAGTTATAGTGGAGGATGGAAGAGAAGACATTGACGCCAGAGTTCCATATTTATTGGCATAAAGAAATGATTACAATATATTATTAAATTTTAAATTACCTTATAAAACAGTATATACTATATGTTTTCATTCTTTGCAGAAATAAAAGTCTACTTATTACATGAATAAATACTGTTATGTTTTTTAAGTCTAAATCCATCAAGCCAGGAAACTGTGGAGAGTCTGTGGAAGACTTGCCTATGACTGAAATTGGCGATGGCTAAGCAGAGGAAGTTGGTCTTCATGCAAAATGATTTGAGAGGCATGGACCTCTCTGAGCAGAAGCAAATTGGCAGGGCACAGGGTGGACCATCTATGCCACTCACTCTTTAGGGATTCTACAGTGAGCACAGGGAAAGCCTTGAGGAAGAAATCTAGCCCATCACTTGATTCCCTGTTGTCAAATAACTGTGATATGGACAGCAAGTAGCTCCTAGGACCCCCATTTAGAGTCAGAGGCCTCTCCAGCCTGACCAGTCTTACAATAGCATAAATCATATTTTTATGTACATTTCAGCCTCACTGATGGAGTCTAGTCTTTGACAAGAGTCCAGAGGGAAAGAAAGACAGAAGTGCGTGAGTTTGATCCTCGAAGCCAAGTTACCTCCTGGGGCACCTGGAAGTCTCCTTCTGTGACTCCCCTGGGGTGGCTGAGTTCAGATCTTAGCAGTGGGAAGACCTGCTGTTGTAGTCTGATCCAGTAAAGGTCTGTAGTTGAGGAACAGAAAGAACCTGGTTCCCTTTGCTCCTGAAGTTGTTTTAGTCCTTCCCTAAGGAATCAGAGGCATTCCTTGGCCCAGTGATGTTTAAGGCTTTATGGAAACTCAATAATATGCCCTAACTGACTGCGCTGTCTCTTGATCCTCATTCATAGGTTTCACACTCAGCCTCCATTCTCAGAACACTCAGATGTTAAGCAACTCAGGTCTGGGGTGGGTCTTTCTTGGCAACTTCCTTTTTCTTCAAATGTTTAATCAATTCATGAGAGTATAGTTATAACTTTGGGAAAGGTCTTAGAAGTCCATTGCTAAAGCATGGTCATTTTGGCAGATGGGAAAATAATCTTTGAGAGTTAGGTAGCTTTCCCCAAATCACATAGTTGGTTAGTAGCAATGCTGGAACAAAAAACAAGTTTCCAAATCACTAACCCAGTGTTCTTTCTTACTACAGCTTCCTTTTAGTAGTTATATTTGTTGGACATTTGCTAAGAATGGTTAGAGAAAAGTATAATACATATCCCATATGCTCATGGCTATAAATCAAGTTGAATAAAGAAAATATACACAAGGGAAATGAGAGGGATCTTGTAATAACTCACGTAGCACTAACTAAAGATTTCAGAAAAGGGAGAGATCTGTGTGGATTGGGATAATTGGACTGGCTCTTTCTGTGGAAGGGAAGTTATTTTATTTTATTTTATTTTATTTTATTATTTTATTTTATTTTATTTTTTGAGATAGAGTCTCGCTCTATTTCCCAGGCTGGAGTGCAGTGGTGTGATCTCAGCTCAGTGCAAGCTCCACCTCCTGTGTTCACACCATTCTCCTGCCTCAACCTCCTGAGTAGCTGGGACTACAGGCACCCACCACCATGCCTGGCTAATTGTTTTTTGTATTTTTAGTAGAGATGGAAAACCAGACAGAGAAAGAGAGAGCTTGCAGAGATGGTGGCCTTCACATGGTGGGAAGAAGGGAGTCTGCTCACTTCCCATAAAGACTAGGAGATCTGTGGATCCATGGAGCTGATGACTGGAATGGACACCCAGGGAGACCTTTTAGCCTTTGCCCAATGTGAGTTCTAGTTTAGTGAGACTCCCCTGGTTGGGTGCTGATGACTTTTTAGAGGAGAAGGAAATGTGCAAAGATGAAGTTCAGGATCCAGGCATGAGATAAGAAGTATTGGATCTTATATAATCTACTTTAGATCATTTACCTTTTATTTGGAAACAATCATAGAATGTCTCATTTGGAGGGGTAATTACACAAGGTTTAATGCTGATTAGGTAGAGGGAATAGTTCTCTATATGGTATTCTTTCTGCTACAGCCTAAGTGACCATTGGACTCTCTTCTCAAGGGATTTCTGGAGTCAGTTTTGAAAGAATTAAGATGTTATATTTTAAAAATATATTACACGTCTAGCAAGTGGATGAGTGTGTTGTGCGTGGTCTGTGTGTCTGTGTGTGTGTGCATTGTCTGATTAATGAATGAATCCTGGCCCCTCACTACCTAGTTAATTTACTAAACCTCTCTATGCCTCAGTTTCTTTCCCATGAAATAAAGATAGTGACACTTACCTGGCAGGATTATCAAAAGAAGTAAATATTATTTTTTTAAAAAACTACTTTGTGCAGTGCCTAGCATATGGTATGCACCCAAATAATGTTAGTTCTCTTTCCTCTTTTCTATTGACAGTCACCTAGCAAAGAATAGCACTTTAGGGGACACTGGGCAGGGGGACACAGAAAGCTGGACGTTAGGGCACCACCTCAGCCTGAAGGGACAGCTCAGTTAGAAACTGGAGGTCATGGGCACAATAATGTGTGTGCAATGTGCTTCAGGCACAGGAAACAAGCAGTGCCCACAGGTCAGTGAATACGGTCAGAGCTTTGGTCCATATGACCATTTCACTCCTCTTTGCAGAGAACTGGGCTTTGCAAGGGGCCCATGGTAGCCAATAGGAGGTGACAATCCATCCACTAAAATGAAGGAAGTGGGAAGTGTGACGATGAGGAGAGGAAGAAACAAACTTCCCTGATTAGAACCCTTGGCCTTTGGAGGGTTCTTGTGCTTCCAACAGTCTCTTTTGTTAGGTGATTTGACAATGGAAGGCAGTACAATGGCAGAACTGAGTACACACAACCCCTGGTTTATGTAGTCAAAGAGGGAGATGAAAACTGAGCGCAGGGCTTCACTGTTGAATATCATTCCCCCAGCAAGACAATGCCTCGTTTGAATATTTGTTCTTAGTCACTATTTGTTTTTATTCTGAGCAGCCATTAACCTCCTACTATTTTTCCATCTTTTATAATAAAAATAGCAGTGTTGGAAAGGATAACAACACTCCCAGCACGGAACCCTCCCCGTACAGTGTTCTGCATGACAATGAAGGAATGAAAATGACAGACACTCCTGTGCAGAATGATAAGGCCACAGGGGCAGGCGGGACCCAGGTGACCGAATAAAGCTTCTGGTATAGGTTTTGGGAATTCGCCATTATGAAACCATCCTCCAAAGAACGTAGCTACAAAAATAATAGGTGATTAATTAACAATTGGGCAGGAATACTTCAGTCCCTAATAAGCTCCTTGCCCATGATACACAAATTGCTGAAACCCAGGGAGTCCCCTGGGGATGTGCATCCTAACAAAGGAGGCCAGGAGTTCTGACCACATTGCTAGAAAATACCCAGAGTGATCTAGGGGAGACAGAGCCCAAGAGAAGTCACCAACTGCAATTTCTCTGCAGCAGCCTCACACCCAGCCACTAATTTTCCACCCTGATTTCGGCTTTGTGAGTACACTTTGATATGTTCATGATTCCTGCACAGACCTGGACCGCATCAACCCAGCATTTGAGTCTTCCCAGTACAGGGTCTTGTGGATGCCAGGATAGTCTAGTAGACATGTGATCCTAAGATAGGATTTGATGGCCACATAGACATAGCCTCAGTCACCAAGGACTTACTGCCTGACCCTGAGTCATTAAATCTAACCTTAGGGGCAAGAGTTTGTCTGGGATTTTGATTTCCATGTATTAGCAAATCCTTTTGTACATTTTTTGTGCAATAAATAAATAGGTAAATGAGAGCCCAAAGGCCTATTTTGCCACCACAGATTTGCTAACTGTTTTCTACTCTTTCTGTCCTCCTCTAAATTCTCCTCATCCTTCCCTCACTCTCTGTAGATGAACTCCATCAACTTTTCTCTTTCACTTCCTCAAAACAATTATCTACCTCCTCTGAACTATAACCTTCTCAATATGGATTAGATAGACATAGGTTTGAGTCCTGACCCCAACATTTACTACCAAGGGACTGCAGGCAGGATCCTTTCCCTAACTAAGCCTCAGTTTTCCCATGCATACAGTGGAGAATATAGTACCCCCTCAACATGCTGTTGTGAAGGTTAAATGCAACAAATATTATTTTATAATTAATATTGTATTCCCAACATTGTTAACCAAATAACAGGAGCTTTTCTTTGAATGCAATCTCAGCTTGCCTACGTCCACTCTTCCCTTATCTTCCTAGGCCTTCTTCTATGATGGATATAAAAAGCCTTAGTCATACGTGAGAGGTATCTCAAAGGCATTCAACTTTCTCCAATCCTCCAGATGGACATGCTTTCTTTATTTCTGAAACACCAGGGGACTCCACACTATTCTTGTGACACTTACCTTATTCTATCACACTTCTCCGCCTTGTACCTGCTACTGGGTTAAAAAGATCTAGAAAACTGGAAACAGGTGACACAATATCCAGCCATGATATGACATCAATAAGTTTGTTTTGATCTGCATTATCTTAAAGCTTCCTGATTATTTGGGGCTACAATGACATTTAAGTTAATTGGATTCAAACTAAGAGGATGTGAATGTTGCTTAAGATCAGGGCATTTAAGCACTCATTATTGATGAGACCAAGGCTAGGGAATGGGTATGGAGATCCTGAGTGGACACTGAGGATGACAATAGTTTTAAAAAGAAAAGAAAGTGTGGCTTTTCCTCTCCTGGAAGGGGGAAGATGGATGGTGGCCACATAGACACAGGAAGGGCCAGTGTTAGTCTGGTCAACTTCTCACTGCCTTCAGTTCATCCCATGCTCATAATACTTACTCAGGGCTCCTGTGTCTTCCCTCAATGGCAGATAGTCCTTTACACCTAATATAACTTCATCCCCATCTCTGAGGGTTCTTCTGGGTTTAGGAGACCATTCCCTCGACTCCTTATTTCTCCCATCTCTGAATCACAGGGAACCCTATGGTCTGAACATCCCCCTACCCTTAACTGTAGATTGTCCCATATTGTTCTCTCTCTAAAGCATGAACCCTCAGAGGCAGACACCATATTTTCCCTTCCTTTGCTTGATTCATGGCCAGCCACAAAGCCGGTCCTTAAGAAATACTTGTTCCAAGACTGATGGGTTGAGAGTCCCACTTACAAATGGAGGTTATCCTCAATGATATAAGACACTGTCAGTCTGATGACTCTGAGATGTCAACAATAAAAACTGTTAACAAGTAAAGGGAAAAGCTGTAAGACCTATTTTATATTTTGTGCACTAAAAAGGCTGGCAGTTTAACTCAATTTCATCAGGAAATTTTGCAGAGCTTTGTTGTTGTTGTTGTTGTTTGCATGATTTTAAATAAGCTCCATCCATTAAACTGTTATGCACATGTGGATAGCACCAGTGGATTTCCTGCACAGAACCAAGAGCAGGGAAAACCTAAGCGCCACAGCAGTCCTTGGAATCCCTGAATTGTTAGCAGGTTTACTAACTGGCAGCCTGAAGGCAATCTATTTTATTAAGAGATTGAAAAATAGTTTAAAAAACCAGCACGTGAAGATTTCAATCAGAAATAGATGGGCACTTTTTAAACTGCAATTGGTTTCTAAAGAATGGGCAAGATAAGAATTGATAGAGGTGAATAGCTATCAAAACGTGGGGTGAAAAAATGAAGCAAATTGCCACCTACTTGAAGTGAATAGCTCTTGTAATGTAATGGGTTTTAAACTTTAAAATTGTTTTGTTCTCTGACATACATAACCATGGAAGGCTGGATTGAGAGTGTTTATTGGTTTTTTCCAATGGAAGGTTGCCTGTTTGGTATTTGAATAATAATCTCTATATAAAAATATGGTAATGTAATTATGCTAACTAGTATTTTCTATAATTCAAGACTCTGTTTATAATAATGTATCATATTTTGCAGTCAGGTAGGAATCCATTTGTCCCCTCCACCTGGGCCTGGAGATAGGAAGAGAAACTTTAATATACAGTTCTCTGCAATCAGGTCCTCTCTGGAGTTAGTTTCCCAGAAGATGATACAATAAATCTTACCAGAAATACCTTCATTTACCACATGCTGCCAAGTGGAGATGAAGCTGATTCTTCAAAATTTCGCAGATAAAGTTGCTTTGATCAAACTCACAGATGGAAACATGCTAGCAGGAAGATATTAGCCCAACTCAAAGGCAAAGGAAATGAGAGAGGAGCTTAAATTACTTTGGGGAAAAGGAATAGAATAGGTCAATTACATTTATTATTACACAGTGTGTTATTGAGAAATCTGTGCATGAAAAATGAGTATTTCATCAGCTAGTATTATAATATCACACACACCAAAATTTTAAGTTGCAGGATGGCTCTATACTAGATTGAGTTCTCTTTTAAATTGGCATGGTACTAAGACAATTTTGGCAAGACTGCTGTTCTTATTTTTACACTAAGAATAATAGCACTGATGGAGTCCCTTTAACCTCCCAGCTGAAGAGTTTGCCTTTGGCTGGGACATAAACTCCAAAAATACTGATTAATAGAGAAAGAGCAATCCACTGGATAGTGCCTAGTGGCTTGTCCCAGGACTCTATATCAACCTGTTCTGGTCAAGAGCCTTAATAACTAGGGTGAAGATACAAAAAGCAGAGTATACAAAACCACAGTTTAAGTAAAGTGGTAAATATATAGGAAGGTATGTTGCAATCCAAACTGGTTTCCATGGCTAGCAAAAGTGGGCCTGATTTAACCTATTAAAATGTACATGGATAAATATAAATTCCTATATTTAGGTTTCTCAAAAACTCACAATCAAAGAGCACAGGACAGGGAAGATGTGACTAAACAGCAGCATATGACATGCCAGAGGAGCTTTAAAAGCTTTGGAGCTCTATTACTATTAATAGAGCCCCAAAGACCATGACCAGACAGAGGGAGGTGATACTGAACGTAACACACTTCGAGTTTTGTGTTACATTTGGGGGTACCACCTTTTAATAAAGAAGTTGATAAATTGGAGTAAAATGTCCAGAATGGTGAATGAGCAGTGACTGAAAAAAATTACGTTGTTTATGTTAAAAAGAACAGTCTGTTTTCAAATAGGTTAGAGGCAATCAGGTCAATGTGCAAATGGACTTATTCTGGGTGATTCCAGAAAGCAGATGCAGTTCCAGTAACAGCATGGATCTATAGACCACCTTCTCTGTCCTTTGATGACCCCCAAGTTTGTATTTCTTAACTAGGGCAACAGTAATGGTAATTTATCCACAGAGGGAAGAGCTGGAAAGGAGGGAATTTAGAGAAAACCCAAGAACACTGCAGGTCAATCTTTACAGGAACAGAGACCAAACCCTTTCAAACAGTCTTCATTCCCTTTCCCTCTATCACTTCTTTCTTCTCTCATATCTCCTCTCCCTACAATTTTTTTCTCCTCATAAACGAGTCTTGAAAACAGTGAACTGACCAGGAAAAGTATGTTGATTCAAACCTCTTACAGCATCCTGGTTACCTTTCTATTTTTGTTCCATCACAGTGACAGGCGATTTGAGGTGATGATAAATCCACGCATTTAAAGCCTTGATTGCCTGAATAAATAGATTGGATAGCTTCAGTAATTGGATAATTAAAGCAGAAGCTGAGTAAGGATGGCTGGAGATTTCTTTCTTTTTTTTTAAGCCGAAACCAAAGCTGTGGGAGTAGAAAAGGTTAAAACCAAAAAACAATGCATATTCACATCAAAAGGTGGGTGCAAGGGAAAGGGGATAGAATTCCACTGAACTGAGATTCAAATGTCAAAGGAAGACACATTTGAACTTTGTCTCCCAAAGCATGTTGGTCCTCCGCTCAGGATTCTAGGTTGGGCCACACAGGAGACCAGAGACTGGAGCCCCTCTTCTGAATAAGCGCTCTTCCCACTGCCTGGCCCACCCCACTTCCCACACACACAGGCACGTATAGATGTACGCGCTAATGGACGCACGCATGAGTGCGCATCCCTCTGCTTTGCCCTTTATTTTCATCTTTCCATTTCTCTCCGATTTTTATTGCCCTTTCAACATAGTGCTTGAAGCCTGTGGTTGGACTCCCAAATCTGTAAAAAGCTACCAGAGAGGGAATTCACTAAGGCACTCCTCCTGTCTGTACACCCAAGGGAGCAGGAAAGAAAGCAGGGCCAAGGTGCAGGCACATCCTTGTTTCCAGATGGTGGAAACCAGCCTCATAGAGAGAGTCATGCACCCAGGACCCCACTGCCAGACAAGGAAGTTAAGCTGTTTTCTCTGCTTGTGGAGAGTCAGATGAGCCTCTCTCCTGGAGCCAGGCATGCCCAACCAGCACCAGATCACTGCACAGAGCCCCACCTCCTTCAAGCCTCGCATCTGGGAGTGGCCCATCCGCTCCAGCTGCTAGCCACCCTCATGTCATGCGGTCTATCATCCCCATGCACACCAGCCTGCACTGGAGGTGGTTAAGTGGTGGCCATGCAAGAACTCGGTCACCGCCCTCCAGCCGCACCAGCAGTTGTTGTGTTGTGTGCTTACTATGCACTGCCTAAGCTCCAATCTCAGCAGGCAGTTGTGTTGAGTGCTCACTATGTCGGACGCTGTGCTAAGCACATCCTCGATGTCTTGGCCCTCAAAAATCACTTGTTGTTTCCCATTTTGTTGATAAGAAAATTGAAACCTGAAGAGGATAATTAACTTCTTGGCAGATAATAACTCCAAGTATGAGGATTCATATTCATACTGAGCAAAATACATGCTCTTAATGTATGCGATACCCTGCTGTCTTCCAAAGGCCTAGAAATCTTGGGTTATAAATATACTTACCCCCTTGACTTCCTATTGCCCTTCTATCTACAGTCATACATCCAACAAAACATTTATTAAGCCCTTACTATATATGAGGGTCTGTGCTTGGACTGAAACTGTAGAAGGGAACATCAGAATGGTGATCTCAACGACATGGAGAGGCAAAAATAAAGACTTTCAGTAAGTATACAATGTAGTAAGTTCTTAACTATGGTAGGTACTCAGCGAATATTTGTTGGATTTGATTGATTAAATTATTTTAATTAAACCTCCACAAATCATTCCCCTGAGAGCAGGCAGCCATTCAGCATCTCTCTGCATGACTGGTTGAGGCAGGATGAGGGGGTAGGGTGGGATTGGAGTAAGGAAGTCTCTTCTATTCCTATTGCAACCACAAGCTGGCCTGAAAAATACAAAGAAATATTTTTTATTCCACAGCTAGCAGAATTTACCTCCTGTTATCTGTATCTACACATACAAACTAGTTCGAGAGGGTTCAGGGGAAAGTTAAAGAAAGGCTCAGTGTGTGTTTGGGTGTTCATACATGTGTGTGTGCAAGAGAAAGAGCAAAAGTGAGAGCAAAAGAGAGAGAGAAGGAGAGAGATCTTTGTTTAAGACTGTGTTTAAGATGATTTATAATAGCCAAAGCAACTGTTTAAAACAAACCTATCCCGCTAGAGGCTAAACAATTCCATTTCTACTCAAACAAACTGTGAATGAATTGTGTCCCTCAGAAAGGAAACCAGGAATAAAAATATCCTAATGATCTAGCAAGAAAGTTGAAATTAAAGCCTTATCTATATCTATGATAGGAAAATGGACAGGAATACTGGCCATCTTCCTGTCATTTAAGAATTCCTGTCCATATAAGAATTCATCAAGGAGCTGTGGGGGACATACATGTAGTTCATTATTCCCCATATCAGGCATTAGGCACTTTCTGAACAATATCTCCTTTAATTTTCCCAGTGATTCTCTGTACCTCCAATGTTACCTAGGGCCTATAACCTGTCAAGAGTAAGAGAAGACAGTGGCAGCCCTGGTATTAAAACCCAGACAGGCTAGACATGATAGATTATGCCTGTAATCCCAGAACTTTGGGAGTTCCAAGAAGGGAGGATCACTTGAGGGCCGGAGTTGGAGACCAGCCTAGGCAATATGGCCAGGTGCCATCTCTATAAAAATAAAAATTAAAAAATTAGCTGGGCATGGTGCACACCTAGCTACTTGGGAGGCTGAGGAGGGAGGATTGCTTGAGCCCAGAAGTTTGAGGTTACAGTGAACTATGGAGGCACCACTGTACTCCAGCCTGGGCAACAGAGCAAGACTCTATCTCTTAAAAAAAATGCCAGGCAAAGTTGCCTGGTTTGCTTGTCAGATTTCACCATGTTGTTAACTTAGATACTAACCTGGTTACTAAAGGATTAGCTAAGGCATTTGGCTCTCAGAGAAGTGTTCAGTAAAAAAACTCTACTGATTCTCATGCTATGTATATATTCTGATTTTTTTTTTGTTTTCTTTTTGAAAAACTGTCAATGAACAGCTATTTATTGCACATCTACAATATGTTTGGCACCATGGTAGGTGTTGAGGATTCATGGAGGAACACAACCAACCTGTTTCTTGCTCTTATGATGCTCACAGTCTAGTGAGGAAGAAATGCCAATGAAATAATTACATATAATTAGCTAAATAATTATACACTGGTCTCTGCTCTGCTGCACTAAGGAAAAACACGAAAAAGAGTTTTGCCCACATTTGGTGGAGAGTTTGGAAGGGAATGGCACCACATCCACATCAGCACAGTGTTGGGGGTGAGGGAGACACAGGAATCCCAGTTTGCAAGAACCCAACAGAGAAGAGACCACTCCAGGGAAAGACTTGACACCAGTTGGCCTTTTACACCTGGAAAGTCTTCCCTCAGGCTCTACCCTGCACAGAGCAATCCTTGGAGACTCTATGCTTTTTTTCTCATAAGTAAGACCATTTCCTTACAGGAGAGTAATTCAGCATTGGAAAGCTAGTTGCAGTGCCCTGTGACTGGTTTAACTGAGTGTTTCCCTTTTGCATGAATTGCTCTGGCATTATTTAAGCCCAGTCATAATATTGTGGTTCACCGGAAGCTAAAAAGAGGCCTGTGTAGGTTGATCAAATCATGATCTAATGAAAATGGATGGCTGGCTCTTCCAAAGGAGTATGAATATGGGCCACCTCTGGGCAACTTAGCCCTAGAACCTTGCTATGCAAACACTGTTTCAGAGAAATCATTTTTCAAGTTTTTTTTTTTTTAATTTTCTTCATGACATCTGGACTAAATCCAGCAGTGTTGCTCTGTGACTTTTTCCAACATATACAGAGAACCCCATGTGGCTGTCCTCTAACACTCCATTCTCCACTACCCCCACCTCAGCCAGGTTTGTCAACAGACACTTACTCCAAGACCATAGAGATGAGAAGTTGGGTAGTCTGGGTTTCCTTTCACTCCTCACCAGCAGAGCTGTTCCAGCTTGTTGGAAATCAGAACGTGTCTCTGGGTGCCAGACCACATGTCCACATCAGCAGTTTAGTGGAAGGTGAACCCAGTAAGCCTAGGCAGGGGGAGGCAAACCTACCAGAGGACATGGGCTGAAGACTACAGCTTTAAAAGTGTGTTCCTGACTTAGTAGACAGAATTCCAAGAATGAGACATTCCTAACTGGAGTCCTGGCACTATCACTTACAAGGTACATGACGTTTGGAAAACTGATCTCTCTCAAAGCTTCCATTTTCTCATCTGTAATGAGGGGAGTAATAGAACTTACATAAAAAATAAAGCACTTGGAGCAACCCAGAACACAGAGACATTATGCAATAAAGGGAAACGGCTGTTGCTATTGTCACTTAAGTCATAGGTGAGAACCTACCAGGAATTGAGACACTTTGAGTCCTTAGGTCTCAGTCCAGCATTGCTCTAGGACTCAAATGCCGGGAGAATAAAAAGACAATAAACAGCATCCTCCCTGAGGATCATCCAGGCTGCCGTGTTCGTGCTTCATTGTGTTTTGATCTGCCATTGACTGACTTCTCTATTTCTGGTCTCCTATTTTTGCCCAATCTCTGGAGCTGAACTGTGGATTTGAAACCATCTGACTGCTTCTGCCTGCTCCCAACTGTCCCTTCCCTCGGACAGCCATGCCCTCTCTTTTTCCACTTTGGCTGTCTTTGACTGCATTCTACTTATGCCAATGTTCCAGCCTCACTGCTCAGAAAAATAACAAGGTGCCTTTTTAAAATGTAGTTTTACATAATTTTTCAGCTTGGGAAATGCTAAGAAATGGCTCTTTCAAGCAGAGATTCCAAGGATAAGTCTACATGTGCCCTCTTGTGGAGGGGCATGATATTCAAATGATTTGGAAATGGAATAAAATCCAAACGGGCTGCCATTTCTCTGCCCTCACACTCCCCTTTTCTCCACCCAGTCAAAACCCTAAAAGAAGAATGCCATAGCCATTACCCAGGACCGCCATGGATCTTGGCTTCAGGAGACAGGGTGAGAGAACACTCCTAAGTGTGGGACCACCAGTGCTTAGTGCTGGAAGGGCAGTAAGACAAGGAGGCCTAGGAGGAATCTGGTCTGTTTGGCTTCAGTGAGAGAGCCAAGTTCAACTTTTCTCTGTGTTTGTGTGCATGCACACGTGCACGCATGCCCATACATGTGTGTTTGTGACATCTACATGGATGGATGCCAGAGGGCAAGGAGGTACTCTGGCCACAGAAACCAGGAATGAGGAAGCATTTTAGGTTTAATCTTGGCTTTCCTTCCCAGCCCAGATGAATTTAGGAATTTGCTCTCTCAGAAACAATATGAAGCATGCACTGCATTTGGGGGCCTCCAGTGCATTTTCAGGGCTAAAGAAATGAAACGAGAAGATTGAAGAGGGAAACTTTATTTTCTAATGTCATCCCTTGGCATTTGATTTGGGATTCTGTTAATTGCTGAACAAGGAGAAACATGAAAAAAGTAGACAACAGACCCCGGAGTGCTATTAGTGATGGGAGTGTGACCTGGGAGAACTGGCTGTCCTATTCCAGGCTGACAAGGAAGATGTATCATATCTGGCTTGTTGTGGAGGAAAAACTAGCCTTTCCTAGCTTTTACCAACACAATTTCCCGTACCTGAGAAGGAGCAGAGCATGCAGATCCAAGTTTGAATACTGGCTTTGCTCCTTACCTGCTATGTGGTCTTGGGCAAGTTATTTAACTGATGTGAGCCTCAGTTTCCTTGTTGATAAAATGAGGATAGGACTATTCAAAGGCTTTGTGGTAGTATGCTAGCACTGCCATCACAAAGTGCCGCAAACTGGATGGCTTAAATAACAGAAATTTATTGTCTCACACTTCTGGTGTCCAGAAGTCAGAGATCAAGGTATTGATAGAGTTCATTCCTTCTGAGACTGTGAGGAAGATTCTGTTCCATGTCTCTCCTCTTGCTTCTGGTGGTTTGCTGGCAATCTTTGACTTTCGTTGGCATGTCAAGGCATCACTCAGATCTCTGCCTTCATCCTCACACAGTATTCTCCCTTTGTGTATGTCTCTATATCCAAATTTCCTCTTTTTATTAAGACACAGGTTATGTTGGATTAGGAGCCCACCCTACTCCATTATAACCTTATCTTAACTCATTACATCTGGGATAAACTTATTTCCAAATAAGATTATACTCTAATATATTAAGAGTTAGGACTTCAACATATGAATTTTGGGAAGATACAATCAATTCATAAAAGGCTTGTCAGAAAAAAAAGTGAGATGTATATAAAGCTTAATTACAAATTAAGTGTTCCATAAAGGAAGCTACTATCACTATTGTTATTGTTTGCTAAGCCTTCATTTGCTAAAGATTTATCTTTAACTAAGTCAGGTAGCTAGAAAAAAATTCCCTCCTGTATACATCAACCATATTGTCTAGGTTGCCCAGGATGTGTCTGTGCATGGGGATTGGCAGGTGCTAGGTTGTTGAAGCTTTTAGACTGTGTCTACACAATGTCAATATGTGGGCCAGCTGTGCACATATGTATGGTTTTATATGTGCATGTTTTGAAAACTATTTGGGAAAGTCTCCTTGCTCCAAAGTCTAAACCCACTGAAATTTAACCATGAGATTTATCCTTGTTTCAAATTAACAGTTTCCCCAGTATATTAGTTGGCAGTGTAGGTTCACTGAAGGGGAAGGGGAAGGTGAAGGTTTACATTCTGAAGATTCACTGAAAATCACTGACAAGAGGCAAACTAATAGGAGAAGAGGCATATAAATGTGTGTGATCATAGTTTTCCATGACTTGTGAGCTTTCAAAATGAAGACCCAAAGATGCAGGGAAAACTGTCTATTTTTATGCTTAGGTTCAGCAAAGTAAGGATAACTATGTAGAAATACAACTGGACAAAAAAAGGCATCATCTGATGCTAATGGACTGATTGGGGATGCCCAGTAAGGCCTGTCTGTCTAGATTCTTCTTGGCCTCTTTGAACACACAATCTTTCCGTGGATGTGTGGCAGAACTGTCTCTGGAATGGGGGTCTTATGACCTACAGTCAAAGAAGATAGGTCAGATAATTTCTTGATGGCCATCTTGATTTACACAGAAAGGCAGTGGGGGTGGGGGAAGAGTTAGAGTAATCTTTGTAGGTTTTATGGCTGGATTGGGGGAAATGGAGTTCTAGTTTCTGTGATCTTCTGTAGGGCAGAGGGGTTCTAGTTTCTATGGCTAGCCTTGGGAAGAATGAGAGGCAGAGAGAGGAGGGCAGGTCAGAGAAAGACTTTTGCTTCTGAGGGATTTGTTTTGGGGTATGTTTTTCTGAGACCCTACATCAGTCACTCAGATCTCATTTTGAATAAGGGTGTAAGGCATTCCCTCTCTTCATTTGAAATAATAATAGTCAGCTGGGTGCAGAGGCTCTTTGAAAGGGAAGGAGAAAGAAGCCTATCCAGAGTAGTCTTTTCCATAATCCAGGCCTTAGGGAGAGAAAACAGGTGCAATTAGCAGTACAAAATTCCTGGAAACACACATGGAGAGTGGGTCCCTGGAAAAAGTAAAGAGGACAAGGGAGAAGAAATGGAAGCACAGTAGAGTAACCATTACCAATGCTGCAAATTTGTTTCTATCATAAAGAAAGTTTGGATCCTCTGTGGAACCATCAGCAATGTATCTGAAGGCAGACTTTTGTGCGTGTACTGAAGAACCAACTGGAAGCCCTGTTCTAAGGTTTTCTGAGGTGTTAACAGCAATCCTAGAGATAAGACAAGTTGAGAGCTCTGGCTAGGGAGTCTGGAAGCTGAAGCTCTGCTCCTGCTTTGTGGCAATCTTGTAGGTTTTCTTATCTGTAAAGTGAGTGGATGCACTACCTTCTCCCTGTGGACCCTGCCAGTTCTGACATACTTTGATATTCTGATCCTGGCTCAGACCCCACTCCAGCCCCAAAGTCAGTAAGAAAGAAATTCTGCTGAATTCTGTCATGAAGGATAATGCTATCCCCAGCATAGGTTTCTTCCTGGCTGGATCTGAAATAGGTTTTCAGAAGGGGGAAAATAAAGAAGAAAAGATGATCTGTCCATATTTAAAAAGGAGTGAGTTGCCGTTGGATGGAAACCTGAACTGGGCTTGTGCATGCCTGTCTTTGAAGTGTGGAAAGGCACTATCATGTGAGTGAATATGATGAATTAGGCTATTTGATTAAGCAGGATGAAACTGGTGAGCCAGCTTTCTCTATTTCATTTTATCTAATGGCTGTAATCAGAAATCATGCCATCATCTCTTTAAAAGTGGGAGCCAGTGGCGAGCCGCACAGGTAGGTGTGCATCGACAGCTCTTTTTAAAGCTACTTCTCTCAGGGAGCCTATGAGAGGTGGAGAAAGTGGAGAGGTCTCTACCAACATCAAAGTCATTAGATCACGTTGTCAATTCAGCTAATAGCCCATTGGTTCAATTTCCTTTTGTAAACTTGGATTTGATAGCCAGTATCTAATACAATGACTGGTACCAAGTAATGTGCTTCGAAAATATTTGTTAAATGAATTAATGAGTGAATGGAACTATGAAGGAATGCAAAACAAATGGATGATGGGAATCTTGTAGGTAAGGGAGTAAATGTGCAGATGTTTAACTCTTTGTGGCAAATTGACATGCTTTTTTTTTTTTTTTTTTTTTTTAAGACGGAGTCTTGCTCTGTTCCCCAGGCTGAAGTGCAGTGGCACAACGTTGGCTCACCGAAACCTCCGCCTCCCAGGTTCAAGCAATTCTCTTGCCTCAGCCTCCCAAGTAGCTGGGACTACAGGCATGCACCACCATGCCTGGCTAATTTTTATATTTTTAGTAGATATGTGGTTTCACTATGTTGGCCAGGCAGATCTCGAACTCCTGACCTCATGATCTGCCCGCCTCAGCCTTCCAAAGTGCTGGGATTACAGGCGTGAGCCACCAAGCCTGGCCTGACACCATTTTTGATAGGACGTAAGAGACATTTGTGATGGAGGATCCAACTGTTTATTCTTTAGTGATAAAAACAAAGATGCCTACATTTGAGTCTGTGGTGGTCTTTTCTTCACTTGCTGTGTAAACTTGGGGAGATTGCCCAATCTCTCTCTGCTTGTTTTCTCATCTTTAAAACAAGAATAATAAGAATACCAACCTAGCTCATAGGAATGATTGAAAGATTGAATGAGTAATATGTGCAAACATTAATTGAAGTTAGTGGCCCAACAAGCTACAGATTAGGTTAGATGAGAATAGAGTTGGCCCTATGCAGATATCACAGATGGAGTAGGCAGTTGCCTTTATGGCATGATATCAAGAGGCAGATGAGGCCCTTCCCTCCCAAATATTATCCCACTAACCTGTAGTGTGCCTAAAATTCCTACTCTTAGAATTCTCTTTGAGCTAAAGAAAATGCCTAGAGAAGCCACATTAGTAACACGTGGAAAGGAACACTTTCAGGAAAGTGGTTCTTTTGGGAAATAACCACTGATTATTCTACCTTCAGAAGGCAGAGCAGTAAGCAAAGACATTAAAGCCTTGGCTTTGGAGTCACTGGGTTCTAACTTAGGCTATATAATTTTCTCCAAAATCTTAGTGTTCTCCATTATAAAGGATTAATGATATTTACCTCTTGCTGTCACCATGGGGATAATATGAGATAATGTAAGTGAAACCCCTGGCACACAGGGTTCACGCTCAGTTAAAGAGTGTGATTATTGTTAATATAATTGTTCTCTCATTGAATATGTTCAGAAGATCATTGTTATGGATAGAATGTTTGTGCCCTCCTCATTCATATGTTGAAGCCCTAACCCCATATATGATGGGTTTTGGATTTGGAGCTCTTGTGAGGTGATTAGGTTAAGATGTGGTCATTAGGGTGGAGCCCCTATGATGGGATTAGTGTCCTTATAAGAAGAGAAAAAGACCAGAGCTCTCTCTTTCCACCACATAAGAACACAGTGAGAAAGTAGCTGTCTGCAAGCCAGGAAGAAAGCCCTCACCAAAGACCCAACAATGCTGGCACCCTTGTCTTAGACTTCCAGCCACCAGAACTGTGAGAGAAACTGTCTTTTGTTTAAGTCATCCAATTGATGATATTTGTTATAGCTGCCCAAGCTGACCAATACAAACATGAAAAGCAGATCTATCTATCAATACTATTTGGAGTAGTATCAGCATTATTGAAATAGCTTCAGCTCCCAAAATGTCCACTTTAAAGGACACAACTCATCTTCTTGCAGCCCTTTCCCCACCTCGCACAGGTCTGTGCAGTATTGACTGGTCCACACTATAGGTGACTACTGAAATGAATAGGGGGTTAGGGAAGACCACTGGAAAGAAGTAGTCCCAAAATGGGGCTCAGCAAGATGAATAGGACAGAATAGGAAATGGGAAGAGAGGTCATTCCTGCTTCCTTGTGACTGTCAGCATTTTCATGAGCCCTCGGCTTCCTATCTCCTTCCCTCTCCCCCTCCCCACCCTGCTTCTCATCCCCACCTCCACTTTGTCCTAAAAGAAGCAGAGGAAGAGAGACTCATTCTCCTCTGGAAACCTGTTTTTGATTCATTGATTTGGTCTCAGCACTTTCTAGTTTGGGATGTTGGGAGGCTGCTTCATGTGCTTGTTCTTTGGCCATAGCTCCTGGTGGGAGGGATGGGGGGTGGGGGTAGTCAGTCACCTCCCCTGGGAGCTGCCCAGACTCAAGGAGGGAGTATCAAGCTAGAAAATGCAAGGGCACACAAATTCTAGCCTTTTGCTGGTTTTAGAAATCATCTTTCTCTTTTGATGACAACCTTACCTGGCTTCTTTGCCCCAAGCTAGCATCAAGGACACCACTCTGTGTGGAGACAGTGACCTCCGGATAACCAGGTATTCCGCTTTCACTTTTCCAAAGTGAAGATGTGAAGCCAGAGAGGAGAGGAGAAACAGACACATACAAAACAATTCAGTGCACTACCATGTTTGGGTTGCTGCAGAGAAAGGGGTTAAATGGGTATTTTCTTCTCATATCTTACTGAGATCACTTTATGACTCCAATCTCAAGGGAAATGAGCAGTTTGCACATTTACTGTTTCCTATCAGTCGACCATCTGTAGGCACCACCTTTCACAAAGAGCTTATACATTAACTGGTCACTTTATCATTGTAATATATTTGAAAAATCAAAAACCAGCTGCTATAAAGCTATAAACTGAGGATTTTATTACATATTGTTTATCATTGCTTTAGTATTTGGAGATTCATAATGCATGGACTTTGAGATCTATCTGTATTGCCAAGGAGGCCGAAGTTTATTTCCCTAATAATATGCAAATGGAGCCTTTATACCAGATAATGAATAATCACTAGATTAAAGCCTGAATTTTCTTTTAGTGGTACTGGCAGTGCAGCCTTTTGCATGCAGTTAATAATTAATTTAAAGAATTACCACTTCAGTGAGCCCTGCTTACATTATTTATTAAGTGTAATTAAAGTATTTATTAGTCAAGTAATAAATGAGGGACAACCCTCTGCACCTTAACAGTGTTGTAAAATAATCACAGACTATGTTTATCTGCAAAACAAGACTGAGTATGGCTCAAGTGTGTTAATAGATTATCCATGATCATTGCTGTGTTATCAGCATACCTCAGCAATGAGTGTATGACTGGCACACCCACCTGCTTCTATTCTAGGCAAAAAGGGTGCCTTGGCTTTTTATTTTTGTTGATTTGTATATGTTGATTTAGAAGCAAAATAAAGGGGATTTCTTGGTTCAAGCTTACATCCCTTCCCAAAATCTACCATGTTGCTTGCAGCTTAAACAGCTAATCCAACATTGTGACCTTAGAATTTCTGAAAGGCTGCTGAAAGCATTGTCAAGAATTAAGATGCCTATATAATTCATTTCTCAAACCATGACAGTTTGTACAATGAAAGAAGGTTAATTAATAATATGTAAACTGGGAGAGCTCTAGGTAAACCAGAAATTAGCATGGACTTTTTCCAGAAGTTATCATGGCCTTTAGATGGGTTGTTTTCAGTAATGAAAACACATGAAATGATTTGAGAAAGAAATGACATGAGAATCAGCTTCTACTAACTGCCACTCCACATGCAGAATTTTAGATAAAACCTAGAGCTCTGCCTTCCCTCAATTTCAAGTCCTGTTGCTCTGCGCAGACTCTTCCCCAAAAAACCTGCCCTTGTCCCTCCATCCAGAAGTGACAGCTCCTCCCTCTAACTCCCACCTCATTGCTTACTCTTCTCTGGGTGCATATCTCACTGGCTTGCAGCATCTTCATTCATGTATTTATTTTTAACTCCACTCCATGAAGAGACTGCAAATTCTTTGAGGAAAGAGACAGACTGTATTTGCAGATTTTTAGATCTTCAAACATTTTTACCCTGGTGCCTTGCTAAAAGTAGGTACCCAGTAAATATTTACTAAATAGATTTATAGTTGGAAAGCACAATCACTTTCCTTTCTGATCAGGAGAGAGAGTAAAATTTCAGTCCAGGATCACTGACCGGAATCTGTAACAGAGCAGATGGGCATGTGGAGCGGACATAAGCAGAGGAAGGTGCAGCCAGCAGGTGGCCATCCCAAAGGGCATTCAGGTCAGCTGTGAGAATCACTCAAGAGTGGGATTTAACTGGCAAATCAATGAGCAAAGCCTCAAAGCCCATTCCAGGCAGGCCAGTGCTTCATCTGCCCTGCAGTATATTGCCTGAGCATCTTTTTTCTTTGAGTCCTTTGTCTGGACAGTTCACCATCCTGTGCTCTTCAGACAAACAAGGATAAAGACTATGAAAGAGCATATAGATTGAGACTTTCCAAAGGTTAGTGGAGGGTGAGGGGCAATTCTGCAAATCCCACTTCTTCACCTATGAGAATCTCACCTATCCCACATTCCACCTCCTCTCTGAAGCCTTCTCCTGACCCCAACTCTGACCATTTCCAAAACACATTGTTCATACCTCTCATTTGGATCCTTGGCATCCTTGGGTTACTCTGCCTCATACACATAAACTTCCTGCGCCCGGGGAAAGACGATGGAGTCTCCTTTTCCTACATCTTCCCCCAGTGCTGGACACCCAGTCAGGCCTCAGCAAGTGCAGAAAGGGAAAATCAGACCTCACCCAGTTTTCCCTGACCCCTTCTTTCTCCTAACTGCCTGCTTGCTTCACTCACTTCCCAGAATCCCATCTGAAGGGTGTTTCCACTTACCAAATGATACCATCATATTAAGAAGAGAAGGAGTTGATGGGGCGTAAAAGTTAAAGGGGCTGAGTGGCATTCAGGAAAACAAACCCCAAGAATCAAACTTAGTTTTAATAGCAGCCAGCACTACTAGGCCCAAAACGTGTGGGCTTATAAACTGAATTGTCTTTGGGCCTTTTTAGAGAGCTGTTTCTAGGCGACCAACAGATTGGTCATAGATCATGTGTGCTCCAGCCTCATGCTGCAGAAGCCTCCTTCTGACCTCTTAATCAAGCTGAGAGCTGGGACACAGAGAAGAGATACACGATCACTTACAGAAACACCCAGCTGGCATCGGTCCCATGAACCATCTGCCTGTCTCACTATGGTCAGACTGTCTGCTAATGCCCGCTTCTTCTATGAACCATTTATATATTTCCCCAGCCTTTTTTAAAAAGTGGAAAACAAATAGCATTATTGGATGTGCTCTGCCTGGCTGCAGCTGTGAATCACAAAACTGGAAATCAGTCCAAGACAGAGTCAGACAGCACATTCTCTGCTTGGTTGCGGAGAGGTCCAAACTGCTGATCTAGCCTCATTTGATCTTTGATATTTTATTTATCTATAAATTTGACATGGCCCTGTTAGGAAACATCTTGCTGGTGTGCATTTTCCCATCCTTTTAGGCTTCTAAAGGGAAGGGGCCTTTGGTTTAGTCTTAACCCAGGGTCAACATTTCTTCTTGGCCTTGTCAGGAGGTAATCACTCTGAAGACAATACAACTTGAGAATTATATACAGCTGGTAGCAGCAGGGATGGGAGAGGGGTTATAGGGGTTTGACATAATTCCCCTTGGCTCTCCACTGCTTACCAGAGTCAGTAATAGATCACAAATACAGATTAGTGAACAGAACCAGATGAACTTAGGGTGGGACCCTTGACCATCATTGTTGTTCCATTCAACTAGAATTAAATGAGTACCACTGCAGGGGATAACATCACGCCCTCTGAATACAGAATGCACAATCCCCATATCTGCAAGGTTACACTCTGACAGTCTATTAATTATCTGATCAACAAGTAAATATTAACTGTAGCCTCTGTGCTTGTCTTAGTTTGAGTTACCCCAGAAGCTGACCCTGAAGATAAAGGATTTGAGTGCAAACCATTCAGTCAAGAATTGCAGGTAACACCAGGAGACAAATGGGGAAGGTAGTATGAGGAGAAAAGGCAGAGAATAAAGGGTCCATCATTTAGCCAGCTGCTACTGTGGGCCATTGGAGCCTTAACTCTTGGGGAAGCTCTGGGAAATGGTGCAAAACACATGGCTCAACCACTTCAAAGGACAAGGGAGCCACGGTGTTTATACACCAGCTCCCAAGAGCCATTGGTTTGAGGACTGCTCCTGAGGAGTAATAATTCCTTGAAGTTTTGGCCTGCCATATATAAAAACAGTAAGCTTTCCACAATTGATGCTGAAGAAAAAGAGCCTTCAAGCACAGAGAGGTCAATATTGGCAGCTGTAAGTTAGTTGAATGGTCCAGTCAACTAACCCTGACCCCTTCAGGGATTTTCAACTGAATGCCCAGTTGAAAATAGGCAGGGCCCTGAAAGAACTTGCTGAAAGCCTGTCCCTAAGAGAGGGGGTTCTCGGGGAGCAAGAAGTTGAAGATACACTTCCTGCATTCTTAATGCGTTCAATTTGGAAGAATAAAAGTATCAGAAAGCAATTCAACAATTAAATGCTAAGTGCCATAGTGAAGACTAAGAAAAATACAAATTCAAAGGAAGGAAAAATAACTATCTGATCCTTGGGAGAGTTCCATGAAAAAGCTTAGAATTAAATTAGAATTTGAAGAATGGGTAGGATTTTGTTTATTTAAAAGAGGGGAAGAAATTTCATTGTATGAAATTTTCTTATTCCCAAAATTGAATATAAAAGCCCAACTTAAAATAAATAAAAAATAATTAAATTGAGGCTAATAAGCTCCCTTTTCTCTTATTCACGTTCACATTACATCTTAGAGACAGTTTATCTATGCCTGCAATTGCACTCCAATAAACCATTTTTCTTTAAATTTCTTGGCATCTCAACTCAATAGTCAAAGATATTTACACCAGATGACTCCTAAATTCCTTTCCTATCTGAGAATTTTAAGAATTATGGTTCAGCAACAAACTATTCAAAAGACCAAGTACATTCTGTTTTGAAAGATCATATTATGGGTTCGGTTAATGATTGCTTCCCAATTTATCTGTTTGCCCTTTCTGCAAGTCAAACCTCAGTTAACCAGAACATGGTTAATCAGAACCTTAGTTAATCACAAAATTGACTGAGATGACAAAAAGCTCAGTAATCAAGACAAATCATCTTTCAATGCAATATTTTTCAAATCAAAAATATGGGGGGTACTCAAGAGTGGGGACAGCTGGGGGGATATCTGGTCACATGTCCCTTTGACAGAGGACACGATGTGTGTGTAAGAGACACTCTCAAGTTCTGATTTGATCCTGGATGAGAGGCAAGACACTGTAGAAGTTTAGCCAAAAGCTTGGACTCAGAGATGCCTGCATTTGAATCCCAGGTCTGCCATTTACTAAACAGGACAGTGCCTATAAAATATGAAACCCAGCACTTGGGGTACTAACAACCCAAAATACAAGGATAATGAAACACCAGTGAATTTTTTTAAAGTGCATTATTGCCAATCATCCAAGAGTGCACATCCCTTTGGTTTCAGTACTTATTACCACTTGACTTTACATACTATGTCCTTCATCCATTGTTTGTGTGTGAGTGAGATGGAATTTAGTATTTCTTACTGGGTACGTGACATTTTAGCCAATATCTACATTTTAGGTTCAGGGGAAACAATGCAACAAAGAAGGACTCTAACATTAGGTGAATGCCATAGAAATTAGGCCTTTAAAAAGTCTGACATTAATTTTATGTGTTTATTATTTTTCTTGTCATTTACATTTCTCTCTCCAACACCATGGACTAGAAAAACGCCATGCACTCACAAAAATGCTTCTTTGTGAGTGTGGCTCCTGGGACAGCCACTCTGTGGAGCTGGCAGTAGGTCACAAGTCAAAGCCATGAGGGGCTAAGACTCTAGCAAGACAAGGGTAAGGTCACACACATAAAAAATAGCTACACGGCAAAGGCTAAGAGCTATGAAGCTTAGCTGAGGTTGAAAGTGGTGTTTGAGGCATTCTTCAGCAGCACCAGAGATCCACAGAGATTAGAACTCAAGTGAAGGGCAATATCTTTCTCCTTTGTAGTGCTCAGGAGTGGCCCACTGAAGCAATTGCTTAGACAGCAGCCTGGCCCAGGGTGACCATATACTTAGTGTTCAACCCCGGACATCTTAGAGAGCAAGATGAGGCACTGTTAATAACTGCCTTGAGACAACTGGTGCAACCAGGAATGTCCCAGTCAAACCAGGACCTAGATCTCCTCTAGCCTTGAGGATATCTTCTGCTTTTTCACTTGGAAATTCAGACCCACCTACTCAGCTTCATTCTGCCTGGGAAGCCCAGCCCTCAAATTCCAAGGTCCCACTAGCTGTCCCCAAAACTCTCACCATTTTTCTTCCCTAGGGATGAATGGCAGGAGGCTCCCCTCTGCCTTTAGCTGTGCCCATTGCTCTCCGGCATCCCCTGGCTGAGAGCAGGAACTAGGGCAAACCAAGTGAGGCAACTCACTCTGGGCACAAAATTGACAGAGGTGACAAAAATCTCAGTAATCAGGACAAATCAGCTTCCAGGGCATTTTTAAAATCAAAAATTAATGTCAAAAATTTATGATAAGCAAAGTATCAAAATGTTTAAATAAAGACAGGATCAGTAGCAGTGCTGTGTTGAGCCAGATTGGAGCCCATAGCAAAAGGAAAAACCAGTAATACAATCCTGTCTTTAACATTTTGGTGTTTCATTTATTATAGATTTTTGCATTAACTTTCATTTTTAAATATTGTATTAAAATATTATTTGTAATTCTTGAGTATTTTTGTGATCCTGTGAACTTTGTGCCTAAGGCTAGTGTCATTCTGCGTAGATAACAATAGCTGCCACTCACTGCATCCACATGAGGTAGGGACTCAAACATGCACATCTTGCATTCACAGTGCCTCCCTTACTGAAACCTGCCCTCTCCCTCAACCAAAATTCCCATAGCAAGTTCCGCTTTCTTTTTTCTTTTCTGTTTTTTTTTTTTTTTTTTTTTTTTTTTTTTGAGACAGAGTCTCACTCTGTCACCCAGGCTGCAGTGCAGTGGCATGATCTCGGCTCACTGCAACCTCTGCCTCCCGGGTTCAAGCGATTCTTCTGCCTCAGCCTCCCGAGTAGCTGGGATTACAGGCGCATGCCACCAGGCCCAGCTAATTTTTGTATTTTTAGTAGAGACAGGGTTTCACCATGTTGGCCAGGCTGGTCTCCAACTCCAGACTTCATGATCCACCCACCTCGGCCTCCCATAGTGCTGGGATTACAGGTGTGAGCCACTGTACCCAGCCCAAGTTCTGCTTTCTTGTAGAATCAAAGAAGCTTAGAGCTGGGGAAGGGTGGGGAATCCACAATGAAACATTCTAATCCTCAACTTCCTTTTTTTTAACATGAGGATCTGAATGCATGTTAGACTAGTTAAGTGACCGATCCAGGTTCACAGAGCTGTCTGGGGCTAGCATCCATTCATTGACTAACTTAAGAAATGTCTTTTTCTTGTAAATTTGTTTAAGTTCTTTGTAGATTCTGGATATTAGCCCTTTGTCAGATGGATAGATTGCAAAAATTTTCCTCCCATTCTGTAGGTTGCCTGTTCACTCTGCTGATAGTTTCTTTTGCTATGCAAAAGCTCTTTAGTTTAATTAGATCCCATTTGTCAATTTGGCTTCTGTTCCCATTGCTTTTGGTATTTTAGACATGAAGTCTTTTCCCATGCCTATGTCCTGAATGGTATTGCCTAGGTTTTCTTAGAGGATTTTTATGGTTTTAGGTCTTACATTTAAGTCTTTAATCCACCTTGAGTTAATTTTTGTATAAGGTGTACGGAAGGGGTCCAGTTTCAGTTTTCTGCATATGGCTAGCCAGTTTTCCCAATGCCATTTATTAAATAGGGAATCCTTTCCCCATTTCTTGTTTTTGTCAAGTTTGTCAAAGAGCAGGTGGTTATAGATGTGTGGCGTTATTTCTGAGGCCTCTGTTGTGTTCCATTGGTCTATATATCTGTTTTGGTACCAGTACCATGCTGTTTTGGTTACTGTAGCCTTGTAGTATAGTTTGAAGTCAGGTAGCGTGATGCCTCCAGCTTTGATCCTTTTGCTTAGGATTGTCTTGGCAGTGCAGGCTCTTTTTTGGTTCCATATGAAGTTTAAAGTAGTTTTTTCCAATTCTGTGAAAAAGGTCAATGGTAGCTTAATGGGGATAGAATTGAATCTGTAAATTACTATGGGCAGTATGGCCATTTTCACAATATTGATTTGACCCAGCAATCCCATAACTGGGTATATACCCAAAGGATTATAAATCATTCTACTATAAAGACACATGTACACACATGTTTATTGCAGCACTATTCACAATAGCAAAGACTTGGAACCAGCCCAAATGTCCATCCACAATAGACTGGAGAAAGAAAATGTGGCACATATACACCATGGAATACTATGCAGCCATAAAGTAGGATGAGTTCATGTCCTTCACAGGGACATGGAGGAAGCTGGAAACCATCATTCTCAGCAAACAACACAGGAACAGAAAACCAAACACCACATGTTCTCACTCACAAGTGGGAGTTGAACAATGAGAACACATGGACACAGGGAGGGGAACATCACACACCAGGACCTGTCAGAGGGTGGGGGGCTAGGGGAAGGACAGCATTAGGAGAAATAACTAATGTAGGTGATGGGTTGATGGGTGCAGCAAACCACCATGGCACGTGTATACCTACGTAACAAAACTGCACATTCTGCCATGTACCCCAGAACTTAAAGCATAATAATAATAATAATAATAAAGTAAAAAAAAAATCTATTGAGCATTTGCTGCATCTTCTGTTTTAGACATTGGGACTAGAGTAATGAACAAAAGTGACAGTGTCTGTGGTCTCATGGAACTTACATTCTAGTGTAAGAGGGCAGCAATCCTATAAACAGTTGAACACAGATACATTTACGTATATTAGACAAAAGCTATGAAAAACTTGAAGCAAGATATAGGAGAAAGAGTGATGGAGTGAGAAATGGGTATTTTCTTATTGTAAGATGGTTGTGAAGGGATTTCTGGTAAGGGGGCTTTGAGCACACACCTAAAGTAAAGGAAAGAGGAAGTCTTGTGAATGAGGGTGCTGGGAGTTAGTTCTAGACCAGTTAATAGTGTTCACTTGGGCACTATTAACATTTTGGTTTGGGTAACTCTTTACTCTGGGGGCTCACCTGTGCATTGTAGAATGTTTAGAAGCTCCCTGGCCTCTACCTAAGGGGTGCTGGTAGTACCTCCCTCCCAGCTGTGACGATCAAAAGTGTCCCCAGACATAGCCAAATGCCCCCTGGGGGCTAAAATCATCCCCTGTTCAGAACCACAGGGCTAGGCAGAGGAAGAGGAAGAGGAAGTGCTAAGTCTCCAGTCAGGCTTCTCATAACTCAGAGCAGCACCATCTGCGACCATTCATCCCAGCTCATTCTAAGCACCCAGAGCTCTGCAGAGTCAGTGCCCCCAGGGGATGCTGTTTGTCCTCTTATCCATTTTATGCTGGCTGTTAGTCTCCTTGCATCCACAACAGCAAAAGCTCCCTGAAGGCAGGAGTCCAGCCTTACACCTCTGTTCCTGTAGAGGCCTGGGCTCCTCAGTAAGGTGGCTGCATGTCTGCACCTCCCATCTGCTCCTCCATGGTGAAGACACTCTCTCCAAGTGCTCAGGGATTGGGGCCAGCTCTAAGAGAGCAATGTGTTCTCACACTGCAGCCCAGTCCATGTCTCCAGTGAATTACCCTCTCCACGTACTGGAGGACGTGTAGCTTTCTCAAAGGGATGGCTTGTGATGAAAGTTCACCTTCCACTCAATTAACCTTGAGAGAGTGGTGTTTTTTTCCTTTTCTTCCCCAGGAGACTTTTTTTTTTTTTTTTGGATGACCTTTTTGAAGCATCTTATTTTCTGGGCAAAAAGCCAAATGATATACTCTCTTCCCAGCTGCAGGGCTGTTGCAGATTTTCAAAGCTGAGGTAAAGACAGCCTTTGGAATAAATGCAAGTTGGGCAGTAGGGTTGGGAAGCATGAGGAAATGCTCTATTATTCCACCCAAGATGTGCCTGGAGGGACGGAGCCTTTGTAGAGGACATCCCTGCAGGACCCACAAGATACAGGGACCTGGAGACCTCAGGGCTGCCAGGATCTCCTCCTAGTTAGGGAGCACACAGCAATACAAATTAAAAAAAAATCAATTCCACTTTGGGTGAAAGTTGAATATTAGTAAGTTATAACAAAGCACATTTTGCCTAGTACTTTGTAGTATACGAAGGTTTTTTTAATATTTAATCTCATTGAGTCTCAGATTCAGCTACCAAATAAGACTAAATCTTATTTAAGACTGGATCAATAGAGTACAGTAAACAACTATAGCCCTTTTTCAGCCAGTTTGCTGGACAATGGTTCCTGAAAGCCCCCCTACCATCCCAGACGTACAGCATCTCTGGTTTGAGGCATGTCCCTGGTGGTGGATTTAGAGAGAAGCAACATGCAGGGGGTCTCCAAAGTCAACTGCATATATGTGCAGAGGGGAACAAATAAAAGAACCCAAACCAGCTCCATTTCCCCATGGAGCCTCAGTGTTGGTAGCTCATAGCTCGGGTAGCAAAGGGAGTTTCATAAAAGTGGCGAGGCTTGCTTTGAATTGCAGTTGGGCCACATTTCTCAAGCCCAGAGGCATTTGAGAGTTCTAAAATCCTAGGAGCAGTGTTTGAAAGCAACAAGTTAGAGAGGGTCACTGGTAGTGACCTGTTTGGGGACCAGGACATTGTGACTGGCAATCAGAAAGGTTATGGAGGTTAAAAAAAAAAAAAAAAGGAAATCTGCATGGCCAAGAACACAGGCTCAGGAGCTGGACTGCCTGGCTTTCCTGTTCTGACTTTACCACTTACTACCTGTGTGTCCTTGGGCAGGTCACTACCTAATTGTGCGTCTGTCTAAACCATCTGTAAAATGGAGATCATGAGAGCAGCTACCCCCGGGGCTGGGGCGGTGGGAGGAGAAGAAGCATCCTGGAGTCAGATGCTGTCCTATGGGGAGACGAGTGTCAAGAATCAGGGAGGAAAGTTGCCGGGAGAGGTGACAGGGAAGCTGCAGACACACACATGTGAGCCTTCGTAGGAGAATGGTGTTGGAAAAAAAATGCTGATGTGACATTGGGATTTTGTTCTGAATGTGAGGTAATAGCAAAGAGCCTGGGCTGGGGATTTCAGGCCTCATCCCTGAAGGGAGATAGACAGAGAAGAAATGCCTGCCCAAGGGAAGCACTGCTGCCTAGCACCTGCCATCTGCAGCCCCTAGAGTGGAGCCAACAAAAGCTGGGCAGCACAAAGGAGCTTTCTGGAAAGGGTTTGCAGCAACAGGCATTAATATAAAAGCATCTCGTAAGTCCTGGCTCCTCTCATTAGTCTCCATTTGCTGTCACAGGGGTCAAGGACCAGTGATTTGTCTTCCATGAAAATGTTCTTCTTGGAACATTAGGAAAGGGAAACTGGCATCACAGGAAAACCCAGAGTGGCCTACAGCTATTTGGCAGGGTACCCCACACTCGGGGTAACACTCAGGGAAAGAAGTCTTTCCTTCCGGCTGTGTGGGCTCCACACTCCCAAATCTCTCTACTCCCACACTTAAAAGTCTCCGTTTTCTCTCTGTGACATCATGCTTGAAATGATTAGCTATTGATGCATTTGATTTTATAAATGCCTCTCCTGGCCCATCAGCCATTTCTACTTCAGTGGATTAAGTTATAACTGGAAGAAAGCTTAGAACCTATCTAGTCCAGCCTCCTCTTTTCACAGAAGGGGAAACTAAGATGCAGAGAGAATTTTAAAATTGCCCAAGGGCAATTTTACTAGCCACATGACAGCCTCTGAGTCCCAGTGTCCTCAAACATTTGTGGATCTGTGACAGAGAGAGTGAGGGTAGAGTCACATGTCAACAGACACCCGGATGAAACTTCCTCAAGACTTTTCACAATTCCACTAAAGTTGGAGAATTTACAAGTGGTTTGGTGCAATGAATATACTGATGTACCGAAAGCTATACTTTGGAGGTAAAAATGACAGTAAAATAGGACAACGATAATAAGGTGCTCTCTAGAAAGCCAGGGGAAGTCCTGAGATGGAGGGACAATGTGTGGCAGTCCATTCTGAATAAGGGTTGATTTTCAGAGATCCCTGAGTTTGTCAGTGCAGGACATCTGCTGAGTAGTTCCATAAGAGTAATATTAGAATCCAAACTCTCCCCAGCAATGGAAAGGGCACCAGCCAAGCTTGGAGATAGTCATTTGCCCTTCACCACCGCCTGCCAGGGATCCCCTTTCCAAGCGCTAAGCAAATGAGAGTCTTAGGGTGGAGACAGAGAGGGCCTACTTGTCAGCCCCAAAGCAAGAGTGCCCCGGCAACTGGGACATTTGCTGAGCTCCATCTCTGTAGACTTTGGCTTATTCGACCTTGTCTCCATGTGCTGTAGAGGAGGATAAAACTCTGTGCTGTTGTGCCCTCACCTCCCTATTTCAAAGAGACTTTACCCTTCAGAGAGCTTCCCACTTGGCCACACTGGGGGAGGTTGCTGTGATGTCATACAAACGTCCAGTGTGTCTTCTCTGCCTCAAAGAAGGTGTGTGACTTTCAGCACACCACCTCCTTGTCTGGGCCTTAGTTCTCTCAACCAAGAAGAAAGGAAGGTGAGCAGCTGGACTGAAAGCATATACCACCTGCAGCCTGCTATTCCCGGGGCCTCGCCCAGTTCCTGGTGCACCAGCCTGCTCAGAAAGCACACACAGAATCGGGACATCTCCAGCCCCCTCCTGGCCTGACATTCAGAGACTAGGTTTGGAAACTAAAAGCTCTCATGCTATGGCCTTTCTCATTTAAGTTTGTGGCTTCGATCATGCCTTTGAGGGTAGCATCCCCATTTATAAGAACCTATAAACACGTTGAAAGCGTGGCCTGACTCTGCTGTAAGAAAAACAAATTTGAGAAAACAGCAGAGACCTGGAGATGGTTGCATTCAGCCCAAACATCCTCAACCTCCCCTTTGCCACATCTCCTTCCTCAAAACCTTAGCCCATTTCCCACCAGGTACCTGGGGCTCTCATGTTGCCCCATCCAGGTCCAATCTTTTTGGTCAGCACCCAATATCCCGGACTCTTCCAGCTTCCTTTAGTACTTAAAACTGCTCTCTAAGATAGAGCCATTGGGTTCTGAGAGATTGAGTTTCCACTGGCATGAAGATGTGAGTGATCTATTCCATTCTCAAGCATATTCCCACCTGAAAGGAAATAATGCTGCCTTCACCCAATGATGGCTCTACCATGGCACCATTTCAGGCAGCCACCAAAGCCAGGCAAAGGAGAGGAGGTAGAAGATGAGACTCCTTACTGATGGTCCTCTGTGAATCACACACTGACTCTTCACCCAATCTACCCACCACCACCTCCATGCTGCAGCACCCTCCCAATGAAGTCTTCCTATTCAGGTGCTATCCCCACATGTACACACTAGGGCTGCCCAGTCCACCTTGCAGAAGGGTTAGCCCAGAATTTGAGATTCAAGGGACCTTCCTGACTGTTCCTGAAAGCCCTTCATGATAGAAGAATTTTCCTCTGTGAAACTCCCAACTTATGGGAAAATAGGGTTGGCAGGTCTGAACTGTAAGAGAAGCTAAGAAAGCCTTAATAAAGTTCACTCTACCCAACAACAAATGCTACGTGCTAAATAAAGGAAATATCACTAACATTTCATGTATCTTAAATTAGTAATAATGGGCCCTAATGAGTTCTGTACTATTAATTCCATTTACAATCCCTCTCTCCTTGGCAACTTTTCATGTTCTTCCTCCCCTGCAGTTTTAATGCGATACATGTAAATCCATTTTGCTTTGTGGCAGAAAATATTCACCCTAAGAAGCACTTAAAATGAGTAGGCCTTGACCTTGGGTGTCTTTAAGATTTTATTGGCTTCTGCCTCCTGGGTTTCACAGTGTGACTTAGAAGCTGGAAGGAAAAAAGGCTTTGACTCACCTTTATTTGACTTGTTTGGTGAAGCTGAGTAGGTGTTGTATGAACCCCTTCTCAATACCTGGTGTCCTAAGTCCAGGCACCTGACCCAACCTTTCCTATGAGATCTCAGCTCCCACTCCCTCACAAAGGCCATCTGAGGCCAAGATTATTTTCTACAATTCCTTTTCATTGCCCCCCAAAACTCACTCCTCCCTTCCACCCAATTTGCCCCTATTTTCTATTTTCTACTCCACCTTTCCCATGTCCTTCAGTTTCTTACTTTTCCCAATACTGAAAATTGCAGGTCACAGTGGCTCAAACAGAGGTAAACCTAAGCCTACTAGAATCTTGTATTGCATTGGGAAAACTTGCATTGGGGAAAGCATCATTGTGGTTACCTTTCAGAGATACTCCTTTGCATTAGGGAACACTGGACCATGTGAGGATGAACCTAGGTGGATAGGAGCTGCCTAGGTTGGGTGTAATTGAGCAATTAATTAGTGAGAATTGCATTTCTCTTTCTTCCTCCCCTGCAAAGGACAGCATCCTGACCATCTTTTAGAAGCTCTAGACTACAATCTATTCCTTAGAACCTCATCTATTTTATGGAACAAAGCTCTGGGACCTGTCCCTCCAGTCTGCTAGAAAGGCTCCCATAGATATTTGAGATCAAAGTGCCTAGAATAGTTTCAGCTCTGTAAAGAGGTCGTTCTGAAGCAAAATCCATGTGCACAGTCAGAATCAGCCTCATATTTAGACAGAGCCCATCATTGCCTGTGTGATATGACATGAAGGGCAACAAAAAGGCCTTGAAATTCTGCCCAAACTTACTTCTCTCACAAGTGCCTAAAATTGCATCGTTTGAGCATAATCATATATTTGGGTTAAGGAGAATTACTCATCTTCAGCATTTTTTAAAAAGAGACAACAATTTATAAAAGATTGCAACTCATCAATTCTTCGTAAATACTGTGAATTAATGCTAGATTGTTTTCCTCCCTGGGAGAGTCTGAGGTGATGTGGGGCCTGGGATTATTGCAGGTGGGAATTGAAAAGGGAAGACGTGGTAGGAGGGATGCAGAGGGTGGAGCAGAAAGCGTAAGAAACAAACTGCACAGTTTTCCTAGTTGCCAGTGCTACCTGGAAGAAACCTGGCCCTCTCCAAGCACCAGAAAACATCAAGTTATCATTGAATGAGTGAAAAACCCCAAACAAAACCAATCAATGTTTCTGTTTTCATAATTCCATAGAAAACAACGTTTCTTTTTCCCTCTTCAGCAGTTTCAAACACAGGGCAAATATTTTCATACTACTCTATAAATCTAGATTCTGTTGAACTACAGGGAATTTCCTCTTCAACTGTCCCCCATAACAGCATCAAAAAGGAAAATAAAACCTCAGTACAAAAGGCATAGACTTTTAGAGCCAGCCAACTTGCGGGAACCAAGCCCTGGTTTCCATGGAGAGTCCACGGGCCAGAGACTTGCATTCCGAGCAGGCAAGGGACTTGTACACTGTCTAGCAGGGCCCATAAATTCCCTAGCTTTAGGGTCCCCTCGTGATGCTGCCAGGCAGGAGGCATATATTGTCCACTAGAGTCTGAGGGTTCTGAGATATGTGATTTGAAACGGAGCAGAGAAAGAGTGTAGTCAGGGAGGCTGTTCTGCCTCAGTGACTGTTCCAGGTAATTGAAATGTATCCCTTTAAGTACAGGGATAATTCTGAAATTTTAATTATTTAGTAGGAAAGCTTTCTAATCAGCAGTGTATACTTCCTTGAGAGCCACGTGGTAGATGGAGCAGCTTTGGAAACAGGCGGCTTGACACTTGAATCCCAGTTCTACAGTTACAATCTGAATCAATCTGGTTTTGCATTTTTTTTAATTTTTTTGTTTTGTTTTAACATCTTTGGACTTTAATTTCCTCACCTGCAAAATGGGAGAATGCCTACTTTGCAGATTTTTGTAAAATAGAAGTGAGGCACTTAGCAAACTGCTTGTCACCTGCTAAGCACTCAATATATGGCCTCTATTATCATGACACCATTATGATGATTTCTCTCCTTTTAAAACGAAATATGCTGAATGTATGTTAACTTTTTGTTTCCCTCGGAGTGATCAATGTCCATTCTTATAATGTGCTCTGATACAGAATATCTTTGGAAGCCCAGGAAGTATACAGGCAGGTTCAGCCCACCCCAACCCCTGACGCAATAACCAGTTCCATCTTCTCCTACTCACATGGTGGCTCTGCTGTCCCTTTCTTCCATGAACCAGGGACCATGAGTTCACTGTAGAAAGCCTGTACTCCCTTTGCTACCTTAATCTGGGTTCCCTGTAAATTGGGCAAAGGGGGAGGCAGTTGGGTAGCCTGGTGTGGAGCAGTGATAAGCTTTGTCATTTGAAAGCCTGAACACGACACCCAGCAGCTTGACCCACCAGCTGTGTGACGTTGGTCTCCCAAATGTTCAGTTAGGGACACAGATGACAAAGATGATCCCTACTTAATGGGGTGATGGTGAGGATTAAGGGAGATGATGAGGGGGGAGCCTCTAACATAGCATCTCATGCACTGTAGATGCTCGATAAATGACAGCTGCCATTATTACGTAAAGGCCACATTGCGAAAAGCAAGGCCATTTATCTACATCTTCACATTTGACACATGCAGGGAGCATGGGTGGTTGTAGCCAGGTTTGTAGGACATTCTAGAATCCTTCAGTCATCTTTTTGTGTGTGTGCATGCTTCCGTTTCTGGCTGGGGTTTTCCCAGTGTTGCATGAGGCAGTACCACAGTGCACAGAGGTGAATCCCTAGTGGGCAGGTGGTGAGCTAGTCACTGAACCCTATGGACATGAAGATCTCCTAGTGAGAGTGTGTGGATATGGGCTAACCTGCCATGTAATAAGCCCGTGACACATGGCAGACCCTTGGCAAAAGGCTCGTTGAACATGATTAAGCACTTTATGACAGGGCTTTGCCTCCGTATTGATGAAAGCAGTGTCCCTGCTCAGAGCCAGCTGAAAAGGCTCAAATCAGTCCAGGAGGATTAGCCCTGCCCACCCTATTTCTAATTTTTCTGATTACCAGGATGTTTTGCAAGGTTAGTAGACTGGTTGGAAGAACATACTTTAAAATAAATGAGATACAAGAACGCTAACGCCTAACAACCAAATGGTCTGGGCAGAATCATTTGTCTTCCTGGAAGCTCAGTTTCCTCCCTTGTTAAAGGATAATAATTCCACCATGTCTACCCAACAGAAGTAGTGGGGTGAAGAGTAAAACGAACATTTCCTCAGGAACCTAAATATCTGAGTTCTTGTCTGGTCTTTGCTACCAACTAACTGTCTGATTTAGGGTAACTTAGCTTCTCTGGACCTCAAATTTCCCATCTCTGAGATAAATGGTTTGGATTAAATAACCTCACAAGTCTCTGTCAGCTCTGAAACCCCATGGACCTCTGAGAGAGAGTGTGTCAGGTCATAGCTGTGACTCTGTTTACAGAACTGCACAGCATCCTATAAATGTAAGGTCAGCTCCCACCTGGTACCTAGCGTACTGTCAACGTTCAATGAAGTCTTGTGGATGAATTAGTTATATTGTGTCAAATAAGATAGATTCAAAAGCCACTTTTGAAAAAAAGAAGCAAAGAAATAAAGCCCGGCATGAGTGGCAGATGTTCAGGTGGAGAGGGCCAGTGCTGTGCGTAATTTCGTGTAATTTCTATTTTTTGCTGCTCTTTGCCTGCCTTTGTGGAATGCTAGAAAGTCTAGAGGGACATTTGCAAATCTGCCCACTGTCAGTTCCACTCGTAGAGCAGTCCATCTTCTTGGGAGTGCGTGTGACCTTTGCAGGTTGTCGCATCCTGGGCACGGCACCAAGTGATCCTCCAAGGGGGCTGGTGTGGAGGAGCAGGCCCTGAGCCGTGGGGTGGTACAAGCGGCAGTTTCTGGGCCCAATGCCAACCTCCAGATAATTGCCGGCAGCAGGAGAGAGATGGTGGAGGTTGGTAGAGCCTGTCTCTGACAGATAGATTGTCCCCTTCTCACCGTGACAGCATCATGGCAGTGAGAAGGAAAGCCAAAATGCAGGCAGGCAGGAGAGAAGTAGGGAAGGGCACAAGGAAAGGGGCAGCCTCAGAAGGAGAGAGACAGAAACAGACAATGGAAGGGACAGCTAGAGAAATAATAGGAAGACAAGAGATGGTGGTCACACAGGTACCAGCTAAAGAGAGAAAAAACACATACAGAGTGAGACAGAGGAGGGTCAGAGAGAGAGAGAAATGCAGAAAGAAACGGAGAGAAGAAAACACTATCTCTGTCACAGTGTCATCCCCTTGCAAACCTCTGGAGATATTTGGGGGTTCAGTGAGAGAAGCAGTGCCTCCAGAATCAATTGCATATGTGTGCAGAGGGGAAAATAAAAGAAAGCACCCAAACAGCTCCATTTCCTCATGGAGCTGCACTGTTGGCAGTTGTGGTAACAAAGAGGGTTTTGTGAAAGCAGCCAGGCTTGCCTCCCATCCCAATTTTCTATCATCTCTCCAAGGCCCAGGACAGGGCAGTGAAGGGCATGGGCCAGTAGTCCATGATGGAGGTGATCTTTTCTTCCCTCCTCCTCTGGCCTCCCAAAGCAGAAAGTATCTTGTCATCCCAGACCTGGGCCCGAAGCCTCCCTCCCTCCCTTCATCCATCCATCCATGCATGCATCCATCCATCCTTCTCCTCCTCCCTTCCTCAGGGCCCTATCTCAAGAAAACCATGAAAGCATGCCTGGGACAATGGACTCCCAAAATCAGTCAGCTAGGAGCCCACCTGACCCAGGAAATGCTTTCCTAGAGGTAGAGCAGCTGTGGCGAGGGGTAAGCTATGACGGGAGGAGCAGCCAACTGCCTGGCTGGCTGAGAGACAGCCATAGGGGAGGACTCTGGAAGGGCATGGATGCGTTGGAAACCACATTGCTAAGTATAAAATGGAGAAAAGTGTCACGTTGCAAATATAAGAGATGTCTGCTGGACAGAAAAAAAAAAAGTGTCCTCCTGACTTCCTAGGTAGCCCAAGACCTGTTAATAACAAAAACAACAACCAACACTTACTGAGTGCTTTAAATAATGCTGGGCATTGGGTTAAACTATAGATTTTATCAGCCATGCCCCACAAGGTCTGTGGCATAGAGCATATGGGATTTGTGATGGGAGAAAGTGAGGATTATTATCCCCAATTTGCAACGAGCCCTGCAGCCTGATTCTATGTGCTTATCTCGGTCAGGTCACAGTTGATCGTTTTGCACTAATTTACACAGATTTATTCATGTATTATATTACCTGGACATCCACTTTGTGTGAGACTGCTAGGATATGGTTGACTATGAGTACAGAGGGGTGTGGTAGAAAAGAAGGGGGTAGAGGGAAAAGATGATGGACAAAGACAAAGAGAGGCAGAAGGAGGCCTGCACCCAGGAAACCTAGAGTCTGCCAGAGAAGGGAGGGCATGTGCATCAGTAACTGGTATCAGTACAAGTTAGAGAGCATGAAGGCTGAAGAATGTGCTAGCAAAGCTGAGCAGCATGTGAGATTCTTTCTGAATGAGAGGAATAGAGCATGAGTTCCATCTGAGCTGGGCCTTGAGGCATGAGTTCAAAATGTGGGATTGTGAAGTACAGAGAGAAGATGCATCCTAGATAGATGGAATCACCCAAGCCAAGGCACAGAGTCCACAGAGACAGACCAAAAACTCAGGTGACCTAACATCCTGCTGCACACTAGGAGGTTCTTTGAACAAGTAGGGTAGTCATAAGAGAGAAGGCCAGCCAAGTAGATTGAGGGTAAATAAAAGAGAGAGTTAAATTCGGAATGCAATGGGCAGTGATTGGAGATGACTGAGCAGAAAAAGAGAGGCAGCCAAGCACCCTGTATACCCCTGTGAATGAATAAATTACCACATTCACTGATTCCTCCATTCAGCAAATATTCTTCATGTGCCCACTGTGTGCCTGGCCCCACCTAGACAGATGGGCACATCTGTTAACAAAGCAGGTAGAGAACCCTTCTCCCGCGGAGCTCTAATTCTTTCAGGGACATGTGTATTTTATTTCTTATCTACTGATGATGACACAATGTCCATGTGGGTGTGACTTTTGGGGTATCTAAGCAGACAGGAATCAACCCCCAATGAACCCACAGTGATGCTGAGTGTAAGGACACTCAGTTTGGGGTAGCCAGGGACGGCACAGAGCATATGGGACTTGTGATGGGAGAAGTCACCAACAGAAAGGGATTATATTAGACAGGATTTTCTTGATTGCAATTAACAGATCAAACTGGCTCCAGCAGTAGAAGGTAATTTACAGGCTCATATAGCCAAGCTCCTTAAAACCCAGGGGTGGGAGCTGGCCTCACGAATAACTGGTATTGGAGTTCTAGTATCACCCATCCCTCAATCCCCATTTATGTTTCTCTGCGGATGTTATGTCATTTCCCCCATATTGGCTGTTGTTGAGGTTTGGCATCAGCCCCTGCAACCTCATATCCTGACAGTTTAATAGCCAGAGAGGAAAGCTGGCTTCCTCTATCCAGCTCCCCTTGAAACTCACAGAGAAGGACTCTGACTGGTCTGGCTTGGGTCACGTGCCCATCTCTTCTCAGGCCAACCCAGCAGCCAGGAAGTTGAGGTTCCATCTGTACTCAGGCTGGGTTACCTTGTCCCCTTCAGGGTCATAGGGACAGGAAGGGAAACAAAACTAATAGATATACACTACTGGGATTGAGACAACTGAAAACTCATTTTACCTAATGGACAGTTATGCTAAAGGGTGACTCCAGCATCCATTCAAGATACATAATATAAGGTAATTCCTACTCAGTCCAGGACATCGGTAAATGTTACCAACCCACTCCACCCTCTCCCACAGACAAATTAAAAAGTGATACATATAACGTAGAGAACAAAAAAAACACACTGTGAATTAGCTGTCCTGGAGGAGGTGGAGGTAGATCATTCTAAAGACAGTGTGGGAGGTATGGGGAGAGAGGGGCTGGTCAGAACAAAATGAGGTACAGGCAAGTTCCAGGGCTCACCAGAACTGCATCAGCACAGCCACCTGCCTGTATTCCCAGAGAATCAAGGCAGGGCTGCACCCTCTCCTCTACCAGCCACCACCCCCACCTCCCAGCAGGATCAAGAACCTTGGTCAGGAGTAGTGCCTTCCGCTGGAGGATCTTCATTTGCTGAGAAGGCCAGCCCTGCAGGAAATCCCGAGCTAAGAAACAAGAACAATTTGAAAGGATGCAGGAGGCATTAAGCCAGAATGGTTCTCCAGGGGCTGGTGGGGCTAAATGGAAACTCAGGCAAAGAGAACAAAAGGAGGATAGAGTGGAGCCATCATTCATGGAAGAAAAAGGATGCTAACCATCAAGGAAGAGGCAGTATCTTCACTGGGAGGGAGAAATCAAAAGCAAAATAAGGAAACATTTTAGCAAAAATCAATGCTTTCAAAATGCATTTAATCATCTAGAGTTCTGGAAACTTAGCAAAGGGGCAGAGCTTGTTCTGGTGTAAAGAATAAGGGACAACAAGCAGAAGCTAGGCAGTCTGACCTCCCTTGTGCCAGTGACATACTGTGTGGTCTTGGACTCGTGACTTTATTTTCCTATTTGTAAAATTAAGCCAACAATCCCTGCATTGCCTGCAACACCGTATCATGTGAAGGCCCACTGAGATAATGGAAGGGCAGCAGTTTTTAAAATATTAAGCAACTCCATTGTAATTAATTAGCCTAGCTGAATAATTAGAAAATGATGGTTAGAAATTGGGTCACTCTAACCTGGAAGGGAAGAAGCCGTGAAAGAGGTTAAGGCTTAGGATTCAAATGCACTGGCATCCTGCTAAATGACATGTACAAAAGCAATGGATTCTATGTTTTTAAAAAGAATATATAATTGCTGAGCACCTACTATATTCTCGACCCCTTGTAAGATATCAAAGATAATATAGAAGAAGCACAAGACATAATCCCTGAGGTGTCAAGTGTATCTGATGAGATAAAGCATGTACAGTAAAGTGCAACTCACAGCATGAATTAAGATAAAAGCCAAGCTGAGGTGTTGATAATAAATGTCACAAGAGCTCAGGGCAGAGATTTGTGGCCTGATGGGCTGGAGGGGAAGCGGAGGTTGCCCCTCTGTTGCCCTTGAAGCAGGATTTGGATATGTAGGGAAGAAAAGCAGGAAGAACATGAGAAAGGTGATTATGGTACAGGTCAGGATGGCCATAGAGATGGTATGTGTCCATGGCATTGTTGGAAGGATGGTCAGTGTGGATGGAACGGTGTGTAAGATGGTAATAATGGACAATTATTTAGGAAAGGGCATCATGTCCAGGCTCCGAAAGCCTTGAAATCAGATGAAAGAATTGATCATAAAGGAAAGGGAACCCACTGGAGACCCTGGAACAAAGGAGCTGATTGACCAAGTGTTACTTAAGAAGATGGATGCAAGGGCAGATGCTGAATCAACAGGAGAGGGTGATGCTTCCACAAAATACTCAGAGAAGAGGAGCTCAGGGATACAGGGGTGACAGTCAGGTGGTTATAGAAGAAATGAAAAACAATAGGGAACAACTGGCAGGCCTTTGTACCTAATTACGTGTGGGGAATGAAGGATGAGGTGGAGCAAAGGTATCTCTCTTGTCTTGATCCCAAGGAACTGGGTTAGTGCCAGTGTGGTGTAAGCATGTATTAATTGTTTCCTGTGCCTGGTGGGGGTTGGAGGCAAAGAAGGCTCCCCAGAGGAAGTGACATGTTTGTGAAGTCTTAAAAATTATGTCCACCTACTTTCAGAGGGAGTGAAGAGCATCCAGAGAAAGGAAACGGCATGGACCAAGGCAAAGGCAAGGAGGTGTGAAAAGGAAAGCTCCCAGTGTGGGGCATGTCTGTGAACACCTGAAGAGTGGGAGAACACTAGAGAAGTAGGCAGGGACACATTATAAAGGAACTTGGACTTATGCAGCAGATATGGGGAGCTATGAAAGGAATGGTAGCAGGGAGAAGATACTGTCAATTCTTTTATAGCTGTTTGTAAAAATACAGCGAGTTGAAAAGTAGAGAAAATCCCCAAATGAAGTGTAATGTGACTCTAAAAGTATTCTGATATCTTTAAACTGAAGGAATTGTATTGCTCTCTTACTCTTTATACATCTCCTGCCTTTTGTTTTTATATGTACTGCCTTTTAGCTTAATAAAAGCTGTTGCTATGTTTTTTTGGTGCATAAATATTTATAATGTTTAGATCATCATTGCAGGTTTCAATAAAGTTTCTATCTTTGTGTCATTTACTGTTTTGAGCCCTGTACTCAACCTGTCTGATACATGCCTGATATTAAAACTAAGATTTCTAGTTTTGTTTTGATTTGCTTGCTTGCCTTTTTCCTTCCTTTTGTTTTCAACTTTCCAGTCACTTTATTTTAATTGTGTCTTTTGCTCATAGCACAAAATTGTTCTTTACATTGTAACTTAAATGGAGAATCTATTTATTTTGACTGATACATTTTTACTTTTATATTTTTTAATGTCATAGATGTGTTTGTACTCAGTTTAGACATCACATACTTTCTGCCTCTATTGCCTCTTTTTATCTTTCACTAACAGTTATGGTTTGTTATATTTTAATTTGGTTTGTGTGTAGGTTCATAGAGATAGTTGGGAAGGTTTTAACATTTTTCATTCTTTATTGTTTATCTTTCTGATAGTTTATACAATATATTTAATCCTCTGTATCCTTACTAGCTATTGACTGTCAGCTCTGCAAGATAATGACATGTGTATAGTTCCTCTTCTGTAGCCTCTCATTTTTCTACTCTTACCGAATTTTAATTAATCATGATGATGACGATGATGATGATGATGATATTTCTGCTAATCTCAACCTTATACTTTTTAATAAACATTTCCTTCTATTTGATTCTTTAGCACTAAGTGGTAACCTTTGACCCTTGGCTACCTTCTCATTCCCTTCAACTTCTGAATTTTTTTTAGTTTCAGTGTTTTAAAATGTTATTATAGTTCATTAATATTTACATTGTGTTCTCAAATCATAATTTCCAGTTTGTGTGTGTGTGTGTGTTGTAATCCTAAAGTCATTAACAACCCACCACCAGTTCTTCTGCCATAGTTTCTTCATTTTCTACTGATTAGTTAAATTTCAGCCTCCAGTTTCTTCAAGATGAGATCAGATAAATGCATTTTCTGCATTATTAGGATGTGTGGTGAAGCATTTGTACTTGAACAACAGTTTGAGTTTAACACATTTTTACTGTTTCTTATTTGTTCTTAGTGAGGTTTTATAAGCATCATGTTGCTATGGAAAACTCTGGCACCAACCTAATTTTCCCCCTTGAAAAATAAATTCTGGTTTTGATCTTGGTTTTCTTTTGTTTGTTTCGCTTTTTGTTTGTTGGGATGGCAAGAGAGTCTTTCTTTACCATTGGGTATCATTTCTGTATCAATTTTTCCTGAGACGGTTTATGTTTTGTTTGTTTTGCCTTGCTTTGTAGGCAGATTTAAATATTTTATTTTTGAAAACCGTTTTGAAATTATACTTCTCCAAATACATTTTCTATTCTATATTTTTTAGTATTCTTCAAATACTACATTTATGCATAAGCATAGATCTATTGTATCTATTTTATCTTCCATTTCTATCATGTTCTTTCTTATTCCTTTTTAACTATCCATTTTCATGTGTTCTGCTCACTTGATCAATCCTGTTCTTAAGTCTGTTTTTGTGTCTTGAGCAGTTTCTTTTCACCGTCTTGTTGCTGCTGATGGGTCCCTAATTTTGGTGATGACTCTTTTTTTCTCCTTTACAACTTTCCTGAGCTCTGCTAGCTCATTTTTTGCTCTTTCAGTTGTCTGGACATGTCTTTCTTGATATTTTATTTTATATAATGATTTGTTTCATTGAGGCTTGTTGTTTTTTTATTTGTATGTTTGTCTATAATAGTTTTTTTTATTATACTTTAAGTTCTGGGGTACATGTGCAGAATGTACAGGTTTGTTACATAGGTATACACGTGCCATGGTGGTTTGCTGCACCCATCAACCCATCATCTACATTAGGTATTTCTCCTAATGCTATCCTTCCCCTAGCCCCCGACCCCATGACAGGCCATGGTGTGAGATGTTCCCCTCCCTGTGTCCATGTGTTCTCGTTGTTCAACTCCCCCTTATGAGTGAGAATATGCAGTGTTTGGTTTACAGTTCCTGTGTTAGTTTGCTGAGAATGATGGTTTCCAGCTTCATCCATGTCCCCGCAAGGAACATGAACTCATTCTTTTTCATGCTGCATAGTATTCCGTGGTGTATTTGTGCCACATTTTCTTTATCCAGTCTATCATTGATGGGCATTTGGGTGGGTTCCAAGTCTTTGCTATTGTGGATAGTGCTGCAGTAAATACACGTATGCATATGTCTTTATAGTGGCATGATTTATAATCCTTTCGGTATATACCCAGTAATGGGATTGCTGGGTCAAATGGTATTTCTGGTTCTAGATCCTTGAGGAATCGCCACACTGTCTTCCACAGTGGTTGAACTAATTTACACTCCCACCAACAGTGTAAAAGCATTCCTATTTTCCACATCCTCTCCAGCATCTGTTGTTTTCTGACTTTTTAATGATAGCCATTCTAACTGGTGTGAGATGGTATCGCATTGTGGTTTTGATTTGCATTTCTCTAATGACCGGTGATGATGAGCTTTTTTTCATATGTTTGTTGGTCACATAAATGTCTTCTTTTGAGAAGTGTCTGTCCATATCCTTCGCCCATTTTTTGATGGGGTTGTGTGTTTTTTTCTTCTTAATTTGTTTAAGTTTCTTATAGATTCTGGATATTAGCCCTTTGTCAGATGGATAGAATGCAAAAATTTTCTTCCATTCTGCAGGTTGCCTGTTCACTCTGATGATAGTTTCTTTTGCTGTGCAGAAGCTCTTTAATTTAATTAGATCCCATTTGTCAATTCTGGCTTTTGTTGCCATTGCTTTTGGTGTTTTAGTCATGAAGTCTTTGCCCATGCCTATGTCCTGAATGGTAATGCCTAGGTTTCTTTCTAGGGTTTCTGTGGTTTTAGGTCTTACATTTAAGTCTTTAATCCATCTTAAATTAATTTTTGTATAAGGTGTAAGGAAGGGGTCCAGGTTCAGTTTTCTGCATATGGCTAGCCAGTTCTCCCAACACCATTTATTAAATAGGGAATCCTTTCTCCATTGCTTGTTTTTGTCAGGTTTGTCAAAGATCAGATGGTTGTAGATGTGTGGCATTACTCCTGAGGCCTCTGTTCTGTTCCATTGGTCTATATATCTGCTTTGGTACCAGTACCATGCTGTTTTGGTTACTGTAGCGTTGTAGTATGGTTTGAAGTCAGGTAGCATCATGCCTCCGGCTTTGTTCTTTTTGCTTAGGATTGTCTTAGCTACATGGGCTCTTTTTTGGTTCCATGTGAAATTTAAAGTAGTTTTTTCTAATTATGAGAAGAAAGCCAATGGTAGCTTGATGGGGATAGCATTAAATCTATAAATTACTTTGGGCAGTATGGCCATTTCATAATATTGATTCTTCCTATCCATGAGCATCAAGTGTTTTTCCATTTGTTTTTGTGTCCTCTCTTATTTCCTTGAGCAGTGGTTTGCAGTTCTCCTTGAAGAGGTCCTTCACATCCCTTGTAAGTTGGATTCTTAGATATTTTATTCTCTTTGTAGCAGTTGCGAACAGGAGTTCACTCATGATTTGGCTCTTTGTTTGTCTATGATTGATGTATAGGAATGCTTGTGACTTTTGCACATTGATTTTGTATCCTGAGGCTTTGCTGAAGTTGCTGATCAGCTTAAGGAGATTTTGGGCTGAGATGATGGGGTTTTCTAAATATACAATCATGTCATCTGCAAACAGAAACAATTTGACTTCCTCTCTTCCTATTTGAATATCCTTTATTTTTTCTCTTGCCTGATTGCCCTGGCCAGAACTTCCAATACTATGTTGAATAGGAGTGGTAAGAGAGGGCATACTTGTCTTGTGCCAGTTTTCAAAGGAAATGCTTCCTGTTTTTGCCCATTCAGTATGATATTGGCTGTGGGTTTTTCATAAACAGCTCTTAATATTTTGAGATACATTCCATCAATACCTAGTTTATTGGGAGTTTTTAGCATGAATGGGTGTTGAATTTTATTGAAGGCCTTTTCTGCATCTGTTGAGATAATCATGTGGTTTTTGTCATTGATTCTGTTTATGTGATGGATTACGTTTATTGATTTGTGTATATTGAACCCCCTTGCATCCCGGGGTTGAAGCCCATTTGATCGTGGCGGATAAGCTTTTTGATGTGCTGCTGGATTTGGTTTGCCCGTATTTTATTGAGGATTTTTGCATCAATGTTCATCAGGGATATTGGCCAGAAATTTTCTTTTTTTGTTGTGTGTCTGCCAGGTTTTGGTATCAGGATGATGTTGGCCCAGTAAAATGAGTTAGGGAGGGGTCCCTCTTTTCCTACTGTTTGGAATAGTTTCAGAAGGAGTGGTACCAGCTCCTCTTTGTACCTCTGGTATAATTTAGCTGTGAATCCATCCGGTCCTGGGCTTTTTTTGGTTGGTAGGCTATTAATTATTGCCTCAATTTCAGAACTTGTTGTTGGTCTATTCAGGGATTCAACTTCTTCCTGGTTTAGTCTTGGGAGGGTGTATGTGTCCAGGAATTTATCCATTTCTTCTAGATTTTCTAGTTTATTTGCATAGAGGTGTTTATAGTATTCTCTGATAGTAGTTTGCATTTCCGTAGGTTCAGTGGTGATATCTCCTTTATCATTTTTTATTGTGTCTATTTGATTCTTCTCTCTTTTCTTCTTTATTGGTCTGGCTAGCAGTCTATCTATTTTGTTAATCTTTTCAAAAAACCAGCTCCTGGATTCATTAATTTTTTGAAGGGTTTTTTGTGTCTCTATCTCCTTCAATTCTGCTCTGATCTTAGTTATTTCTTGTCTTTTGCTAGCTTTTGAATTTGTTTGCTCTTGCTTCTCTAGTTCTTTTAATTGTGATGTAAGGGTGTCGACTCTAGATCTTTCCCACTTTCTCCTGTGGGCATTTAATGCTATAAATTTCCCTTTAAACACTGCTTTAGCTGTGTCCCAGAGATCCTGGTATGTTGTGTCTTTCTTCTCATTGGTTTCAAAGAACTTATTTATTTCTGCCTTAATTTCGTTATGTACCCAGTATTCATTCAGGAGCAGGTTGTTCAGTTTCCACATAGTTGTGCAGTTCTGAGTGAGTTTCTTAATCCTGAGTTCTAATTTGATTGCACTGTGGTCTGAGAGACAGTTATGATTTCTGTTCTTTTGCATTTGCTGAGGGAGGGTTTTCCAATTATGTGGTCAATTTTAGAATAAGTGCGATGTGGTGTTGAGAAGAATGTATATTCTGTTGACTTGGGGTGGGGAGTTCTTTAGATGTCTGCTTGGTCCAGAGCTGAGTTCAAGTCCTGAATATCCTTGTTAATTTTCTGTCTCATTGATCTGTCAAATATTGACAGTGGGGTGTTAATACACTATTATTGTGTGGGAGTCTAAGTCTCTTTGTATGTCTCTAAGAACTTGCTTTATGAATATGGGTGCTCCTGTATTGGGTGCATATATTTAGGATATATATTTAGGATATAGATATAGATATATGTTTAGGTTATATATATATTTAGGATATATATATATATATATTTAGGATATATATATATATATATATATATATATATATATATATATATATATGATAGTTATCTCTTCTTGTTGCATTGATCCCTTTACCATTATGTAATGCCCTTCTTTGTCTTTTTTTATCTTTGTTGGTTTAAAGTCTGTTTTATCAGAGACTAGGATTGCAACGCCTGCTTTTTTTGCTTTCCATTTGCTTGGTAAATCTTCCTCCATCCCTTTATTTTGAGCCTATGTGTGTCTTTGCACATGAGATGGGTCTTCTGAATACAGCACAGTAATTGGTCTTGACTCTTTATCCAATTTTCCAGCCTGTGTCTTTTAACTGGGACATTTAGCCCATTTACATTTAAGGTTAATATCGTTATGTGTGAATTTGATCCTGTCATTATCATGATAGCTGGTTATTTTGCCCATTAGTTGATGCAGTTTCTTCATAGTATTGATGGTCTTTACAATTTGGTATGTTTTTGCAGTGGCTGGTACCGGTTTTTCCTTTCCATATTTAGTGCTTCCTTCAGGAGCTCTTGTAAGGCGGGCCTGGTGGTGACAAAATCTCTCAGCAATTGCTTGTCTGTAAAGGATTTTATTTCTCCTTCTCTTATGAAGATTAGTTTGGCTGGATATGAAATTCTGGATTGAAAACTCTTTGTTTTAAGAATTTTGAATATTGGCCCCCACTCTCTTCTGGTTTGTAAGGTTTCTGCAGAGAGATCTGCTGTTAGTCTGGTGAGCTTCTCTTTGTGGGTAACCCGACCTTTCTCTCTGACTGCCCTTAACATTTTTTCCTTAATTTCAACCTTGGTGAAGGTGATGATTATGTTTCTTGGGGTTGCTCTTCTTGAGAAGTATCTTTGTGGCATTTTCAGTATTTCCTGAATTTGAATGTTGGCCTGCCTTGCGAGGCTGGGGAAGTTGTCCTGAACAATATCCTGAAGAGTGTTTTCCAACTTGGTTCCATTCTCCCCATCACTTTCAGGTACACCAGTCAAACGTAGGTTTGGTCTTTTCACATAGTCCCATATTTCTTGGAGGCTTTGTTTGTTCCTTTTCATTCCTTTTTCTCTAATCTTGTCTTCATCCTTTATTTCATTAAGTTGATCTTCAATCTCTGATATCCTTTCTTCCACTTGATCGATTCGGCTATTGATACTTGTGTATGCTTCATGAAGTTCTTGTGCTGTGTTTTTCAGCTCCGTCAGGTCATTGATGTTCTTCTCTAAACTGGTTATTCTAGTTAGCAATTCCTCTAACCTTTTTTCAAGGTTCTTGGCTTCCTTGCATTGGGTTAGAACATGCTTCTTTAGCTTGGAGGAGTTTGTTATTACCCGCCTTCTGAAGCCTACTTCTGTCAATTCATCAAACTCATTCTCCATCCAGTTTTATTCCCTTGCTGGCGGGGAGTTGTGATCCTTTGGAGAAGAGGAGTTCTGGTTTTTGGAGTTTTCAGCCTTTTTGCACTGGTTTTTCCTCATCTTCATGGATTTATCTACTTTTGGTCTTTGATGTTGGTGACCTTTGGATGGGGTTTTTGTGTGGACATCATTTTTGTTGATGATGATGCTATTCCTTTCTGTTTGTTAGTTTTCCTTCTAACAGCCAGGCCCCTCTGCAGCAGGTCTGCTGGAGCTTGCTGGAGGTCCACTCCAGACCTTGTTTGCCTGGGTATCACCAGTGGAAGCTGCACAACAGCAAAGATTGCTGCCTGTTCCTTCCTTTGGATGCTTTGTCCCAGGGGGGTACCCACAAGATGCCAGCCGGAGCTCTCCTGTATGAGGTGTCTGTCGACCCCTGCTAGGAGGCATCTCCCAGTAAGAAGGCATGGGGGTCAGGGACCCACTTTAGGAGGCAGTCTGTCCCTTAGCAGAGCTCAAGTGCTGTGCTGGGAGATCTGCTGATCTCTTCAGAGTCGGCAGGCAGGAACATTTAAGTCTACTGAAGCTGCACCCACAGCCACCCCTTCCCCCAGGTGCTTTGTCCCACGGAGATGGGAGTTTTATCTATAAGCCCATGACTGGGGCTGCTGCCTTTCTTTCAGAGATACCCTGCCCAGGGAGGAGGAATTTAGAGAAGCAGTCTGGCTACAGCAGCTTTGTAGAGCTGCGGTGGGCTCCACTGAGTCCAAACTTCCTGGTGGCGTTGTTTATACTGTGAGAGGAAAACCACCTACTCAAGCCTCAGTAATGGCGGATGCCCTTACCCCAACCAACCTCGAGCATCCCAGGCTGACTTCAGACTGCTGTGCTGGCAGCAAGAATTTCAAGCCAGTGGATCTTAGCTTGCTGGGCTCCATAGGGGTGGGATCCGCTGACCTAGACCACTTGGCTCCCTGGCTTCAGCCCCCTTTCCAGGGAAGTGAATGGTTCTGTCTCACTGGCGTTCCAGGTGCCACTGGGGTATGAAGAAAAACTCCTGCAGCTAGCTTGGTGTCTGCCCAAACAACCACCTACTTTTGTGCTTGAAACCCAGGGCCCCGGTGGTGTAGGCACCCAAGGGAATCTCCTGGTCTGTGGGTTGCAAAGACCATGGGAAAAGAATAGTATCTGAGCCAGAATGCACTGTTCCTCAAGGCACAGTCCCTCATGGCTTCCCTTGAATAGAAGAGGGAGTTCTTTGATCCTTTGTGCTTCCCAGGTGAGGCAACGCCCCACCCTGCTTCTGCTCGCCCTAAATGGGCTGGATCCACTGTCTAACCAGTCCCAATGAGATGAGCTGGGTACCGCAGTTGGAAATGCAGAAATCACCTGCCTTCTGTACTGATCTCACTGAGAGCTGCAGACTGGAGCTGTTTCTATGCAGCCATCTTGCCAGCCACTGTCTATGATAGTTTGCTTGGCACAGTTTCCTTTAGCTTGATGGTAACACAATTTGGTACTTGTTCTTTGTCTGTTTCCTTTTATCATTACCTTCTTTTCTTGCAATATCTTTGTAGAGTTCTTCTGATGGTTTCTGTTTAATTCTGGCTCATATTTGACTGAGATAAGCTCTTTCTTAACCAGCTATTTTGCAGAAAAAGGAAGGCGTGAAGAGCCAGCCTATAATGTCATCCAGTAGCATCTCTCTAGTTTATAGGGATGTGCCTGACAACACACAAGGTTGTGTGTGTGGATATGTGTACAAGTTAATTTAGCCTTTACCTTTTTCCAGAAAAAAAAAAAGAGATTGTCAGTTGCCAAGACCAATTAAAGTGGAACCTATCTTCTCTAACCTGCCTTCCCAACAGACAAGCTTAAATAGAATTTTTAAGTGTTTTCTTATTTATACCACCTCCCCTTTTCTTAATGGAAGAGTCCAGGGATGCTTTTACAGGCAGCCATTCACCTTAGACCAGTTGACCCCCAAAAGACGGTGTTGGTTCTGCCCTCTTTGGCAAACTCTGTGCTCTGCGAGCTTTGCTTGAGGTCTTTGGCAGCAGACACCTTTCAGCATCTACCTGCCCTAGGTTGGAACTTTACTGCTTTTGGCAGCCCTTCCTCAACAAAGGTGAGGTTTGCATTTCTGTTTCTTATTATTATTGTCTTGGAACAAATTCAAAAGGAAGTGGGCAGGGCTATCTTAACAACACTGTCTTAAAAGTAAAGCTCTTTTTAAAAAGCTGTATATCCCAATTTTCCTCCCCTAAATCTCTAGCACCTAACGCTATATCTGACAAAGAGAAAATGCTCAATTAATGTTTGTTAATATTAATAGCTAATAATAAAATGAATAAATAAAGGAATGAACAAACAATTCTCAAATGTAATAATTGAGATATAACTGTATTTCAGGCCTGTCCTCAAAAGAACTTTAACAATGAATTCTCCTTGATCTTCCTTGCAACAGCGTAATAAAGCATACTTCCCAGGGCTTGTCATGGCTCTGACATCTCCTGCCTACTTTTTTCTCATCCTTTGTTATGTCTTGTCAGCATACTACTCTCACTCACTATCTGTGCCAAGTTAGAGTACCTAGCACACAGGAAATAGTGAATTCTACAGGAAAACTCTATATAGTCGGTTTTTCTTTTCCTAGTCTGGTGTCTAGCCTCAGTTTTTATGGATGTATTTTGAATTTGTTTCTCTTTGTCTTACTTCTAAAATTGGAAAAGCTCTGTATCTGCTTTACCATAAATCTTCAGAAAATTAAAGGCATAATGATGCTGTTCTCCCCCTGTTTTGGTAAGGAATGGAAATAATCATTCACATTACCCACAGCAACAGGCCTCTGAGCCCCCAAAGGTCTGGACTCTGTCCGGATGTGGCCAGGGAGGAAGGATCCTCTGGGAAATGGAACATTGCAAGACGTGAACATTTATTGCACCTCTCGTAAATTCCATGAGGGTCTTCATCATGGGTGTGGAATAGTGGATGGCCTTCCCCAAGAAAGGATTTGCATGGTTCAGTAAGTAGGGCTAGCAGAGTCCAGCTTTCTCTCTGCTTTCCATTTCAAAGGAAAGGGAGCCTTTGACTTAAGGAAGCAACCCATAAGTGCCCCCAAAACAAAAAGTATGTCTCAGACTATTCTTATGCCTTCCACATGAAGATATAATAGGTTTTGAGAAGTGTATATGCTCATTTCTGATTTGCTTGAGTCTACAAGTAACACCAAAAACTTTGCTACCTGTCCAAAATTTTTCAATGTCTAATCCCAGACAAGATTCTTCAATTTCTTTTAGAGATCTTCAGTGTATTATTTTCTTTCTTTTCTTTCTTCACCTTGAGTTTCCAGACCTCTTCAAATTGCTCATGCCCTGTACTCTGTACCCTTCTCACTGCTGAGCTGAATGCAATTGGCTGCCCACACCTGCCCGTGCCTGTCTCCACAGAGTGTTCATGCCTACCTGGATATCAACACTAAGATAGGTAGAACAGCAGGAAAGGGAAGGCCCAAGGGATACATGCCTATAGTCTACATTTGTGTTCTCACCAGGAATACAATGACCAGCCATCTCTGCCCACAGCCAGGTACATCAGTGCTCTTTCTTCCAAACAAGCACACATTGAGATTACCCCCACAGCCCACATAACCAGAGCAGAGCTCCCCTTACATGCCTGAAAACTCATGCCCACTGCCACCTTCCCCCTCCCCTGGGGGCCTGCATGGGCTTTCATTAGAGGCACCAAGCATCTTGGATTGCCAGGAACAGTCCCAATTAATGTCTGGTGCCCTGTCCAGAGAAACATTTGTCCCAGTCAAAAGCAATTTTTCTAATAGTAAATTATGTGCTCTCTCTAATTTAATGCTTAATTTTTAAAAAGCAGCATGAGTCAGAATGCTTCTGGTTATAACCAAAGTTCTTTTCTTCTTCCCAGTTTTTAAAATATATATATATATATTAAGACTCACTAAGAAAATGAAGCAGACAAAGAGACCTGAAGTCCAGGTACACAAAAGACCTGGGGCAGATGATTGATAAAGTTTAAAAAGTAAGCACTGGCAGGGTTGTCAGACAGGCTAAGAGAAGTTTTGTGTGAGGCTTGAGGGAGGAACCAATCCCCAAAATTAGGAGGAGGCAGGATTCCAGGCTCAGGGGAGATGTTTTGGGATAATGCAATCCCCAGGCCAGGTTTTGGAGGACAGGCATTTTATGTGTCTCTCTCCCCTCTCTCCTCCCTCTTTGTGCCTGCATATTCTGGCCAATAATGCACCAGTGATTTTTCTCTGTTATTTCATTTATGGCAATGACTTCAGGTCTTGTGTCTGGTCATAATGGTGATCTATGTATGCCATCTACACTGGGCATGGCTAATGAATCCTATTTTATTTCTTAATTAAGAATTTGAAAGTGCCGCAAATTACTGCAATTAATATGGATTTTCTTCCTCATTTATTTACTTATTTAGATGCCTGAAATTGCACCCTTAGCTTAAACCAACCGCAGAGTTCAGAGCTTGTTAAAATATATAGCATTCATTAAAATATTTACTCTTCCCCAACAGTAAGGGTTGCAATTTGGAAATGGTGGTGGTATCTATGTATACAAAATGCTTCCAAAAAATCTATTGAATTCAGTTTATCCAGCTTAGTAATTTAAAAAGTTGAATTTATTGACAATCCTTTGTGCAACTGAAAAAAAACAGGATTTTCAAACTAGCCTATTGTTATGTTGACTTCAACCAGAGAAATTGTTGTTTTCCCTTTCAAAGTTCGTGAAGACTATGAGTATCACCACATTTTCAGGACTTCTGTGTCCATTGAAAGATAAGAATAACAATTTGAGGGTGGTTGAATTTATCAGACTTATTTCAAAACAATGGTACTTTGAAAATTGTTTAGCTTCAAATTTATCTCATAGTTTTCAAGATTCAACCTTAGTTTTCTTTCCTGGGTTCTTGTTTGGGGCTTTTCTTGTTTGGGGCTTTGGTTTCGGTTTCTAACTGGTTTTCATGGAGACAACTCAAGATAAAGTAGTTGAAATTAACCTGAACTACAGCCAGCAGGACTGTAAATGAATACAATCCTAACAGAAAGTGATTGGGGAATAACATACCAAAAGCTTTAAAAAAATGCATACCCATTGAAAGCCAGCTATTTTACTTCAAGGAATTTATCCTTAGGAAAGAAGAACGTGTACCAATGTTTAAGTACAATAATATTCATTGCAGCCCTGTTTATAATAGCAAAACAAAATAACCAAAATGTGCAGCAACAAAAGATTGAGTAAATTATGGTACAGACATATTAACATATGAAGCAGCTATTAAAAATTATGTGATTTGTATCAGTTATCTATGGCTGTTTTACACCAAAACTTAGTAGCTTAGAACAACAAATTTATTATCTCACAGTTTCTGAGGGTCTGGAATCTGGGCTTGGCTTAACTCCATCCTCTGACTCAGATCTCTCACAAGGCTACAATGAAGGTATTTGATGGAGCTACAATCACCTCAAGGCTTAACATGGAGAGGATTCACTCTCAAGTTCACTCAAGTGATTGTTGGCAGGATTCAGCTCCTCCTGGGCTGGTCTCCCTTAGCTCCTTGACACACGGGCATTTCTGTAGGGCAGACAGTTGATGACATGGCAGTTGGCTCCATGGCAGAAAGCAAGCCAGAGAATAAGAGAGCATGAGCAAGAAGATAGAGTCTTCTTGTAACCTAATCTTGGAAATGATATCCCAACACTGTGATATTCAATTGGTTGGATGTAAGTCAGAAGTTCAGCCCACACTCAAATGGAGTGATCACACAGTTATACAATGGTGAGAACACAAGGGGGTGGGGATCAAAGGGAATCATCTTAGAATGTGTCCACCACAGAGTTGAAGTTTATTTACTGGCAAAGGATATTCATTAATATCTTATTCAATGAAAGAAAAGGTCACAAAACAGCAAGGACAATAGGATCCCTGTTTTGTAAACTAAGACCGATAGAAAATATATTTGCATGTATACATAAATATTCATGAAACACTCTTTAAGTGTTCCTGGGTTAACAGTAGTTGTATCTAGATGGTGGAATAACAGATGAGTTTTATGTCCTGTTTCCTTATTTTTTTCTTTTTTTTCTGTAAAAGGAACATGTATTGTTTATAATTTTTAAAAGAGTAAATATTATTACCTTTTCAAGAAGCGATTTAAACCCTCAAGGCTTCTTTATTCTGACCTCCATTCTCTTTACAGGATTGTTTCTTGCTTACTACTTGTGGTCAACTAAGTAGAGATTCATAAGACCTTTATAGAACCACTGACAACACTGTGACCAAGGAAACTGTGAGTATGTTCTAGAACTTGCTTCTGTGTTTGTGTCTTCAAAACAGCTGCTATCACCAATAATTAAACCATAAAAAACCGAAATTATTTTTCCCTCTGGGGTGATTACAACCACACGGGAGCTGTGATGAGAGGTGAGTCCTGTGAAGATCTCCTCCTTGAGTCTTCCCCACTCCATTCTGGTTGCTTCCAGACAAGTGGTAACAATAATCACATGCTCATCTCCTCTGAAAAATTTAAAAGGGATAGGTTCTATTTATATGTCAAAAATAGATGAACAGATCTGACACTGCTGAACATAATTGCAAATTTGAAAAAAGGAGAGGGAATGGGTGAGAGAAAAGATAAAGCCATTAATAGCCTCCATACTTCATTAGTTTTCCTTCCTCATGCCACCAGGGAGGCCTGAGTTGGGGTGCCACTGATTTGGGGTTGGAATGATTTCCTAGCAATATAAAGTTTATCTTAAGGTCACTTGCTGATAAAAACTACTGTTTTGCCAGGCATCGATTTATTGGTTGTTTGACAAGCAGACCAGCTGTTCTATACTTATATTAAGCACAAAGAAAGCTGCTCAAGATGGATGCGCTGGCATCAGTGGGGGAGGAGGGTAATAGCCTCAAAGATGGCAGAGGATTAGGATTAGGTCTGAAATACTGGTGGATCTCTTTTCATTGGGATCTATAATAGAATAGCTGTTGTAACAGATAACATTCAAACTTTGATGGCTTAATAAAATGGATCACATTTCACTCATATAATAGCCAAAAGAGTTTTTGTCCAAATAATGGTTCAGAAACCCACCTGCCAATTGTCTGTGTTTTCTCCATCTTCTAGGGACTCTGAGTTGTATGTTAGGTCCTCTGTATCTAGCTGGGTTGATTGGGAAGGAGAAAATGAAGATGACACCCCCACTTCCTACCCAACTTGGCCTAAAATTGGCACACATCACTTTCATTCATACCTCACTGGTGAAAACTAATCATATGGGCCTCTCCTTGATGAAAGAGGCCTTGAGGTAGTCTCTGGCTAGTAGTTACTTCCCCACAATTCCACCATGCAGAAGGGTAGCACACACTGTGAGTGCTGTCAGGAAAGATCATAGCATTAGAACCTTCTTGCTGAGGAAACTTTTACTGGCATTCATATATATCTCACAGAGCAGGGATTAGTTAACTTATCAATGACTCTTTGAATGGTCAATTGTTCTTCCCTATATGGAGGAACTTCTAATGCCAGCTATATCCCCTTCTCATGGTTAAGGCAATAAGCCACTGGCAACAAGGTCCTAAAGATTCTAGGTTTCAAGGTTGTTCTCCACTGGAAGTGGTAGGTGTGCCTGCCAGTGCTGGAAGTCAGCAGAACTCACTGGGGTTTCAAGATACTAGCTTTCAAACTAACTCACTGTCTCTCTCTCTCTCTCTGCTTTAGCTTTTTGTTTGTTGACTGGTTGGTTGGTTTTTCTTTTTTTGAGTGTGCGTGTGTGTAATGACAGTAATAAGATATACCTCTTAGGGTTGTAAAGTCCCAAGGAGATAATTCAAGAAAGAGCACAATACACATTATCTCAACACATGGGTGGCTTTTCCAGCAAGTAGCCACATATATAAATAATTCCAGAAGTACCTTACCAACACTACCACAATTGCTGTTTCTTGTAATATCATTGTTATTAATAGGCTGCTATTATAATGATTAGCACTACTGCCAAAGATAAAATCATAACATCTCTTGTGTAGTGCTTTAGCATTTATTTATTTGATTCTCATGACAACCTTGTATAGTGAAAAGGAGATTCGCTATGATCATATCTATTTTATAGATGAAAGAACTGACCCTCAAGGAGACCAAGGGATAATGACCATGATGATCACATGATAGCCCAGTCAAACTGGCCACTTGGTTCTCAAACCCTGGCCTTTTAAGTCAAAATTGTATTACTACACTAAATGTAAAATGGCATCTTACCAAAATAAATGGAATCTTTGAAGAGACTTAGTCTCAATTCCTCATTGTTCAAATGAGTTGGGATATCTAGGAAAATTATTCTTTTTTATTCCACTACATGCTACTGACCTCAGGTCATCTTACTTTTTTCAAGGCTGGTCAGCCTAATTGCACCTGGGTTGGTGAGGAGGAGCAAATAGTATTAATGTTGGTGATTTCAGTTTATAGAGGCCATAATGTAGAGGGTTCTTGGAAATTTCTCCAAGGAATGTGAGTGGGGCCCCAAGAGGGAAGAAAATGGGTGCCCTCCAGTTTGGTATGTTTGGAAACAACACTGTGTGGCCAGCATCACAAACCCTAGTAGGCAGGTGACAGTCTGAAATCCACTTCTTGGTTTCTTATAGTTTTTTCTTCCCTTCAACTCTTTGGTCTTTTCCTAGCTAACTTTAGTGAATAATTTTCCAGTGACTTTTTTTTTTGTTACTGAGTGCAAAAAGAACTGTTACAGTGGCTCTAGGTTTGCAGTGTAAAGTCTTTGGAGACTGTGTTTGACCCTGTGTTGGGTGACTCCAACTGCCAGGAGCAATGAGCTATAGTCAACCTAGACCTCAACACGGAGACCAGCCCCCGGCCCCAGACCTGCTGTTGGCTGCTGTGATGACACAAGTTTAATTTAGACTCCAAGGAAGCCATGTTTTTCTCATCTGTCAAATCAAGTGGATGATGTTCACCCTCTCTACTTCCCCTACTTTCTTAGGGAAATACTGAGAACTTGAGGCTCAAATCAGTGAGTAGACAGAAAGTGCTTTGAAAAGCATACCATCTAGATAAGTGTGGAAGAAAGTCATCATTAGAATTCTGCTACTGCCATTATTGTTTTGGGGTCAGCTCAGCTTTTCTTAACACAGAGCAGTTAATGGCAACTGTATTAGATACCCACTGGGAGGGCAAAGGAGCCAGACAAGGGTCTCCTTTTATCCCATTTTAGCATCCTGTTTTCCTTTCACAACAGCTGTGTCTTGCGGGTTTATAAGTATTTTAATTACAGTGGCATTTTATTATACATTCTCCTGACAAAATTCAGGCTAGGGACTTTTTTTTTTTTAATCTGAAAAGTGGTGGATTTTCCTAGAGGCTGAGTTAACTTTAACCAGCAGTCAGAACACTGCTACCTTTGATCCCACTTAAAAGCATGGTAACTACCATTTTTCACAAATTATTTTCAGCATAACCAAAAAATAAAAATGTATTTGCAGGTCCACTAGCAAAAAGCAAAATGACAAAATCTATTAGCCATCTAGCTTTGTTTAATAAATTGGTCACCAGCTGAGAAGCATTTTTCCCATGGCCATAAGGAGTTACAGAATAGAAAATTTAGAAATCAACATAAAGACAGACCAGAAGAGTTAGACAAAGAAAAAGAGTATCTCACTCCTCATCCTGTTGTATGGCCATTCTGTTGCTTCCTGCAGCATCTCAAATAGGTTTTCCCAGAATAATCATCAAAAAGACAAGTAAACTCTGCCTTGCTAGAATAAAAAGATAAATGTTGCAAAGTAGGTAATCCATATAGTTAGAATGAAAAAATGTCAGGTTGAAAAAGGCTTTGGAGCATGTAGTCTAAAATTGTCGTTTTACAGGTGAGAAAATTAAGGCTCAGACCAGTGAAGGGCATGTCCAAGATCATGCAAAAGAGCAAGTATTAAGATGACTCCTAAGGGACTGTATCAGTTTCCCATTGCTGCTATAATTAATTATTGCAAACTTTAGTGGCTTAAAGCAACACAAATTCATTGTTTTACATACAGTTCTGTAGGTCAGAGGTCTGACAAGGGTCACACTGGACTAAAATCAAGGTACCAGCAGTGCTGGGCTCCTTTCTGGAGACTCTGAAAAGAATCTATTTCCTTGCCCTTTCCAGCTTCTAGAGGTTGCCTGCATTCCTTGGCTGATGGCTCCTTCCTCCATCTTCAAAGGCAGCAACATTGCATCTCCCTGACCATTCTTCTGTAGTCCATCTCTGGCCACAGCCAAGAAAGGTTTTCCACTTTTAAGGGCTCATATGATTAGGCTGGATCCACCTGAATGATGCAGAATAATCTCCCTATCTTGAGTTCAATGACTTTTAATTACATCCGCAAAGTCCCTCTTGACATATAAGGCAACACATTCGCAAGTTCCTGGGGATTAGGGCACAGGCATCTTTGAGTAGAGATGGGCATTATTCTGCCTACCATGGGGAGGAAAGATGGTGAGTCAGTAGAGAGTTGGTTGGTTGAGCAAGGAAATAGTTGTGGATACCTGTTGCAGGTTGGGGTCCCCAAGCATCAAACTCTGAGATGAAGGTGTGTGTGTTGGAAGTAAGAGGGCTTTCGGGATCAGCCACTGCAGAGGAGTGGAATTAAAAGAGGCAGAATAGGCAGAGGGAGGAGCTGGACTTTGGGCTCATCACAAGGTCCAGCTGACCCCTTGGGGATACCTAAAATGGGATGGCCTCTCAGAGTTATCAAGAGGGGCTGAGACTTTAAACTCTTTCTCTGATTGCTATGACCACATCAAGCAGTCACAGGATACGGGCTGCCCTGTGTATGTGTGTTGGGGAGAATTGCTGGTGTAACTAAGTCAGCTTTCTTCTCCGAGGTCAACTCCCAATAGCTAGGGTAATATGTCCTTCATTCATGAAAGATGATTTAAGCAAATAATCACAGCTACTTCTAGAATACCTGTACCTAAGCTTCACTTTTACATGTGAAAAAAATAAAAGGTCAGCTGTGGTCTGGAATTAAACCTGATTACAAAGTGGTCCTAGACTCAGAACTTAGGAATCAGAAGGAAAATAGTCATGTGTTTCATCTATAGTGTAAGGAGAAATGAGGTATGGCCTTGAAGGAGAGTGGACTCTTTGAGGATGTATGAACATGAGAGCAAGAGCAGGCAGGGATAACGTGAGCATGGCAGAATGATGAGATTGGGTTGGATATGGTGTGGACCCCAGAGGAAAAAAACAAGCAGATTGTAAGTTCTGGGGACTAAGATCCAAACCAACATCCAAATCCAGGGTTCTGCCCAAACAACAGCAAAGAAGTGGCATTGGCAGAGGCTGAGGGCAGGGCAGGGCAGGACAGGTAGTCCTGATATTGGCTTAGAAGGATTCCAGCAACTTTCAGCAGGTACTGGTGGTCAAAAGAGTAGAGTTCATGGTCAGCCATGGAAGTGGCTAAAGAACAGGTCAGAAATCTTATTTCAACAGAACTGAGGAAAGGGTAAGAACTTAGTGGGGAAAAGGGCATTCTGTGTTACAGTAAGCAGGTGGACTACAGCTTTGGGTCATCTGGCCCATGAATGTCATTGGCTCAAGCCCAAGTCTGATCCTGGTGCAGGAAATGAAGATGCTCTGGTCACCTGAGTAGCAAGGGTTAAAAACATTTAAGGGGCTGGGAAGGCAAAACCATCTGCTCACTCCAGGGGAAGTGCTCTCACATTACATCAGGGCTGACCTCAATGTTCAATCTAACTGAATGGTATCCACACTCAGCAAGGAAGGTACAAAGACTGATTTGTTCCCACCCTTTAGTCCCCACGTTCTCACTCCCTCGGGTCAGTGGTGAGCCAGCACTGCATAAGGATAGTTCTTCCTGTTTGTCCAGATGGACAAGACGAACTCCCCAGCTACCTCCACTTTTCCACACATCCAGGCTGCAAAGCCTAAAGGACATATTATTTTTGAAAAAGATTTCCTGCATCTTCTAGAAGACTGTGAAGACATTGCACTGGGCCAACCATACTTGTAGACAAAAATGGTTTTGATTATCCTACATGGTTCGATTCAAGTGGTGAGAAACATCATTGCCTTTCTGTAAGTCCTTTCTGCATGCATATGTCAGCAAGAACATTCATAATAATGGCTCATGATTCTTATAGGGCTTCACATTTTATGTAACAGTTAACCTATACTAAATCTCTTGAATTTCACAATGCTACTTATAATCCCAGCACTTTGAGAGGCTGAGGCCAGCAGATCATTTGAGGTGAGGAGTTCAAGACCAGCCTGGCCAACATAGGGAAAACCTGTCTCTACTAAAAATACAAAAACTATCTAGGTGTGGTGGTGTGCTCCTGTGGTCTCAGCTACTTGGGAGGCCGAGGCATGAGAATTGCTTGAATCCAGGAGACAGACATTGCAGTGAGCCGAGATCGTACCACTGCACTCCCGCCTGGTCAACAGAGCAAGACTCTGTCTCAAAAACAAAAACAAAAACACAATACTACTTGGGGGAGAGAATTTTTAATATTCTTCTTAAAGGTGAAGAAATTGAGATTCAAAGAGTTTAAGTGCCTTACATTAAGTCACAAAGAGAGAATCCAAAATGGGACCCAGGGCATATAAATCCCAGCTGTCCCCAGCCCATCAACATAATAATTCTACCCTGAACAGAAGACCTTCGCATCTCACTGGAAGATGCAAAACACTGGAAGTTTGACAGAAAGGAGTGTCACAAAGTGTAGAAAAAACTGGGGGAGAAATAATCTGAATTTCACATTTTGTCTCAGATCACATAGAGATTATTGTTTTTAACTCTTTAACTTGGTGTTTTGAACTGTTCAAAGCATCTCTCATCTTTATCTCATTTCATCAGCTCAGCAATCCTGTGATATAGGCAAAGCAGACCTGACAGGTGAGGAAACTGAAACCCAGAGAGATTAGGGGACTTGCACAAGAATAGACGGGCATTTGGTGGCAGATTCAAGGCTGGAAACTAGATCTTTGAGGGCAGTAGCCTTCAGAATAGGAATGAGATGGGAGAGAAGTATGTGTCGAATGAGGTAGGAGGGAAGCATTTTATTAAAAGATTAATCAAAATTCATTTGAAAGCCAAAGGGCCAAGAACAGTCCAAAGAAATTTGAAAAAGACTGACTATGAAGAAGATGAATTTACACTGTAGACATCAAAGCACAGGAAAAAAATTGTGCAAGAGAAGTATAGGGATAGAGAGACCAGTGGAATAAACTAGAAAGTCTAGAAAGAGACCCAGGCATTTTGGAAAACTGGTACATGATGGGGTGATTACAACTAAGTGGGGAAGGAATAGACTGTTTGATACATAGTGTCACAGAAATTGGCTCTTCATATTGGAAAATTAACATTAGAGCTCAATTTCATATGCAAAATAACACAAAATATTGCAAATAAATTCCAGATGGATTAAAAGTTAAAGTAAAAAATTATCTTTTAAACTATTCAAAGAATATTCAGGAAGATAGTTTAATAATATCTGATTAAGAAAAAATTTTAAGAACACAAAAGTAATGAAAAAGATCAATAAATTTGACTATGTTAAAATTTAAGACCAAGTTTATAGTCTTGTAGGAACAAAGTCACCATAAACAAAGCTAAAAGACAGGTGAGAGATTTGGAGGAGAAGTTTGCAATGCATGTGACCTAAAAAGGGTTAATCTCCAAAAATGTGTGTATATGGGATAGGGAGTCAGATGGGGACAACAATAAGTAAAAGACAAACAGCCCAACAGAAAAACAAAATATTAAAGCAGGCAGTTCACAGAAATGGAAATCAAAATGGCCTATAAAAATATGAAAAGATGGCCTACCTCACTGATAATCAGGGAAATGCCCATTAAAAAGCAAATAGATAGCATTTCACACCTATTCAACTGTCAAAAATTGAAAGGTTCAGCAATGCCAAGTTTTTATGGGAAATGGGCACTGCCATCCTAGAGGAAGTCCAAATTGTTTTTATCTCTTTAGAGGGCAATTTAGAAATACCTTGTAAAAGTAAGGATATACATACCCTATGACAACTAGTTTTATGTCTAAATATAATCCCTAGAAAAACTCTTACTCCGGTGTGTAATAGGACAGGTAAGAGGATGTTTATTATTGCATTATTTACAATATTGAAAATTGGAAAACAATTTAAATGTTCATCAATAGAGCAATGGGAAAACACTGTACAGGCACAGCAGTGAGTTCCCGTGAGCTAGATGCAGGCATCAAGAAGGATGATCTTGAAAAAATCCAAGGTCTGTGTAAAAAATCAAACCACATTAATATACCATTTACACACATATTTAAAACATATAAAACAATGTTATCAATCACGTATGGATTCAGACATATGCATAATAGAAGCATAAAAACACAGAATGCATGCAAGTTCAAGAGAATGCCTTTTTGGAAGAAGGAGTAGAATAGGCTCACAGAAAGGATAAAAAGGGTGCGATAGTACCTATAGTGTTTTATTTCTTTAATTACAAATAAAAGTAAAAATAAATCAGAGAAATATTAGCATAATAATATTCTGGGCAGTGGATATTGAGTGTTTAATATAGTAAACAATTCAGAAAAGGGAAAAGGAAAAAGCTCCTCACCAGCAGCCTCACCTTCCTCTGGTGGAAATGAGAAGGCAGTGGGGAGCAGGAGGCTACAGGAGAGCAGAGCTGACAGCTTTGAAAATTACTTGGCTGTGGATGTCTGCTCATGCACACACACACACCAAGATAGTTCTGCACATGATAGTAGTGGGGTCATTTGTGGAAAGAGCACTGCTGAGCAAGGTCACCAAGGACCACTGGGGTCCCAGCCAGCACCAGCTCTGCCAGGGCATTCCAGAGCTAGGAATGGGGTTTAGAACACCAAATGGTTAAATATGGTAGGAACATGTTTCTCTCAATTTAAAGGAAGTCCAGAAGTACGCAGTACGGGGCTAGGATGGTGGCTCTGCCACATCCCCAGGACTCAATCTCTTTCTACCTTTCTGTTCTGCCATTCCTAGTCACAGGGGTTCCATCTCCAAAGTGACCTTAAGATCTGAGGTGACCACTGCAACTCCAAGCCATCCTGGTAAGACACAAGAAGAAGTGAAGATGGGGAGGGCAAAATGGTCCCTATTGGCTGACTGTACCTCTCTAAAACTTCTTTCCTGGAGGCCCTTAACTTGCATGGACATTTTTGGATCATCCCTAATGCCAAGGGAGGCTAGGAAATTGTATTAGTTTGTTTTCACACTTCTATAAAGACATACTTGAGACTGCGTAGTTTATAAACAAAGGAGGTTTAATTGACTCACAGTTCTGCACGGCGGGTGAGACCTCAGGAAACTTACAATCATGGTGGAAGGGGAAGCAGGTATGCTGTACATGGCAGCAAGTGAGAGAGAGTGTGTGTAAGTGCAGGGAAAACTACCATTTATAAAACCATCAGATCTCATGAGAATTCACTATCACGAAAACAGCATGGAAGAAACTGCCCCCATAATCCAATCACTTCCCTCAGTCCACATGTAGTGATTACAGTTCAGGATTAGATTTGGGTGGGTCACAGAGCCAAGCCATATCAGAAATGTTTTCTTTAATTCAATCAGCAATGTGCCTAGCTAAAAAGTTGGGATTACTATTGCTAAGGAAAAAGGGGGAATGGCTAGCTGGTTCGCAGCTAATAATGGCTACCAGAGTTGGTGACTAATTCTGTGCCCACAGACAAGGGCTTTCTTCCTCTGAACATTGCTTTCCTGTCCATGCAAAAAAGAGGATAGATGAGGTGCTGCTTTCCTCAATAGAGCCAATCATCTTTTCTCACCTTGTTCATTGCTTCAAACTTTAGTCAAACTTCAACTTGAGACAATTATCTTGAAGCCCTTGTCTACTCGCTCTCTTTCCCTTACTGCAGGGATTTGGGTCTTTGAAACTTTTTCGCCCTGCATAGTTTTGGTTCTATATCTATGTTCCACACTCACCTCTCTTTGGGAATTACAACTTCTCTTCCAGGTTCACCAACTGCTAGAAACACCCAGATTTTAACTTTCCAACTCACTTCTTCCAAGAAGCTCCCCCTGGTATATGGCCACCTCCTCTGAGACCACTTCATCCCACTGTCCATTGTCAAGAGCATGTCTTTCACTCAGAGAATCAAAACTTTTGTTGAAGACAGACCTTACACCATCTGGCCTAATGATTTGCAACTTGTTTTTCAGAGCCCTTTCTGCAAGTAAAAACATATGTGAAACCCCAACATGATGGATAAAATGAATAAAATGTAGAATGGGATGGGGCAGAGGAGCCCCAAGTCACTTCAGAACATAGTTAGAAAAGATAATATCTTGCCCTCATTTTATGAATAAAGACATTGCTGCCCAAAGATAGAATTCAATTGTTCATGGTATATAGCTCATAATAGCAACACCTATAATAACAACAGCATTATCTAATACTAACCCACTGTGTGAAATACTGGTGTGAGTGTTTTATGTATATTAATTACTTTGTGATAATCCAAAGTTGCATAGGTAGTCAAGGAAAGAGCCAGGATTTGAACGAGGCACTCTGACTCGAGAGACTGTGCCAGAAATCACTATTCAATAAGCATTTTAGCCACATGGCTGGAATAATTCTAGTCCTCTAACTCCTAGGCCAAAATTACCTTCTATGATTTGCTTTATACTAGTTTTTTAGTTATGGATTCTGGACATGTTTCTTTAAGTGTTGTTCTGTGACTCATATTTATTTTTTCACTGCATACATTAGGCATTTAATGAACACTTTTGATAAAATATTTGAATTCAGTGGGTAAGGAACAACTGCTTTTCACTTGAAACTTTGGTGAGATTTGACTTGGCTCACAAAGGCCACTGCATAAAGGCTAAATAGAAACATCAAGCCACATCCTTAATCACCTAAATGGAAGACTACATTCCTGCCAAATCATGTCTGCAAAGAGGAAAGGCAAGCATCTTGGACAATGTTCTGTGCATAGTCATCTTTTAAGTCAAGTCCTGGCAGGGTAGAAAGTGGTTGTACCTTGTTAGCGTTCTGTACTTCTTTCTCCAGAGTGGCGGTATAGGAAGGGTGATCTGGAGACCAGGAAGGCAAGAATTGGGTGACCATTTGCAAAGCCCAATTTTTCCATGTCCACCTTTCTATCTGGACAGTTGAATTCTACAGGAGAAATCACAAATTCCCCAAATTAGTGCCTACTGTACATTCATGGTCCCTTCCTCAACTCAGGCTATCCTTCATCATGTCCATAGTCACTCATCATCAACCCTGACAAGAAACAAGAAGTGCCGCTTCTTCTCTGTTATCAGCAACACCATCCACCCTTGTGATCAAGCCAAAACTTGGTAGTCATCTTTTATTTTTTTCTCACTCTGTCACCCAGGCTGGAGTACAGTGTTGCAATCTCGGCTCACTGCAACCTCCACCTCCTGGGTTCAAGTGATTCTCCTGCCTCAGCCTCCCAAGTAGCTGGGATCACAGGCACATGCCACCATGCCCAGAAAAAAAATTTTTTTTTTTTAAATAGCGACAGGGTCTCACCATGTTGGCCAGGCTTGTCTCAAACTCCTGACCTCAGGTTGATCTGCCTGCCTCAGTCTCCCAAAGCGCTGGGATTACAGGTGTGAGCCACTGTGCCCGGCCTGGTAGTCATCTTTGACTCCTCTTTCTCCCTCCACACCATCATTGAGACAGTCACTATGCCCTGCTATTCCTATCTCCTTCACCTCTCTTCAGTCTGTCCACTCCCCTCTGTTAGTCTACACTTTGTTTCGAGACAGCACCTTCCAGCCCGTTCTTGGTCTAAGGAAGCCAGAGCTTTTTAAAACAGAATCGGGTCATCACACACACACACATACACACACACACACACACACACACATCCTTTCTTAATGGATCTCCATAATATAAGCTTTGGGATAGAGTCAAAACTCATAAAATAGAAAGCCAGGTTGTTCAGTGTCTGGCCACTGCTTTCCTCCCAGCTTCATATTTCCTCACTTGGATCCTAGATTCCCCTAAATTGTGGATCTCTGCATACGCTGCATCCTGTCTGACTCTCTCTCTCGTCCCTACCTCTCGGTCAATACTTGGCAAATGCATGAGTGAATTTGGATGCAGGAGGAGAAGAAAGAAAAGACAGACAGAGGAAGGAGGGATAAAAGTAACAATAATAACAACCACAAAAAACTTGGACATGTGGATGGAGGAAGAAAGTTTGTCCAAAGTAGAAAAATAGGAAATAAAAACAAAACAAAATCAAACAAGAAACAAACAAAATACAATGGCCGGGGCCTCAAAGCATTGTTTATAAGATCCTGGTGGCATATTTCTATTTTAAATTAAACTCTAGGGCATAAACTTCACTTGACTGGTCCCTAGTCAGCACTGTAGACCTCAAAATGCCACCCAGCCACCCGGTGATCCTACAAAGCAAGGTGAGGGGTTGAAGCCTTGAGGACAGATCAGAGGAGTGGTGATTAAATCCAAGACTGAGTCTTGCTTCAACCTTGGGATTATATCAATGTACATTTCTATGAGACAGTGTCCTCTTGCCTTCTTACTGAAGCAAGTCATTGCCTATGTTAGCCCCCTTCTTCCCTGGACCTCTCTATGACACCCTGGGAAAGGTATACTTATTGATAACTTGGCTCCATTTCTCGAGGGATTTAGGTCACTTAATATGTAATGGCCCTTAAGAGAAGCCAGTTAAATTTGGGGCTGAACTGGTAAAATATTAGTATCTGCAACGTAGCAGCCCAGAGCACAGAGAAAAGAGTGGAAAGAACACGGAACGCCTATGTCATGAGACCAAGTGCTGCTATCCCAGCACCTTGGCAAGCGCCAACTCCCAGGTCTGACCTGCTTGCTGAAAGTTTGAAGACCACCCAAAGGCACTTTAGCAATTCATGTGAGCAAAGGCCTCATGAAGCTCCGTGTGGCAACACCAGTTTCCTGGGGCCAATGCTTCATGCCTATTAATGTGATAATCTGTTTTCAAACCAGACAGTTGAAGTGAGAAAGAAGAATGAGCAGAGATGATTCCCATTACCAAGGGCAACTTGATCCCTAATAGTAGCGGCAAATGTGAACAAACTCAATTCTTAACATACTTAATTTCATTCAGTGCTCACAACCCTCCTATGAAAGAAGTATCATCTTTATTATACAAAAGAGTGTGAAATTCAGAGAAGTAACATTTCCAAGTGTGATGGTTAATATTAGGTTTCAACTTGATTGGACTGAAAGATGCCTGGATAGCTGGTAAAATATTGTTCCTTGGTGTGTCTGTGAGGATGTTGCCAGAGGAGATTGACATTTGAGTCAGTGGACCGGGAGAGGAAGACCCACTGTCAGTGTGGGTGGGCACCATCCAATTGGCTGCCAGGGTAGCTAGAACAAAGCAGGCAGAAGAAGGTGGGATAACCTTGGCTGGGTGCAGTGGCTCACGCCTGTAATCCCAACACTTTAGGAAGCTGAGGCAGGCACTTGAGGTCAGGAGTTCGAGGCCAGCCTGGCAAACATGGTGAAACCCCATCTCTAGCAAAAATACAAAACCCCATCTCTAGCAAAAATTAGCCAGGCATGGTGGCAGGTGCCTGTAAACCCAGCTACTGCAGAGGCTGAGGCAGGAGAACTGCTTGAACCCAGGAGGTAGAGGTTGCAGTGAGCCAAGATTGCACCACTGCACTACAGCCTAGGCAACAAGAGCAAGACTCCGTCTCAAAAAAAAATGGAAGGTGAGATAACTGCTTGCTGGGCCTTCTGGCTGCCTTCTTTCTCCCATGCTGGAGACTTCTTCCTGCTCCTTCCACCCTTGGACATTAGACTCCAGGTTCTTTGGCTTATGGACTCTGGAACTTGCACTAGTGGCTTGCCAGAGGCTCTCAGGCCTTTGGCCACAGACTGAAGTCTGCACTGTCAGTTTCCCTGGATTGAGGCTTTCTGACTCAGACTGAGCCACTACCAGCTTCTCTCTTCCCCAGCTTGCAGACAGCCTATTGTGGGACTTTGCCTTGTAATAGTGTGAAGCCCATTCTCTCTAATAAACTCCCATATATATGGGAGTGTGTATATGTGTATATATACACACACACATACTAGCTGATGACAGAGGCAGAAAGTGATTGCTGGATTTCTTGGTTCCCAATTTGGCTCTTTCCTCACTATACCCTACTGCTTCCTGGACTCTTGCAAGCATGAACCTGATAGCCACAGTCATTCAACAGTTAATTCAACAACCGTGTATTGATCCCCTTCCAGGCATCAGGCACTGTGTTAGGCCAGTGAGGATACAACAGGTTCAAAACAGAAAACGTTTCTTATCCTGTGTGGGGGTCATATTCAACTGAAGAGATAGACATACAATCTTTCAGGCAGAGGGCAATACACCCTATGTCCTATGCAAAATAATAAAACAAAGCAAGGGAAACAGAGAGCAGTGGGGCAAGAGAATAGGTTTTGTTTTTCAAGGGTGGCCAGACAAGGCCTCTCTGTTGACACCTGGCTTTGAGCTTTCCAACGAAATCCATTTCCAGCTTTGATGTATGCCCTGCTGGTACCCACAGTGCAGCAGCGGGCTGACAATGAGCACATTAGAGACAAAGAACAACCAGTAGGCATGGTGTTCCCATTGAGAAGGGAGGATTCAAAAGTAAGCCCCAAATATGCCACATCCTGCCATGGGGCAGTTTCACAAGTAGAATGGGGTGGTCACTAACTAGCTTGGCAAGCAGAGAGGATTTTTTGGTGACGGATCTGTCCCCAGCGAAAATGGCCCAATGACTCAGGAGCTTAAGGAAGCTGTCCGTGCAATCTGATTCTGCCTATGAATGCCTTCTGAATACCTTCTATCAGAAATATAATAGCTGGAGAACTGCAGGAGGAGAGCAAGGGGAAAGCCTTTAGACAAGCTTCAAGATCTCATTGAAAATGTTTCCTTCATAGACTTAGGAGGTTATGTTTCTGGGAAAGCCACTAAAAGTAAAATAAGAGGAAGATTCTGTTCATGCCTTAGAAACAACATGGAAGTCCATTCCTGTCCAAGGACCAGAAAAAAAAACTTTAAAAATAGAAAGTGACAAATATAATCTATTTCATAACTATAATGCAATATATCTGTACATTGTGTAGTGCAAGTTTTTAAAAAAGATTTAGCAATCAAATAAATCAACAACAAAGAAAACAATTTCCCAGCTACATACTTCCCGGGAACACATTTCTGTATTTTACTACTGAAATCACCCTCAGAAGAGTTCTGTGAGGCTGAGAGCTCAAGGAGAAGCACCTGACAGGGTCAGTGCCTGAAGCTGGGAAATAAGGATGCAAAACAGACAGGGAAGGGCAGCGAGAAGCTGCCAGACGCCCAGAGCCAAGAAGTTTTGTGCCCAGGGTGACAGGAAGCAGCCTGGTTGAATGGTGTCACTTGCCGTTTGCTGCAACACCATAAGTTCTACGGTAGATGAAATTGGCAGGAATCATGCAAGAAGCTCACACTCCCTCTGTATCTTCACCTCTCCCTCCCATCTCCACTCCTGTTCCTGGAGACTGTCAGATCTGCTCTGAAGTTAACCTCCATCTCAGCTCAGGATTCATCTCCTCCTGTCTCCTAATTAGGCTCCTTCTCCCTCAGCTGGTCTCTCCCTTTCAATTAGTCTTCCTCCCATTTTAAGGGAAAGAAAAAAAGAGAGAGAGAACTTTCCTTGGTCCTGCTTTCCCCTCCAAGCTGGCATTCCATCTCTCCACTTTGCTTAATTGCCAGGTTGTAAAGAAAGGTTTCTGCACTCACTGTCTCTCCTTCCTACTCTCCACCTTCTTTAACACCCACAGTCAGCTTTCTGTTCCCACAGCTCCACAGAAACTTCTCTAACTGCTGAATGTGTCAACTTGTTTAAGCCTTTAGCCTCTGCAGTTTTGTCACTGTAACCATTACTTGGACCCAGCCCCTTAAAACTTTCACCTCATTTGGCCTGCATGACTCTGTCCCCTTGGTCTTCTCTAAAGCCTTCTCATTTTCTTCCCAGTCCCAAACACCACCACCACCACCTTCATTTTTCACTGGTGGAGAAGAGACGAGAATCACCAGACTCACTGGTTGTTTTGGGGTCACACACTCCTTTGAGACTCTGATGGCAATGTTAGAGTCTCCCCAAAATGTCATTTTATTGATACATATTCACATACACACATATGTATATACATGTGTAAACATTATCTCAAAAGGTCCCTAAATTAAGAAGAGCCTCTGTCACAGAAAATAGCTGTTTTTACAAAATGTAACTATGATGTCATGTGGCTGATCCACACTACACTTAAACCATACATTTCTGGTGAGTGCTCGACATTCAGAGGTGCTATAATAGAATAAAACATTTTATCAGGAGGCTGATCCCAGGATTCTCATCCAGTTTTCACACCTTAAAGGCTGTATGATCTTGGGCAATTCACCTCTCTAAACCAAAGTTATCTCCTCTATAAAAATGGGTATTATAATTTCTTCTTTGCCTTGCGGGATTGTTGTAAAGATTAAATAAGATCAGGAATTTGAAATACTTTGCAAACTTCTAAGTATTACAGAAATGATCACTGTCAAAATCATTGATCAATATCCTTGGAGCTGCAGTGTGTTGGGGAAGAGGGGCCAGGAGGGTGTCAACATTGGGTTTTAATCCCATCTTGGGCACCACATTGTGATTTGACCTGGGTCCATGTCCCAGTTTGTAGACTGGAGATGATCATAGGTATCTTAGCTACCTCATAGAGCTAGTCTGAGTATCAAATGAAATAATGAATGTGGAGGGACTTTGCAACTCAGCAAGACCAGGGCGCCTGCCATTTCTCATCCTCTTCTTTGTCTCTCTCCACGTGCATTAATTGAACTCTGTGAGCCAAACAGAGTGAGCCTGCTCTGACAAGAGTCTCACTATGCCTGACGATAGAGCATTCCTACAAAATAACTCTAGAGTCAAATTAGACTCCAGTGAGTTAATCATGGATAATATAATTATAAGAAGCCGCAAATAAATTGGTAATAATTGGCTACTTATTGTTTTTTAAAAGGGGGCATGGAGAGAAAGAATACAGTGTACAAGAAAGATTATCCTTTGTAGAAATAATCACTCCTCCTGATCACTTGGCCTATATTGGAACCCACCCCAAGGAGTGCTGCTTTCTCTCTGGCATGCTGGGTTGCTATAAAATACTTTCTTGAAATCCTTGACTTGAAATCCTGCCCTTAGGCCGGGCGCGGTGGCTCACGCCTGTAATCCCAGCACTTTGGGAGGCCGAGGCGGGCGGATCACGAGGTCAGGAGATCGAGACCATCCTGGCTAACACGGTGAAACCCCGTCTCTACTAAAAATACAAAAAATTAGCGGGGCGTGGTAGCGGGCGCCTGTAGTCCCAGCTACTCGGGAGGCTGAGGCAGGAGAATGGCGTGAACCCGGGAGGCGGAGCTTGCAGTGAGCCGAGATCGCGCCACTGCACTCCAGCCTGGGCGACAGAGCGAGACTCCGTCTCAAAAAAAAAAAAAAAAAAAAGAAATCCTGCCCTTATCCTGACGCATGAGTGTGTTAGTAATCTCTAGCAGGTTTCCAGTTCCTCAAGAAAGAGCATGGTGGTCAGAACTGTTGCACATTCCTTGTTCCCAGCCCCTTCTTTACTTCACTGCACCCAGCCAAGACTCAGAATATAAAGGTCAGGGGCAAATGCAAACAGACCAGCAAAGTTAAAGTGGATCCGTCTCTACCTTTTCACCAGGTTCTATCTGGTTTCGGGAAGAGGTGGGATTTTCACAGCACTATGAGAAGGAAGGGATCAGCTATTGTCTTGTGAGAACAAGCCTGGTCACTGTCAGATAAGATAACATAGCAAGAAGTATTTCTCAAAAGGACCTCCTTTGCAGGGGTGAGGAAAGACAAGGGTCTGGGGCTCCACATACAAGGGCAGGAAGAGAGGAAACGGGAGAGAAGCTAACATTACTGAGCTAAGGACATTACCTATATTATTTCATTCAGTTCACTCAACAGTGACCTCTAGTATGTGTGTATTGTCCCGTTTTACCAGCAAAGAACCTGAGGATCAAAAAGGCTATAACTTGCCCAAGATCACACAGAGAATAATGAACAGAGAAGCCTCCAAATGCCAGACTATTTTGACTCTGGCAAACTGGCTCGCCAAAGGTGAGGATAGCCAGGAAAAGAGAGTGACTCTCTGCTTATGTCCTGTCCATCAACACTCCCCTTATAAGGGACCTGTGATTATGATGAGGGCCACAAACTATGAGTAAGTCAGGACCAACCTGAGACTTGAATCGTCCACTTACCAGCTTTGTGGACTGAGTCCTTAAAACATATTAATAAAGTGAACATAATATTATCTCTCTGGAAAATGTGTAAGTTGCTATGTAGTTCCAGCACAATGCTTTTTGTATAAATGCTTCGTCTCCCACCTGCATTAGGCTGCATTGCCATGTAGAGAAGTGTCATTGTCTCTGTTGAACAGGGTGCAGGTGAAGGACATGTCCCTGGCAAAGATGCAGAAGAGCAAGGGCCATAGAGTTGCCGGGACACTGGGCAAGGATAAAGTTAGCTTTAGAGTACCCAGAACACAGTCAAGGTCCGATAATGAATTACCCAGTCAGAGCAGGACTGGAAGTGACAAGGGATTCCTGAAAGGTTTCTCAACACTTTCCCCGGATCAGAGTGGTCCCAGAGTCTTGGGCAGAGCTACATCTTCCCATGGTGGGGCAAGTGACTTCCGCTCTGGGGAAAAAATCACTCATGAAGGAGGAAGCCCACAAGTCTTGGCTAGAGCAAGAACATCATGGGACATGAGCTCCAACCCTGATTTCTTCCTCTTATCCTTGGATGTGATATCCTGGTTTTATGGCTCTTGAGAAAAGTATAAGCTCCTAGAGGTAATGGATTCTATAGTAAATGTTATTGGATTTTTCACAGGGCTTAGAGGAGCATAGAACTCAAATAAGTGGTCCCTAAAGGCAGGATTCCGTGGCATCTGTCTGTGAGTTCCCATAGTTAACTTTTCCCATAGTGACTTTAGTGTGGGGCAGAAGATGCTGGAAGACTTGTGAAACAGGCAGATTCCCAAATTCCACCCTGAGAGATACAGATATGGGAAGATTAGGGGTGGGGTTGTTAAACTCACTAGTTGTTTCCAATGCAGTTGATTCTTGGGGGGAAATCTTTGAGAAACTCTCGATAGTCTATTGTTTCACATATCATCTTGAACTAAAGTTAATTGTTTAGAGATTAAGCTGCCTCCATGAGAACATAAGCTCCTCCAGGGCAGGGTCTGTGCCATCTCATCCCGGTAACCCAGAGCCTAGCAGATCACCTGGCATGCTGTAGGTGTTTGGTTGGACTCAACAGACCTGGAAGACCATAAAATGCATCTTATTCCCATAGGAACAGTTCCATGTCTAGGATTTGTGTTGTGGACAAGGGTCACTATATCCTCATATATCATAAACATGGGCAACAATATTGCACCATGAGATGCTAGAGTGATCAAGCTGAAAAGTACCCTAATTCATTCTTTAACATTCATAAAGCAAAGGAACAGCTCCGGACCTCTGCAATCACTGGGAATAGTAAGATTATGCTCCAAGAAACATTCTGTGACAGCGCATCTAGTCAATGTAATAAAGTTTACCTTACAGTCACTTTGTAGATAGGAGAACTGAAACATAAATAAGTTAACTGACACATTCAATGTTGCATCATGAATCAGCACCAGACCCAGAATTCAGACCCAGGATCCTGGATTTTCTAGGTGGTGCTTCTTCCAAACCACAAGATTCTGATAAGGACCTATGTGTCCTATGTGTCCTATTTCTGGTTTTTTTTTTTTAAGGAATGATCAATAAAATATTTTCTTTTGTAATGCTTCTACTGCTTGCAACAGGGAAATTTATCACAAGAAGAAGGCATCATTTTAAAGTTCCATGGGCAGCTCTTTCCAGAGATGTGGTCCATGGAAAGTCTTGCCCAGAGACCCTTGGAATTCTAAGAAGGAAATAAAGTGAGAGTTAATTAAATGTGTAATTAATGTTGATTGTGGCAAGCATGCTTCTTTTAGGTCAGATTGATGCTGCAGGGGAGTGATAGTATTTTTGATTGTTGTGTTTGTTTTTAGGATATTAGGGCCCTTGTCTAAGCCCTGGGATTTTTACTTAGAGTCAGGCTTTGAGATTAGGGAACAGGCTATGGTGGGCTTCAGGGAACAAGCTCTACAAGGGGTCTCTCCACGTTATGTACATTAACCAAAATGGGGTCATCCCATGCTCTGTGCTTACTGAGCAAGTTTCCCTTCAGCACTGCCACATCCCTCCCTAGCCAATGCTTAACAAATCACACCAACGTGACTAACTCAGTGTCTGGTTCTTATTTTTCCTCCTTCCCTTTTCTGTTTGCCATTGTAACCCTCCTGTCTTAATGCTTTTCTGCCTCTTCAGGAATTTTGACTACTCCATCAAGCTTTAGTCTCTGCAAAACACATTCCTATTAGTCAGTTCTCAGACACAATCTCCACTTTTTCACCTTATGCAAAGCTCCACGTACTCTTTCTTGGCAACTCTAGTTAAAATGCTAAATTACAGAGGTGGGCAGACCCTATTGATAGTAGAGAGACTGGTGCCCCTCTCTTCTTGCCTACCTTTGCTAATGGCTTAAAAATAAATCTCTCCAATACCTCACCTGCTGATCTGCTGTGGCTTAATCAGCCTGGTAGATTCAGAGTAATTATCCCTGAATTATCAAAGATACCACTGGAAGTAGGTAAAACAGAGAGGAGTTTATCTATTTTGCAGATTCTGAACCTCAGGATCAAAGATTCAGCTGACTTACCCAAAGTTAGTAACAGAGCCCCTTCCAGAACCATCGCTTCCTGTCTCCTGGTCTAATGGTCATAAGTCCTTATTTCTCTCTGATCTTGCTCTTGCTATGGCTAAAGTGCACTCACAAGGGTGACTGATGGGTCCTCAGTAAGATGGAAGGGAAGGAGGAGGGAATCTTTGTTTTCATCTCCTGGAATGTTCCAATAGTTCCAGCTGTGGCTACAGTTCATGACTGCAGGGATTTTTTGCTTGTTTATTTTCTTTTGAAAGATTCTATCTAGATTCCGGCAAACTTTCCAGCAAACAATACTTTGAGGCAGCTGGAAAAGGGAGGGCTCTTCCTTCCCTGTCATATGTCCTTAAAATAACAACAGGGGAGGAAAGCCCACAGTGTCCCCTTAAGGTACCAAGGATAGCATAATGAATTTGCTAATCATAAACGGTTTGCTCCTGAGTTCCAAACGATATGGTAATGAATTGCCAGTGAACCATTTGCCAGACCACAGCCATATGGTAAGGGATGGGACCCTGGTACATAGTAGCCATACTGTGGGTTTGTCTGCATAACTGTTCCCATCCAGAACCTTCCCATCTCTATGGCTGCTAGTTAATATCCTGTTTAAGCTTCTGTTGTCAAAACTAATCATTTGTTTGCCTTATGTGGATAAGTCTTTCTCTTATCTGGTCAGTAATAGTGACCATTAAGAAATGAAAATGTGTTTGAATCCACATAAAAATATTTGAGTTACACATCTTGCATTACCCAGTGGATACCTGGGCCTGGCAGCACTAGCCTGTGGAAGCAACTCAATCCAGGAACTTATTAAAACCAACAAATTATCATCTTCCCCTGCAGAAACACAAATGAGGATTCAGTTCATTAATTTCCCCATTGTTCTTCCTTTCTGTGGACATTAGTTGGATCTTTAGCTATAAAATGTGGATTTTATTATAATAGCGATGATAATAAAAATAATTAGGAGAAGAAGGAGATTCATTTATCAGAATAAGGCACCCTTTCAAATACACACTCCCTCTTGATTTGATGAGATGGTGAGATTTGGGAAAGAATCTGCTGTTTCATTGCTGCCTTTGTTGGTTTCCTTAGCAGTTACCCAATGGGGCTAGAAAGAAAGAGAGTTAGGAAAAGAAAAATAAAAGTAAAGTGACTCTAGGATCAAAGGGAAATGAGGACCTATGATGAGTAAACAGCAAAGCAAATCGGAAAGAAACAATTTTATGAGGGATTAGAAGTACAGCAGGCTAGGGAGAGGCTGTTTGGATAGTCCAGTGTGCATCCAGTGTCTTACATGCCTCACCACCACCACCACCAAGGGCAGACAGGGAGATGGGGCAGGGATTGTCCCTCTGTCCTCCTACCCCCTGCCACATCCTTGTGACAGCCTTTGACAGTCTTTTTCCACCAAGACTGCCTGCTATCCATGTAAATTCATTTTCCTTTCATAACGACGTTGAAGAATATGGGAAAATGGAACCAAAAAAGAGGGAAGACGGAGTGGGTGAGGAGCCCACAGGGTAATATTCCCTGAGAATGCTCCTGGGTTTCTTGCTTCCTATGGGACCCAGCAGGAACAATCACTCTTTCACAACTTTCTGAGTTTTCCCTGCATCCCCACATACCTCACCCCAGAAACAGCCAATGTGCTAATTGCAAGGTCAGGCCAGTGTCTTACGTGGCATCTGGGACATGGTATAATGCAAACAGATTTCCATATGTGGTCCCTTCCAGTAGTCCTCGGCCCCCCGAGCACCCACACCACGTGAGAACTCAGCTTCTCAGGAGACGCTGACATTTTAATTGGAAGCATCTGTTGCCTTTTCTGTTATTTTTGGCCAGGTTTGGTTTATTTGTATGAGCCGATGTTTGTGTACAGACCCGCCTACACGTTTCACAAAGCCTAGCCTTGCCTCCTCTCTCATCTTCTTCTCAAGTAGCTGACTGGGATGTGTGACGGGGCCACTTGCCTTCACCCTGTCCATTCTGATGTGGATTTCTCTCCGCAGAACTAGGGTGGGGAGGAAGGGCCAAGCTGAAAACTTCAGAGAAGCACCTTCTTGAAAAAGATGTTCTGAGGGAGGGAGGCTCACCGCTTCCTGCTTACTGCAAAGTGTCTGCTAGCCTCCCAGCAGGAGATTCTGCTTCCAGCTTCAAGGCTGCAGCCAGCTTTGAGGCTGCAGGGGGACCTTGAAGGTGTCAGGTCCAGTCCTGTACCCCTCCCAGCTCTGACTCACACACTAACTGAGGCCCCGTCCTCAAGTCTCTCAGGAGTCCTGCTCCCACTAGCCTTTGAGACCTGCCCTTCACTTTATCCTCACTTAGAAAACCCAACCTTCTTCTCCCCATCAAACCCAACCACCTCCACAGAGCCTTCTTCTAGTTGTCCAGTTAGCCTGATCACACACCAGCAGAGCCACTATCTGTCAGTAATCCAGTGGCAACTGGGTGTTTGCTGAATTCCGAGCTGTAGTGGGTTGAATCGTGCCCCATCAAAAAAATAGTTCTACACAGAACCTTGGAATGTGAATTTATTTGGAATAAGAGTTTTTTGCAGACAAGTTAAGGCTCTCCAAATGATATAATCCTAGATAGGGCGGACCCAAAAATCCAATAATGGAAGAGACAGAAAAAGACATGAGAGAGAGAAACAAAGGGCATGTGAAGACAGGCAGAAATTGGAGTGATGCCACCACAAGCCAAGGAATGCCAGGAGCCACCAGAAGTCAGAAGTGGCCAGAAAATTTTTTCTCTAGTGCCTCCACAGGGAGCATGGCCCTGCCAACACCTTAGTTGTGGATTTCTAGCTTCAGAACTGTGAAAGAATGAATTTCTCTTATGCTGAAGTACCGAGTTTATTGGTAATTTGTCACAGCAGTCCTAAGAAACTGATATTCAAGCCCTGGGCTAGGGTACCATGGTGTACAAAATCCTAGGAATGAAGGGGAACTGGAATCTGCCCAGACGTAAAGTGAGAGGACCTGACTTTCCTCCCCTGAGGGGAACCTGACTTACCCCCTCCTCAAGGGGATATCACCACTCACCAGCTATATACCCTGGAGGAGGTCACTTGAGCTCCCTGTCTTCACTGTCCTTTCCTGTACATTGAAGGAGATGGACAGGACAAGGTCTACGAATCCCTACAGCTCCAGTGTTGTCTTTTTTGTGTAAGAAAGGGAGATTATAACTACACAAGGTGATGACATCATAACCCCGGGTCCCCACTGTGAGAGGCACACTGAAATGAGCACTACAGACCCTAGGAGGGGAGGGTTCAAGTAGAGTCAGGGAAGGTCCTAGGGGAGGTGGTCTCTGAACTCAAGGGCAGGTTGCCAAAGAGGAGGAGTTGGGAGAGCATTGATGACCGGCAGAGAAGTCAATGCGCAGAGGTCAGATGAGAGAGTGACAAGGAGGAAACAAGGCAGGCTGGAGCAGAGAGGACCACAGGAGCACCATGTCATGCTTCACCCAGAAATCAGTCTTTGGTAAGCTCTGCCCCATAACCAGGGTCTAGCATTGAGGGAAGTGCTTTCCTCCATGGGAGAGACCAGGCTGACCCTCAGGTCACACACATCCACATTAAATAAATATGGATTGAACACTCACTGTCACCCTGCAGTCCTGGGCACTAAAGAATCTGTGGGGACACAGACTCTGTCCTCAGTGGGCATACAATCTGATGGTGGAGGCAGCCTATTGAGCATGTAACTGTGTTCAGGGAGGTAGGTATCTTAGGCAGAAAAATGCAGAGGAGCTTCTGCTGCCGTTTGGGGAGCGGACATCTTCCTGGAAGAAGGGACTTTTAAGCTACTTGAGAAATGAATAAAATTGGCCAGTTGACAAGAATGGTGAGAGTGTCCCTGTAACTCTCCCTCATGTGAGTCCCATCAGACTCTCTTTGCTTACTGCAAAGTAAAATAAGGAAGCAGAAACATACAACAGGAATAAATAGGAACTGTGAGAAAAGGTAAGAAGAACCAACTAGAAAAACATGGCAATCTGGGGCCATCTGGCAATGGGGCAAATATCCCTGAACAAACAAGAGCCTGCCAGGTACCACTCCAATCCTATAATGCAAGCTTAAAATAGATTCCATGTACTCTGCTTATCTCAAAGGTAAGAAAGACTGGAATACTTAGAAACATCATCATCCAACATGCTCAACAGAGGCATCTCAGAACTCTGAAAAATTGTTCTGCGTAGATCTCATGTTCTAGCTGGGGCTGACCTCCTGAGTCTTCCTGTGTTGACTTGTTTACAGGCTAGTCTTCACTTGGGTTCTTGCTGTGACTCTTCTCTTCCTCTATTAGTATTTGGAAGAGGGCAGGGCCTTTGATACGGTTTGATTGTATCCCCATCCAAATCTCATCTTGAATTCCCATGTGTTGTGGGACGGAACCCAGTGGGAGATCATTAAATCATGAGAGCAGGTCTTTCCCATGCTGTTCTTGTGATAGTGAATAAGTCTCATGAGATCTGATGATTTTAAAAAGGGGAGTTTCCCTACACAAGCTCTCTTCTCTTGTCTACCGCCATGTGACATGTGCCTTTCACCTTCTGCCATGATCGTGAGGCTTCCTTAGCCATGTGGAACTGTAACTCCATTAAACCTCTTTGTTATGTAAATTGCCCAGTCTCAGGTATGTCTTTATCGTCAGTGTGAAAACAGACTAATACAGCCTTCATCTTTTCTTTGCTTGCCAGCCTACTAATGGGTGCTCAACTTTCTACAAGATGTTTCTGCAGAATGGCCAGTGTCCTTTAGATGGGTCACCCAATCTTCTGGAATCCTCCATTCTGATGGGCCACTGGAAGCTGTCTGACACAGGCCCAGTCCCTCAACTGGACTTTATCAAAGGGCTACTAGGTTCAAGGCATCATGCACACACAAAAATGCCTACTCCAGGGAATTAACAAACTGGTCTTGCAAATGAGACAAAAATATGTAAACATGTAAACAGAATTACAAATTATCAAGATATTGGGGGGTGACAGATGACCTTTGAGTTGATTTCATGGATAACAATGCCAGCATCCCCCAAACCTTCAGATCCATCTGAGGCAAAATGCTAGGATAGAGGACCCATGGCCCCAAACTCAGGGACTTCAGATGGTCATGACTCTATCCTGGAGCCTCCTGTATAGCCAGTGGTATTGCAAGCCTTTGGAAGAGTCCAAGAAGTAGAAGGAAAATGAAGACTCTATGTGTCCCTTCATGGGATACCTTGCCCAGTCTTACCCAACTCATCTGTGGATTCAACTGTTTCCATCACATCCCTCTTTGTAGATAGGCACACAAGAGGAGATGGACCAAATCTCCCTGTCTCTGCCTAAATTTACCTCAGTCATCTCCTCCCTATATATATATATCTCTCTCTCTGTCTTTCTGGCCATCAATATCTGCTTGTCTCTCTTTCAAATTCTCCATAAGTTTTCTTCCTGTGGTTTTCTCTCTCGCTACCTCTGTCTTTCTTTCTCAGTCTCTATCTGTTTCTGTTACATACACATAAATGTTTTTCAGGGAAACCTACTTCTCTTTTCTCAGTAAGCCTCAGTTCTAGTTTATTAGCATGAAAGCAATCAAGGTTTAAAAGAAAAAAAAGACATTTACAGAAAAGCCCAGATATGGTTGTGACAGCATTTCAGGTCATGGAGGGGACAGGGAAAGAAAAATAAACTGGGCAGAATGGAAAAGTTGAGACTGGGAAGCCAGGTCACATGGTGTCGGCAATCTGCCACTCAAGTGGTCGCCACTCTGCACCCTGTGGGCCCCCATCCCTGCCTCCCTTGGATGGTTCTTGAGGGAGGTTCCAGGGGCCAAAGCCCTTGAGAAGTTCCATTGCGATGAACTTTGTTTGTAGAGATGTCTGACCCAGGGCCCCACACTGTGACTTCTCTATGGAATGCAGAGTTCTGTAGGTCACGGACTGGACCTCTGCTGCATAGAGAAAGGAACATTGCTGGTTCCATGTTAGAACCTGAGAGACCTTGGAGAGGATCCCATCCATCCTCTGCCTAACAGAAGGGGAACCTGAAATCTGAGTGGAGGGGTTGCCCATAATCCTACCCCCTGTTAGGGGCAGAGCCAAGCCCCAAACATTTCTCCCTCACCTCCTCACTGTCCTTCCAAGGTTCCAGGCTCAGTTTCTTCTTTGATGGACAACTTCAAGTGAGACACTTAACCTCTTTGAGCCTCCGAGTTCTTATCTGTAAAATTAGGGGCATGGAAGTGAGCATTTTGGATGGCTTCTTACAGGTGCTAAATGTTTTTTATAATTATTCTCACACTTAAATGTGACAATAGATTTGTGTTTTACAGTGGTCATTACAATTCCCATGTGATAGGGGAGAAAAAAATGAGCCTGTCTGAGATAAAGTAAACTCCTTAAGATCATGCAACTTATAGTGATTTATCTGTGCCCCCAAGCCATACTAAGCGTAGGTTTGATGGAAAATGAGAAGGCATATAGAACAAAAGACCAGGCTCTCCTATACTCCCAGGCCCCTCTATGCGGCTCCTACTGTGGAGGCAGGGAGTACCCCCAGTCCAACCCTGCCACCAGTGGAGTGGTGCCCACAGGAGGACAGCCTGGCCCAATCTTTCATGGAATGTCACAATATTGCCTTCCCCTTTGCCTGCTGATCAGGGTCCTGCCTCCCGAAAGTGATCTAAGCCAATGCCCCACCCAGAGGCAGAATCAAAAGGCATTCAGCCATGCTCCCCATACTTGGGTTTCTACCCACCGAGAGAGGCATAGAGATGCCCAAAGCCCCTCTCAGAACAGCCAGCTGATCCCGTCATTGAGAGAACTTGTTTGGAGAGGTGACAGTTCCCTAGCTTGTTCTTGTCCTGCTTACACAGCAGAGCAGCATTTCCAGCTGGCATTTGCAAAGGCCACTCACCTCACTTTGCATTCAGGACTCTTCCCCACCAGCCAATGCTCAGAGCGGCTGCACTGTTAAATGTGTCTGTACACAGCACTCACACACATGCACACCAAATGCTGTTATTTTTAATAAGACTTCTTTTTCCCCCTCCTCTCCTGAAAATCCAAGAGAGTCCTCTGCAGGGCAGAGGCCAAGAGGTCAGCCATCCACATCATATGATTTGCAGACAGCAGAAAGGTCCCCATTCCTAGCTCCTGTGTTAACTCCCCTTTTATTGTTGTTTTTTTTTCTTTTTTCCCAGCCTTCTGCAAGGGGCATTATCTGGCCCAGACATCTTTGCACTTGACACATCCTTGGCACTTGTTTCTATTTAAAGTAGCACTTTATTATGTATAGCCTTACATTATTATTTCACTATTTACTCTGTGAGAAAATTTCCTCCCCAACTAGGTTATAGCTCCTATGGGGAGAATATTGATACACCTCTATATTTTGGGGCAGTGGATCTCTGAAATTCTAGAATTTATATAGTAGCTTAAACATTAATTTTTCAGACTCTCTGACATCACTCAGGAGTGGATCCTTTTGGGATCCACTAGAAGACCCTTGTCCCCTAAGTCGACTCTTACTCCTCCCTTAAGGTCTCCTTGCAATCTGTTCTTTATTATATCCCTTCCCTGGGCTCACTCCCACCACCCTTAGTACACACCTTACAGATTACCTTATCACAGTGGTTGATATTTAGCTGTTAAATGTCTAGCTGTCTCTCCATTTGGAAAGTGAGCACCTTGAAAGGTGAGTAAGTGCCATAACCAGGAAAAGCTTGCAGGATGAGCTGGGGTCTCAGGTGTATGTGTTTGAGAAAGAAGGAAGTTGAAACTACATACAAAGGGAAGAGGAAACTAACCCAAGTGTCCCAATTTCTACCCATAGGAGTTCTTCCATTTGTGTCAAGTACTGCTCCCTGGAAGGGTCCTTATAAAAAGTACTTTGGATGAAGAGTACAGATCCCAAGGTGCTTGGTGATACCACATAGGGTTCAAGCCTCCATCTGCACACCAGGGAGTTCACTTTAGGAGATAAAGCACTATGGCAAGAAAATATTCAGAGGAGGAGCAGTGTTTGAAGACAGGTAGACTGTGGCATCAAGGCATTGACCCTGAAGAAAGAGGAAGGTAGAAAAATGGGCTCTCAGCTCTCAGGGAAGGAACCTAGGCAGAGCCCAGGCAAACAGACTAAAGTTTGAGGTGCTATTCCAAGCCCAAATTGGAATAAAGATGCTATATGGGTAAACCAAGGCAGGAGCCCAGATGCATGTACAGGAGCACATTTCAGCAGAAAGAGAAATGCTTGGGAACTATATACCAATATCCATGGAGCATCCCTGGGCAACAGATGAATTCCAGTCCCCATCAGATGGTGGAGGTGAGGGTCCCAAATGAGTTCTTGTCCTCTTCAGATATAGCTCAGGAATTAGGAGTGAACCAGACTAGCATGGAAGGAGTGGAGAAAAAAAAATCAAAGTCAGATGGGCGATACCTAGGCCAGGGAGAAGAGTCCTTTCTCAGTTTTACACTGCCATACCCAGAAAATTGCCTGATGCATACTGAAGAGTCAAGAGAAATTCGTTGGAGTACAGTTTAAAAGAGAGAGAGGCTTCCAGATGCCTTTCCATCATTTTGGCAGGTAACTCCCTGCTTTCCTGGTCAGCCCTTGCTTACTGGAACCCCTTCATCCAGTGCCACAGAGAAAGTGCAATTTCCCTCCTGCACTGCTGCTCATTACCAAGAAAAATGACAGCTTGATGGTCTTCCAGCAAGAGAGAACAATCTATTTCATTTGGAAGTTTGGTAATTGATTAGGGCAATAGATTTTCTTCACGGCAGCCTCCCCGGGAGAGTCTGGTGAGGGCACAAGATTTACATACATCAGACTCATTCTGCCTGCAAAATCTGTCTTAGAGGATGAGATCACAAGGCCATTACTGGATTGGGGGGAGCTGGAAGGGTGGGAAGGCAGAGCGGAATTCCCAGACATCATTTCTCAGCAACCAGTACCGTGGCTAGTTCAGAATGTTTTCAAGTACTTTCTGTCAGTAACTTGCAGGTAAATCCAAGGTTCTGTCTACTCAGGGTGTGATCAAGCAAGTGATTCTTTGGGAGTCTCTGTTGACCAAGCTTCTGAATAGATGGGCCCCAGAAACTTACTATTAGCCTATGTCACCACCAACAATGGCTACCCTATTCTGTGGCTGCACCACAGCCTCAGTGAAGCAGTATCCTGAGAGTTCATATCATGGGGTTACCTTGAAGGTCATCAGGGCCAGCTTTTAGCAAACACTTGTTCTCTACTCAGACTTCTTCTGGAGCATATCTTCATCTTATATACCACCCTCTCCCCAGATTTTACTTCTAACTGTTTCTGTGTGCCTCTGGATCAAAATCTGCTGTACAAAATCTTTCAAACCTGTCATTTACCTTATGTGAGTATAAATCATGATGTTCCCTTTCTCAGAGAAACATTCATTTTAAGCCTTATCGCCCAATATGTGATAAAGAAATTTCCAGCATCGTTGTATTGATGAGAAGTTAGAGGGAATGTATACCAAGAACAAAGCATATTTTTTAATGCTACTTACATTGGAATGATACTACACACTCCATTGTGTAATGGCACTTCATTTCTTTGGCCACAACACCACCTTCTAAATTAGTTGAGGCCAATAGGACTGTAATCAGAAGTTGACTATGATACATAGAAGTTCGAATGTAGCCCCAAATGTAAAGGTTGAAGGGTAAGAGTGTTTAGATTTTATCCATATATACATAAAGAATTTGTGGATGAACTGTGCCTCTATTGCCTGGCTCCAGATGTCCCAGCATTCTCAATAAGAGTTAGGGCTGTGGTCCCACAAATAGTTGGGACACAAAGACATATCTCTGGGGTGACCTGAGGATATGAGATACTCTGTTTCATTCTTACTGTACCGACTCAGACCCATAGTGGAGGAAGTTTCTCTCTTGATCAGCCAAAAATGGACCCAGTTTCCACAGGGACCCCACAGACTAAGGAAACATCTCCACCTCCTTCTCCACCCAACACACAGAGTGCTCTGCCTGGAATAGTGAAAAATTCTGCCATTCATGTTAATTTTCAGGTAGAGATCCTACCCTTTCTAACTTACAGTTGCTAGTTTCATCTCTGGAACTAAAAAGTTGGTCCTAATCAAACTAATAGAATCAGCCAGCAGATGGAAAAAAACATTTTTTCCAAGGATGATATCATGGAAGTTGTATTAGGCCATTCTTACACTGCTATAAAGACATGCCTGAGACTGGGTAATTTACAAGGAAAAGAGGTTTAATCAGCTCATGGTTCTGCAGGCCGTACAGGCTTCTGCTTCTGGGGAGGCCTCAGGAAACTTACAATCATAGTGGAAAGTGAAGGAGAAGCAGGCACATCTTCACATGACTGACGGGAGAGAGATAGCATGCAAAGGGGAAGATGCTACACACTTTCAAACAACCAGATCTTGTGAAAACTCCACCATGAGACAACACTACAGGAAAGGTGCTAAACTATTAGAAACCACCCCCATGATCTAATCACCTCCCACAAGGCCCCAACTCCAACATTGGGAATTATAATTCAGTATGAGATTTGGGTGGGGACATAGAGCCAAACCATATCAGAGCTAGAAAATCACTTAAAACTGGCCTTGTAGATGAACTTGATGTATTAGAAAACTCTGTGGATCTATTAGAAAATGCTGTGGATGCCTACATTAGGTGAGCATCCTAACGTAGACCTGACCTATATTCCTTGGTAAGCATAGGGTAATATTAAGAGGCATACCTAGCAATCAGCAAACTTTGTTGAGCATCTATGATGTGCAAGCTTTCATGCTATGAAGGATACAAAGATGAGTAAAGCCCAACTTATACCCTCGAAACGTAGATGGGGAAACACCCATGTAGTAACTACCACAAACTCACTTTTGCTTATACTGCACTGGGTGGCTATTAATATATCCATTAATATCCATAGAAATGTTAATTGAAATATTAATAAATTGATTTATTTCTACCTATCATGGCTATATTCTTTCCCCTGTTCCACATTTTGTCAAATAGAAATGCAAGTACCAAGTTCAATGATTCTCTTGAAACATAATAAGAAAATAAGAACCCCATGAAGCATCCTGACAGCACTGACTTTTCCTAGAATAGGTGGAGGAGAACATGCTGACTGAGCAGACTTAGCATACCACTCACACACATGTTAAAGAGGCCTGCAGTATGTACCTGGCATGACAACAGTGTCTGACACTAAGTAGTTTGTGGATAAATATTTGTTCAAATGAATGATTAAAAATGGAAGACTTCAAGTGTTTGTAATACAACTATGAAATCTGGATATTATGGTTTTAAAGTAACTGCTTTGTCATATTGACTGTAGCCTCACTGAGCTAAAATGAATTTTAAGGAGCAATGATTATAGAGAGTGTAGACAGTGTCAATTTGGCATCAAAAACATGGGTTTTAAGCTTGATTAATACTAACTAGCTGGGTTGGCCTTGGGCAGGTCTTTTAATCTTTCTGAGCTTCCATTTTCTCATTAAGTAGACTGCGAAATGGAGCACAAAGGAATCAACAGAACCAGTGGGGGTTAAGTTCGGATTGGGGGCACCAGGAGACACAATGCTCTGAGAAAGAAGAGATCAGCACGTGGGCTGCTGTGAGCATAGAAAGCTTCACATGGGGATGAAACTTGAGCCTTGAAAGGTGAGCAGGATCTAGAAAAGAAGAGGAGGTCCCACTCTGCAGTCAGGAAGGGAAGAAAAAAAGCACGCATAGCCCAGCCAACACTCGGGCAACCTGTGCAACTCATCCCTGTGGATGTAGACACATTGGGCCCGGGAGAGCAGGCCTGGGCAAAGGAACGAATTGGTGCAATCATTGGGTTTGTACTTCAGAAAACCATGCATCACAAGAAACAGAACCAGAGAAAGAAGGATTCAGACAAGCTGTTCTTGTAAATGAAGCAGGGCCTGCTTTGCATGCCTGCATGCCCTCCTTGAAGTTATCCATGGAACATAGCTTCAAATACCCAAGCCATTGTGGTAACTATAGGAATTACTAACTGTAAGAACTCAAGTTGATAGTGTGAAGTTTTAGTATTAATAACTATTTGAGTTAATCATTAATATTTGTACCTAAATTTCTTTTCTGAAATTCTCCATACAAAACTTAATCTTTGAACTTTTAACTGGAGAGGAGCTCTGCTATACCAAGCATAAGGCTGTGTTGATGCTGAGGTCAGAAAGAAGAAAATATAAACTCTCCATGATGTATTGAATATATAGTTTTTCCTTTATTTCCTTTCTCTCCCCCCTCACTACTGTTTCCCTTCCTTCCTCCCTTCCATTCTTTCCTCCCTCCCTTCTTCCTTTCCTTCCTTTCTCTTTCTTTCAGCCAAAAGTTAATGTCATAGAATGGAAAGGTCACTTAGGTAACAGTTTGAAGACCTTGGTCCCCCTCCCAAATTTGCCGCTAAAATAAGTGTGTGAACCTGGCCAAGTCACTCTATTTCTCTGGCCTTCAGCTTTCTCATTTGTAAAAGGAAGGTCCTAGACAGATCTGTGATTTTTCAAGTGCTGCCCCAGGGACGAGAGTGGGAGAGAAAGATAAGAGATGGGCTTTCTGAATCTCTGTACACTCCTCAACCCAAAGAAGCAAACTTCTTACCTTTTATATGCAGGGGAGGAGATTCCATAATCATTCATTTGAAAAGAACACAGGGTTCTTTTTGCTGCTTAATAGGAAAAAAATTAGAAACCCACTGGCCTAGTTGATCTGGGCAGCACTTTCCCACTCCAGCATTGTAGGTTTCTCCTGTTCATTGATTTCTGCCACGTGAAAGACATTGTATCTGATGCTATAAGTAAAGATGGGAGAAGTACAAGCATTGGCTCCAAGGAGCTCACTCAGCTTCAAGATTAACCAGTGGGGGTTAAGTTAGTGTTGGGGGCACCAGGAGACACACTGCTCTGTGAAGAAATAGATCAGAATGGGCTGCTGTGAGCAGAGAAAGCTTCACATGGGAGTGGAACTTGAGCCTTGAAAGGTGAACAGTATCTGGAAGAGAAGAGAAAGCACTGTGCAGACAGAGAGAGCTATTTCTTCTCTCTCCAGGCTCTCACTGTGTGCTGTCTGTGAACTGGGCACAAGGACACAGAGGTGAATGAGACTGGCAGGGTCCCTGCTCTCCTGGAGCACAGTTCGGTGAGATGTGCACAACTCACCGAAGGACACAGAGGGCTCAGGGCCCACCTCCATCTTGTGGGCTTCATGATGAAGACAGAGCTTTTCCCACAGATTCATCTGCCTCTGGTTAGCTTAGGGAAGGCTGCCTGAGTCAGCAGCAGGGCAGACTAATAACCTCCCGAAGTAACTTCTCATGAGACGCGGCCCTGGCTGATTGAGTTTGGCAGGAATTCCGAGACATTCCAATATCTGCACAAAGGGCAGACCCTCGCCCCAGCCAGGCTGACCTCAGCCTCCCCCCTCCCAATAGATAATTACGCCTCTAGGTCTCCAAAGCAAGCCCTGTTGTGGGTAACCCTTGGAAGTGACATGCTGTTTTCTGATGGGAATTAAAAGGTCTAGAGTGGCCAAAAGGCTTCTCAGCAGGAGGGTTTGTTATTCTTTTAATTGTGGCATTAAACCTCAGGCTGGAATTGCATCAACATTCATGCTGCTATCCAGCTTGCCGAATTTGCTTCTTTTGACAGACTTTATCATGGCCAGGTCCAGTCTCACCCGGCGGTGAAGGCGGCCACCAATGCTTGGCTGGAAGTTGTAAATCTTGGAACTCGAGGAACTCCCTACCCTGACCCTCCCTCCAGGACTTTCTGTCCTTTTGGCTGATGCCTGGAATTCTACCTTTGGGACTTCAGGGCATTCCACTGAAAACTTTAATCTCTCTTTCCCTGGGAGAAAATATTAGCTTAAGTTCATAGGGGTACAAAAAATAGAAGTTCACTGGTTATAGAGAACAATTAGAAAACAAACAGCTTGCTCAAGGGGGCAAGGGATATAAGAATAAGGTGCTTATTGTAACTGCTGTAGAAGATTGTTGAACTGGAATTTACAAATCAATGCCATATCTTAACTTTGACATCTTAAATTAGATATCTTAACTCCATAATAATAATAATAACTAATAATTAACACAACATCTAGATTCAGTCTGTTTCCTACTTCATTTTATGGAATGGAATAGGATATATATTTCCCAATTGCAATCCTATTCTGTAAAAGAACTGTTACCTAACAAAGCCTACATCACACAGTTCCGGGTTGCTCCAAGGCCTCTGAAACATCTTTGAGATTGTCCATCTCATTTCACAGCTGATGCAAACAGAGTCCCTGTTCCCCAAGTGAGACACACTTCACCTTTCATACCATTAAATACTATGATTTTTGAATGACTAATGATCCTCTTTAAAAATTACACATCCATTGTTTACATGTACCCAGTGTCAAACTCCATCTAACTCCCCTATGATAGCATTTGTCTTCATTCATTCATTCATTCATTCATTCATTCAGCCTATTTACCAACTGTCAAGTACAGCATAGACACTGGTGGAAAGCAAAGGTCCCAAACCAAGTTCACAGTCCAGAGGTGAAATAGACATTAGTAAGTAAAACAGCCCTGTAACTGTTGGAGCTGAGTCATGTCAGAGAGAACCCAGAGGAAGAGACTTGTTAACTTGCCTGGGGTCGCTGGAAAAGCTTTACAGAGGAGTGGCTCAAACTGCTGGTGTCTGGACTTGGCCACTGATAGTCAGGGATAAAGACCAGAGTTGGCCCTTCCTCTGTGTTTTCAGAAAAAGACGGATAATCTAGGTGACTAAAATTGAATTTTTTTTCTAATTCTTTTCTTAGAAAAAAAGAGCAGGAGGACCTCAGGTTTTCTGATACCTCTTCAACAGAGGGCCACCTTAGCTCCTTCTCCCTGGAGAGCAAAGGCCAGGGCAAGCAAGCTGTTTTGCACAGGTGTCAGGGAAAACGAGATGTGTCCACTGTGATTCTGGTTAAGCTGAGAGCCCCAGCTGGCAAGGGGCCAGCCTGGTGGCATGCAAGTAATATAATACACAATCTAAATGCAAGCATTTGTGGCCTGTTTGGGGAATCAATTAACAATAAGCATATACATCCATTTACAAAATAGCAGTGTGCTAGAGTATACCCACACTGTAATTGGAAACTAAAATAATACCAGGAGGAATAATCATTTTAAAAAATCCTCCAAAAAGCCAAGAGTAATACTAAGAAAATAAAATAAAAAATGTCGTCCATCTGCAGAGTTATATCCTTAGGGAAGCACTGCAGAGCGCACTAACAAGCAACTGAATCCATGTATAAATGAACAGAAACCCATGAAGGCAACAGAAGGCAAGGTGGGGTGTGGAAGGAAAAAAATATCCCTGGTAGATTAGCTACCCCTGAATCAAGCAGAGTTCCATTTGATTGCTTCTTGTAGGAGATGGAATGCTCCAAGGCCAGGCATGACCCTCAGGGGAAATTATTCTTTATCTGCCCATTCACAGAGTCTCCAGTGTTGGTTTTGAACTTGGATCCTCCTTTCCCACTTCAGCACCCCCATGCCCATGCGTGAGCATGAGCACACACACATACACCTCACTCACTCACCCCTGGGGGAATCCCAGACACATAATTTACTGTTAGCTGCTAGCTGAGGAAGATTCCCTGCCAGAGAACTAATTGGAAAAAGGGGGCAGAGTAAGCACGAAGAAGGAGGAGAGAGCTCATATAAACCCCAACTTGTGCACTTGGCAATCAAAAAGGGGCTAAGCCAAAGATCTCCTGTCTGATAATTTTAAGAAATTAAGCTAAAGGCTCAGAGAAATTCCACCCGTGCTGTTACTCCGGGATCTGCTCATCCCCTGGAGCCTGTGGTTTAGCAGCCCTTTGTGAGATCGCTCTGGGTTCTACACTAAGGGGAGGTCTCTGAAGGAAACCAGAATCAGATGGGACTCCTACACTAGGAATTAACAGGCTGGTGCCACCAACTACCTGGCAGTGGTATCAGGCTACTCTGGGTGTTAGCAGGCCCTTGCATACATGGATGGGAGCTAGCAGCTACTGCCACTTTCACACACCAGAAATCACAGCTGTGGTGTGCTTAGATCTCTTTGGGCCAATGGGCATGTCTTGTACGTACCATTTGGTTGAAGTACGTAGAGGGTGGAAACCATATTTGGTATGTCTTTAGAAAGTTAAAAAGATGCTTTAGCCATATTCTTGGAATGAGTCATTCAACCATGTTGGACTCAGTACCTAGCACTATTCCCTGCTTCAGTGCAGAGAATCAAGATGTGGTTTTTGCAGAAGCAGAGCCCATCATCAAATAGATATTGAGTCCCTAACAGGTATAAAGCCTCAACTAAAATCTCAAAAATTCCTTTCAGGAATATGAGTGTGCTACATGTGACTGTTGGCAGATCACCTGATGGAGACTTAGGATAATGGGTGGTGCAGGCTGCGAGTCCATGGGCATGCCTTAAACACACCCTTACCTTATGTCCCCCTGTCCCTGACCCAGTGCCCGCAACTGGGCTTTTACATGGTACTAAGCACTAAATAAATACCTTTTGAATGATGGACTAAATGCATTTAAAGTTGCATTTATTTCTGTTCTTTTTGATTAAAATGTATGGAATAAACTTTGCATGTCAAATGAGCTAGATCTTTATAGAGAAGTGTTTTTCTGGGCGTTTCCATCCTAAGGAGGTATGGCCCATGAGACAAGAAGCAACATGGTGTCCTGGAAAGAGCATGAAATTTCAGCATCAGAAAATGTGGGTTCTCACACATCTAGCTGTGTGACCTAGGGCAGTTACCTCAACCTCTGGGAACATCTATTTCTTCCTCTCTAGACCAGAGAGAACAATCTATCTAATTTGTGGGTTACCATGAGAAGATAAGGGAAAGGCTTACTAAGTGGCAAAGCCCAGGGCATATACAAGCTGTTAGGATCATGATTATTATTATGACCGAAAGTCTGCACAGGTGACAGGGCCTTGGTGATTGGGTGCTTCCCCAGCAGTGGGAATGGGTGGGCCTTCCTCCTCCCACCAGGTCCTCTGAGATACTCTAGAATCTTAACAGCTGGCCCAGGCAAGAGTAGTGTCTATGACCATCCAACAGGCCCACCTATGGCCTGGAAACATGACCTGCACCTCCCATCACCTCAGTTCTACATCAAGTGACCTGTCAACAGTCATATTTTTTAAGGGAATTTCTGAGAGCTTAGTTGAGGCTTTAACCTGATAGGGACTCAATGCCAGTTTGATGATGGGCTTTGCTTCTACATCATCTTGATTATCCTTACTGATGGAGAGTTGTGCTAGGCACTGAGTCCGACAGGGTTAAATGACTCATTCCAAGCTTACAGCCAAAGCATACTTGCAGTTTCTGGCATTGTGCTAAGGACTACTGGGAATGCAGAATACATAACTCAGAAAGAGTGCACAGGGTTAGGGATAGAGACTCACACAAGACAGACACTCAGTAACTGGATAGTACCATAAGCAGGATACAGCTCAGGGACCAGAGAGAGTAACACAAGAAAGGTACAAAAAAGACTTGGAAAATTGAGAGAAGCCAGAAAGAAGAGAGAGGACATTTAGATATGAGGTATAACTTTGGAAAAGACCTTCAGAAAGTAACCCTGTTTCCTTTTTCATTTTTTTTCTTTTTTAAATAAAATTACCTTTCGAGGAAACAGATTTACATATGAGATTATGTCTGGCTCAAGTGACCTTTAAAATCCATTGTATTCCATAAACCAGCAAGTCGCAAGATTTAATGTGCATCAGAATCACTTGGTGAGTGTGTCAAAAATGCAGGTTCCCACAGAATCAGAATCTCTGGAGCTGGCCCTCATAAATGCATTTGTTCTAAACAGCCAAGTGATTCTGGGACTCAAGCTGAGGGAGGCAGGAAGGGGTGTGGCTGATTGTGAGTGGGCATATTCATCCAGAAAGTAAGAGGTATTTTCCCAGAGGCCTATGGGGTAACTGGCCTTAGACATCGTTACTCTTTGAGCTATGTTTCATTTGAGGGCAGCTTGCCATGGAGGAAAGCGTGCTGGACTGGGAGTCAGCAGACTCATGTTCTAATCCTGCCTGGACTATTTGCCCCTTGGGCAATCTAAGGCAGTCTAAGGCAGTTATGTGCCTTTCTGACCTTCAGTTTGCACATCATATCAGTGGAGATCACCATCCTTCACGTGGGGTTACTGTGGATTTCAAATGGGAGCATGCATGTTAAAGCACCTTAAGAAATAGAAAGTGCTGTAGGAAAGTTGGCAGCGTCAAGTTCTGGGTATGATGTGTTGTGAAAAGGAGGCATTTTTTTATGTTTAGCCTTGCTATCCAAAACAGCTAAGCCCTAGAAGCATAAACACTATAAGCCCATGAGAAAATGTCCAGCTTGCAGTAATAAACTCGAGAAGGTAACCCCGGAAGGTGCACCCTTGACATTGCAGACCTGGGAGAGTTTGAGCCCTGCCATCCCCAGAGCGGCAGCTTCCCGGCACCATCCCTCAGTCCCTGCCTCTCATTCTGCTGGAGATGGCCCCGAGCTCAGGGCGGGAGCAATCCTACATAACTCACTACCCAGAATGGAAATGCCACATAGCACATTTAATTCTGCACTGACAGTTCTCGGGAAACAGGCCTAGTTCTCCATCGACCTCTAAAATAGATGATGGTTTTGGTAATAGCACTTTCTTCAGGAAATTCCATTCATGTTCATTCATTTATTTTAGACCACAAATATTCATGAATTTTGTACAGTGTGCTTGTTATTGTGGTTGTTGTTTGTTGCGTGAAGATTTCTGTTTGCTTGCTTGCTCACTTTACTCAGGCTCTCATTGGATTCCCCAATTCTTATTAACATGTGGATCATTAGAAAATCATATCACCAAACCAGCTATACCCTGTTGCCTTGGGCAATAGAAGTCAGAGGCCATTTTGCTGAGGACACCTGGTTTAAGCATCTGGGTTGCCAGGGGTTCCCATTTCTGCTAAGTTCCAACGCAGAGCATGCCATGGCTTGGCACGCATGCAACCAAAAAACTGATCTCTCCAAGTCATGGGTGAGAGGGCAGAGTGTCTTACCATGACCCCATAAGTGGTCTACGGCAAGCTGTAGTCTGCACTGGTCACTGGTGGGGTGTGGGGTGGGGGTTCTCCACTTTCTCAGCTGGTGAGAATTGTAGTTTACACTCAATTTGAGAAAAGGATTAAATAAACAAAGGAGGGAAATGCCAAGAAAGTTCCTCCAGCTCCAGCCCCAGCCCCTATGCTGAGTCTGGATAACCCAGCCAGACACCTTGAGATGTGGATAAGTATCACAAAGACAGGTCGCCCAGGGCAGGAGCAATCTATACTCCCATCACCAGGTTTTTTTTTTGTTTCTTTGTTTGTTTGTTTTGAGATGGAATCTCACTCTGTCACCCAGGCTGGAGTGCAGTGGCGCAATCTCGGCTCACTGCAACCTCCGGCTCCCTAGCTCAAGCGATTCTCCTGCCTCAGCCTCCTGAGTAGCTGGGATTCCAGGCACATACAACCACACCCAGCTTTTTTTTTTTTTTTTTTTTTAAGTAAACACGGGGTTTACACCATGTTGGCCAAGATGGTCTTGATCTCCTGACCTCGTGATCAGCCTGCCTTGGCCTCCCAAGGTGCTGGGATTACAGGTGTGAGCCACCACACCCAGCCACTAGTTATCATTCTTTAACCCCACGAAATCTCCCCTGTCTTTGGAGACCCAGTGCAAATGATACATCCTGCCTGTAACCCTCCCCACCTGAGACCTGCCTTTGCTCTGACACAGCAACTGCCTGGATCTCCACTGAGGGCTTCCTTTAAGGGCACTATTTCACTTTTCCCAGGTCGTCCAGATCTCTGGCCACATTTGTTGAGAACTTACCCTACACTAGGCTGTTTGTGTGCCTTTTACTGTTTAACCCTCACATCTGTCCTTTGAAGAAGATTTTGTCATCATTTTCAGATAAGAGAATGAGAGATGCAGAAAAATTAAGAAAGTTGCCCCAAAGACACATAATTTGTAAAGTACGGAGTTGAATTGAACCTCAGGACTGGACACAAAACTGGAGCTCACCTGAATACTCTGGGCTGCCTCTAATACCTGTCTTTCCTGGCTATTGTAAGGATTGGCAGTAACAAGTATAAAGCACCTGGATGGAGCCTGGTCCTTAGTGGGTGCTCAATAAGTGATCCTTATTACTACTATTACTTATTCTTTACTATTCTCAGCCTTAGACTGTGAGACTTGACTGTTTACAGACCTGTTTTCCTCTTGAACCTTGCATGGAGAGTGTATTTTATTCACTTAGTGCCCTCAACACCTCAACAAGTGTCTGGCTACCCAATGTTTTGTACTGATGAGGTCCTCAATAAATGCTTGTTCAATCCCATTGCACTGCATTCAACTCAGCTGGGACTTGAAGACCCAGTAGGGTGTGAATAGAATGCAAGAAAGAAAAGACAAAGGCAGTGAGAGGGATGTGCCCTTGATGGGGTGTGGGACCAGCCCAGCTGGACCTGAGGTGAGAGGAAGGGTTGGACACTGGCCTCAAGGAAGCCCAGAGCAGCCTGATCACCTATGGTAGGCAAGGTACCCTGAACATAGTTCCCTATCCAGCCCTATATATCCACATCAGAAGGCCAACAGATGACACATACACATGAAACTTTGGCATTTCATTCTTCTTAGTTCAGGGCTCATTTAGAGAAATGGGTAAGTGACAATCTTCATGGAAAGAACACAGGACCGTATACGAAAACACACAGGTGTAGACCTAACTGCTAAGCCCTTAAATGCCTCACCTGCCTTATCTGGCCTCAGCTGCTCCATATGAAAAATAAGATAGAGGCACCATGGCCCCACCAGCCCCTGCCCTTTTTCCTGCCCCATTTTCTCCTCACCCTAGCATTTGGAGTTGAAGGAAAGTTTTCTCCCAACTTTGGTGAGATTTCTGGTAGGACTAATTCAGGAGACTTAAAGCATCTCCTTATTATCAAGATGAAATGTTGAAGTCAAATTTGAAACTACAGGGATAATATAGAAAGCTTATGGGCAGCTTTTAATATCCACCTCCCTATTTAAATCTAGAACAATCTTATGCCTTCCAGATAAAAAGGATACCTCTTGGGGGTAATTCCCAAGATGTTTTTGAAATCTTTGCATATAGACACACACACACACACACACACACAAAACTCTCCTCCCTTCAGCTCCTTGTCCATCCTATAAAAATTTTCTCTCTGACCTACCTGGGGTATTTTCTTTAATGTGGCTGCTATTGGTAATGAATCAAATGCAGTATCTTGCAGTTAATCATAAAACTAAGCAAATGAAACAAGACTTCATGGGCCCATCCTTGGACTTCTGTCTCCCTGACTCCTCTTTTGGGAAAGGTTGAGTGGATTAGGCTTGAAGTGAATGACTGTAGTGCTGCTGGTGCATCCACCATGCATGTCTTGAAGAATGTCTCCTACCACTTCCAAGATCCCTAGAGATATGCAGCTTAGATATGCCTTGGCTCCATTTCCCTTTATTACTGGTTATTAACTCCTTTGACTTGTTCTGAACATGTGCCAAAGCCCTTGGCCCAGACACAGAAATGGCTTTTATTAAACACTAGTGATAAAAATATGCTTATATCACCCATGATGATTTCAAAATGCTCACAAACTTAACTATTTTCAATGCATTCCAATTAGCATTTGGTAGATCTGCCCAGGAGTTATCATCATCACATTTTAGATGATGCTTCCTAAGAGCAGGAGTGTATTTTCTGTTTGTGTCCATATGAACTGGGACCCATGAACATACAATGGGTCACAATGCAATAGCAACTCCCCATTTACAGTTGTACAAATTCAAATTTGCAGGAGATGTGCTGTTTTTAAAGTAGTTGGTGGTGGCCATTTTGTTTCTAGGTGTTTGCTGAGACATGATGGAATTCCAGGTGCATCTTCAGACTCTTTCATAGTGTAACAAATCTCAGCAAAATCAATTCAGTAGCTCAAAGGGTATTTGTAAGCAAAAAGGCAAGAAAATTTAAAAGTGCTAAATGGTAAATAAAAGCATCATTTTACTTGGTTAAATAAAGAAAGAAGGCAGTAAGGTATTGGAACGTTCCCCACATAAGGGATAGCTTCAGAGAAAATGAATTTACATTGTGGCTATAAGTATCTGGGTTATGCAGGGAAAGTCTTTAGTGCAGCGTATCTTAGCTTGCACAACCATTCTCTTCCCAACAGTGACCCCTCATGGTTTTTAGTCACTGGAATTCCCTGTCCAGCTGAAGGTAATAAAAAATCCTCTTAGCTGCTATGATCTGAGAGAACCTTGTGTGATACGGCCAGAAGTCACTGTCAGGATGCCTTGAGGCTGCAGCAAAATGTTCATTCCTAATTCTGGTGCCTGAGAGGCAGGCTTTTCTGAAGGCATTAACCAATAGGTTGGTGCTTTCAGACATCCTACCAATCAAAAACACCAGACTAAGTCTGCTTGGCACTATGGATATGGAAGAAAGAATCACAGGATATCTGAGTCAAGTAGCTTGTAATTTACTTGGAAAGATAAAGAAACTAACCAGAAAATCCAGTAAATGGAAAACAGTAGGGCCAAGCTATTGCTTCTGATAAGAAGTGATTTTGGAGTGAACTTGAGAGGTCAGTGAGGGATCATAGGGTGTATAATATTAGAGAACTGAGTCATATAGAGGGGGAAGATGGGTAGAATTCTGACTTAGCTGGAACAGAAAGTTCGTGGGGAAGAGGAAGGGGAAATACATTGTGGACAAGCAGAATGGAACAAGATTGTAAGGCCTGAGCCAGGCAAAGTAGGGTGGGTTCTTTTCTAATAGTCTGGATCAGGAAATTTATGGACAAGGAGGGAGTTGCTAAGAAATTCACCATGACCCCACAAAGAGCATGAATAGAGAAAACTTAATCATGGAAGGAGGAATCAGACAGGAAGAAGATTCTTGAAAATCAGAATAAGGGACATTGGATGGATAATAATGGAAGGCTATAAACAAAAAATGTCAGACCTACAAGGATCTTAGATGTAATCTACCAAAACCTTCATTTTTTAGACCAGAAAAGTAAGGCCCAGAGAGGGGCATGACTTGCCCAAAAGTCACATAGCTGGTCAATGACAGAGCTAAGATCTTCCAGTATCTGTTCCCAAGAATCTTCCAAGAAAAGGAAGTTTGGCTGTCTGTCCTGGAGAATTTAGGTGCTCCCTGTTCTGATGAGAAGCGTTGGGATGGCAGATTTATCAAGGTTCTGTTGAGCAATAGAATCCTGAGCCCTTAGGTGGCACCTCTCAGCTCCCGAGATGACGCTAACAAATCCAAGACTTGAGATGATTAGGAGTAAAGTTGCCTTTATGATCCCATTTTTTATCTCAAAAATCTTAACTCACACCCCTTTAGATGTCTCATTTATTATAGATGATGTTGATGGTGTTAGAGAAAACAGCTTAAGATAAAAGCAAGAAGACAGGCTTCCCTTAAAGTTAGCAATAGCAATAGAATTACATAAATTACTCAACTTATGCCTTAACCTATTCAACTTTTTGCAAAAAGAAAGACAACATTTAGAGAAAATAAATACATTCAAGTCTTTTCTACAGACTCATGATATGGGAAGGATGTGGCATTTGGAGTCCAAAGTCTCAGGTTAAGTTCTAGCCTGGATACTTATAGCAGCCATGTCCATTAGGCAAATCGTTTGTTCTAAGTCTATTTTTCTCAACTGTAAAGTTCAGTATCTAAGTCATAGAATTGTGAGGATTAAATGCAATGATATATTTTTAAGTGCTTTACAAATCTATAAATGGACATACAAATGTGAATGATTACAGTTCATAACTCTTGTCTACTATGCACAATTTCTCTCCTAGAAAGCTATTCTTGTGACCAAATCAACAGCTCTTTCCAAGAAAAAAAGACCTTATTGATGTGAAGTCTTGACACTGCCTCCTGGGAGCATCGTCCTGTAATCAAGGGCAGAAAACTCTGTGTGTGTACATGTGTGTAAATGCATGTGTGTGCCCATAGGGCCACCATTAGGCTAAAAGGCCCTTATGACATCCATGTGGGAATTATTTCCTCCTCCCTCCAGGCAGATGCAGCCCCATGCTAACTTGTGGAACAGGTTTGGTTTCAGGCCGCACTTACTCTTTTGACCAAAGTTACAACTGTTCACAACACCTGTGTGTGTGTGTGCGGGGGGGGGGGGGGGTGTCTATATGCGAAGATTTCAAAAACATATCAGAAATTACTCCCAAGAGGTATCCCTTTTTATCTGGAGGGCATAACATCGTTCTAGATTTATACAGGGAGGTGGATATTTAAAGCTGCCATTAATCTTTCAATATCATTCCTGTAGTTTCAAATCTGACTTCAAAATTGATGTAGAAAAAGACTCACTGACATCCTGACATCTCAGGATCCTACCTGTCACTTTACCTGGACTAAAGACCTTCGAACATCCATGCTGTCCAGGGGCACTCACCCCACAGGGTCATAAATCACAAATAGTTGTTCTTTATTTCAGTTTACTTCATGAATTAATTATGCAGCCAATAGGAACCCCATTTTTCCACCTCCCCCCGAATTAAAACACACACACACACACACACACACACACACTCGGCTCAGTCAAACCCTGATAGGTTCCATCTGAACCAGAACTATGGAAGATGGTGGAGATACACAGATGAACAAGCCCTGATCCTGGCACTCAAGTTACTTAGAGTCTCAAAATCTATTCAGTTAATTGAAAAAAAGTTAAATCTGTGCTAGATAGCACCCAAGGATGGCTGCTATCAATTCTTCCTTTCCCTATGTGCTCCTATCATCAAGAAGCAGAGGCTAGTTCACCCACTCTGGGGCTGGCCTCATGACTTTGTTTGACCAATAAACTATGTATGGTAAACATGGCACTGTGCCAATTTCAAGTTTAGACTAGAAGCTTCCACTTTTCTGCTTTCTGGGGAAGCCAGCGGCTATAAAGAAGCATAGGCTAGACTTCTGAGGGGTCAGATGCCACATGGAGAAAGAGAGGCCACATGGAGTAAAATCAAGACACCTTCCAGCCCTACCATCAGCTGAATGCAGCTAAGTGACCTGAGGGAACAAAAGAGCCTCCCAGCCAAGAGCCCTGCTCAAATTGCTGACTTGCAGAATCATGAGAAAAACGTAGTTTGGGGCTGTTGGTTAGGCAGCAATAACAAATTATTGGTGAGAAAACAAAATTATTGGTGAGAAAATTAACACAGTCAAAACAGCTATTTAACCTTGTGCAGAAAAAATACTGTTTTAAAAAGCAGACATCTCACTGTGGTCTACTTTCCAATTGGTTGTCTGGCCATATACTGACTGAGGTACTGCATATGAAACCCTATATGAAAAATCATGTGGACTGGAGGGAATCCAAGAGACAGAAGTTGTGGTTCCTACAACCTGGTACTTCCTCCTCACCTAGATGGTTTTCCATAAGAAAAAAAAATTATGTCTTCCATTTCTTTGGCACTGTCCTATTAAAGATCTCTGCATATTATGCCGAGCGCATATGGGCCATCAATGAATATAAATGGATTGAGTTTGTAAAGTTTAACTCAAATTTCAATCCCCAGTTTTTTCCACCCTCTGCCTTTCGATCTTTAGTCCTGTTACATTGAGGCCCAAGACTTAGGGTTGAATTGAAGTATCTCGGTCAGCAAGAGAAAAGGAGTTTTGACTTAAGAACTCAAGGCCTAGGAGAATGGGGTCACATGGTCACTTCACATGTTCTCTTTAGCACACCATTCCTGCATGGAATTCCATCTCTGAAGCCCTTTGGTGGGGGGCTATCTTGTATGTGACAGTTTAAAGTAAAAGTGTCTGGAATGGAGTTTCCTACAGCCTTCAATTCCTCAAAATAGGCATAAAAGAGTGCCAGACTCCTAACGTATTCTCAGGCTTCCAAGCCAGGCACCAAGATGGTTCACATCTACTCCTACAAGAAGCTCTCATTGAACCAGCATCATTCTCTGAGAAAGAGGACCTTGCCTGCTTAGTTGGTAGGTGTCCCATACAAATTTTTGTTCAAGGACTCGTTAGGAAACATGATATGGTATACAAGTGAATTTCCTAGAAATTAAAAAACACAGCCATTCAAACAACCCTTCTTTTCTTTCATTCATGAAGTGTTTATTGAGTATTCACTGTGTGCTAAGCATTGTGCTAGGTACTTGGGACGTTGAATACAAATCAAGGTTCCTGTGCTCAAGCGAATCTCATTAACAATAACCTTTTTAAAAAATTTGGCTGATGTTTGTTGTCAATTCTCCTGACAGAGATTATTTCCTCCTTACTTTCCTATAAAGCAAATGCTAAAATGAAATGAAGGCTCTTCTCCATAACTCATTATTAAATAAGACAAAAATATCATAGACTACTAAATCTACAAAAACATAGAAATATCCTTGTATTTCTGTGTTTTTGTGTTGAATCTAGACAGGTTTTCTTTTATATCTCATACTATCAGCTTCATTTCTTCCTAATGCCAGCACCTCTCATAACCCACTTGCTATTCAGGTTCTCCATATCTAGTCTTCTGTAAGTCTTGGGAACCATCTATGTCTAAATATGTTAGAAATGTGTGTCAAACAATGGCCAATAAAGTGCTGCTTGAGAGCCTAAGAAGAGAAGGTACATGAGCTTTAGTTATTGAAAAAATTCTGTCTGCCACCTTTTCTATTTTTTTATTATTATTATACTTTAAGTTTTAGGGTACATGTGCACAACATGCAGGTTTGTTACATATGTATACATGTGCCATGTTGGTGTGCTGAACCCATTAACTCGTCATTTAGCATTAGGTATATCTCCTAATGCTATCCCTCCCCACTCCCCCCACCCCACAACAGTCCCTGGTGTGTGATGTTCCCCTTCCTATGTCCATGTGTTCTCATTGTTCAGTTCCCACCTATGAGTGAGAACATGCGGTGTTTGGTTTTTTGTCCTTGCGATAGTTTGCTGAGAATGATGGTTTCTAGCTTCATCCATGTCCCTACAAAGGACATGAACTCATCATTTTTTATGGCTGCATAGTATTCCATGGTGTATATGTGCCACATTTTCTTAATCCAGTCTATCATTGTTGGACATTTGGGTTGGTTCCAAGTCTTTGCTATTGTGAATAGTGTCACAATAAACATACGTGTGCATGTGTCTTTATAGCAGTGTGATTTATAATCCTTTGGGTATATACCCAGTAATGGGATGGCTGGGTCAAATGGCATTTCTAGTTCTAGATCCCTGAGGAATCGCCACACTGACTTCCACAATGGTTGAACTAGTTTACAGTCCCACCAACAGTGTAAAAGTGTTCCTATTTCTCCACATCCTCTCCAGCACCTGTTGTTTCCTGACTTTTTAATGATCGCCATTCTAACTGGTGTGAGATGGTGTCTCATTGTGGTTTTGATTTGCATTTCTCTGATGGCCAGTGATGATGAACATTTTTTCATGTGTTTTTTGGCTGCATAAATGTCTTCTTTTGAGAAGGGTCTGTTCATATCCTTCACCCACTTTTTGATGGGATTGTTTGTTTTTTTCTTGTAAATCTGTTTGAGTTCATTGTAGATTCTGGATATTAGTCCTTTGTCAGATGAGTAGGTTGCAAACATTTTCTCCCATTCTGTAGGTTGCCTGTTCACTCTGATGGTGGTTTCTTTTGCTGTACAGAAGCTCTTTAGTTTAATGAGATCCCATTTGTCAATTTTGGCTTTTGTTGCCATTGCTTTTGGTGTTTTAGACATGAAGTCCTTGCCCATGCCTATGTCCTGAATGGTAATGCCTAGGTTTTCTTCTAGGGTTTTTATGGTTTTAGGTCTAACATGTAAGTCTTTAATCCATCTTGAATTACTTTTTGTATAAGGTGTAAGGAAGGGATCCAGTTTCAGCTTTCTACATATGGCTAGCCAGTTTTCCCAGCACCATTTATTAAATAGGGAATCCTTTCCCCATTTCTTCTTTTTGTCAGGTTTGTCAAAGATCAGATAGTTGTAGATATGCGGCATTATTTCTGAGGTCTCTGTTCTGTTCCATTGGTCTATATCTCTGTTTTGGTAGGAGTACCATGCTGTTTTTGTTACTGTAGCTTTGTAGTATAGTTTGAAGTCAGGTAGCATGATGCCTCCAGCTTTGTTCTTTTTTCTTAGGATTGACTTGGCAGTGCGGGCTCTTTTTTGGTTCCATACGAACTTTAAAGTAGTTTTTTCCAATTCTGTGAAGAAAGTCATTGGTAGCTTGATGGGGATGGCATTGAATCTATAAATTACCTTGGGCAGTATGGCCATTTTCACAATATTGACTCTTCCTACCAATGAGCATGGAATGTTCTTCCATTTGTTTGTATCCTCTTTGATTTCATTGAGCACTGGTTTGTAGTTCTCCTTGAAGAGGTCCTTCACATCCCTTGTAAGTTGGATTCCTAGGTATTTTATTCTCTTTGAAGCAATTGTGAATGGGAGTTCACTCATGATTTGGCTGTTTGTCTGTTATTGGTGTATAAGAATGCTTGTGATTTTTGCACATTGATTTTGTATCCTGAGACTTTGCTGAAGTTGCTTATCAGCTTAAGGAGATTTTGGGCTGAGACAGTGGGGTTTTCTAGATATACAATCATGTCATCTGCAAACAGGGACAATTTGACTTCCTCTTTTCCTAATTGAATACCCTTTATTTCCTTCTCCTGCCTGATTGCCCTGGCCAGAACTTCCAACACTATGTTGAATAGGAGTGGTGAGAGAGAGCATCCCTGTCTTCTGCTAGTTTTCAAAGGGAATGCTTCCAGTTTTTGTCCATTCAGTATGATATTGGCTGTGGGTTTGTCATAGATAGCTCATATTATTTTGAGATACGTACCATCAATACCTAATTTATTGAGAGTTTTTAGCATGAAGGGTTGTTGAATTTTGTCAAAGGCCTTTTCTGCATCTATTGAGATAATCATGTGGTTTTTGTCTTTGGTTCTGTTTATATGCTGGATTACGTTTATTGATTTGCGTATGTTGAACCAGCCTTGCATCCCAGGGATGAAGCCCACTTGATCATGGTGGATAAGCTTTTTGATGTGCTGCTGGATTCGGTTTGCCAGTATTTTATTGAGGATTTTTGCATCAATGTTTATCAAGGATATTGGTCTAAAATTCTCTTTTTTGGTTGTGTCTCTGCCAAGCTTTGGTATCAGGATGAAGCTGGCCTCATAAAATGAGTTAGGGAGGATTCCCTCTTTTTCTATTGATTGGAGTAGTTTCAGAAGGAATGGTACCAGCTCCTCCTTGTACCTCTGGTAGAATTCGGCTGTGAATCCATCTGGTCCTGGACTTTTTTTGGTTGGTAAGCTATTAATTATTGCCTCAATTTCAGAGCCTGTTATTGGCCTATTCAGAGATTCAACTTCTTCCTGGTTTAGTCTTGGGAGAGTGTGTGTGTCGAGGAATTTATCCATTTCTTCTAGATTTTCAAGTTGATTTGCATAGAGGTGTTTATAGTATTCTCTGATGGTAGTTTGTATTTCTGTGGGATCGGTGGTGATATCCCCTTTGTCATTTTTTATTGCGTCTATTTGATTCTTCTCTCTTTTCTTCTTTATTAGTCTTGCTAGTGGTCTATCAATTTTGCTGATCTTTTCACAAAACCAGCTCCTGGATTAATTGATTTTTTGAAGGGTTTTTTGTGTCTCTATTTCCTTCAGTTCTGCTCTGATCTTAGTTATTTCTTGCCTTCTGCTAGCTTTTGAATGTGTTTGCTCTTGCTTCTCTAGTTCTTTTAATTGTGATGTTAGGGTGTTAGTTTTAGATCTTTCCTGCTTTCTCTTGTGGGCATTTAGTGCTATAAATGTCCCTCTACACACTGCTTTGAATGTGTCCCAGAGATTCTGGTATCACCTTTTCTAATGACTAAATCTGGCTCAGTAGTTTTAATAAAGCCAAACATTCCAGGCCCAAGAACCCAAATCACGAAGAATGTAGAAAGAAGAAAAACAAACAAACAAACAAACAAAAAACCTTGTTTAGGGTTTAGGTTTTTGAGCTGTCCCAGTTCTTAAGCTTTTGTGCTTCCCATCTAGGGAACAGAGAGGTATGGTAAAATCGTGATTTTGCTTGGGAAGGTGCTTTGAGTGTGAGGAAGCAAAGCTGCAATTTTGGACGTGGGAGAGACCTAAAGGGTTCATTTCACATGCATTCCCTCCACGAATTTCACTTTCCCCTCCTCATCACTGCAGAGCATTTCCTTACAAGCCTTCACTGAGGTTGGAGGGATGATTCTACAGTGGAGTGGCAAGTCTTAGAAACAGGGAGCTAGAAACACACAAAGACTAACTCTCAAGCACCTAAATTTATAGTCAAAAGGAAAAAAACCCCAGAGAGGTACAGACGCGACATGCCTGGGACAGCAAAGCTGGTTAGCAGCTGAAAAAGAGCTAAAACCAGCTCAGTGGTTTTTCTACTATACTGTGTAAGCAGGCCTCTGAGCTTCTTCATTTTATTTCACCAGAAACACTTGAGATCAAGGCCTCGTAAATTTAATCCTCTAATGAATAATAATAATAATAACAATGTAGACCCTTGAAACAATAGCATGTCGGAAACTTTAGAGTTCATCTGGTCCAAATCTCACATTTTACAGATGCTCACTCAAGGTCAAGCAAGGGACAAGTTGAGCCTTCGTGGAGGATATGGGACATAGGCAAAGGGTTGAAAATAGAGCAAGAGTATATAAAATTATAAACCGAGGAACCTCAGAGATCATTATTCCAACCATGCATTAGATGAAAGGTGACCCTGAGATCACAGAGGAGAACTAACTAGTTCATGGATCAGTTAATGGTAGATTATTTTCAGCCCTATGTGCCATTGACTGCACCACAGGGCATCTTTGTAGTCACTGATGGGAAGAAAAATACAACCTGCAAACATTAACATACTGTAAAATCTCAATTTACTGGAATTCTCAGGAAATGAGGCATTCTGGTTAAATGAATTAGCTGGTTAATGAGACCTAAGGTCTGGTGGATGTCTGTAATTCTTGCCCACTTTCCCATCTGCTGTGATACCTGATCCTTTGTGAAGAGGCAACCAAAAAGCTCTTTCTGTTTGTGCTCTGATGTTTGGAGATCTTTCCAAAACGTCAGATTCCCATTGTCTTTTTCTAGTCAGTCGCGTCTGGTGAGTATCACTGCCCTTCATTTGCCGGGGAAGGAGCTTGTTAGCACTACATAACACTTGCTATTAATGACAAAGCTGGAGGAGATTATTTTACGTACCTCCATCATTTCTGACAACTTTTCCAACTTGAGCTGAATGTGACAAATAGAAAGAGTTTGTTGGAAGCGTAATTGGTTTCTACCTTTTTCTGTCTGGAGTTTATGTGATCAGAATAAAAGTTAAGGAATGAAGGTTCACTGAGCTTCTGCAGTACACAGTCTCCGTTACTCCGTAGCGTTCTTATTGAATTGTTCCGACCATCCCGTGAGATATATATTTCCATCCTCATCTTACAGATGAGGAAGCTGAGGCTCAGGGAGGTTGAATAACTTGTCTAAGATTGTGCAAAGAAGGAATAATGGGGCTGGGATTGAACCTAGCTCTGAGTCCAGAGTTAGCAGAGACTGTGCAAGTGACTAGGAGTATGTTTCCAACTGTTTGAGTGAGCAAAAGGCCTGATGTTCGCACTCTTGCATGGACACAAAATGAAAAAGCTTCATGGTTCTTAATCTTTCGGGGTCACTTTTTCTGCCTGAGCCTCAGTTTCCTCATTTGTAAAATAGGAAAAGGAAAGAAGTGAACCAGATCCCTACTTACTAAACAGTCTTTATCCCCTAGCCCTAGTGCCTCTCCTCTGCCATAGTTGGACTTGGAACTATAGGCAATGAAGAAGACAGATCTGTTTCTTGCCCTAAGGACATTTAATCAAAGGAACAACATGGCAATGAATGAGCAAGTAAAGATAAATAGATGAGATGGACTGTCAACATCTTAAGCCAATAGGATGCACATCAACTGTGAATAAAAAAGCCAGATGTTCTAGAGTTTTAACCTAAAAATACAGGGATATGAAGAACATTGACTTCCTTTTTCCTTCTTATTGTCCAGGAGGGCTTCTTGGAGGAGGTATTGTATTGCCTATGTGAGAGAAAACAGTCTGGAGAGCATGGTGGTTGTGCCCTGAGGTGGTGTCCAGCAATCTGTTAATGCTGAGAGATGGCTCTGAGACAAGAGTGGGGTGGGCTTGAACAAGAAAGCATAAAATGTGTATTAATTTCCCAGTACCTGGGTACTCTGACATTAACAAAGTTCCACAAACTAGGTGGCTTAAAACAACAGAAATTTATCCTTTCACAGTTTGGGAAGCTAGAAGTCTGAAATCAAGGTGTTGGCAAAGTTGGCTCCTTCTGAGGACTGTGCGGGAGAACCCATTCCATGCCTCTGTCTGGCTTCTGCTGATGGCCGGCAGTCCTTGGTGTCTGTTGGCTTGTGGATGCATCACTCTAACCTCTGCCTCTGTCTTCACATGGCCTTCTCTGTGTGTGTCTCTTCTTCTCCAGAGGACACCATTCATGTCAGATTAAGAGCCGCTCTTCTCCAGTATGATCTCATCTTAATTTAGATAATGACGTCCACAACAATCCATTGCCAAGTAAAGTCACATTCTCAGGTATTGGGGGTTGGGACTTAAACATATCTTTTGGGGGGCACAATTCAACCCATGACAAAGCAAAAAAAGCTGCATATGAATGGCAGCAAAGACCCAAGGAGGTAAAAATATCCAGATTTGTCACATTGTAAGGGCAATGAAACTGGGAGCCTCCTGGGCTGCCAAAAGCAAATCAATCAAAGACATTCCCTGAAGCTGGTCTCAGCAGGGCCTGTCCTGAATGCTGGGTGTCCTGGGTGGGCATCCTTGCAGGCCTTCAAGGACCTTGTGGTCTAGCCAGGAGAACTGCATTTGCTAAACAATCATTCAGACCACAGTGCAAGAGCTCTCATCGGGTGGTTCGTCCCCCTCTCTCCCCTCCCTCCCTCCCTCCCTCCCTCCCTCCCTCCCTCCCTCCCTCCCTTCCTTCCTTCCTTCCTTCAACAAATATTTATAGACCACCATTATTTGCCAGGCACATTGTCCTAGGTATTCTCTTCTAGGTGCTGAAGATATACCAATGAATAAAATAGACACAAAAGCAACAACAACAAAATACCTGCTCTCAGGAGCTGCTTACATACCAGCAGAGATGGGCAAATAAGTAAGAAACATAATAAATAAATCATAGAATAATTTTGAAGATTTTAGTGCTATGTAAAAGGAGACAAAAAAGAAAGCAGAGTAATGAAGTCTGGGAGTTCTGGGGGTTGAGCTATCAAGATAGACTTCAGGTTGACTTTTGACAAAGACGTGAAGAAGGCGAGGGAGTGAGCCATGCAGGTAACTGGGGAGGAGAGTCCTGGACAGGGAACAGAGCCAGCACAAAGCCCTAAAGTGGCAGTGTGCTGGCAGCAAAATGGCCAGTGTGTTCCCTGGGAAGTGAGCAAGTGGGGAGAGAGGTAGGAGGTGAGGTCAGAGAGGAACAGAAGACAGCTTTGTAGGATATTTAAGGACCGTAGCCTTTTTTCTGTGAAATGAGGAAGCCATTGGTGAATTTTGTTCAGAGGAGTGTCATGATTTGACCTACATTTGGTTGGGATCATTGGCTGCTGGGTATAGAATAGACCGCATTGGCCACTGAAGGAAGCAAGAAGCAGATGGAAGCTGGTAGCAAGCATCCAGATAAGAGTTGCCCCTAACTGCAATGGGGAAATCTATGGAGCAGCAGGTTGGGAGATTGACCAGGAGTTGAGTTTTGGAGTAAAGGAAGGAGATGTAAAGGAGACAGTGGGATATACAGTTCTGGAGTTCAGCAGAGAGGTCTGGGTTGGAAATAAAAATGTGGTGCCATCAACAAATAGATGGTGTTTGTAGGAGTCATTTATCACTGCATAATACATTACTCCCAGACTTAGAAACCTAAAGTAACACTCATTTGCTCACACAGTTTCTGAGGTCAGGAATGAGGGAGAAGCCTAGCTGGGTTTGCCAATGGAGTTTGTGAGTTCAAAAGCTCAGTGCCCTTCCATGCAGGTGGGACTTGCAAGGGCCTCATCTCAGAGCTGAGAATCAGATCAAATCCAGACCCTGCCTCTATCTCCATGTCAGCCAACCCTGCTGGAACCCAGCCAGGCAGCCTCATTGATCCCAGAAGATGCAGGAGAGCCTTTGAAATATGGTTGCCTCTTCCTGGGCCTGTTCCCCTTGCCCCCATGGTGTCATTTCCAAACCCACTACATTCCAATGGCTTTGGGATCTTTTAATTACATGGGACAAAACCTTGCTTTTGCTGGCTCTGGCTTAGAGTCTTTCGTGAGGTTTCAGTTAAGCTATTATCCAAGGCCACGGTCATTTCAAGGCTCGACTGGGACTGGAGAATCCACTCCTAATCTCATCACCTGGTTGTTGGCAGGCCTCAGTTCCTGACTGGCTGCTGGCCCCAGGCTTCAGTTCCCCTGTGGGCTTCCCCGTAGGACTGCTGACACAACATAACAGCTTGCTTCCTCCAGAGTGAGTGACTCAACAAAGAAAGAGGGAAGAAGACAGAAGCCACAGTCTTTTTTATAACCTAATCTCAGAATTGACATACCATCACTCTGCCATATGCTATTAGTCACACACATCAACCCTGCTACAATATGGGAAGGGCAGGAAACTGAATACCAGCAGGGACCACTGAGGGCAATCTTGAAGTCTGATTCTGGTCATCATATTATTGCCATGAGATGAGAAGAAATGACCAAAGGTCCTTCTCCCCCTTCCCTTTTTTTTTTTTTTTTTTTTTGCTTGCTTTCTTTCCTTCCTTCCTTCCTTTTGTCCTTTTTTGCTTTCTTTCCTTTCCCCTATTTATCTTGCATCCCTTCCTTCCTGCCACAGCTTTGCTGATCACATACTATATGGCAGGCCTGTGTAAAGCCTATAAAGGTCAGAGAAGACTTAAACACATTCCTTGCTCATGAGAAGCCCATGGGGATAGAGAAGCAGTCAAGTAAAAAAATAACCACACCCAGCACTATAATGTTCCAAAAACTGGAGAGTCGAGGTCCTCTGGGAGCCCAGAGGAAAGAGCAATGGACTCTAGGTGGATGCAGGGATTCAGGTGGGAATCTTCAGACAGAGCATGAGGTTGCTAAAGTGATGGCTTCTGGAAGAAAGTTGGGCAAGAATAAAAGGATTATTGTACTTGTGAGGAAGATGAACACCAAGATCTTCTCCCCTACCCTGGGCTTAGGTTATGTCTATCTGTAAGACTATGTTACTTCCATGCTTCTAGAAACCCACCTGCCAGGACAGAGGATGCTCACTGCCATCACAGATGGCTGCCTGGACAGGCCAGGCCAATGGAGTTTGTGAGTTCAAAGGTCACTGCCCCTCCATGGAGGTGGGACTTGCAAGGGCCTGGTCTTAGAGCTGAGGATCAGATCAAATCCAGACCCTGCCTCTAGCCCCATGTCAGCCAGCTCTGCTGGAGCCCAGCCAGGCAACCCCATGGAGCCCAGGCAGGCAGCCCCATCGATCCCAGACCATGCAGGAGAGCCTTTGAAATACGGCTGCCTCTTCCTGGGCCTGTTCCCCTTGCCCCCATGGTGTCATTTCCAAATCCATTACATTCCAATGGCTTTGGGATCTTTTAATTACATGTGACGAAACCTTGCTGTTGCTGGAATTAGACGGCCTGTGTTGACGATTTATAGTCCTCAGCTTTCATGCAAGCAGGGTAATAAATAACATGAAATGGGCCCTTCAGTATTAAAAACTTCAGAGCTACCCACTAAGCCATGACAGAAAGAAAAAAAATGAAAAGAGTAAAAAAAAAAAAAATTTAAAAAAAACAGTAATGTCTGTATCTCATGTGTTTAAAATACTGTATGTGAAACAGGGAATGTCAAAAATACGGGGTGCTGAGCAATAGGCAACTCGTAAAATTTTATCTCTGGTATGAGGATTTCCAACCATATAATGAGGTCTTTCCTTTCCTTTCTTTTTTTCTTTCTTTCTTTTTTAATCCTGGGCACTTTGTGCCTGATGAGGTGACTGAGAGGGCAGAGTGGCTGGGACACCTATTTTGCTGCTGCCCCAGATTTAATGGCAGGGTAAGGACTGAAGTGGGCAGGACCTCCCAGCCCCTACACCCCATTTGGACTCTCCTTCCTGGCCCCCTTGCCCAGCCACATCCTGTTCCTCGGGTCTGCTCCTGCTGTTCTCAGTTACTGGAGGACCTTCGCATTCCTTTCCATCCAGCCCCACATTCCCACCCCCAGTGCGCGGGGCTGCTGCTGAGCCTTACTCCAAATTCACCCTGTTGTGGGCAGTCACACACTGCTTGGAGAGTTAGCAAGCTGCTGCTCACAGGCTTTATCATCTTCCAGAGTGGGCCGGGTGCGGTGGCTCATACCTGTAATCCCAGCACTTTGGGAGGCCAAGACGGGCAGATTACTTGAAGTCAGGAGTTCAACACCGACCTGGCCAACATTGTGAGACCTCATCTCTACTAAAAATACAAAAAAATTAGCCAGGTGTGGTGGAGGGCGCCTATAATCCCAGCTACTCAGGAGGCTAAGGCAGGAGAATCGCTTGAATCTGGGAAGTGGAGTTTGCAGTGAGCTGAGATCACGCCACTGAACTCCAGCCTGGACAACAGAGTGAGACTTCATCTCAAATTAATAACAATAATAATAATAATCTGCCAGGGTGGAAGCTCCCTGAGGGCTGGGGTGGGACATCTTCCCTCCCTTCTTTTCCCTCTTGCCACCTGGCACAGGGCTGGGCCTGCAGTAAAACTCTATGAAGTCTTGCCCTCGCCCTTAAGAAGCTAAGAATCAAGGATTCCATTGGGTTCCAACTCAGAGAGGCAAGAAATAGCCTGTGAAAGAGGGTGATGAGAGGGAAGGGGTGAGGCTGAAGGACAAGGAGGAATGTCTTATTTCAGCCCTTTGAGAAGAACACAAGCTCAGGATGCCTTAAGCACAAGAGCCTCCTCCCAGGGCACCATGACAAATAGGAAGCTCAGAGTCTAGGGATCTAAGCCATTCAGGAGTCAGGGATAGTTTGTGCCCCTCAACAACAGGATTCTTTGTCTTCTTGCCAGTGGTTCTGCCACTCCCATGATTCAGCCATATGTGTGTATGTGTGTGTGTGCACACGTGTGCCCCTGTGCCCATATCTGCTGCCACTACTGACAGCATGATGAGCCCCTTATCAAGATTCGACTGGCCCACTGAAATCACATGGCCCCTTTGCTCCTTTAGACAAATCTCCCAAACCAAGACCATCGCATTAGCCATCTGGCCAGCCTAGAGACAGGTTGCCTTTGAATCTGGTGCCCATCCTAGTCCATTCATCTGTCTCCAAAGAACAGGCTTACAGACGTCAGCTTTGCTGCTCAGGTAAAAGGCATGGGCCAGACCTGTGTCTGTGGAACTGAGGAAGAACAGGCTTTCTTAGGGCTTCTAGTACAGAGTAGTTCACAGAAATGGCTTAACTTGGGTTGAGCCTTAAAAGTTAGTTAAAATGTAACTAGGAAGATATCATTCTAGGCCTGAGCTAATGACTGACCTAAGAGCCAGACCCAGCCCTGCCTGCTGGACATTAGACATTCAAGCCTTATGGATAAGGCAAGATCTAGATGTTCAAATCTGAACAAATGGGAGATAATTGGTAGGAGATACAGAGGCAGGTCAGAGCCTATGAGGTCACTGCATTGTCTCTTTTCGCCTATGGCTGGGGCTTCATGAGATATAATTTCCAGATGGGCAGGTGTCAAGGACACCCTGTTTACTGTGTGTTCCCAATGCACAAAACAGGGTCTTGCACAAAATAGGTACTTGTGTGGTGAAGGAATTAGTAATGTTGAAAGACAGAGACCTCTTGCTGACAGCAGGCTAACTTCTTTGACAGCCATTACAAGGAGCATCTTTCCTAGGGGCTTGTTAGATGAAAGAGAGAGGGTTTTTTTTTTTTTTTTTTTTTTTTTTTTTTTTTTTTTGCTTTTGAGTTTCCTTGGCATCAACAATCAGAAAGTCTGGCTTAGGTTTTCAGCTCTCTTGCCTGAAATAGCCTCTAGCATTATCACAAAGGTATGTTTCCCTCCTTAATAATAACTTTCTGATCTCAATGGGCTTCTAATTCTCAGAGGGCATGGCTGAGAACTGCTATGAGTGCCTTTGGAAGGCCCAGGGGAACCCACGGTGGACGTCACGGCCAAAAGATTACTGCCGAGGACTGCATCTCAAGGAATGGGCAAGGGGAAGACAGAATCAGGCTAACTCAGCAATGCCAGTGTCTCAAGCATAAAAGGTATTCGAGTAGAATTTGGCAAAAAAATGGAGAAATGAAGAAGTTAGATTTAAGACACTGAAAGTGGTGTGCAGCAGAAAGCTTTGTGGTGATTTGTGTATTCTCTTTTCTCCGTGAAACTTCTGCAGTGGATAAACAATGATAGCATCCATAAAGATGTATCTTGTTTTATATAAGAAAAAAAGGATTCCTGAAAAATATTAAATAAAAATTGAATTTCATTTTCCCACTGACTTCCATTACTAAGTCTCAGAGGATCAGTGAAGTACTGTCTAGTAGATCTGGAAGGTACCCTAGAGGCTTAGCTCAAATCTCTTACTTCACAGATGAAGCATCTGAAACTGGGAGAGTCTATAGCAAAAGGGAGAACATGACAGTGAGGTTTCTGCAGTGGAAGGGAGCAGAGGCTGACGAGTATCCACCATTCGCTCATCTCACTACCCTCAAGGAGTTGGATGTGGCCTCTTATCCCTGGGCTGTTATTTATTTAATATTTACTATAATTTAATATTTTTATATAATCATTTTATTTTTAACTATTTACTTAGTATTTAATATTATTTAATATGCGTCTCTTTTTTTTGAGATGGAGTCTCACCTCGTTGCCCAGGCTGGAGTGCAGTGGCACAATCTTGACTCACTGTAACCTCCGCTTCCCGGGTTAAAGTGATCCTCCTGCCTCAGCCTCCCGAGTAGCTGGGATTACAGGTGCACACCACCACGCCCGGCTAGTTTTTGTATTTTTAGTAGAGATGGGGTTTCACCATGTTGGCCAGGCTGGTTTCAAACTCCTGACCTCAAGTGATCTTCCTGCCCAGCCTCCCAAAGTGCTGGGATTACAGGCATGAGCCACTGCGCCCAGCCTGTGTCTTTAAATTGACTCACATTTTTTAAAATAATAGGCTTACCCAAGATAATATCTGTGGTATCAGGGTTTTAAGGGAAAAAAAATACACACATATATATAAAATTATATTATCTTATATATTTAAATACACATCAAAATAGAAGCCAGCTAACTCAGTTGGTAGAGCATGAGACTCTTAAATACACATCAAAATAAATATATGAACACTACAATACAAACTGTTCATCCATAGATGGCCTAAATTGTCTTGCTTACCACCAGTGGTATAAGTTTGTCCTTTGGAAAGTACTGGACTAATGACCTCTAAACTCCTTTCAGTATTAAGATTCTCTGATATTTGAAAAGAGCTTGTTTTGTGAGCATTGGCTACACCTGTAACCCTTTCCCTTTTTCTCTCTACCTTCCTAAAACATGGCTCAGCTCAAACTCACCTCTCCCCCATGAAGGCATTGGTACAGAAAAAAAGGAAACATGGCAGATATGAGACTGCTATCCCTACAAAAGCCTGTTGCAGTGTTGGCCTTTGGCTGGTGTCAAGGAACTTGGATTTTAAGAGTGTTCCCACCGTTGCCTAACTGATAAGAGTGGCTCATTGTGCCTAAACTGTACAAACCACGTGGTTTATGCTAAACACCTATGTTCTGAAATGTTGGCAGGTGGAGGCAAAGGGTGGCTATGAGGCCAGCCCCAAGTAAAAATGCTGGGCACTGAGTCTCTAATGGGTTTCCCTGGTGGATAGCACTTTACACTTATCACAACCCAATGTTGGACGAATTAAGCACATCTTATGTGACTCCACTGGGAGAGGGTTCTAGAAACTTGTGCCTGATTTCCTCTGAAAGTCGCCCAATGCACCGTCCCCTTAGCTAATTTTGCTTTATATCCTTTAGCTGTAATAAATCTTAGCAATGAGTATGATAGTATACTGAGTCCTTTAAGTTCTTTAGTAAATCACTGAACTTCAGATGGTCTTGGGTACCCCACACACAGCTTTCTTCTGTGATCATCCCAGCCTCCAATTTTCTTCCTATCCTGAATCCCTTCAGCAACTTACATATACATATAATCATTTAACTCTCCTGTTTGCTTTGTCAATTAGTGTATATACAGTACTAGTAATATATAGGATCTCTCTCCCACTCATTAAGTGTCTATATAACCAGGGACTTTTTCTTATACAACTTTCAATTGCATTCTTGTTTGTTCCTGATGTTGTCTTGTTCATAGTAATCATTCTAAGTTTCTTTATAAAAAACGACACAAAAACATCAAACTTTTTGGATGAAATATGTGGTTATTTTAAACATTTAGAAAATACAAAGAAGCCAAAGAAAAAAACAATTAAAATCACCCATGATGCCTTACCCAGGAATAACCATCTTCACTACCCTTGGTTGTATATCCTTTTAGTCATCTTGGTATCCATAAATAGCTTTTATAAAAATGATATTATGATTTTTACTAGTTACCTTTTTAAATTTAACATATTATAAATATGTATTCATGTGATTATATATATATTTATCAATAATGTCTTTTTTTTTTTTTTTTTTTTTTTGAGACGGAGTTTCATTCTTGTTGCCCAGGCTGGAGTGCAGTGGCACAATCGCGGCTCACTGCAACCTCCGCCCCATGGGTTCAAGTGATTCTCCTGCCTCAGGCTCCCAAGTAACCGGGATTACAGGCATGCAACACCATGCCCGGCTAATTTTGTGTTTTTAGTATATAGATGGGATTTCTCCATGTTGGTCAGGCTGGTCTCGAACTCCCGACCTCAGGTGATCTGCCCGCCTCGGCCTCCCAAAGTGCTGGGATTATAGGCATGAGCCACCATGCCTGGCCAATAATGTCATTTTAATGGTTACGTGATAATTTGTTATATTATGTATCCCAAACTTTCAAGCTAAACACCATCTGCGGACATGCTTTGTTTGTGTAGCATAGCATTAGCCTGCCCAGTGGTTATAAATAATATTTTAGAATTAAAGTCAATATTTTAAGCTTTTATTTTAAAAATGGTAACAGCACATCCCCATCGGGCCACATAGGTGGAGCTGGATGGAAGCTGCTGGTGCTGTCTTTTTGCTGTAGTCCCTCCCATTCTCTGTGGCCTCCATAAAACTCAGGCTGAGGGTCCGTTGCTATTTATCATGCTCTTGGGCTGATTTTCTTTTGCTACAGTCAAGATGGAAGTGAAATAGTTCTTGTCCTCATATGTCTATCAAAATAGAAGAGAACATATGTCTGCAGCCCCCAAACTGTGTACCAAAGAACCCCAGGCTCCCACAGGAAAACCACAAGGACAGTTTAGGATTTTTATAATTATCAAGAAACACGCCATGATATTCAGTATTGTCAGACACCATGCAGACTAGCAGCTTGAGTGAGCTCAGCATTTTAACAGTAGATCATGCTACACTTGGTATCATCACATCTTTGGAAAGCTGGGTTTTCATTGGTCACTGTGTTAAAAAGCAAGTACCATGGGAAAATCATCATCAAACAGGAAACAAAGGTAGAGGTGTCCATTCTGACTCTAGTTTAATTGTGCGATGCTCAATAGGTACACATATCCCATTAGTAAATATATTTAAGAATGAGATTTATATATTTTTTCTTTCAAATTATGTGTAATATTTTTTAAACAGCTATTAAGTTGTTAGGACATAAGTATTCCTCGTTTATTTGCACTCATATACTTAATAAATCTAACTATGAAGCATTTATTTTTTCCTAGAAATGCTATAAAACTATTACTGAGAGATTTTGGGAACCTTTTGTATATTTCCAGTGGAACTAAAGACACTGCTGACTGCCCTCGTTCCTGCCTCACTGGTCTCAGCCCACATATCCACTGTGTCATTGCAGCTTATGATGCCTGTGTTAGATACATGTGTTATAACCAGTCTGTCCCTATCCCAGCAACATGCCTATTACTTTTGCTATTCAATAAACAAAGAGGAGCATCTTCAGAGCTAATATTCCCTACATTCAGGATTTTATATCCTTAGAACGAACTCCTAGAAGAATTGCTGAGAGAAGTTATTCAAACATTTAAGGCTTTCAAAAATTATTTCTGAATTGATTCAGCTTCATCTGAGACTCCTAAAGACAGAGCAATCTGCCTGACACACAGTGATGCTGAATTCCGTGTGGAACTGAGTTGAATCGATGCAAACGAAATTGAATCTCTAGAGACACTGAGCTATGCTTTTACCTCTCTTTGTCTGAAGCTGCCTCTGTTTCTAACACAGACCCTATAATCAGTGATCAGCATTACTGGAGCAGGAGAGCCCTAGCTATGGAAAGGAAGCCTGTGGGCAATTCTTTCACAAAAAGTGTATCTTAGCCCTGAAAGGTCAAAGAGCTTAATAGTCAAAGGATTGGTTTCGAAGCCAGACTGATTTCAAATCTATCACTCACTAGTTGTTAACCTTGGGCATTTTACTTAAACTTCTGTGCCTCAATTTCCTCATCTGTAAAATGGGTATACTAATAGGACCTACCTCATGAGGTTGTAATGCAGAAAAAAATATATATACACACATTGCACATTGCCAGGCAAATACTAAGTTCTCAATGGGAGCTATTCATTTTATTTGTTCTCTTGGATGCTTTTAGATGTCCCTAAAGCAAGGTCCACCTTGATTTTCATTCCGTCCTATGGGCTGGCTACTCTTGCCACTGTTGGAAGGCATAGGAAACACATAATCAAACCATGCCCAGCCTTCTCAACCCAGGGACTAATCTATGGTCCCCGGACCCTCTTGAGCCAACCTGAGCAGAGAGCACTTTTTAAACTCCTTTCTGATTAGGGCATGGGCTAATCAGACGGTCCAGAGCTCCTTCATGTCCCAGGTAGCAGTAGCTACCAGACCAACCAGTTCTTGTAGTTATGAAACCAAGAATTTTGCTATCTGAGCTAAACAAAAGGAAAAAAAAAGAAAAACTTTTATTGATTTTGGATTAAGAGGCATTATGATGTTTAGAAACCCATTACTTTGAACACCAGAGAACCTCATTCCCACCTTTAACAAGTCCTCTCAGGGAAAATTTTTTCAGGGTCATTTAAAGCCTGACATTGTGCCCCTGAAATGCCCTGTGTCCAAGCCCTTTCCCTCCAATGCCCTTCCAGTCTGTCTTACCCTGCAGCAGTTCCTCCTCTGACTCTTAGAATATCTTCAGCCAAGAGAGCCGCAGAACAGGGAGCAGGCCACTCTGGAATAAACTAAGCCAGAGCATAGGAGTGCCCACAGCCCCACTGATGCATGAGCTTCACTGCCTATGTTGGAACTGACGGAACTCTTAGCTTGGGACCTGGGAACTGTATCTGAGTCCCGGCCAGCCCCTTGTGGGCCTTCTGATGACCGCCTTGTGATCTTGGGCTCATTTAGTCTCCTTGACCCTTGGTCTGCTCACCTTTAAAATGGGAATGATAATGTCTAGGAGATGATGAAATGAGATGATCTTCATGAAGGTGGCTGGTAAAATACTTACATAACTGTAAGGAATTGTAGTTAAGAAATGAAGTTGAAGCCCAGTATTGATCTGGCCCAGGAAGACGTTTTTATAGAAAGAGACTTTGGAGAACAGAAGGGCTGCACAGCAGACAGATAATGAGAAAGTCTATGAGGGCCCAAAGAGCAAAAGGGTTGGCCTGGGGTGATCAGAGGAGGGTAAGACTGAAAGGTGGGCAGCGTCGGCTAGGAGAATGGGTTCAAATAGGACTTTGTAGCCCAGGACTTGGAGTCTTTCCCAAGAAATCAATTACTCAAAACATTCCAAGGGCCCAGCCTGGTGCCAGCTTGATTTCTGATGTCGGGAAACTCAGGAATCTGGTTATGGGAGGCAGGAGTCAAAACAAGAGAATGACCCATGATAGCCGTGAAGTGAATGTAGGGACTGTTGTCCAGTGGAAGTTCTTCAAAAGGAAACAGGAAAGCAGGCCTGCCCTGTGATGTCATCCTGGGCTTAGGCTAAGAATGGAGTTTGGAGTGAGGGCCTGAGGCTACCAGAAAGACACTTTGTGGCATCAGCTTTTCCATTAGCACAGGAAGAAGACTTCCTTCAGTGAGGAAGAAGACCCTGAGAGGATGGACCACAGGAAAAAAATGATTTTTGATTCGGGGAAAAGAGTAGTAGAGGAACTTGATTAAATAATCACAAATTTGGCAGGGCATGGTGTTTCACACCTATAATCCCAACACTTTGGGAGGCTGAAGCAGGTGGATTACTTGAGTGCACGAGTTTGAGACCAGGCTGGGCAACAAAGTGAGACCCTGTCTCTACAAAAAATAAAAAAATTAGCCATGCGTGGTGACATGCACCTGTGGTCCCAGCTACTCAGGGGGCTGATGTGGGATGATTGCTTGAACCCAGGTGTTTGAGGCTGCAGTGATCTATCATCATGCCACTGCACTCCAGCCTGGGCAATGGAATGAGATCCTGAAAACAAAAAATAAGAATCACATAGTTTACAGCTACCCGGGATCAGAGTTCATCCCTCCCCAACTCACTGCCCTTGCTGTATACAAGCTGAAGTTTACACAGGTGATGTCACTTAACCTGTAGCTGGAAGGCAGATCTCCAGCCTTTGGTGATCTTTTGACCCCTTGATGGTAATCTAGATGCAGCCAAGTGTAGGACTGTGGGGACAGGACTGGATGGCATGTTGGAGCATCTGCAGCAGGTATTGTAAAGATCCTGTGCACCTAGATGAAGGTAAAAGGGACCCCAGAGAGTAGACCAAGAGAGGCATTTAGGATTAGTCTCACAATATTGCCGAAGGCTAGCGCCTCCTCCATCCTCCTTCCTATGCTGCCAGTTCCCCTTTCTTCACAGTCAGATATGGATATGCGATGCTGCTCGAATAGAAGTAAAATGGACAAAGGACTGGCAATGTGACCACAAGGGGCCTCACCATTCCCTAGAGAGGAGTAGTTCATGAAGTAGGAATTTGGCTTTTGGTCCATCAATGCTCTGCCTTCGGTGGATTCCTGGAGGCAGTAAACTGGGGTGCCCCAAAAGAAGGACTACGATGTGCTGGGCTCACAATTTATGCAAACAACTGATATTCAGATGTGCTACCAGCATGGCAGGGCCAGAGCCAGCCAAGCTGTAGAAAGCATTTGGGAGGAAGGATGGAGCAGCTGCCTTCTCAAATCCTGAGCCCCACCTCAGTGCAGCCCCAGCTCTGCCTTCCCCAGACAGGAGACAGCTTGTTCAAGCGCACTTGTGAACGTGAAAAGGGAGAGGGAGGGAAGCAGGGGGGAAGAAATCCGTTCTACCTCACCGCTTTCCACCTCTGCCCCAGTGGAGTGCAGGTAATTTATTATACCTAAAGAGCAAATGCCGCCTTATGTGGAGGCAAAAATGCTAGTCGGATGCTACGGCAAGTTGCCTTGGGAGACCAAGGGACCTAGTGAAGTTTTGCAGCCTGGCAAGGGAGTCTGCAAGAGGAAGGAGTGACTGGCTCCTTCCATCAGAGTAATAAGCTCTTGTGTTTGTGCTGAGTTTCTTGTGTTTTGAGGTTTTCTTACATGTATGGTTATACTATGAGCCTCATAACCATCCAGTACAGTAGATGGCTCTAGTGTTATTTTCCCTATTTTTTAGGTGACAAGACTGAGGCCTAAAGGAGTTTTAAAAATTGACCAAAGTCATGAAGGTAATAGAAGGATATATCTCCCAATTCCTAGTTTCCAAATGTTTTTCCATGTCTTATTTTTTTTTTTTTTTAAAGAGCATGTAACTGGACTAAGGGCAATGAGGAACTTAAGAGGTGTCAACTACATCAAGCTGCATAGAGAGATGGAAATGAACAATATAAGATAAATCAAAGGAAGTCCTTCTTCATGTAGAAGAGGAATAACTCACAGACCTCATTACCAAAGAAAAGTTTTCATTAATAAATGTACCCATTACAATTTGAACAATGACTGAGGAAGCTTGGGGTGGGAGTCTCTTGCCAAGCAAGTTGGGGCTCCCTTCCTCACCCTCCTGCTTTCCAGGCTGACCTCTCAGCATCTCCCATGTCTCTTTTGCCCTAGCCACACAGAACCATGGCTGCTCCCTGAACCCCCCAGTTCTTCCCACTTCCATGCCCTTGTGCATCCTCTTCCTGAACCCTCAAGTTCAAATATCAAAATTTGGAAATCCCATATTGAGTTAATTGCTCCCTCATCTGAAATCACTTTGAAGTGCTCACAGTCTGTCTCCTCCACTAGACTGTGAGCTCTCTGAAGGTAGGGAGTGTGGCGTATTCATCCCTGAACCCCAGAACCTGCCTGTGTGCCTGACACTTATCAGGATCCTAACAGATAAATGAATGGCTCAATCACCATTACCACCTTCATTTTATCAGAGTCATTTATTGAGCCCCTCATGGCTCTCGACAGAGAGTGTGCACTATACTGAATTCTGGCAATTTCATTGACATTATAAGAATCCAAGTGTGGTGAAAATCTGAGCTGTTTAAGGCTGGATCTGAGGAGTCTTGGAGGAAAATAAGGGATTAGAGGACATTCCAGGACACTATAGAAGGTTTCCTTCTGGGACAGGTCCTGTGATGACTGCAAGATCAACATAGTCCCAGTTGTCACAGAGCTGAGAGATACAGTGCCAACACAGGTGAGGCATATAGAAGAAAATTAAGGACTAAGAGCTACGGAACTGACTTATTCCTGCTGTAGTGACTTCAGAGAAGAGAGGGCTAGAATAATCAGGAAGGCTTCATGGAGGAGGTGACATGAGCTGGGCTGTGAATTTCATTTAGATACAGAAAGATAGATGTCCCTAGAGTAAGGAAAAACATGGGCCTAGAACCAATAATTAATCAATATGGCTTAGAACAAGCAATGAGTAGCCCTAAGTTCATTCTGTACTCTAAGACAAGTTCTGCTACAGGCAGGAAAGACATGAAGAAATACCTTCCTTTGCACCAAGACACTATTTTTTTTAATATGGGGAATTTTAAAAAAAAGAACTCCAGATGGATTTTAAACACAGTGGGGAACTGGGCGGTGTGATGGCAGATGGCTATTTCAGCTGCACATGGGTAAAAATAATTCCAACTCCCCAATACCCAGGACTGCTCTGAACTTGTGAAAACCTTTTAAGGAAAAGCTGCAGTGTGATGCTCAAAGCGCAGAGCTGCAGCAGACTGGGGGCCAAGGGCTTGGAACTCACCAATAAGAAAACAGCTACCGCTGTTGGGACAACAGAACTCAACCCATTTGGGGAGGCTCCCTTCTGACCAGGTTCTGTCTGGGCCGGCCCTCGATGTCAGTCCAGGCTCTCTGGCATGTCTTCCTCTATGTTGGGAGAAAGGGGAAGTGAGATGTGTCAACATGAGGGCTATCAAGTAGGGAGGCTGTAAGATGAAGGCATGGGGAGCAGGAAATGTACAGAAGGGAAGAGTAGTGAGTGCATGCTGTGGGAGGGAAGGTTGGCCCAGAGGAGGGCAGGGCAGTGACTGTGAAAGGTAGCACTTCTGCATGTCTAGTGGCTACAAATGTTGATACACTGGCTTCACAGTGGAAAGCTGGTCTCATCCACGTTTACTGTCGTCTGCACCACATCCCAGAGTTGGAAGGGGAGACTTATGTGGAAATTCCCTTTGTCCATCTGAATGCCACCTTCTGGAACACTGATCCTCAGCTGATATTGCCATAAGTACTATTGCATAGTATTCATAAGAGTTTAAAGTTAATTTGCATCTCACATTCCTTTTCATAATAGAATCACTTAGATTTTGAGATTTTCTTAACAAACCCTTCTATTTTGTAGCTTTAGAAATAAGACCCAGAGAAGTGAAATAACTAACTTTTTAGTAGCAGATCCGTGACCCATACAGGGCTCTTGTCCATATATGTCCTTAATTATTAGCCCACCCTTCCTTGGCGTTGAAAGATACAAGGGACACAGGAGAATGAAATGGGCCCAAGAAAACTCTCCATGCAGCTTGCATTAGGGCAGAAAGGACAACAAGGGACATGCTCCATGTGATAGATGAGGTGCCATGAGTTTGAGTGACTGAGCCTCAGTCCTCTGACTCCCATGGCCCGCATAGCAGCAAGGAGAAGGGGAATGCAGCTGGGCCCTGCCAGCCCCAGGCTCCTTCTCTCCCCCACCCCCTGCATTTTCTTTGTGTGAGTTTCCCTTCTCCTTTCTTGCTCTCCCACCCCCCAACCCCCGTGTCCTCAAGCTGGGACACTCATTCATTTCACAAATACCGACTTAGCCCACACTACAATGCAGCCATAGACACCTTGGACAAAGTACCTGTTCTCACAGAGCTGATGTTCTGGTGGGAAAATACAAACAAAAACAAATAACCATGAAGTTATGTGGTGCTGGGTGTGTGTGGAAAAACAAAATGGATGAGGGAGGAAGAGTGTCATGGCAGGCAGTGGTTAGACAAAGAGGAGCAGAGACCTGGAAAGGGGGAAGGAGACCAGCTATCTGAAGACATAGAACAGGTGTGTGATGGGCAGAGGGTAGCAGCCAGTGCAAAAGACGTGAGATGGGCACTTGCCCAGCATGTTTGAGGAACAGCAGGGATCTGCAGAGCTGGGGGAAAGAAAGCAAAGGGGAGGACAACAGATCAGCCCAGAGCATGAGGCCATGGCAAAGATTTGGCTTTAGCTCAGGGTGAGATAGCAGCCATGGGAGGGTTCAATTTAGGAGAACCTAATATTTTAAAAGGATCATCCTGGCTGCAGTGTTGGCTAGGGATAGAAGAAAGGAGAATGTGCTCAGGCTAAGGTAGCAATGAGGTGAGAGATGATGGTGACCTGGGCCATCAGATCTACCCAGGTGACAGGGTAGATCAGGGGCTCCCAAATTTCCCAGCTCAAAAAACCCTGTTTGTCATTTAATAACCTTACAAACACTTCCCAGCCTAATAACAGTTACCATTTTGGCATTTGTGGATTGGGCAAACACTTGATGTCCACATTTCTAAACAAATCCACAATGTTCATAGCCCAACAGGGCTTCCATACATTTGAAAAAGAATTGTACATACAAATAGTTGATTTTCAGGCCCCCTATGTCACTGTGGCCCCAAAGTAGGCCACTGAAGCTTTGCTTCCCTCACTTTTCCCATTCCCTTGACCAGCCTAAGCCCTGATTCCTCCAACCTCTCTGCTAGAAGGGGCTTAATCAGCTTAAGTGGGCAATAGTGTTGATGGGTGAGGATGACAACTGAGCAGGGATTCCTAACTTAGCATTGATCCATAGTTGAGATTTGAAGAGTCAAGAACAGCTGGAGATTGTAAGCAAAATGCCTGTGAGTGGGGTGAGGGTGTGCTGTATGAGGTCAACTTTCATTAGATTCTCGAGGGCCCTTTACTAAGAAAAAAAGGGGAGAAGGGCAAGAACCACAAGTTTAATGAGTTATTCCTCCCAAATATTATGTATGTTTTAGCAAGGACCTTCAACGCTTAACCCCAAATAGTGAGTGCCAGATGTGGGAAGGACAGACATTTCAAAACCATAAGGCTTCAGTTGGCCCTAAGCAGAAAGGGACCCACACAATCTATAGCTAGAACATAACATTTCTGACTCCAGAAGACAGCTTTCTTTCCCTCCTAAAGTCAGTCTTGGACCCTGCCTATAACACGCTCAATAAGAATTTGTGGAATGAAAAAAACGCCATACAAGGGTTCCCATCTGAGAAACAACAGAAAGGCAATGGTGTATGCTGTGCTGCAAGATCATTCCAAATGAACTCATGTATTCGGAGCAAAACTAAATAAATAAAAAAGCCAAAGGCTGTATGCTACTCTTGAATAATCATGCCTGATTTGAAGGTCAAGAGCATTACAATGCCCCACTTCACAGAGGTGCATGAAGGCCGAAGCTTGCGGTATGGTAGAAGAATTTGCAGGGTATAATTATGCACCCCTTCAACATCCCCACTGGCTTCCACGTGATATGAGACAATGTGTCACAGTCCCATACAGTCAAAGCAGTAATTTACAAGAGTCAGCAATTCCATGGGGCAGGTAGGCCATATTTCAAAACTGGAAAGGGAGTTGGGGGGAAGAAGGGGGAAAGCAACCGATCAATTTACAAAGATCCTGTTTCTCTGCCACTCTGTTGACCTTTCAGGCAAGACCTAATGCCAATTAGCTCAGTTATAAAGTCCATAATTCTTCTGGGGAAGGCCATGGGTAGCACATGATCATTTTACAACGTTTGCCCTAATTTGCAGCCCCCAAACATGGACTCCTGGGGCTGCAAGGTGGGGGTGGAGGGAATTTGTTGGCAAGCAACGGGAGCAGCTGGAAGGGATCACAGAGCACAATTACTGTCTGCGCATGGCCACATCTGGAAAACAGCTCCGTGCTGGCTTTAAAACAGCATTAATAAAGAATGGAACCTTGTGCTGGGAAGGATGGGGGTGTGGGGGGGAATAAGGAGGGCCGCCCTTCTGCCCAACATGGTGGGGATAAAACGACAACAAAGGAAACAGCAGGCAGGGTATAAGACCAGTTCCAAGGAGAAGAGGGTGTTGACAAGAGAGGAGCAGCAGATATGCTGCTACTTTAGGGAAAGATCTCTAAACCCCCTCATTTCTTGCCATCTTCAAACCTGGGCATCCATGCAGGGCTGATCCTTTTTATATTAGTTATGCAGACATTTGTCTGTAATGTGGGATTTTAGTAAGACTATTCCCCATCAGTACCAAAATTCTACCACTCAGTCCTTTAGTCAGAGAGTTCCTTCCCTTGAGATGGATTTGAAACTGCAAATGTACCTGTTGCCTTTAGGATACCAGGGATGTAGTAGTTGCTCAATAAATATTTGTTGACTAGAACCAAATTGAATGAGCTGAATAAGTTATTTTGTGGCTGTGACCAAGTTAATTCCTATCTCTGGTTTCTCAGCTATAAGGGTTCCAGGAGACCAGTGATTCTCAGTTGTGAGGGCAGAGGTACAAGGTAGCATACCCTCATAAGGAGTATATCACAATTCCAAGGGGAGGGGAGAAGGGAGCATTCATGGTTTTAATAAGAACATTCAATGGTATAATATAGTTTTATACACATGGTCCCTGACTTAACAATGGTTTGACTTATGATTTTTCAACTTTCTGATGGTATAAAAGTGATACACACTCAGTACACTCTTTGACTTAAGATGGGATACATCTAGATAAACCCATGGTACATTGAAAATATCATAAGTCAAAAATATAAGTTGGGGAGCAGCTGTATTTGAAAACCAAAGAGTCTACCTGTGACTTCCTTAATACAATCTACAGAAAAAAAGCTCAACAGACTCTTCATGGCTGATGAGGATTCATACATAAACCAATCTTAGAATTCAAAGTGGACACTTCCCATCCCACCAGAAATCAGGGCATCTCTGGATCTCCAAGGCAAAGATAGGAATTTTTTTTATTATGAATCAAAAAATGCTTAGACACTCTGAGTGGATGTATTTGAGGCCTCCAGCTTGAGTTTTCTCCATTTGGCTGCTTAATGTTCCCTCATGGAGACAGATCAGCTACTTGGGTCGCCAAGGGCTGGGTAACATTAAAGAAACAGCAAGGAAAAATTACAAAGAAAACAGGGATTCTGGGGGTGTAAACAGACTTCACTCACCTTGCCCTTGTGCCAGACTGCCTGCCCAATTCCACATCGTTGGCATTGCATTGGAGTGTGCAGGGTCCAGCTCATTGTCTTAGTTCATCTGGGCTGCTATAACAAATTACCATAGACTGGGTGGCTTATAAACAACAGACATTTATTTCTCACAATTCTGAAAGCTGGAAGTCCAAAATCGGGGTGCCAGCATGGTCAGGTTCTAGTGAGGGCCCTCTTCTGGGTTGCAGACTGCCATTTTCTCCTCGTTACATGCTCATGTGGTGAAAGGGGCAAAGACACTTCCAAAGTCCCTCTCATAAGGACAGTCATTGCATTCATGAGTGCTTTCCTTCGTTACTGAATCACCTCCTAGTACCATCACCTTGAAAGTTGGGATTTCAACATATAAATTTTGGGGAAACACAACATGCAGACCACAGAAACCACCTTATCATATATTTTAGTGTTTTACCCTGCAGGTCTATGGTGTGGCCTCCTGAAAACCCCAGATGCCACACCACAGACCTGAAGACATGGAAGGAATCTTATCAAACCCTACCCATAAGGCAAAAATTCTCTTATCAGCATCCCTGACAAGTCTTCCTTTATGCCTTGTGTAGATACCTCCAGTAGCGCATAGAAACTAAGACCTTCAAGGAGGTCTGGGTTCTCGGCCTACTTCAGACACTTACCAGCTAATTGAGCATGAGCAATTTATTTAATCTCTCTATGTCTTGACTTCCCTTTCTGTAAAATGAAGATAATAGTAGTTAAATCATGGGATTCGTGTGAAGATTAAATGAGACAATATATATTGTGATTTCCCTGCTGCTTAAAATTCTGTATTTATATTTACACAATACAATTTATATTTATCTACCTATGACATTGTATGCAATCTGTATATAGCTAAATCCACAGATGTGTTGACTGTGCCTGCCAAAAATGATGTAGGCAGTCGATTCCAATATGGAGCTCCCATAGGGGTACATGGTTTTGACTTTCCCACTCCTGAGACACACCACTCTTACACTGTTATTGCCAAAAACTTTATGCATATAAGAAATCTTTAGAATACACCCACCAAAAGAAGGCATTCCCACATGTCCCAAATAAACCCAAAGTAACAGATCTGCAAATCTGAGTCCAACCAGGTTTATGCTACAGTGAAATATAGCATCACTCCCCGCATAGGGTAAGTGTTCAAGAAAGAGTAGCCAATGCTAGCACAGCCAGCACCTTTGCTTGTTGTACAGTTCTCAGGTATTTGGAAGCCAATATCCTTTGCATTCTTAGTTTTGCTGCCATGGAAGCACTGGCCACAGTGTTGACCCTCGACCAGTCACAGTTCAATAGACATTTGACTGCTGCAGCTTTGTAACCTGCTTCATTCTCACCCCATCATCTCATGCCATGCTACCTGTTTCCCATTCTCTAACTGTTTCTGCAATAGGTTCCCTCTAGTCCCTGCCATGCTGAGCTTGATGTCCTCAGTCGCCAATGCGTCTCTTTGAAAGCAGTGCCTAACATGCTCAAGCCAGGCTGCCAGGCTCCATTAATGTGTGTAAGTTGCATTTATTTTCCTGGCATCCTGTCACACTGTAGGCTCAGGTTCTGTGGCTATGTGCTCTTGAACTTCCTAAGGAAAAGGTGTTTGGAAATAGCCTCGAGCAGCTGGGTCTGACTCACATTCTCCTCTCACCTCCCAAAAATGTCCCCAAATGCTGCCTCTTTCAGGGTCCCTATTCTCAGCTTCTCTGGAGTTGGATGACGGCCATGAGAAGTTTTTCCCTTCCTAAGACAATGTCAGAGGCCCCATATATTGGGCCTGGAGTTTGTGAGTTAGGCATCCCCTCCTAGTGTGGTCTTCTTCCCTTATTTTGCCTGTTCTGCCTGGCAAGTGCTTTCTCATTGTCCTTGCAAGGAGCCTAGCCATAGTTTCTTGCCCATTTAATTAATCCTTCCTAGAGACCATTCACACCCTAAAGCAGGTTAGGCACTTAGGAGAGACCCTTCCTAGACTGGCATCAGTATAGACCCATGAGGGTGTCCTCCCTTTAACTCCTGATGAATTCACCCCATACCTGAGGATTGGGGCATTTCCATAAGTGACACACCCAGGATGTCCACTCAAAGACACTCAGAAACCACTTCAGGTATAAATACCTGGCATTATTGAGGGCCTGCCAAGCTGTCTGCCAGGTAGCCTCTCAGATCATTCCAATTCCTGGTCCTTCATCTACCTTTCTTCTCCACCTCCTATAGTCCCTCCTTTCCAGCTACTCTCTCAAGTCACTTTCTCCTAACACCCTTGGCTCTTGATTTGGTACCTTTCTCTCTCCTTTGTCCTTCCAAATCCCATCTGTCCTCTAAAGCTCAGTTCAAATGCTGTCTCCTTATTGTAGACCCCTAAGGACACCCACTTGAAGCCAGTTCAGTCTTTCTGGAAAGCATCACTTATGTCACTAGTACGACCCTGCCTTATACAGTATTAATCTGTGAGTCTGGCTCATCACACTCACCCCAGCTAAATAGTAAGCACTGGAGCAGTAGACACTGTACAGAGAAGATGGAAATGAGAGAGGAATGGCACTGGTAAGGAGGGCCATGTGGGAGCTCATACTGGACTGTGAGTTTGTGTCCCAGGAGTGGAAGGGAAGTGGTCAGAAACTGAGTGTAGAGCAGAGAAGAAACCACAAAAGCAGCATCACCACAGGTGTTGTGTTTTCTGTAGGAAATAATCATGAGTTTTAGTCTCACTGGGGTGGATTAGAAACTATGGAAGTGTGAGCCAAAGTCAGGTTGGGTCACCTGTTAGTGCTTGCACCTTGGAGAGCATGAGTTTGAATTCGCCACAAGTGTCCATTTGACCATAGATACCAAGGGACAAAGGATTATTTGGTCACCAGGGTTCTATCTTTCCAAGAGATAGAGATAGAATCCTTTGAGTTTCTTTTTTTTTGAGACGGAGTCTCACTCTGTCGCCAGGCTGGAGTGCAGTGACACGATCTCGGCTCACTGCAATCTCCGCCTCCTGGGTTCAATCGATTCCTCTGCCTCAGCCTCCAGAGTAGCTGGGACTACAGGTGTGCACCACCACACCTGGCTAATTTTTTGTATTTTAGTAGAGACGGGGTTTCACCATGTTGGCCAGGTTGGTCTCAATCTCCTGGCCTCGTGGTCCGCCCGCCTCGGCCTCCTAAAGTGCTGTGATTACAAGCATGAGCCACTGCACCTGGCCCCTTTGAGTTTCTTATGTGTCCAGCATTGTGCTAGGTGGATTAGAGGGGGTTATAGGCTAAACTCAATCAGTTCTCTCAGGGGGCTCATAGTATAAAAGAAAAGATGAGATACGTAAGCAGCCACAATGTTAGTCAGAGAATGCTAAAAAGTCAAACAAAGGAAAGAGGCACTGAGCATTTGGGGAGGTTAGAAATGGAAGAGTGGTGAAGATCAAGAATTGTCATTGAAGTTGAACCCCTTAATCCTGTGGGAAGAAGGTGAGATTTGAGTTGGGCTCTGATGAGATGGTAGAGTTGGCTAGGAAAAAAGGAACAAGATGGCACGTTAAAATGGGTTAGTGTGTTCTGCTCACTCAGCAGAAAGGAGGCTTGTACAAGACAGCCAAAGTAGGAGAGATCACCAGAAATACCATCTGGCCACTTTGTGGGAGGTTCCAGTGTCCAAATAGGATGTTCAGACTTTGTCTCCCAGAAAAAATGGGAAATTAGGTGTCTCAGGTGGACAAAGCCCTGTGGTATAAAATCCATATGGTCCTCCCACTCTCCTCCAAAATATTTACAACTTGGATTTGTACCAAAGCCTTCTCTAATCACCTTCATTGTTGTCACCTTATTTTCTAAACATGTGGTTATGGTGCTCTGGTGCCATTGGCTAAACTCAGTAGAGACTAGATTACTAACATCCAAGAGACTGCTTTGTTTTCCCTGTCCTCCTTGGGGTGCACCCTACTGTGGCCTCCAGCTGTAGTGCCAGAACCCACAGGATCCACCATTAGCTGAAAGTACCAGGTTTCAGCCCAAAGGCTGTTCCCTAGGGAAGAGAATGTTTGACCCAAGGTGTCTGGCCTTCAGGAGATAAGGGATCACCACATCAAGGTCATGGAGCAGAGGCTTCCTGGGTGTGGCCCAAGTCCCTATTAAATGTCCTCTGCCTACACGTTGCCCTGGACCTCTGGACCCACCTATGAACATATGCCCCCTCCCAGGGAGCTCACTGCTTCATCGTCATCTGCCTATTCATTCTGACTGGCCTGCATTTGTCTGGCATCTACTGCATTAGCCAGGGCAATAGCATATATTTGGATAGCACCCAGTGGTTGTTAAACACTTGTACCTATTTTATTCATTAAAACCTTAGCAGACCAGCCAAGGTGTATTATCTCTTTTCTAAAAATAAGGAACCTGAGTCTTAGAGAGGCTAAATAGCTTTGTCTAAGGCCAAAAGGTCAGTAACTGACCATTGCTCCACCACAGATGAAGACCCCATCTCTACCCCCAGAATCTCCTCTCCATCCTGGACTTTCCCACTGCCACCTCCTTTTTATCCATATACCTCAGGGATTTAGCCCCTTTTTGGCCCTCCTTCTCAGCCATGGTCTCCAACCCTCTCAACAGAGCCTTCTACTCCTCTAGGATAGGCTGAGGAATAGGAAGTTGATTCCAGATATCTCCCCTACCTGCCCAGCTGCCTCTGAGACAAACAATCCCCTTGCATTCTAAGGGAACTTATATGAAGCCCCTATGGAGGAATGAAAAGTGATAACAAAAATAAGAAACACAGGAAGCCATAAAGTTTAAAGCAATGCAAGAAACCCTGGCTAGAGTTAGCCTTGATCTTCTCTGAAATGAAAATAAAATTCAGCCCCTTCCCCAACAGCTCATTGTTGGAGCCCCCATACCCTCACCTCTTTCATGTCCTGGGGTTGACTTCCTGCTTGTCCCCACCTCTCTCCAGGAAGGGTCCCTTTTACCCCAACTCTAGAAATTCTAGCCTCAGAAGAGGCCAATGTGCTATCCTCATTGGGCTCCTAGAGGAAGACCAAATTAAACACTGCTATTCTCTTCTCTTCTGCTTAACACGGAAAAAGTCAACTTAGGTCATTCCCTGACAGAGAGATACAAAGATAAGGCATTGTCCCTGTCACCAAGATATAAGCAACAGCACAGGATACTGTGTGGTGAAAGACAAAATAAGCAGTAGAGATAAGATTTCTGAGGACTGGAGGGAGGATATGAGGAGTGAGGGATGAGCCACGGGAGGCCACTGTCACCAGCCACAGTGGCCTGGACCAGGCAGAAGAGTCTTATGGTTGAGTATGTGCCATAACAGCTGTAGGGAGGACATTCTGGGTAGGAGGGTGAATGAAGGCAACGTGCCTGTCGGGGAGCCAGCTGAAAATCCATCCTGTGGGCAGAAGAAGGCCTTGGGACTTTGCTCAGTGGTCATGCTTCCCTCTTCCTGTTCCCTATAGTCCCACTTAGTCTGGGGAAGCTCTCTGCAAGAGAGTGACAGCAAAACAAGCAGTTTGTCTGCTGCTAGGGCTGCGGAACCCAGGCCAGGTGTTCCAGAGGCCACGTTCCTGGCCTGGCTGCAGCTCACTGCAAATGAGGCTGGGAAAGGGTGTCCAGTCTTATGCCAGGAGGAGGGGCAGCCCGTTGGGTGGCTATCATGCCTGACTCTACTTCACAAACACCTATGTACTCACCAAGCAGAAATAGTGAATGTTAACCTTCTCTTATTTGCTTCATATTTTTTAATAAAAATGAAAAATATTCAGAAGGAATTAAAAACTCTTAGGTCCCACTCCCACTCCCCTCCCTCCCTCTCCAGCAACAACCCTATTATGAATTGTACATATTTCTTTTTCATCCGTGTGTTCTCAAATGGATATATTCATATGGATCTCTAAAACACTATATAGTATTTGTCGATATGGCACTGAATTTACATAATTGTATCTTAACATTATTCTGCAACTTGTCTTTTTCACTCAACATTTCTATTTGGGGATCTATATAGATTGATGATTTGACTCCATTTTCTTTATTTAACTGCTCTATGGCAAGTCATCATATTCCCTAATTTCTTTATCCATGCCTTCATGGATGGACATTTAGCTCAGGTATATATTTTTTTTAAGCAAACAATGCTGCATTGAAATTCCTGTGCCTATTTCCTGAGGCACCCAGTTCTCTCTCCTGTTGTAGAGAAAATGTTGAGACTCCCCGTTCCAGTTCAAATGCAATTAGTACACCTCCATCGGGTGCACAACACCAAACTAAATACACTGAATCATTCTAAGAGATGCATTCAGAAGAGTTCCTCCCTTTAAGGAGCTTACAGTCTAGCAGAACAGATAAGCATGTTGTGAATCTACAAGTTAAAAGCTCTAGGACAGTGCCCAGTCTATACGTAATTAAAAGATAATGTCAGTTGACCTGATAGAGAAGAGCTGAAGGTAGACCAAGTAAGAGTGAAATCTACATGGATATGGGTCTTATCAGGAAAGCTTTCCTAAAGGAACTTGATCTTGATAGGGGTCTTGAAGAAAATACAAGCTTTAGGTGCTCAGTAGTAAGTGTTCAATGAATAGGAGAGAGGGCATTCCTGGCAGGGGGACAGCAGGAGCAAGTGTCCTGGGGCAGGACTAAGCATGGAATGTTAGATGTCTTGTCTGGCTGGAGTGTCTGGCTGGATTGAACTTGGAGCCATTCTTCTGTTTTCAAAGTTGATCTTAGCCCCACAACAAGTCCATGTGGCTTGTTGGCCCGGGCAGCCGGCCTGGGTGGTATTTTTCCATTACTCTGAGCAGAGAAGAAGTTCAGTCACTTGTTGATAGCAATATGATCATTCAAGGAGAAAACAATTAGGGATGCTGAGCTCTGGCCCCCGGAGAGGAGGGAGGGAAGGAAAAAATTCTCCCTGGGGGGAAGGGGCTGGGTGGGAAACAACCAAGAGGGTAATTGGTAAATATTATTGTTTCATTCCATGTTTGCCTGCTCTGCTCTGGTCCCTCTGCAAGCGGTGCATTTAAATCACACTGTCTGACTTTGGCAGGTTTAATTGAGTCGCCACTGAAAAAGAAATTATCCCTGTGCTATTAATTTTTATAGTTCCTCGGGGCTTTTAAAAAGTGTTTGGATTTTCTAGGTCTTTGAAAATGAAAACATTAAATTTTATTAAAAGGAAACGCAGGGGGGCTGGCAGGGCCCAGCCAGGCCCTGACAAGACGGTTGGTGGGAAGGTTTGGGCCCTCTGAGGCAGTGTGACAAAAGTTTTGCCCCTTGTAGAATGAGAGGCAGGTGGTCTCTAAAGATGTGTGAGGTCTGCCAGACCTGCATCCCCCACTGGCTCAGGATGGGTGCCTTGTCAGTGCCACCCCAGACCCCGCCCTCATGGCCAAAGTCTGTGCTGGCAGCCACAGGCCAAAGAGTGCTGTGACCGGGAGCTCTCTGTAGGAACTGGGGGGAACATAAGGGCAGACCAGTGTTGTGGGGCCAGAAGCTTTCACAATTTAGAAGGCCCTCTTGAAGAAAAAGAAAAGAATTCAAAATCCCAAATGCAAAATTACATTCGAAAGTATAATTTTATTGAGAAAGAATGAAGTCACAACAAATTACACATTTTAAAAAGCTGACAAATTCTACAGGCACCACAAAATCTAAAATAACTGTCTGACACATCCGTAATACTTTTCTTCCTACATTTTTTTTGGCTACCAACTCTCTGATCATCTCTTTAAATGACTATAATTTTTCAATATCATTTTTATAGAGAGAATACAAAGATAATTCAGTCTATCTTTTACCAAACTGCAAACTCTTTGATCATCTCTTTAAATGACTATAATTTTTCAATATGACTTTATAGAGGGAATACAAAGATAATTCCGTCTATCTTCTAACAAGCTGATCAAATTTTGTACTTTATTATTCACGGTTTGGAAAGGTTTCTTTCAGTCTCACAATTTGTCACTGGTAATGCCACGTGAATTTTCAGGATTGTTATCAACTTTGGGAAAACCTCTGTCAAGTATCTTTCACATATGAGCTATGAGATTTCAGGGCATTTTTTCTTTCACAGCAACAAATCTAAAATGCTCTTTGAATTTATGAAACTTACTAACCAGATTGTCATCGATGCCCTCATTGTAGTGGCGTATAATGAGTTTTATGTTATCTCCATCAATGTCAGTATTTCCTGTCAAATCAGCAAGACATTTAAACATGGGGATTCTGATAAATTCTAAGTCAGTAATTCCCATCAAAAAAGAAACAAGATGAATGGTGCATATATAATTTTATTACTTTGCATGATCGAGTGTATTCTTGACAAGAGAGAACTTTTATTTTGATGAGGCAGTGATGAGAATGCTCTTGTGATTTTACATACCTAATGATTGGAGGAATTTCCCGCCAAGTAGCTTCTGGCTCTGGGCATTTAAAAACTTGTTTCTCTTTCACCATCTATATGCTTCCAGTGCTGGGCTCTGCAGGACACAGATACTCAGGTCTCTGTACAACTGCATCCCTTTCATGGCACAAGACAGAGGATGTCTGCACAGTGGGTAACAGGAGTGTTCCTGGCAGCTTTTTCCACATGGTGACAGCTACTGATGAGTGAGTTACACAGAGAGGTGACTAAAACTACACAAACACCTCGCACTGAACCTAAACCAAACACAGCCCCAGCTCAACTGCCCCTTAGCTAGTTTTCAAAGTGGCAGCATCAATGCCCCCCAAAATGAGGAAGGGGATGCCAGGGGGAAATATGCCAGGGAGAAACAATGGTTTTAAGAGATTATAGTTGAAATATCTCACTTTTGCCAGCTACATAAAAACACGTGACTGTGTACGTGCATTGTGCCAATGAAGGGCTCTGGAGTTTAAGCATCATTATCATGACAGGAAATTCACTTGTGCACGCTATGGAGGTTCTCGGGGAGAGATCTTTGCACCTAAGTCTGTCAAGGAATTAACTGCATTTGGAGAGACAAACACAGCACAGCAGTATAACAATTCAAACATGACAAGGTAACTAAAGTGAGACTTTGTATGGGGAGGCTTTGAAGTTGAGACAAGCAAGTGATGAGGGTAGGATGGGAAGGCCCAGGAAGTCAGGAGGTGGAACTTGAACTGGATACAATTCAGATAGCTGTGGAAGAGCACATGTGGGTGATGTGTGTGTGTTCGTGCATGCGTTTATAGACATGAGTGCCTGCAACTATGGTGTATTGTGAGCGTGCATGCATGTGCTTCTTTTTTTTTTTTTTGAGACAGAGTCTTGCTCTGTCGCCCAGGCTGAAGGGCAGTGGCATGATCTTGGCTCACTGCAAGCTCCGCCTCCCGGGTTCACACCATTCCCTTCCTTCAGCCTCCCGAGTAGCTGAGAGTACAGGCGCCCGCCACCAAGCCCTGCTAATTTTTTCTATTTTTAGTAGAGATGGGGTTTCACTGCGTTAGCCAGGATGGTCTTGATCTCCCGACCTCATGATCCGCCCGCCTCGTGGGATCCCAAAATGCTGGGATTACAGGCATGAGCCACCACACCCAGCCGCATGCATGTGCTTCTACGTGAGCATGCATGTGCATATGTTGTGTGCACTTGTGCACGTGTAAGCATGTGTAGGGAGGGAAGGAAGGGATTGTCATGAAGTCTGCAGGAGAAATGGGCTGGCGTCGTGGATATCAGTCTGACACATGAGGACGATGAGGCTCAGGAAAGCGAGGCAACTTGCTCAAGACTGCACATCTGGTCGGTGGCAGAACTCAAGCTGTCCCCAGGCATCCCGACAGCATTTGCAGGATGTTCCCAGCACACGCATCGGCTCCTACCCACATACAGCCAGGGCTGAATCAGTGTGCGTGCCCTGACCCGCTTCTCCACAGGCAGAGTGCCCTTCTAGGCACAGGAAGGAATGTCAGTTCCATCCTGTGATGGCTGTCCTCCTCCCTCTGCCTCAGGGGTCACTTCACTCCAATAAATCATCCCAGGCAGCCCTGACCCAGGAGAGAAGAAAGTTGCCTTGCCCTTTTACGCTGACACCTCAGCTCCAGCTCTATCCCCAGATAAAGTCACAAGGCACTAGAGTGTCAGGTGGGGACATGTGTGTTTTGTTTCAATGGCAGAGTAGTGGGCAGTTTGTGCACAGCTTCCTTAAGGAAACAAAGCATTTCTGTTGTGGAAGTAAAAACTTTGGTTGGTTTATGAGTTGTGACAGGTAAGGAAATAAAAATGTGGAATAACCCAAATGTCAATTCAGATAGAAAATTAAGAAATAGTCAGATTTCCCTCCCTGGGCTAGGCGTTCAGCACTCCCAACTCTATAATGTCAGTGCTCTGATCGTGCCCATTTTACAGACAAGGAAACTGAGGCTTGGAGAAGTTTAGGAGTTTGCCCAAGTCACACAGCTAGAAATCATGGGGCCAGGATTTAGATTCAGATAGTCTGATTTCAGGGCCTGTGTTCTCATTAGGATATACTGCCTTCAATGGAAGAAAGTAGGGAGAATTCTCCCATAAGCACAAAACTTTATTCAGATTTCCTAAAACACAGGACCATTTAAAAACTCTCTTAATAAAAAGCTGATGGCAGGCCTCTCCCTGTCGTCACCCTCGACATGCATGTACATGCGCTCACGCTCGCACACACACACACACACACACACACACACACAGTGTCCACATCACTGCTCACCCCAGCCTTCCCAACTCAGCCCAAATTCCTTCCTTGTGAGTGTCCCTCCACTGATAATTAAGGCTTCAGCCAGCCAGTTGCTGATTTCTGATTCCCATTTAATCTCCACAAGGACTTTCAATACTTACAGCTCTTGCTTCTCAATATTTCAGTGTATTAAAGGAAAACTCTTGGGGGCAGGAAGATGACATCTCCACGAACAGGTAACTGCAGGGCGGTACAGACAGAGAATACTTCCAGCTTTGCTCAGAAGGACAGATTTATCAGAAGTACTGGTGAGGGCTAGAAGTCAAGGTGAGAAGCTTTCAGAATGGGGGTGTGCACGTGTGCTTGTATGTGTTTAATGTATTTTCAAGTAACAACTAAAAGTTTCTGCCTTATGTGGTCAATGGGAATCTGGTGATTTATTTGAGCTGAGGACTTCAGGACATATAGACACAAACCACTATCACTGTGCCTCATTCTATAGCTGAGGACATGTGCACATAGTGTGTGTGTGTGTGTGTGTGTGTGTGTGTGTGTGTGTGTGTGTAACTCACAAGGAGAAAAAGGACCAGGGAGCAAGGCTGACACAGATTGAGGGGTACCCATTTGGAATTTTCTTTGTAACTCTGTTTACCATTGAAGAGACCCACTTGCTCCTGTAGGGAAGGCCAACGCCCACCCCCACCATCCCAGACTAAAGTCATAAATCTCAAGCCTGTGGGAAAAGGGCCCACCCTTCCTAAGCTGAGATAGACAGAGACGCTGGCCCAGACAGACAGAGTGTGGAAACTTCCACTGGCCTGCATTTGACCTCCCTACCTCCAAGTTTTGCATCTTAAAGGGACCCCGACTGATAGAGAGCAAGCTGGCTGGACAGCCCAGATCTGTCTGCTGATTTCAGGCTGTTATCCTTGAGCAAAGGGAAGCTTCTCTGTTTTATTCAATACCTAGGATATCTTAAAAACTGGGAAAGAGTCAGAGTGTCCTTTAAATTCAGAAGAGTGAGGTTATTTTAATCTATTTCTGAAAAAGCTAACCTGTGTCCAGGGGTTAGCCCGGTGAGTGTGACCATCCTGGGGAGTGTGAGGAAGGCAGAACTCCTGGTCTTTAGCTGTCCTGCGTCAAGCAAGCCGCCCACCTCTCTCGGCCTCTACCTTTCCACCTCTCTCGGCCTCTACCTTTCCTGATCACTTCATTGGACAGTTACTGGGTTCAAAGTCAAAATGGTCAGTATTCAAGAGGAGGGCCTATAAAATGATGTTAAAACCTTTTTAACAGGCAAGTGCAAGTGATTCATGAATAAGAGACCCACCCCAGGATCTTTCAGGAGAAGATGGTGAAGATGTGCAGAAGGGCAGCCACATCCCTCACAACCTGTTCTACAGTTCCTGGGTCAGGGGAGGTGTCACAGGCTTGACCCGGGCGGTTCTTTCCAGTGCTCTTATGCTCAGTTCACTGCAATCAAACCAACATGGGTGTTCAGCTGTCCTGATCCCCTCATTCAAACATTCATGAAAGTGCCCAGCTCCCAATCCTGAGAGGCGGTGGGGGCACCAGACCCCTCAAAATGGCAGCATCGAGGTCCCAGTCATCATGAGCAGCCTCCCTCCTGTGTCTTCCTGAGGGATCCTTCACTCCCACTGCCATCCCCAGCAGGCTTGTGCCTTGCCCCCGCCTCACCTCACCCACCTAATGAGCTTCATGGCCTATGGCCTGCAGGACCAGGCTAACTGATGAGCTCTATGGGCACAGCCAGTGTGTCCCTACCTCATGATTGGAGCCATGGCTGCCCCATATAGCATCTCCACCAGAGAAGCAGAGGGCTGCTCTCTCCTTGCCTTCAGGGGACGTGCTGTCTAGCTGGAGGAGTTCTGCTGGCTAAATGTGTTATGGTCCCTCCCCATTTGAGGCACATGGTAGGACTGTACTTCCTCCTCATTGTGATGGGCAGAGCCACGAGAGTGGTTCTGAAGAATGAGTTGTAAGCAAAAATGTCATGTCATTTCTGAGCCACAGAATTAATTGCTGAGGCAAGACTTCAGAAAGCATTCTTTTATCCTTGGCATGAGGTACCAGCAACATTCAAGAAGGCAGCTCCTTTGTCACCTAGCCTGCCTGATGAGCAGCCCTTTGTCAGCCCAAGTCCCTGAATGACAATACGAAGTAGAGGCCAGCACCTACCTATGTATTATAGTATAAGTAAGAGCTAACCCTTGGTTGTCTTAATCCACAGAGACTTGAGGGGTCGTTACTGCAGCATAACCTAACCTATCCTGACTGATACAGAAATGTGTGGCATATCAATCTGGAATAAAACAAGAGTAATACAGGGCTATGGATAGTTATGTTTTGGACACTATGGAATTGATGGTAAATTCTGGATCCAGTAAAAGAAGAGGAATGTATTGTAAGCTGTTATGGACTGAGAGCATTTCCAGGAGACTGAGTAGGATTTAAATTAGCTTGATGGAAGTAGGAGGAAGTGCCCACCTCTCCCATTTCTCCCTAAAGATTAGGTACCGATTCTAGCCTAAGTTGCACTTCCAACATTTCACTAGTTAGGAGGGCATGGGCCTTCAATTTCACCCCTCATGCCCCACTGTCCTTATCCCAACTGCTTCTCAACACAGAGCTTCAATCTTCTATTTATTTCTATCTTCACCCATCCTTACCTCCAGTCTGAAAAAATCTGTTGCCCTTCTCCCGTCTAAACCCAGTTCTCTCTTTCTACTGGTTTCTCACCAATAGCCTATAAATGCTCTCAACTATCTCCCTATTTGAAATAAAACTCATCTCTTAACCTTGAACTAACCCCTTTACTCTATTCTAAATGATTCATTAATATACCAGTGCTACACTTTCTTACTCCCTTAGAATCTACTATGAGCTTCCTCCTTACAAAATAAAATTCAAGATTTAGAGATCCAATGCCATAAAAAGCAACTCAAGGTATATTTAATTCAGACTTCATATCTCATCCCTGGCCAGCATTAGCCATCTCACAACAATATATCTGGGAAATCAATATTCTATGAAATAAGGATTTCAAGGAGAAAGTCCACCCTAGCTGACTACATGTGGGTAATTAGGTAAGCTGTAGTGACAGTGGACCTGATTTACTACCAAATGCTCATGCTATTATGGCAAAGTTAGCTGGCTCATTAAATAATCTGTCTACCAAGAGTGTGAGTCCACACCGATAACCACTCCAAATGACAGTGGGAGACACAGCCCTGGGAAGGGAGCCAGGAGTCCTTAGGCCTCTTTCCAGCCATCGACCAACCAGCTGTGTGACCTTGGGCTAGTCACATTCTTTCTTCAGGCTTCAGTTTGCAGCCTACCCCCCTTCATTCTTAATCAAGAGAGTTTGACTAAAAGCCCTGCAATGGCTTTTAAAACTGCAAAATCCCTTGACTCTCATCATTGTTTTCTGTGCTAAATTATAGAGTCATCAAAAATGAAGAAAAAATTGGAACTGTTTCAAATGGTTCCAGATAATCAGGAAAAAGTGTCTTTCATCCTATAGCAAGTGTGTGGCATTGAGGGGCACCAGCTGGAGAGGGAGCAATGTGGGCTCGTATGTGGTCAGCATCTCTTGACAGCAAAGAAGGATGAAGAACACAGCCCTCTATCCTCATTTTAGCTCCATCCCTAATTTTCCATGTGACTTTAAACCTGTCACTCAACCACCCTGGGCTACCCTTTGGCTCCAAAATTCTATGACATCTGATACGTTCTTTAAGACCCAGGCTCCAGACTCCCTACACCCTCACCTATCTCACCTTGAAATGAAGCTCCTCTTGGATTATATGCCTGGCATTTAGCCCAGATGGTAGATCTTAAAGCACCCTCCTCTAAGTTCAACCACACCTATATGTACCCAAATACCAGAATCTGAGAGTGAGAAGAGAATAAGAGCACTTTAGAGAAAGCATAGCTGCAGGCACTGAGTCCATTGCATTCTGGAGCATGGTACGTTGGAATTATAAAATTCCTAAAAATTGTAGCCACCCTTTACAATTTACATAGGATGTTGATCAAGCAATATACCTTCTATCCTTTTACTTGATCCTAACAAACCCCTTATCCTCTGTCCTCCCATCCAGGACCACATGCCTTTGTTAATACATGGCAGGAGGCCAGGCACCAGGACCATGCACCTCCTCCTGGAGTATCATTTGGTACCAAGATTGTGAAATGAGACAAGGAGAGTGTTTAGAAATTAGAAGTTGTAAATAATGTTTCCTTATTTCTACTTTCAACAAACTCAGATAAATCATGAAATTTATTGTGTCTCTCTCCACTAGAATAGAACAACATAAAACTAGGGTCTTTTTTATTGTTGCTCTGTGTTGAGTCCCAAGTGCTTACAGTAGTGCCATGCATGTAGTAGGCACTCAGTAAAATTATGATGAATGGAGGAAAGAACATTGTATATGAGTTGTTAAGGTAAAACTTGAGACTTTGGAGAAATGACATGTCATTAAAGGTGTGTCACTTTAGGCTCTAACTCTAGACTCCTCAGAGTTTATTGGTTGATTCTCCTGTGCCTTTGGGGCACTTCCTGAAGACTGATTAACTCCCCTTTAAGGAGGAGGAAGCCAGTACTGTAGATGAATAAATAACACACTCAAAGACACACAATCCATAAATAACGGAGGCCAGGACAGGACACATGTCAATTTGACAAACATTTATTTAATAAATTCTTTGTGCTGAGCATTGGGTTAGTTGTACTTTCAAACACAATGGAGCCATGAGGGACTGTTGCTCCCAGCTGGCTTTCTTCCTGGCAGCCTGCTCTTTTCTCTGGAAAGCTGTCCACATCCAGGCTCTGCCTGGGGGCTCTTCCCTCCAAGATGCTATGCCACAAAGCCCTCTAGTTCTCCTCTCCTGACAATGAGCCGGCTGGCCCTTTTCAGTTTCAAGGATTTACTGGTAGATGCTTTGAGGCTACAGAAGGGAGTATTAAAAATAAACGTGATCATTATAAAATTCTAAGAAATCAGACAACGTCTTTAAAGTAATGGTCCTAGTCCGTAGCTCCTGACTCCTTGCTGAGCATTACACAGAAGTCTTAAGATGGCCTTTCCACTGCTCCGCTCAACGGGGCCCACATCTTATGTTTTCTTCTCTGGGTCCATATTTTTTTATTATACCAGCCAAGATCACTCATATCTGCCAGACTCCCCAGCCTGCCAAGACAACGGCAGTCTGATCCATTACTTGAAGAGCCACCAAAAATCAGAGAAAACTGATGTCTGAAACAACAGAAACATTTTCTCATTGAGTAAAATATAATATGGGTTGATTGATAGGGTTGGTTGAACATTATCTGTACCTACAGTTATACCTGCTTGCTCCTCCAGGGGCAGTGGTTCACTCCCTGGCTGCACATTAGATCCACCTGGGGAGCTTTTAAAACAGTGCATAGACCCCATCCTGGACCAATTAAACCAAAATCTCTGGGGTAGAGTCCAGATATGGATTTTTTTAAAGCTCCCCAGTGATTCTAATATATAGCCAGAACTGAGAGCTACCGCTATGATCAACTTGTTTCCTTTCCTCTGGGGTATCTGAAACTTTGTGATTAGGTCAGTCTTTAAAGCTGTTCAGAGTTAATTAACACATATGCATTTAGACTGGCTCCATTGAGCCAGCCAAGGCAATTCCCAAAATAGAATTCAAGGGTTCAGAACTACCTTCCGTCTTCTTTCCTAAAAGCATGTGATAAGATGCCCCCAACAAATCACCACGTAAATATCCTACTGACCCTGAAGACATCTAAAACATAACCACTGACCTCTTATGCTAGTGTTCTCTCTTGGAGTTTCCAGGTTCTTTTGCCTTCTGTCAAGACCCTCAACACCTAGTCCCAACATCTTTTCCAAGTTATCTTCCACTAAATCTCTCAACACATACCCCATTCCTGGCAATTGATCTACTCATTGTCTTCACTTTACACCCCCATTTTAGACTGCCATGTTTAACCCTGGCATTCACCTGCCTGAGCTGACCAGGAGTGCCCCTCCTCACTATTCATCTATCTGTAACCTATCTTTAAGTCTCAATCCAGAACTCATCTTTGAGATGCAACCTTCTCAGTGTGACCACTCCAGCTCTCAGAAGCTGCTTCCTCTTCTGAGGTTATTGTCATCGTATATACCACTTATTGGGGCACTTCAGGTATACTCATTCTATGGGCAAGTGTGTGTGCATTCCCCACTGGGCTGTAACACTTACAAATGGTGGAAATCAAGATTTCTCGATTGTGCAACCCAATGTAAAATAATGAAAGCCTGGGCTCCCTTTATTCTGAGAGGTTTAAAAAAAAATTCTATAAGGATGAGTACGTAATAAATTATTTGATCGTTAAGACGACCTTATGAAGCATCATTGTTATTGTCACCATGTTGGCAGTTAAAAAACCAAGTGGAGAATAGTCCGCCTTTATCCCCCAAAACACCAAGACAGACAGAAAAATGGGCACAAGGAAACCAAGACTCAGAGTGAGTCACACAGCCTTTAATAACATAGCCAGAGCCAAAATTCAGGGTCTACACTGCCAGCTCAGTGTTCTTTCAACTAATAGATTGATTCACAAATTTTAGCATGCATCAGAATCACCTAGAAGGCTTGTTGAAATGATTGATAGGTCTGGACTGGGTCCTGATAACTGCATTTCTAGCAGGTTTCTAGATGATGCTTATGGCACTGACCCAGGCTCCATACTTTTGAGAAATACTGCTTCAATATAAGCTTCTTTCTTGAAAGAAGAGAGATAGAAACAGGGATTCCAGCCCCACCAGAAGAGATGTTAGAGATGTTAGAAAAGCAAACCAAATGTCATATGGAAATAATAAGAAATAATAAATAACTGAATTTATTTCAACAAAAGATTTTCTACAAGAGTAATTTGTTATAAGTTACAAATAAAAACTCAAAGTCATAATACAGAAATCATTCTTACTAAGACTTCAGGCCAAAATATCAATATGTTCAAAGGGGCTGAAATGAATTCAGGCATTATACATCCATAATACATTAGAAACAATTCATTAAAAATGGCAGAGAAAGAATGGAAGCCAGACCACCCATACTCTGAAAATTCCCTTACATGGGATGTGGCTTGGCAGCAAATCAATTGATCCCTCCATCAATCTGCCTATCACTTAATCAATGGCCCTTTTCTACATATCAACTTTATGCCACTAAATTCTGTAGGCCAATGAGTAAAATGTAAACATGGCCCAGCACAGAGTTCCTGCTCATCAAAAATATATCATCTAGTTTAAGACAAAATCTACAACTGGGAAAATTTAGACAACAGTGTTGAAACCTTATTAAAATTAAGTAGAAATGACATATGATATAGATGTTCAGAAAATAGAGATCAAGGCAAACTGGATTAGAGAAAAATATGTATTCACATGGCTGTAAGCTAGGGCTTAGTACAGTGTCAATTACTAGTCATCGTATGAATTAATGAATAAACAAAGTTTAGGAAGTTAAACTAGATCTTTTTAAATGGGTAGGATTTGGATGGGATGGAGAGAAGAGCGAATGGTATTTGAGACAGAATTAGTGTCATGAGTCAATTGACAGGAAGGAACCTGCTTGCCTGCACGTGCATGTGTGTATGTGCACCTATATGCATGTGTGCTTGTGTATGCATGTGTGTGTAATGTAGGGGAGTTATGGGGAGAAGGAGCATGGAGAAGTAGTGAAGGGGCTTGTGCTACCAGACAGAAGGTTCATGGAAGAGAAGAGGATAGTGGTGAGAGGTAGGTTAAAGACAGTAGATTAGGTCCAGAATATCCCATAGGTCTTCAGGGTTCTTCCTATAGACTGGAGCAGCCATTGCTGACTCTTGAGCTGAGGTGGTTTGGGAGTGGAGTTAAAGTTGAAAGCAGTACCACCCTACAAAAACCGTCCCACCCTCAAGGGAGAGGGCTGGAGAAAGACTCAGCTCTCTGCAGGTTGACACAATAGACCAACAACACACACTGCCTCTGCCCTTTGCACAGACCCTCTCCTAACATTTGCATACCTAGGGCACAAGTACATATGGAAGCTGACATATACCATATGGGTAAATATGCAAGAGTTATAAATCAAGATAACAAATGTCAAATACGTTTCTTCCTCCTTCATTGACAAATGTACCTTTTCATCAACCGAAAAGCAAAGTTTGAATTTCAAATTCTCAGAATTCTCAGCTTTCTGTAGCAAAGCTGGAGGCCTCTGGCCTATACCTCTCCTCTCTTCCCACGCTTGGCTCCATCCTACATTTTATGAGACCTGGGCATATGCATATGAACATCCTAGGCCATGTGTCCAAGCTTTTCTACAGCCTCCTATAAATAGCCACCACTTGGCCTCCTTCAAGTCCTGAAATGTACACATCACCAGTGATATCTATCCTCAGAAAGATGAAGCAAGGAGGAGCTCTGTCCACACCGACCATGGAAGTGGGTCTGGATCCATTTATTCAGGAAATTGCAGATCCCAGGTAACCCTAGTGAGGTGAAAAAGAGGGCAGTGAACTCCACGTGAGCACTATTTCTGGGCCCTGTGGGTTTCTTGACCATGAAAAGGCATGGTAAAAGGAAGGTCAGAGTGGGGAATCTGAATCAGGGAGCTCTCTTGCCTGGGACAGAGGGTGATTCAGTCCCTGAGCTACAGTGAGTCTGGATTTCACTACCACAACCCACTGTCAGGTAGCCCCCTCCCTCCATGCCCCTGTCTTTCTCCCCATGTTATAAGTTTCTCCCTTCTAGCTGGTGATGGAAGGGTCACTAAATCAAAGCTGCCAGCCTGGGCTCTCAGATCCCCACTTTGATGGAGAACTCAGTCTATGGGGAACCAAGCCAAACAAAGCATCCTACAGGGTTTTCACCTGCAGAGATTGTAGTTCATCCTTCACAGTCTCTCCCCTTCACACACACTAGGCACCCGCAGATCTAGGGCTTCAGAAGCTCGTCTCATCACTTCCTTTTCAATCCCCACGTGAGCACTTGTGCTCTCCTTCAAGTGCTCCAAGGTAATTTTAAAGAACACCGCATTTTGCTTTCATTTTCCTCTGGCCTGGCCTTCCCATAAATCAGGGCTGAAGCAGAACTTGAGAGAACTGGGCTAATCAAGACTTCAATCTCAAGAAACGTTTAAATATAAATCAAAATAGTTGAAGGCTCTCCAGATCCTCAATTTTCTTTGAAAGCCTAGTTTGTCTTGTTCTTTTTTTTTTTTTTCTTCCCACTTTTTTTTCTTGTTGGCCATGCTGGGCTCTGAATTTCCTCCTGGTGCCCCTAGAAATATTTCTGAGTAGTTCTCGATGTTTTCTTTGAGACACTGTACGAAGCAATACAAGAGAGATATTCCTGGTGCCCCGGCTGGGGAGCAGAGGCCATCTACAGCATCTTGCTCTAACTTGAAGGATTTCAAATTTTAAGAATTAAATGATCTTAAAGAGTCATAAATAGTGATTTGGCAGTCAAAGGGAATAAAAATGAAATCTGCAGAACTGTAACTCTAATCATCTCTCCTGTTTCAGATACTTATGACTGTAACAAACTGTCCCAGCTTAGTGTTACAAAACAACAATAGTCATTTAGTATGATTGTCTCTCCTGGTTCTAGGAGCTGATGGGCACTTCCTGCTTGGAAACACCCAGGCAGTTTCAGTCTGGGTGTTTGGAGAGAAGGTGGCTGGAGCAGGGGCTTTTTTTTTTTTTTTTTTTTTGAGATGGAGTCTCTCTCACTCACTCTGTCGCCCAGGCTGGAGTACAATGGCGCGATCTCGGCTCACTGTAACCTCCGCCTCCCAGGTTTAAGCAATTCTCCTCCCTCGGTCTCCTGAGTAGCTGGGACTACAGGCACACGCCACCACGCCCGGCTAATTTGTTTGTGTTTTTAGTAGAGACGGGTTTCACCATATTGGCCAGGCTGGTCTCGAACTCCTGACCTCATGATCCACCTGCCTCGGCCTCCCAAAGTGCAGGGATTACAGGAATGAGCCACTGGAGCAGGGGTCTTCTTAAAGGCTTCTTCAGTGTCTGGCACCTGGGCTGAGAAGGCTGGAACAGCAGGGGCTCCTTGCCTCTCCCTCCCTGTCTCTGTGGTCTCTCCATGTGGTCCTTCCAGCCTGGCAGACTTCCTACACTGTGTTTTAAAATTTAGCCCGCATTATTCAGATGTGGTGAGGCCAATGGATCAAGAGACAACTGCCATTGCAAGGACAGTTTGTTATACTCAGAGATGCCAAGGGGATGGGCATGGCACGCCGAGGGGAGCCACATGGGAAACACAGGCACCAGGGTTGTGGGGCTGGAATTTGGTCAAGAGCCTTTATTGTATTCCTGTGGAAAGGAATGGGCAAGGGAGGCAGGGCAAGTAGGTTTAGGATTGTCTAGTTTGAATAATTTCAGCAGGCTCTAGGGCATAGCAGCTGTTCTTAGTTGTCTGGTACAGGGCCTTGGGGTGATTAGGCCTGAAACAGAGAGGTCTGGAGTGAGAGAACTCCACAAAAGAGGTAGTTGGGGCACAGGCTCTGGTTATTTGGTTTGCATATGAAGGGCACCCTCCCAGGGGAGTTGTTTCTTATCTCTAGGAATTAGCTAACCTCCAGGGTCAGCAAGGCCTCAGACATCAAAGCATCAAAATACCGAGAATAAAAACATACTTAATACACATGGTAGATGAGGGATTCAAAAGCTTCTCCAAAGCTACAGAGCTTTGGATATCTGGAGCTACAAGATAGCTCCAGGAAGGAGCTATCTTGCCTTTTATGAGCTAGCTTCAAAGTCATACAGTATCACTTCTGCTACTTTCTATTTGTAAGAGGAGAGTCACTAAGGCCAGCCCATAATCAAGAGAATTGGACTTCACCTGTTGATAGAAGAAGCATCACATAATTTGTGAATCTGTTTTAAAACCAGCAATCTTTCATAATAGAGTATTCACAAAATGTCATTTGTGATTAATGGGCCCCTTTCCCCATCCCTTAGAACCCAGAAGCCTTTGACTCAAAAGGTGCTAAATCCAATTGCCCATCTGTTAGCACCCCATTTCCCAAGCCAAAATGCTAGACAGGGTGATACTGTTCTGACTGTAAAATGAAAATGACAGGGGTTGAGACTGAGAAGTTGTGATCCCATTGCTGTGAAGTACAGCAACATGTCCATAGTGAAATTTATCATTAGTCAAAGTTCACAGGCCAAAATCTCCCAAGTCAACTCCATGAATAATATAAAGAAAGGAGAAAACTAGCTCTGCCCTACAGGAATTTGCACTCTGGTGGAGGGGAAAAGTCATTAATTACTTAATGAAGGACATGGCATTCAGAAAAATAATAAATTATTCTTTGGGGAGTAATGAGAGAAGGCTCCATGGAAAAGGTGGACCTTAAAGGACATAGAGGCAGCTCACAATCCACTTCCATGGATAACTCACTCCATTCCAAGGCCCTAAAATTTCTTTAGCCCTGTGGGCCATATTTCCTGGTCTGTCCCACAAACAAAATGTGTACCCCCTTCCCCTAGACCCTACCATTTCCCTGTCTGAAAGGCTCTCCTCTTTCTCCTTTAACCATTCAAGTCCTGTCCTGCTTTGGAGTTCACTTTCTCCAGGAGCCCCTTTCTGACATCTCCCAAACAACCATCACCCTCTCTACAACACCTTTAGGGCCTAGACCTTCTACCACAAATTTCATCACTCACTTACATGTCACCATTTTCATGTGGTTCGTTATGACTTCATAATTGTTGACTTGTTTTTCTCCATCTTGATTTTGGTTATTGCAGACCATAAACCACACATTCTTCTTGCCCTTAATGCCACCCACTGTCTCAAGGCCAAGCCTAAGCATACAGTAGCTACTCCATGTATATTTTGGGAGTGGTTGACTGGTGGTATAAATGTAGTGTTGTCGAACTGCGTTGATCCAGGGCCCCCCAGGGACCACCCTGCAGAAAAGAGCCAAGGAGTAAGAAAGGTACAGGGTTCTAGGGCCCTATGCCACCTTCAACAGTATAGGTACTCTTTTGACTGGCTTTCCATATTGGAATACATACAATTTTGCCTGAAGGTAGAACTCTGTGTCCAACCAATTATTGAAAACCACCAATGTTATAGACATAGCATTGAATTAGGAACTGAAGCTTTGCCTCCTCAAGCCTCTGATTCCTCATTCCAACAATGGAGATAATTATTACTCCTGTCCTTTTCTCTCACAGAGTGTATCAGTTAGCTAGAGCTGTGTAACAAATCACCTCAAACATGTTGGCTTAAAACTACAATTTATTTAGCTTAGGAACTGAAGGTTTCTGGGGGCTGGCTGGTCTAGGATGGCCTTGCTCATGTGTCTGTGGGCAGCTAGAAGGTCAGCTACCAGTTGGCTTTGCTCAGCTTGCTCAAGGATCAGAGGTCTTGGCTGTGATGAATCAGCTGACTCAGCTCTGCTCCATGTGGTCTTTCATTCTTCAGGAGGCTGGCCCAAACTTATTTACATGGTAGTCACAGGTGTCCAACAGAGAAAGCAGAAGCTGCAAGGCCTTTGGGGACTAGACTCAGGACTAGAAAAGAAAATGTCACTTCTGCCATATTCTACTGGTCACAGCAAATCACAAGGTCAGCCCAGATCCAAGGGATGGGAAAATAGATTACACCTCTTGATAAGAAATGCTACAAGGCTCTTTGTATGGGCTTGGATGCAAGGGGGCATGGAGAATTGAGACCATTTTTGCAGTCTGTCATGGGGAGGTTATGAAGATCAAATGAGATTACAAATATAGAGATCTTTGAAGAAACACACAACTTCATGCAAGGGATAAATATTACCATGGAAGATTTTTCTCATCAATAGGGTTGGGGATGGTAGTGATGCTCTCAGATACATTCACATAAATGGGGAACTTGCTTTTCCCTGTTTAAGTGGCTTTATAGGCTAGTTATTTTCAAATGTTTCAAAATTATATTTTCTTCTAAAGAAAAAGAAATCTGCATTTATGGTTCAAACCTCTGTCTTTTTTAGGTATATGTTAATGTCATGCCTTTCTAAGCTTTCATGTCAGCAGCATGAAATCAAGAGTTCACTCATTCGTTCACTAGGCATGGGCCAGACACCAGCTGCACCAGGCCCACAACAGGCACTAGAGCTACAGTGACAAATAAAACCTCATCCCTGCCCTCAAGATGCCCATAGATGAGTGCAAAGTATTGGAAGTATGAACCAAAACTTGTAGAAAACAGAAAAAGGGGCAGCAAATTTTACTTGGGGGTGTTGGGAAAGTCTTTGCAGCTAAAGTAAAGTAAACTGGGTTCAAAAGAAAGAGAGGGAGTGTGAACCATGCAAAGAGTTAAGAAGAAAGAATACCACGTGGGAGAACACTATGTGCAAAAGCATGGAGTTGTGAAAAGGAATGGGGGACTCGGGAAGCCTTGAGGTTGCCTTGAAACAAGTATGGGACATAGGAGGGAGAGATGGGATATTGATGTTGGGGAAATAAATTGCAGCAGATTATAAGAGCCACAATACCTCAATCCTTACGCAAAGCCACGAGATCAGACTTTGTGTTTAGGAAGAAGTCTGTGGACAGCAGGCAAGGTTTTGATTGTGTAGGAAATGAGACAAAGTAAACCAGAACCATAGCTGGGACAGTGGGGACAGGAAGGAGGTAGCACTTATCTACATTTTGCATTTTTTTATGATGAACATGATTGCATGTACAATAAAAGTGTCAGAATTTGAAAAAAACAAATGTGGTCATCGTCAGCAGATCTGTCTTAGCTAAAGTCATGGGAGTGGACAGGATCACTGGGGAAGAACATACAGCAAGGCTGAGGCAAGAAAGGTTAGGAAAGGACAGTCCTGAGGAGCACTAGCCTTTAGAGAGAGTGTGGGGAGGAGGTGGTTACTTCAGAGGAGCCTTAGAAGTCTCAGTCTTAGGAGAGAGGGAAGCCTGAAGGAAAACAGTGCCTAGCCATCACAGAAGAAGACAGTCTAGGGAGCATGGGAGGAGAATAATTGTAGCTAGTTCTCAGTTATGGCTTAGCATATGCCAGCCCTCATTCTGGCTGTTTTGCATGTATTAAACTTTTTTTAATCATAGCAGCCATATATTGCAGGTAATGCTCTGAGCCCCATTTTAAAGATGAAAAAATGGAGGCACAGGGAGGTCATATAACCTGCTCAAGGTCACAGAACGGGTAAGGGGCAAAGCTGAGATTCAGACTGAGGCTGGGGTGACAGAGGGAGAGATAAGATTGTAATTTAAGGCAGACAGTGGGCAAGGGATTCAACTTTAAGATGAGAGAATCAGGCACATTTGCAGGTGAAGAGGAAACTGCTGCTAGAGACAGATTGAAGGCAGAAGAGGGAAATACTCAGGCAAAACCAGGCTGAGCAGGAGGCAGGAGGCACAGTTGTTCTGCAGGACAGCTGGAAGGAAGAAAGGCCTTGAGAGGAGACATGGCAGAGAGGCAGGGAGACCAGGGCCATGGGGAAGGGAGGGAATGTGGAGGGCATTTCCTGCTTTCTCCATGAATTGTCATCTTCTCTCACTGTGAAGGGAGGGTGGAGTGAGGGTATATGGGGACGAAAAGAGCAGTGATTGTCTAGAGTGGATATTTTGGGAATGAGAAAGGGAGATGAGAACAGAGGGCAGAGGGGTGTGGGCCCAGCGATGAGGGCATCTCATGGACGTGGGCCACCCGTGTGCCTTGCACAGGGCTGCAGGAACAAAGGACAGGTGGGGGACAGACAGAGAAGCAAGGGACCCAGGGTCCTAGAGAGCAACCCTCTGGGATGTCCAGGCTCAGTATCCAAGCTAAGGAGAGAGGCCGTGGAGCCAGGAGAGTCCAGAACAGTGGGTGAGAGAGTTGAGAAGTAGCAAGCTCAAGGTCCTTCTAAGAGTTAAGGAAAGCTAGAAGTCAATGGAGAAGAGAAACTCACCACACCAAGTGCATTGTGTGGGGCCAAAAACAACACCAACATCAAGGGCCCTGAGTCTTACAGACTGAGTTTTAATCCTGCCTCTGCCACTCACCCAAGGTAAGTGGTGTATCTCCTCCGAGCCTCAGTTTTCTCATCCTCAGAATGGATATAATAATAATTCTACTCACACAGTTGTTGGGAGAAGTGCTTGACACATAAGCAGTCAATGTTAGCTGTGTTGTTGTTGATATTGCTGTATTGTTATCCAGCGGACTCTGAGTCCCGAATGACCCTAGAGGACAGTCACTTGATCTAGTCTCTGAGCAGCACTACTTCTAAGATGCCCAAAGAGAATCACAGCCTGATCTGTTTCTAGTCCTCCAGAGAAGCTGCCCTCATTTCCCCATTGTGTGCTCAGCCTGGTGAATAAGCTCTCTGTCTTAGTTTATTTTCTGTTGCTATACCAGAATACCACAGACTGGGTAATTTATAATGAATGGAAGTGTATTCAGCTCACAGCTCTAGAGGCTGGGAAGTCCAAGAACATGGTGCCAGCATCTGGAGAGTGGCCTGAACAATGAGATATAGATGAAAAGAGAAAAGGTCTAAATGAACATGCATGACATCATTCAGCTCAGAATACCTTTGCTCTTGACCTACTGACTTCCAAAGCATCAAGAATCAGACACCAGGAGATGATGAACAAGAAGGGTTCACCATGGGCACATGGTCTAGGTAGACAAGCCTCCACCTCTAGCATTTAAGTAGTATAATTCCTGACCTCAGAAGGGATTGAGATGGCCTGTTACAAATTAATAAAATGATATTGGGCTAGAGATGCTAGGAAATGTGCAAAATCCTCTGCTTCTAGGTTAGAAATTTTGCACTTTAGGACTTAGTATTCAGACATACCAGAGCAGGTGGTATAACATGTACAGATAAGAAAGGATTTTTTCTATTATGTGCTCTTGACCATTTGTGATACTGACAAAAGCCATATCAATAAAAAAAAATTCATTTCAAGTTTATTTTATGAGAAATACCCCCACGCTTAAAAGTTAGGAAAAGGGAATGTAAAATAATCAATAAATACAATAAACACACACAAACTTTAGTCCAACGTGCTGATTTTAGAGATGAGGAAACTGAGGTCCAGTGAGGGGATGATGTTCCTGGGTCACACAGAGAGCTTTCTGACCATGTGCTCTCCCACCACCCTTTACTGCAATGTCACTATCTGTGACTTACTCCTGCTGGCTCTTCCCTGTCATTCCCACACTGATGTCACTGATGGGCATCTTCACATGGCATCTCCAATGTGACATACCCCTGGGAATTTCAAAGTTACCCACCCCCCTTAGGAACACTCCAGATGACAAAATGGAACCACTGCCTGCCCAACCACCACTCATGGAGTCTCATCTTCCTCCTGGCCCTTATAGAGGTGTCTCCAGGTACAGTCTGATCTCCTCACCACCCACCCACCAGGGTCTAGCATCAAAGCTTTGTTTCTTGCATGGAATCCTGATCCTTGGGACATGAGGCTTCAAGGTTAGATGTTCTACATTCCAATTATCCTTTGCTGGAAAGAGACATTGGAGAAGGGAAGCAGGAAGGAGTAGAGCAAATACATGTGTGTGACTTTTCAGCATGTTCTACACAGCTTTCTTCCTTGTGCTCTAAATCCTCTTTCACTATCATTTAACAGGATGCCCTATTCCTACCTCCCAGGCCATGGCAACTCCAAGCCACTTGGCAACCCCATTACACCTGAAATGATCTTCCCCAGCTTCTCTCTTGACAACTCCCATTCATCCTTAAAGATCCAGCTCAAACAGCCCTTCCTCCCTGAAGCTTTGTCTGCCCCTGCATCTCACCCTCATCCAAGCACTACAGTCTGTCCTATTCACTGGGTTTCATTTTTATCTTTGCCTTGGAAATCTGCCCTAATTTCTATCCTGTTCTGGATCATTACTCTCACTAGCTCCTGAATGCCTAAAAGCAGGACTGTGATTTATTCATCTTAAATCTACATGGTCTAAAACAGTTCCGTATACATGGTATTTATTCAATGATTGTGGATGAATGAATAAATGAATGAGATAAGACAGGCACTAGGGGAAAGAAACAAAAGAAAGCACCCAAAACTCCCACACTCAACCTGCACATCCAGATAAGAAATCTTGGGAAATAAAACATATAGAATAGCAATGACTGAGAAATATAATGTCAGGAGTGATGTGCTGGTAAGCCAGCTCTTGAAAAAAAAACAAAAAGCCCCAATTTCCATGGTATAAAAACACCCACTGTGGTTGATTTCACACTACCATCCTGACCTCACTAAACACAGAAATTGAGAGGAAAGACACACAAGTGGCTCTCATGAACTGGTATGAGCTGGCTCCAGTACACCATTGCATGCAAGCCATATGTGTAATTTTAATTTTCTGGTAATCACATTAAAAATTGTAAAAAGAAAAATTTAATAATGTGTTTATTTAGCCCAATAGACCCAAAATATTTTTAAAATTATTACTGAGTTTACATTATTGGTTTCACGTAAAGTCTTTGAATTCTGTATGTATTTATACTGCAGTATATGTCAACTTGAACTTGCTGTATTTGGCTAGTGGCCGCTGTATTAAAACAGTGCAGGGCTAGAATCACAGAATCAGAGCCACACAGTGACAGAATAACCTGGCCACCATGTTTTTTTAAGATTTTGGATACAGGGTGATTTTTCAGATGGTGTTGCATTTTTACAACTTCAGGCAGAAATGGTACTTGTCTTGTGGGCTAGACTAATTTAGGAGGATCCCAGATCTGTTACACTTTAACAGAAACTCATGCCTCATCTCAGCCATATGCCTGCTCCATCAGGATCCTACGCCACATGCCCACACTTACTAATTACCACATATTCTTTCCGGCTTTGTATGTGGGGTTGAAGGCAGCTAATGAACAACCTGTAGCAGTTTTTTTCTCTGCACCATGTGGCAATTCAGCAACAGAAATGGCCCTCCTTCTAGGACTGCTCCTTCCATCACAGAACGAGGTTTGATTTTTCAGAAGCTAAATATGAATGCACAGTGTTCAGAAATGCACCTGTTGATTAGCCAAGGAGTTGAGCTGCCCCTTAGGAGCCTCAAGGTGGCGAATGTAGGGCCTTCTTTTTTGAAAAGAGAGTTTGCAACTTTGAAGCAGAGGCCCAGGCATCAGAAGTCGTAGAACCCAGCTCTAGCTCTGTGTGAGCTAGAAAATTCCTTCATCTCTGTCATTTGGCCTATGCTTCTATAATCTGACTTTAAGACTCTGATAGCAGGTTTCTGAATATAGAACGAAGTGATGTTTATGAAAATGCTGTGAAAAAAATGTTAAGTGCTGGAATCGGAATCTTGAGATGAAACGCAGCAGATCTTAGTGGGAGATTCACGGAATATGAATAGGAAAACATGAGTTCTTTTCTTGGCTCCATCAAAAATAGTCTGTGGGCAAGTCAATTAATCTCTCTGGGCCTTTTCCTGATCACTAGAAGGAAAGGGCCAGTCCAGATGACCAGTGGAAATTAGATCATGACACCCTCTCCTAACACCTTCCAGTGGCTTCCCATCTCCCTCAGCATCAGATTCCCACACCTCACCTCTTTGACACCATGTCCTCCTCCTCCTCCTCCTTCCTGGGCTTCAGACATTCTGGCCTTCTTGCTGTTCATTTGACCCTCACATCTCATTCACAGGACACCTTTCAGTGAGGTGTTCCCTGACTGCTCTATTTTAAATTGTAACTCCGTCCCCTATCATATTTCTTTCATAGCAGTTATCACCTCCCTAGCATATCATTTAGTGATATATTTTGATTATTGCCTCCCCTCTCTAGAATATAATCTCCATAAAGTCAGAAATTGTTGTCAGTTTTTTAACCTAGTATATTTCCAGTATCTAAAACAGCACACAATAGGTCCTCAACAAATAGTAGTTGAATGAATGAATGAATAAATGGGAACCATTCTGGCTCTCACATTCCAAGATTATGTTTCCTATTAAGAAAAATTAGCATTCTACCAGAGAAGTTGACAGCCAAAATTCTAGAAATTTATCATAGGCATACCTGAATTACCCACCCTGCAAGGCAGATCCAGCTTAGTTCCCCTGGAGCCCTGAGCCCAGAGAAGTGAAACTAACAGGGTGGCTTCCTTTGTCTGGTGACCCACAGCCTCCCATTCACGCTACCTGCTCTTCCAGTCCTCGACTCCACTCCCTCCCTACTGCAGATACCCCAGTACCCACCTGCCCCCTTCTCCCTCTGCATGAGCCACTCTCAGAGATGCTCTGATGGCCTGTTCTGAGCAATGGCTCCGCGAGAGTCCTTGAGTGCCTGTTCCTGAGCAGAACTGGTTACACCCTATCTCGCACTTAGAGCAGGTTCGAGGGTTCCTGTGATGCCACCTCGCACTGGGAAAAGTAAGGCTTTATTCACATACTTATTCAGTCAACATGGATTAATTGGGTGTGTTGGGGAATACGGAAGCAGACAAGACAAAGTGCCCTCTGCCCTCCTGTGGCACCGACAAGTAATAAATATGTTAATACATATATAATACACCATCAGCTAGTGATAAATACTATTAGGTTTGCGCAAAAGTAATTGCGGTTTTGCCATTGCTTTCAGTATTTTAAAGTGAGGTGGGTTAGACGAGAGAATGGCAGGGAGTGTCACTCTAGGTGAGGTGGTCACAGAAGGCTGCCCTGAGGAGACCTCAGTGAAGTGAGGGGGCAAGTCCCACACCCGGAAACAATCAGTGCAAAGGCCCTGAGGCAGCAGTGCGCCTGCCTTGTCCAAGGAGCCTCAGATGTCAGTGTAGTGAGGAGTGGGGGAGGAGAGGAGAGGAAGTGGGAGAAATCGCTAGAAGCTGACGCTCATAAACTTTGAAGGCCTTGGCACTGATTGGGATTTTGTTCATAGTGTGCTAGAAAGGGATTAAAGGGTCCAGAGCAGGGAAGTGCCATGATTTGACTTAGGTTTGCAAAGGATACTTCTGGCTGCTGAATGGAGAATATTCTGCAGGGGAACAAGAGTGGAGGCAGAATGGCAGGCCATTGTACCAGTCCAGATGACACACAGTGGTGACCTGCCCAGGCCGTGACTGCTTGCCCTTTGCCGTGCCCCAGCGTACTGCAAGCTTGTCCACCTTTTGAGTCCCTGCTCTTCCATCAGAGTCCACAGGTCCCTTTCCTCCATCTCCCAATCTACAATCAGGTGTGTCAGTGGTTTGCAGCCTTAGGTTACCCCCACCTTCAAGCTGAATGAGGATCCCACAGACCACACCCTTCCCAAGGGACACTGTCAGGGATCAGAGGGGGAGTCTTGGGGGTATGAGGAGCAGTGGAGATAAAATGCCAACTATAACTTTGCCCCTTTCCCTATCAATTTAAGAACTTATCATAGAATATGCAGGAGTAAGAATAACTGTCCTTACTAGAAAAAAAAAAGTTTATTCTTCTTTATTTTAAATTATTTTTTTTGAGACAGAGTCTCACTCAGTCACCCAGGCTGGAGTGTAGTTGTGCGATCGCAGCTCACTCTCAGGTTCAAGCGATTTTCCTGCCTCAGCCTACTGACTAGCTGGGATTACAGGCACATACCACCACACCCGGCTAATTTTTGTATTTTTAGTAGAGACACGGTTTTACCATATTGGCCAGGCTGGTTTTGAACTCCTGGCCTCAAGTGATCCGCCTGCCTCGGCCTCCCACAGTGCTGGGATTACAGACATGAGCCACATTCTTTAATTGTTAAATTATGCACTCACAAACTCAGTATGTTAACTATACTAATAACACAGTAATGGCTTGCAAGGTGCCAACACACAATCAGTTGCTTTCACCAATACATCAACACCAGGGTTGAGAACCCCGTTCCAGGATACTTTTTGGGGCATATGGTTAAAAAATATCTTATTTGGCCCTTCGATTATGTCCTCTTGTCTATTTTTTATCCCATGAACCTAAAGGTAGTTTCCCAGGAGGCAAGAACCACAGCTTCTCCTCCTCTGGTCTAGTTCACTGTCAGCACCAGTGGATAGATGAGCAGAGGGTAGCAGGATCTGAGATACAGAACCTTTCAAGGCACGAGTTGGCATCAAAACCTGCCCTTATGAGGCTGTTGAGCCAGAAGAGATCTTGGAAGTCACTTAATCCAGCTCTCTGATTTCCCAGAGAAAGAAACTGATGCCCAGGAAGGTGAAGTGACTGGCCTAAGACCACCCAGCTAGGAAAGGCAGGTGAAGATAGTGAGGCCAAGAAGCTATGTGTGGAAGCTCCCACCCTCACCAGTTCACGGTCTGCTATATCGGTGTTGAAAAAAACGCAGAGGGCACAAACCTCTTCATCTCATTGCAATCCTCATAGCCATCCTAGAAGTCAGAAACAGATGCCACCGCTATCCCCATTTCATAACTAGAACAAACAAAGTCCAAGATTCTGCCTAGTGGTTTGGACCATATGTTGCAGGGGGGCGCTAGGGCAGCAGGGAGATGATTGAAAATGCCGGATTGACCCTTTTTTTAATCCTTGAAAAGGGGAATGCTGAGGTGAGGATGATCATGGAAAGACTGTCATTCAGAGAAGAATTCAAATTCTTCTATGTAGCTCCAGAGGCAGAATGAGGACCTGGGCCCAACAGGAAAGAGAGATGTCTGATCACTAGGGCTCTCTGAAAATAGAAGGAACTGGCTGGGGAAATGGTGGGCTCCCAATTTCTGAGATGTCCTGGGCCGAGGCTGGAGGTCAGTGAGTCAGGGGCACTGCTGAGAGGACTCCAGCTTCAGGGGCAATTGGACTGAATGGCCTCTGAAGTCTCCTTCAGGCCTGATATGTAACAATTCTGTTTACAGGGGACTTGGCAGTGGATTCTGTCTCATAAAAAGAGTTTCTCCCACCCACATGGCTGGAGGCATTCTCCCTAATGAAGTCATCCCAAAGGACTACAGCTGAATGTCTTCCAACCCCTAAGGATGGGATGAGGAGAAATGACCTTAAGTCATGTGACATCCATCGGCCCTGTGAAAGACTTCCTATGTTGTGAGCTTAGAGGTAGGGTGCAGCTGCCAGAGGGTGTTACTAAAACTCCTCTCTGGTGATCTCTGAGGAGAATGGGGATACCCACGGTCCTCACGGCTTTGGATAAAGCAGTGTGCAGGCAGGGGGATTGATTTTGTGACCTTTCCCAGTTTCCTCCAGCCTGTTCCAGCTACAATTCTACGATAAAAGCATTAGAGGGCCCAGAGGTGGTTTAGCCTCACTTCTCCCATTCTGGTGATTGAAGACATTTTTTCTAAAACCCTATAAACCCTAAACCGTAATTCTTTTACAGCAAAGGGAAAGACAGTACAGTCATGCACAGTTTGAAGCAAGGGAGTTACAGGGAGAGGTGAAAGGGAGAGGAAGGTCTGTTTAGATTGTGGTTGTCTTTTTTTGTTTGGGGTTGGTGGGTGGGGGGGGGTGTTAAATGTGAAGTTTGATGACTGAACAAAGAGAGCAAAGGAGAAAAAATGTGAAAAAACTCAAACCTGCAGTTTTCTGATACACAGAAGGGAAACCCAAACTCCACTCATTATGGCACATATTTATGGCAGATCATAACATTAAATTACAACTCGGCGGCCTCGGCCAGGACTGTGGAGTTCTTCCCATGTGCTTCCAATTAAGCCTGTTTGAAGTTGCCCTGGATATTTATTTGTAGGGGATTTACTGCACAGAACGATTAAAGTTTGTTCTTGTTAAGAGTTGGGGGCTAGTTTTGGGGGTGGGGAGCTGGAAAGGAAAAAAAGCTGGAGAGAGAAAGGGGGGCTGCAAGGTACCCCAAATGAATATACGTGTATGTCTTAAAGTGCACACAAACACACACACAAGGGCCCTTTGTTTTCAACATGGTGAGGGGCCAACATCTCTGACTGTGATTTTGTTTATAGGAAATCCTTTATAATGCACGTTTAGTGTTTCCATATGGAATTCTCATAGGACATTTCCCCGCACCACCCTCCCCACTCCCCTTTTTTTATTTGGATAAGGCAAGAGAAAAGGGACTGTACATTCCAAAGATTCATAGTCATTCCGGATCAAATTCAATGGATTTTGGCAAGAGTTGAAAAACCCAGATGCAGGGCTTCAGCCTCCCGCTGAGCCGCCTCCAGCTGCGAGTGTCTGGTGGAGGCACTTTGTAAAATCATGAAAACCCTATTAAATTCATGAAATATGATATACTGTCGTTTCAGACTAACTTTCCATTGAACTGTCCATGAAGAGAGAATTTGGTTAACTTGCTGAAGAAGAGGGAAGTGGCAAGGCTGGGGCAGGGAGGGGAGGAGGGAGGCGCTATTGAAGAAAGAATGCAAAGAAAGGTAAGGAATTCTGAGGAGCTTGCAAATTTCTGTGTCTGAGCGTGAGAGCTCCTTAGGACCCCAGCAGAACTGGGCTTTCTTGAGGTTTGGCTCTTCTCAGAAAATGAGGTGGTCGCCATCATTCCTCTCCCAAGTGGGTGAATATCTCATTTTGACCACTTTAGCTGCTGGGATGATTTGCTTCAGAGCGCATGAGACTCCAGCAATTCTTTGGCAGACATTTAGGTTCTGCCCCACCTTGTCTTCTAGCTGAGAGGCCAAAGGCAGAGAGAGAAAGAGGGAGTAACTTGCCCAGGGTCCAACAGTTTGAAAACCCAGAGTTCCTGAATCCCAGTTTGGCTCTTTCCATCAAAGCATGTCCCTTCCCTGGATAAATGAGATAGAGAGCTTCACTGCGGGTGCTGGCTCTCCTTGCCTCAGATCAGAGCTGCTGACAACATTGTTTTTTGCATAAACTCACAGGCCCATACTCCCCCCAGCTATGAAATGGTCCATCCTAAAGAAGTTGGACAGTCTTAGTTCATTTCCCACTGGACTATAATTCACATCGTAAAACTATTGCATGTTTATTTTCAAACAGAACAGGGTGAGGAGTCTCTGGAGGTGAATTGGTTTTGTTTTCTGGAAACCGCCACAGGACATGGGCAATTGCAGGAGCTCACGTGTGTGTACAGAGTTTGTCTTGCAGAAAGCCAAGCGGGGCTCTCCTTTCCCAGGTCTTGGCACCCTAGGGGTCTAAAGTCCAGACCCCTGGAATGTAAGGGCAGACAGGAACATCAGGACCCACCTGCCATTCATGCAAAGGCCCTGAAGTAGGAATGTCACACCCTGCAGTTGGCAGCATCTCTGACCCAGCTGCCAGGGACAGCTTCATGCCTAGAAAATTATCAGAGTAAAAGCTGACATTGATTGAGTGCTTACAGTGTGCTAAGGCACTGTTCTAAGGCACTGCTCTAGACATGGATTAAATCACTTCATCCTAACAACCCTGCAACGTAATGATATTATCCCCATCTTGCAGATGACAAAATTGAGGCAAGTCGCCCAATGTCTCACAACAGACTAAGATCACATAACCAACATGAGTGACTGAGCCAGTATGTGAACCTCAGCATGGGTGCTGCAGAGTCTGAACTCTCAAATTGCCACCACCCTCCCCACTCCCAATCCCACCCCAACACACAGACCTAAATACCACATGTCAGTCACTGAGGTCTTAACTCTCCCTCTTCTCACCCCCATTGGAGGTGTATTTTTTTATTTAAAGTTTTCCTACCCTCTCCTTACTCTTCTGATATGCAAATATCCCTGAGGGTGGTAATAGCTTGTTACTAATAATCTAAGCCAATGCTTCTCCAACTGTAATGGGCATACACATACCCCCAGCAGTCCTGTTCAAATGCAGATTCTCATTCAGTAGGTCTGTGGAGGAGTCTGAGATAACAATATTTCTTGTTTTGTTTTGTTTTTTTGAGATGGAGTCTCGCTCTGTTGCCCAGGCTGGAGTGCAGTGGTGCGATCTCAGCTCACTGCAACTTCCGCCTCCCGGGTTCAAGCAGTTCTCTGCCTCAGCCTCCCAAATAGCTGGGATTACAGGTGCCCACCACCACACCCAGCTAATGTTTTTGTATTTTTAGTACAGACAGGGTTTCACCATCTTGGCCAGGCTGGTCTTGAACTCCTGACCTCGTGATCCACCCACCTCGGCCTCCCAAAATGCTGGGATTACAGGCATGAGCCACCACGCCCAGCCGAGATAACAATATTTCTAACAAGCACCCAGTGCTGCTGCTGGGTCATAAAGTACACTTTTGAGTAGCAAGGCTCTAGGCTATTTACCTGATTGCTTCTCTCCACCAAAGGAGACCCCACTATACACTAAGAGTTGTGGGTACATGAAATGAAGACACATGCAGAAAAAGGGACCTGGGAGAGCCAAAGACATTTCATCAGTTTCACAGCTGTGGTCCAGGCTAGCCCATTTGCCACCCATCAGTAGAGCCACTAGATTTCCAAGCTTCAAGTGCCAGGCACTGGTAGACATGGGGAAGCATGCAGAGTTTTTGGAGCCCTGAGAAGCCTTTTGATTTTAACCTCTTCAGCAGCATGCAATAGCCAGATGATACAGGAACAGAGAGTCCAATACCTCTATACCCATGGCAGGGCAGTAATATATATACAGTAATCACTGGGGTCAAGAAGAGTCAGCATCAAATCCCTCCCTTCCATCCTGGGGGAAAGGTTGCTTACCAAGAGGAATTGGCCCAGCGATAGCAGTTTCCACCTTCTTGCTGGGAGAATTAGGGCAGATATTTAACCTTTATTTAACTTTTCTGTTTCATTTTTTTTAATGTAAAATGAGAAAATTACACTAGATTTTTCAACCTCTCTTCCCTCCTCATCCCCAATCTATGAGTCTATAGAAGCCTATATAATAAATAAAAATCCACCAACTCTCTGGATGTCTCAGTATTCTGATGTCATTGTTGCCAATACCATGCATCAGGATATCAGATGGAACTGGTTGCATTTCCACCTGGAGGTTGAGTGCCATAAAAACATAGCTTCCACACAACCCTAAGCGCCCCATTCCCAGTCCCATCTTGGGAAGCAGATGCAGGAAAGTTCGTTTCCCATAGTGGCCAAGCATGCTGCCTGAGACTCAAGACTAGAAGGCAGTGGTCTAGTCCCCAGAGCTCTGCTTCACAGCCAAAACACACTGTATTATATTCCTACCAGCTCTGAATGCCTTGCACAGCCAAAAGGTACAGGCATTTGAGAGCAGCAAGGGGCAGCACTTGATCCCTGGCCTGTTCTGTCTGGCTGTCTCTGGCAATGGGAAGCCAAGCACCATGGCCTAATGAGGGCCTGGGAGACCCAGTAGACAGTTCAAGTCCAGCAGAGCCAAGCCCAAATCCTTGCTCTCCCATGTCTGGGTTATGTACTTGTAACTTCTGTTAACTCTTAAGGCAAAGAGTAGGTGAGCAATAATGTAAAGCTATTCCTCTGAATGACTGTTGACAATAAATCAGACACTCTCTGGATTTGCTCTCCAACCTGATGGAATCCAAGGGGATCCCTTGGAATCTGCGTTGTCAAACAACTAAAGATCCAAAGTTCTAGACCAGAGCTGTCCAATAGAAATAACATGTGAGGCCGGGCGCCGTGGCTCACGCCTGTAATCCCAGCACTTTGGGAGGCCGAGGCAGGCGGATCATGAGGTCAGGAGATCGAGACCATCCTGGCTAACATGGTGAAACCCCATCTCTACTAAAAATACGAAAAAATTAGCCGGGCGTGGTGGCGGCGCCTGTAGTCCCAGCTACTCGGGAGGCTGAGGCAGGAGAATGGCGTGAACCCGGGAGGCGGAGCTTGCAGTGAGCCGAGATCGCTCCACGGCACCCCAGCCTGGGCGACAGAGCAAGACTCCGTCTCACAAAAAAAAAAGTGAGCCATCAATGTGAGGCAGTGTGAGCTGGTGCGAAGGGACGTAGGCTAGAGCTCTCCCATCATCTCCTACAAACCCCCAAACAATAATAATATTAATAATAGTGAAATCCCAAGAATGACATTCTGAGATATGATAACTAAGCATTTCCTTAATCTTTTTTTTTTTTTTTTTTTTTGAGACGGAGTCTTGCTCTGTCGCCCAGGCTGGAGTGCAGTGGCACGATCTCGGCTCACTGCAAGCTCTGCCTCCCGGGTTCACGCCGTTCTCCTGCCTCAGCCTCCCAAGTTGCTGGGACTACAGGTGCCTGCCACCACGCCCAGCTAATTTTTTGTATTTTTAGTAGAAACGGGGTTTCACCGTGTTAGCCAGAATGGTCTCGATCTCCTGACCTCTTGATCCGTCCACCTCGGCCTCCCAAAGTGCTGGAACCACCAGTGTGAGCCACCGCGCCCTGCCGCATTTCCTTAATCTTACCTAAAGGGTGAATAAAAGGATTTTTAGAAAACTATGCTATTTGTATTGATCTCTAGTATTCGAGCTAAGTAAAAAATATACAATACAACTCTTAAGACATTAGCATTTTCCCCCACTTCTGGCCAGACCGTCACCCCTAAGCTCCTTCAGTAAAAATTTCTGTAACTATAACTGACCAGTGGAGAGGCCAGTGGGTAACCCAAAATAGCACCTGCCAGAGTTTCTCAACCAGTGAGGTGTTTAGTGCTGCTTACTTTTTAAAAATTTGATTTGAATGAGGAGAGGACCTTGAATACTAGAGCACAGGGTGCTGGGAGGATACAGACTGCAAGAGTGCAAGGTTTGGGACATAGGGTGCTGGGGGACAAGAGGGAAGGGTTAATTTGTATGGCACACACTAGTCACTGCTACAGCAGAGGATTTGAGAAGGACCACAAGCACGCAGTACCAGGATGCAGAGTATTAGGAAATGCACTATAGCAATGGGATGTTTAAGTGTAAGACACATCAAAGAATGCTTGGACATTAGATGTGAGGTTCAAGGGAATCAGGGCATGGAGTCTGGGGAAAGCAGAATTTGAACAACCCATAGACTCATCTGGTCAGAAAATGGCACCGCAGGTTTTCTCCGTGAACTTCAATGATCACCTGCCAAGCTTTCTTTGATCTTCATTTGACTGTTAGGATTGAAAGGTTCAGCTTGTCCCTCTCTCTCTGATCCCCTCCTCTCCTTTCTCTCCTGGACCGGTCATTACCTCTGTGAACAAAAGGCATCTGAACAGCAGGGCAGACCCAGGCAGAGTGGGCACAGCCGTCCAACCATCCAGAAACTAGACCCATCACAGCTCATGGCACCTTACTTGTCTCTTCCTTGTAAAAATTGGGATACTATTTTCTAGCCTGATAGATGGGAGGCTGAACCAGATGTCTTCTAGCTCTAAACTCTGGAACTCTTGGAAACAAGTCAGAACTCTAGAGCCTAAGTCTTGTTACCAAAGTGAGATTCTCCCACACAGATTTCATGGTTCATCACTATCCTGGCTCCACCACCCCCAGCAGCCGTCACACCCTGGTCGGAACAGAATCCCACCAGGCAACTACGCATGCCACACCTGCACAACTTCCCCACCGACCCCCAACCCCTGTGAGACTTCATCCCCTTCAGAAATGACTGCTTCCTTCTCCGGAATGTAATCCTTTCCTCTTTCCAAACCCTACCCAGACATTCACTCTGCCATGAAACCTTTCCACATTAACCACCCGGAAATCCAACCATCTCATTTACTCAACCATCTCAGCATTTTCACCTCCTTGCACAACTGCCTTTTAAAACCGTTTTCTTGTATTATAAAAATAATAGTATGCTTTACACCCTTTCTGTGTGTTTGCATACATGTTAGAGTACTAAGCTTAATGTTACGCAAAAAGCAGGGTCTCAGTAAAAATGGGCTAGAAAAATGATCTTCACAACATCTCTGTGAGGAATTAATGATAGTTAACATTTATTTTGCACTCCTGTGCTAAGCAGTTTATACGCAGTATCTCATTTCATCAATAACCCTGTAAGGTAGGCATGATTTGTATTCCCCATTTTGCTGGGTTTTTTTTTTTTTAAGCTGAAGCATGGAAGATGCTAAAATATAGGCAATCTTACTTCAAACCCCACACTTTTGCCACTGCATTTAGACTGTCTTTCCACTTAACCATTAAGTAAACTGGGGTACGCAGGCATTAAGTGAATTACTTGAAGTCACATGGTTGGGGCTAGAAATTGTGTACTCTCCACCAGGTCTCGTGGCCTCTTTCAAGCTTTGCAATTAGATTCTCCTTTCCATGTGTGCCTGAAACAGCAAAGACTGTAATGCCAGGCAGAGCCTCTATTTCCTAGGAGGGTTGCTGTGAGGATTAGAACCAAGAAATGCTCTCAGACATGGCCTGGCAGGTGCTAGGTACTCAGCGGCAGCCTTTGACCTCTTCCCTGCTCCCCGGCTTCCTCACTTCCACACACTCCAAAGCCTTGAACGTCCTTGTTCAACTCAAACTCTGATGTTCGGAGCGAACATCAGACTCAGCTGGCTGCCCCCAGGGTGTTCATTGAGGAGGGTCCCCCTCTCAAATCATGAAGCTGCAGTGCAGAAATGAGGTCACAGGGCCCACATTGCTCATGCTTCCTGGAGCCCTACTGCTGAGTGGTACGGACTTCATCCAAGAAAAAGAAAACCACCCAGTACGGACTGGAGGAAAGCATCTGTTCCATAAAGACCCTCCCCTTCCTCTGTTCACAAGGCACCTCTCCTCTCTAGTCTCCCTGTAAACTCTGCCTGTGTACCCCAGTTGCCCTCTCCTATCTTGCCACAGTGGCATAAGGCTAAATTAATTAATGTGGGTAAACCATGTGGAAAGGCCTGGCTTGCCAAGTGCTCTAAGTTTGAAATACTATTGGAAGCAGTGGAAATTGGCACGGCTACCTAGAACAAAATTAATCTCACCCCCAGGACTCCTGAGCTTGAATTTGGTTAATGGAGGCATGCGCAGCTAGAACACGATCTTCATTCAAAACACTGTGGGTATATTTCAAACTCTTATTGGGGAACAGGGAGATATTACAATTAAAAGGGAAGGAAGATGGCCAGAATGGGCATTTCCTGTGATATATGAAACCCAATGGGAATTACCCAGGAGTTGAACAAGAGAAGGGGATAACTTACAAAGTGAGGTCTGTAGGGCTATGTTGGTTTGGGTGTCTCTGGGAGACAAGAGTCTTCCTACCATGGCAGGTGTGCGTGTTCCCATCAGGAAGGGCAGCTGGAACTCTTGGGCAAAAGCTGAAGCTATTGTTCACATGCAGAATTTCTATTTTCTCAAGAAAGCTTTGGTGCTACTTTTCAGGCTTTTCAACTGATTATATCAGGCCCATCCAGATCATCGAAGGTAATCGCTCTTAAAGTCAACAGATTATGAAACTTAATACAGCTACAAAGTACCTTCCCATACCAACACCTGGATCAGTGTTTAATTGATCAACTGGGGACTGTGGCCTCACCAAGATGACACAAAAACTGCCTTCACAGCTGCTCTGCACTCCTCACCACTCAGCCCCCACCTACCTCCTCTACCATTGGACCCTTTTACTGCCTCTGTGCTTCTATGATGTCCCATCCCCTAGAAATGGCCTTTGGGCCATCTATTAACCAATCCCATCAAAACCTCAGACAAGTCTCCAAAGAAGGTTGGTTGCAGCCGGGCACGGTGGCTCATGCCAGCACGTTGGGAGGCCGAGGCGGGTGGATTACTTGAGGTCAGGAGTTCGAGACCAGCCTGGCCAACATGGTAAAACATGGTAAACACCATCTCTACCAAAAATACAAAAATTAGCCAGGCGTGGTGGTGTGTGCCTGTAGTCCCAGCTACTTGGGAAGCTGAGGCAGGAGAATTGCTTGAACCCAGGAGGAAAAGGTTGCAGTGAGCCAAGATTCTGCTACTGCACTCCAGCCTGGGCAACAAGAGTGAAACTCCATCTCAAAAAAAAAAGAAAGAAAGAAAGAAAGAAAAGAAATGGAGTTTACAGTGACAGTCTTTTATCCACCCATTCAGTAAATATTATTTGATTTTGGCATTTGTTACAGACCCTGCTCTAGGGAAGGCCTCATCCCAGTGACTACCTGGTAGTTCCCCAAGAATGTCAGGTAGTGGTGAGTGTTTTGGGGAAAACGGTAACTAAAAGGGTTGGAAAGTTGGGGGATGAAGGCAGGAGGTAAAAGATGATATCAGAGAAGTGGCCAGAGGGCAGGTCATGGAGACCAGTAGGACATGGAAGGACTTTGGCTTGTGTCTGAGTGAGCTGGGAGGTCCCTGCAGAGGTTTTGAGCAGGAGAGGGACTCTGCTACATATTCAAAGGAACGCTTAGGCTGCTGTGTGGAAAATGGACTGAGGGCAGGCACAGGAGGATGCAGAGAGACTGGTCTGCAGCCTATTCACCTAATCCAGGAGAGGGATGGTGGTGCCTTAGACTCAGTCACTTAGCAGTAAAGATGATGAAAAAAGTACATTCCAGATATAATTTAGAGGTGGCATTAATAGGAATTGCTGGTGCATTGAGGTGTGGTGTGTGAAAGAGGCCTGAGCCACCAGGTAAGTGACAGTCCCTTGTACTGAGACTGGGGAGCCTCATGGGAGGATGGGTTGTGGGGAGGTGCAGGCCAGTCATACACACCCAATCAGAGGTTCCCAATACATTTTGCATTTTACTGAATGGGACTTTCTACAAATGGGCAACCCACACATTCACACAACAGTTACAGCTCACACGTACTGTACTGTAGAGACCCGAGGCCCAATACCTCCTCAAGGGCCTTCTAGTCAAAATGGAGCCAGCCAGCCCCGACTGTTAGCGTGTCTGTGCCCACGTAGGTTATCTCTGTCTCATTTTACCCATCAGAATAGATTACCGAGAAGCTCCAGTTCCCTGTTTGAAATGATCTCTCTGTAGAAACAAAAAGACATTCAAGACCCGAGGGCTTCAAAGCAGTGGAGAAGGGGAGGGAGAAATGACATGGCACTGCAGCTTGGGTCTGCTCAGGAGAGTGGCCCCAGCATTTCTCCTACAAATTTCTTAGGTGGGCTACATGGACGGCGCTGCATTATGACTGGCGAGGGTCCTAGACGCTTTCCTTTTTAAGTCCCTTCCTCCATAAAAATAAAAAAAATTATATTTTATGACTGTGTTGGTATTGAGATAAATATAATGCAAGCAAGATAGTATGCATTTTTTTCTCCTGATTTTAAAAAGGCATTTTTATGGGCCCCTAAAAATATCTTGGGCTATAGGCATTGTGCCTCCTGTACCCAGTGGATAAGTTGGCTTTCTGTCTAGGAAGGAAAAGAGGTGGGTCTGCATTGGCGGTGGGCATCAGGGACCTGGACTCTTGTCCTGACTTTCTAACAATTCGCTCTGAGACCTCCAATCAGTCCCTCCACCACTCAAGGCTCCTCTTTCCTTATCTTTCTAAGGAGCATCTTTCAGCTGCCTTCAGGCAATAATTCCTCAATATTCTAACTAAAGCACGCAGACCGCTTGCTTCATTTTTAACTTTCTTACCCCAAGGGAAGGCTCTTCCTCCCAAGTATAATATTAAACTCGTTTTCTCTTTCTGAATCTTCTTCTCTCATCAAATCATGTGCCGGTATATGCAGCCACTGGTTTCCAAAAAGAGGCCATAAAACCATGATGAGTATGAAGATACCAATGTGAAAATGACAGAGAGAAAGTCATAAACATTCAAATAAATATATAAATATAAACAAGTCTATAAACCAAACCCTGGAGGCATTTTAAACACATAATGTAGCGTTTATATCTCTTACTTTGCACAGCAGAACTTTCAAAGGAATTTCATTTAATTCTATTGCTCACACCCCTAACCCCCATCCAGGAGTAATCGCTAATAACCAGCACAATTACTGCCTCCCTCTTGATCAAGGGTTCATTTCAGAAGCTGATTCTTGAATTCATTATCCTGCTGGCAATGAGTTGAATCACAGCGGATGTGGCCATATGACAATCCCCCTTGCTCTTCTTCCAGTTAGGTTCAGCGAGATGCCTGACAGTCCTGGCCGCGACCTGCTCTGACTCTTGCAAAAGTAGTTACCTTTCTGTTACCTGGCCCAATTTAAAGAAGTCAGTCAGGACTTAGGAAGTGAGCAGACAATTCTGTTTTGTGATGGGCTTGTGAATGGAGGGACACCCTACCATGGAACATGATTGTGTCTGTCTCTCTCCAGAGTGCAGGGAGCATGACCCAGCCACTCTGCACCTCCGGCAGGGACACGGGTAAAGAGGACACTGAGCAGTGTCTGAGCAACAGGCACTGTTCCGAGCCTGTATTAGTCTGTTCTCACACTACTGATAAAGATATACCTGAGACTGGGCAATTTACAAAAGAAAGAGGTTTAATGGACTTACAGTTCCATGTGGCTAGGGAAGTCTCACAATCATGGCAGAAGACGAGGAGCAAGACACATCTTACATGGATGTCAGCAGGCAAAGAGAGAGCTCATGCAGGGAAACTCCCCCTTATAAACCATCAGATCTCGTGAGACTTATTCACTATCACAAGAACAGCATGGGAAAGACTTGCCCCCATGAGTCACCAGGTCCCTCCCACAACACATGGGAATTCAGGATGAGATTTGGGTGGGGACACAGACAAACAATATCAGAGCCCTTCTCAGGTACTTGCTCATCTGATCCCCACAACAGCCCATGAGGTAGATATAGACCCAGCTACAGGATTTATGGGTGCAAAATGAAAATGTAGGGCGCTTGTTAAAAAAGCAGAGAAAATAAGAGGCAGTTAAAGATACTAAAATATAAAACTTGTTTCTTTCTTCCACGAGTGCTCTTTTTCTCTCTCCCTCCCTCTCATGGTGTTTTTATTTGCTACTTATTGTCATACTGCTTGGGACACAAAAATACTTGCTAGATGAGTGAAGACCATCACGGGAACCCAGGGGTTCCATCCTGCAATTCAGTGTACTCCCAAATGGCCCACTGGCCACCAGGTCCCCCCAACACACACACCAGCCATCAGACTGACCTGCTGTACCCAACCAGGAGTGGAGAAATTGAGTCAGGCATCCCTTCTTCTCACAGGCCCTCCACCTCAACCACAACACACAGTGAACAGGCAGCCTCAGGGTATGGTAATCTTGATGCCAGGATACACTTGGCACCAGGATTGGGCTAAGATGCTGCAAGGTACATGCACTCAACTCTGACCCTCACCTGTGCACACCTCTGCACAGAGAGCAGCAGCAGTCACTGGGTAGGGGGCAATGAGGAAGAGGCTGGGCAGGTCCTTGGGCTCCAAGAGGTGGGGAATAGGCACTCAAGAACCATGAACCAAGGGAGGCAGCAGGAGGTAGGACTGAGTGTGAGCAGAAGATCTAGTGGCTCGTGCTCCATTGTCCCACTGGACTTCCCTTACAAAACGCAAATTCAAGCTTTTAAATAATTGAAAATATTTGAATTATTGTGAATTTCAAGATGGTGACTGTAGAGCCCTGTTTATACAGGGCCATATGCAAATTGCACTTGTTGCAGGTCCATGAAGCCAACCCTGAGTCAATTTTATGACCATCCTCATTTGAGGGAACTCATGCTCTGTATTCTGCCCAGGGTCATAATGCAGTGAAGTAGGATAGGATGGGAGGGGGGACCAAGACTCAAACTCAGTCATCTGCCTCCAGAGCCTCATCCTTACCACTTCCCTAGGCTGTCCCTTATTCCACCAAACCTGACTGCCTCCCCTCAGGATGATCAGTGCTGCACCACATGGTATGGTGGAAAAACAAAAGAGAATGCGCGGCCCAACCTACAGCTTCATTCTAACTGGCTACCAACTGGCTTCATGACCTTGGCAAGTCACTTTACTTTTCTGAGCTTTATCCTAACTTACCACATGGAGGTGCTGCAGAGAAAAACCCATGGGGTCATAAAGGTACAATTCTAACAAAGCCTTTAGTGTCTAGTGGGAGAACCTTACTAAGCAGATCCCAGATCTCTCTGTCATCTCCTCCTTTCCTAGTCATTTCCCCACCCCTCTGGGCAACTGACTGAATGTCCAAGAGGACAGTGTGCATGCTCTACCATCGAATTGTTCTATGGCCACATAGTAAGAAAGGGACAAGGTTGGATCCATTCACCACTCAGAGCTATAATATTTTCTGGGTCTGTGTACAACTACTTTGACTTTGTCATCTTAATTCCAATGGGGTTTTTCTTTCCCCTCTATCTTTTCAGTCCAACTGGCTAGTGCTCTCCATTCATGACCCAGAAGGAATCTCCCAGCTGAGCCTAACCAATGTTTTCTAAATGAACATCATTGAGGAAAATTCTGACAATGCTTTTTTCTGAAATCAATTGATCAGACTGGCCCATTAATAAGCATTGACTTGAAGGGACTCCAAGTCTGTAGCATGATGAAGCAACACCATGGTGATCCTCAATCTTTAAGTCTTTTCAGCTGAACTATGGTGACTTACACTTCCTTGGACAAGATTGCAAGCATTTTCTTTGGTCTTATCCAGGAAGCATCTGCTTAGGCAGGACTGGCTGAAAGATGTGAATGGTCAGAGCCTTTGGCATTGGCCATTCTGTCGGGTGAGGGCATGTACGGTTGTGCATGATGCCCAGGGGTCTCCTTCTTTCTGGGATCCAAGTCCCACTCTAGGAATACTCATTCACTTCCCAGATTAAGCCAAAAATATGCAAACTCCACCAGACCTTCAGTTCTAAACCTCAGTCAAAGAAGCTTATTTCATAAAATATCAAAAGGCCATGGATGAGCCATACAATGGTAAATAGATATGAACATTAAAGGAGATAGTGTGTGTGAAGTGCCCAGCACAGTGTCTAATACACAATAGGTATTCAACTAATGTCAGTCCTTAATGAAAATGTCATCTCTCTTGGAGAGGGTTAGTGAGCAGAGTGATTTGTCACTCATTCCTTATGGAGATTGGATATCTGCCCTGGAGAGGGATAGAATGAGGGCACTGGATACCCTAATGAAGGTGGAAGAAGATCTAAAAAGGAATTTGAAGCAGGGCAAGGAGGCAGGAGCAAAGATTACAGAAAACTGAAAAGCCACTTCACCTACTGTGTGGCTTTTCCATGGATGAGCTCTGGCCTCACCCCAAGGGTGGAGTTAGCATAGGGGTCTTTGGTGTGATGTGAAAAACACTTTCACCCCCATACTCACTTCAGCTGCTCTACCCTCTGCAGAGACTTGAAACATGACTGTGATGGGGCAAAGAAGTTGGTCTTTCCTTGAAAAACTCAGACCCTTGCAAGAGATCAGAAGATACAAAATTTCACTCAGGCTCTTTCAAAGAATTCTCCTCTTTTTGTATCTTAAGGCCAAAAGCCTTCTGCTTCCTTGTGGTAAAATGCAGACACTTGTGTGCTTTCTTCAAAGCAAACACTCCCCGCTGATGGATTCAAACATTTTGACTGAACTCATTCAAATTCCCATCAGTTTAGCCAATTGATGTCATCTCAAATATCTGTCAGCACAACCAGCCAAGTCGATTAGACACCTGGTCTTTTTAGTTAGCTAACTTGTTATTTCCAAAAACAAAAATAAAAAATCAAGATAAAAATAACCCATCAATTTAGTTAGCAACTGACTGATAGATTCTATCAAAAAAGTACATTTTGTCAAACAATTTTGCTTTTTTTTCACTGAATCTACTGAATCAATCAGTTGTTGGGATAGAGTGGTATTGAGCAGATGTGTCAGCTTGCTGAACAAGCAGGGAGGGGAACATCACAAATGAATCATCACAAAGATTCCATCAGAATGACCACTGCTCAATCATTCACAACAGTGAGAAATGGAATCCTGGTAAGTGTACAACAGGTGATCCCCAATCACAGCAATTTTGTGCTTTGAAGAGCATTTTTCTATTCTTTCTAGAAATTTGCTCTTCCTGTCTCTTGTTGGTCCATAATTGATAAGAACATGCGTGTGGTTTCCCAGAGAGTGGTCTGATCTTTGTCCTAGATTAACCATTGACAATCAACAAGCAGATGACAGAGTCACTGAAAACTGAGAGTTCACTGTATTTATTGGGGTCTCTTGAATAGTGTATTACATTGAATTAATTCTGAAAGATGTGAGTCCTACCCAAGACCAGAGAGTTATGATAAATTCAGTGGTTGATGTAGTCTCTAGGGTTACAATCAGGGTATTTCTTCGTCAAAACTGAAACCATTATAACTAGCCTTTTCTATTCTCCTCCCTCTGCCTTTACTCTTTTTCAACCCTCGGCTCTCATCCCCTCTCATACAGCCCCTCCCAGGATGCCCAGAATCCTAACAGTGTGCCAGAGCTCTCCCAGTGGAGGAATCATCTAATAGACTAAGTCACCCTAAAGAGTCATTGACTTGATGTGCTAATTCTTACCAGGGGTGCTTGTTTTTCAAAAGAAGATACCTGAAGTGGTCTGTGCTTACCCCAAAGGAGTGAGTCACTAATGGCATAATTTCAGATGCCAGGTAACTGGAGAGGGTCTAAGAGTCAGAAGACATGCTTTTAACAAAACTATGTATTTGAAGAACAGTCTTACTTAGAGAACCAGAACATATTTACTTTCAAATGTCTTCATACATAATTAAGTGGCTCACTTTCGTTGGATTCAAATTTTCCATTGGTCAGATTTTCTCCTGGTCACAGACACTTCTGCAACAGGAATAAGCTGATTATTTATTACTAGTCACTCACACCTATAATTCACTTTTCCAATTTTTCTCTGTTGCCTATGTAGTGCCATTTTGTCAATCCCCGTGGTTTATTGACTGAGTTTTGATGGCTGGGGTAAACAAATTACTTCAAGAATGAATATGATGCAAAAAAGTCATTTCTCACTGCGTTCTAAATGATGAAATTGGTGTGAGATCCAGTTAATCCTAATGTCAGGAAGCCATTCACCATCATGTGGAGGCATGTTACCATAGCCTCCTATCAGCAGCATAACTTTGTATGGTACATAATATTTACCATTTTAAAATTCTAAGTAAATATCTGACAATATCCAGATCAAATGATTTTGCAGTTAAAATACTCCAAATCATGCAGTCTACTCCTTTAAAACCCATTGAAAATATAGCGCAGAGAAACAACTCTGCTTTATAAATGCATCAGGAACATCAGTAACAAACAGGTCCACATTCTTATGTTATATCAGAGGATACATATGGGGTCTAGTGAAACTCTGCACAGTCAGAACCAAGCATGTGCCTACTTCAGTGGTCTCCAAATTTCTTTACTGTGCAATTCCATTAGAAAAATATTTTTGGGCAGTCACCCCCAATATGTTTCTTTAAATATAAATTACATATGTGTACATACATCAGCTAATATGTCAAGGCACAATGCACACTTAGGTGAGGGTCATCTTTAATGTCAATGAATGTAAATCCTTGTTTAAAGTAGACTTCACAGTTTTGGCATTTTGGAGGGCCTAATCTCATCGTGGCTGATTAGATTATCATTGCCTTTACTTTTACAGTGTAGGTGGTGATGAGCTCACAATCAGAACAAAGGAACCAATAGCCCTACCATTTTTGTATAAATTATTTGGGCTTCTATTAGTCTTCTTTGCAAGACTCTGATTAATATGAGTGTCAATTTTGTGTACATCCTTCTGCACAATGAGGCTTCCACTCTTCCCCGCAGTGATCATCATCATAATACAATATTGATAACCAATAGGAAGCACTAATCAAGGCAGTCTGGCTCCAGGGCCTGCATGAGCAACCACCAGCATCTTAACTTTGCAATGCTGATCTTCACGCACGGTAGACAAGGACCACATGTGACAGGTAACAACTTGAAAGACAATCCTAGCCAGGCTAGTAAAGCTTGATTTCCTTCTTAACCTCTGAATAAAAATATACATAAAAGTTCTAATATTTTCTACCCATGCACTGATGGACTGTCTCATGTACCCCTCAGGGCAAACTCCCCACTTTGGGGACCACTGGTTTTAGTTCACCTTAAAATATAACCCCCTCTGGAGAAGAGGGTGAAGATGCCCACTGACACAAATCAGACTTTATGTTCTGCCAGGACTTTTGACCTCCCGGGGGCACAAAGAAGCATTAAAGAGTCTTAAATGAGAGGTGATGGGATTCAATGATTAGATCATTATTCTGATTGCGGTAAGAAGAATGGACTGTGGAGGATGCACAGATAACAGGAGAAATAATAATGGTCTGAGTTAAGGTTGCAGCCTTGAAACTGGAGAGAAGTGGGCAGAATCACAAAATATTAAAGATTTGGTTATTAATTAAACTTGACCAAGGTTAAACAGCTGGTAGGCAGCAGAGCTAAATTTAGATCCCAGGTCTCCTCACTCCCAATGCAATGATTTTTCTTCTGATTTGCCATGTCAGAGAACACCTGGTCCCTCCATTTTATCCTCTCCCAGAAAGATAGGTTATCAGGAGCCTAGCATGGAACAGCAGCCTGCAGTCTCCAGAAGGGTGATGAAGGAAGGCTACAGGAGAGGAAATGCACTGCCTTTTCCAGGTACATTTATCTTTGCAGGATCCATGAGACCACTACATGAAAATCTGTTTTCGGGGTATTGAGTTCCATACTGAAATAACACATTTCCCACTGACAACAAACAGAAACTCCAAGTAACTATTCAAGTCCAGACTTTAATAAAAACCATAACCCATCCAGCTGGAGGCGGGGAGGTGATGAGGAAGTATCAAGTTGGGGGAAGGAGAAACAGCCCCTTTTAATCACTCCCACCAGGGAACCCTCATCTCTCCTGGGCTATTTGAAATCCTTACTCCTTTATGCTAAAAAGTTACCTCCTCCAAAAATTCCTTTCTAATTATTCCATCCCTCCCCTCCTCTCCCCTGCCCCAATCTCATGTAACACTATCTGGTTCCTTTCTTATGGCATCCATCAATGAGAGTTCAGCATAGGAAACAGAAATCACTACAGGTATTTTAAGCAGAAAAAGATTTAATAGAGAGATATAAGGGCTTACAAAATTTGGGGCAGGGTTGCGGGAGGGAGCTCTAGAGGTGGGTCGGAAATTACTCCTGGAACTCCGCAAAACTGATCTACCATAAGAGCCACTACCTCCAAGGCCACCACTGAAACTATTGCATTCAAGAACCCACCACTGTATTCTAGGAATCAGTCAGCCACAATCACGATGCCACTGTAGTTACTGCTTCTCAAACCCCGTAAAGCTGGTGGCTGAGCACTGAATGGCAAGAAAACATATGCCCATGACCTTACTTTCATCAGAAAATAGCCAAAAAGAGCAGGAAAAAATCTTTTGTTTCACTCTCACCTTCTAAATTTTACCTAAATGCCTATAACTGACAAAGTCTAATTAAAAAAAAAAAAACAAAACAAAAACAAAAAAAAAAAACACTGGCTGCAAGGAATGCTAAGAAATCTAATTTTTAGTTATCTAGCCTCTTGGGTATAGTAAGGTACACTAGGAGGAGGACTGAGCAAGCCAGGCTCAGGTTCCGCCACAGGAATTTTCCACATAATACATCCTACGTTGTTTTTATGTGTCTGATCATCCCTCAGTTCCTGGAGGGCAGGAATCATGTATTTCCCATCCTCAAGGCTACAGACATTGCAAATGAGAGGTTCTTGCTAAGGATAGACAAATAATTAAATGATGGAACACTTCGACTGTTTTAATATTTTCTTACTTTGCTTTCTGATTTTTTTTTTCATGCATTTAAATGTTGTCTCTGCATTCAATCTCGCTGAAGGCAATGTTGGTTAAGTACTTCTTGGGTATGTCCCCAAGGGGTAGCCAGAGGGTTTGGTATGTAATTCTTCAATTAGTGGGTTGTGTCTTCAAAACCAATCCCCAGTCAGGGTTTTTTCCCCTAGAGATATTTATGCCCCATAAGACTCAACCAATAGGAAACTAACTTCCTGCAAAACTGTGAAACCAACAGATCTTTCTTACATGGTCTGTCATCCCATTTTGTCAGCAGACTACCTCCAAATTTATAGGCAAGTGCTCTCTACATGATTCTACATGGTTGCTAGGAAGGATTAAATAAGATAACATAGGTACCAGTACCTACCACATAGTTGGTACTCAGCAAATATTAGTTACTTCCTTTCACCAAGAACCTTTTCCTCCATAAAAAGTATACCTTTTTTGGGTTCCTGCTAGGAGACCACCTTATCTGATCCTTAAAGAGCTATTAATGGCTAATGTATTCATTATCTATCAAGGTGTGACAAATTGCCCCAGGTGTGACAAATTGCCCAAACTTAGCAACATAAAATGATAAACACTTATTATCTTCTTAATGTCTCTGGACAGGAATCCAGGAGGAGCGTAACTGGGTTTTTCTGGCTGAGGCTCTCTAATGAGACTGCAGTCAAGATGTCAGTCAGGGCTGCTGTCACCTGAAGGCTTGACTGGGGCTGGAAGATCCACTCTCAAAGTTGCTCACTTACATGACTGGCAAGTTGATGACAAGAGCTCTCAGTTCCCCTGTAAGGAACTCCATAAGGTTGCTTGTGTGTTGTCATAACATGGCAGTAGTTTCCCCCAGAGCAAGTGACACAAGAGTGCCTCTCAGTCCTTGAAACAACCAAAAGATTCTCTCCAATGCCTCCATTCTCTACTCCTACCCTACAGTGGGAACTGCTATGACCCCATTCCTGGGCATTAACAGTTACTTTCTGGTTTCCGTTAGAGTACGATGAATTTTTTCTTGTTCACTGTTGAATCCCCTGTGACTGGTACATAATAGGTGCTCACCAAATGCTTTTGAATGAACACTATCTGGTACAGGATGTGCTACAGAGAAATCGGTGCTTTAGAAAGATTAACCTTCCAAATATTTACTTCAGCAGATCCACTCTCATTAAATCCCTGATGGTTGGAGTCTTTAGCACTTGTGAACAACCCCAGAAAAGATGGGAGGAGAGAGGTGAAAACTGACACTTGTTGATACCCACTATATACAGTACACTGGGCCCTCTGTGTGTTGCCTTACAAGGCAGTTCTCACCATCCCTGCCTCATGGATTAGGAGGATTCTGTGCCCAACATGGCTCCGGAGTAAGTAGAAGAGCTGCAATTTGGCTCTTGGGTCCATGCTCTTTTTGTTCCAACTGCTATGACCGTCCCAGTGCGTTTTGCTCATCAACACTCACCCTCCTTTTAGAAAACATATCTTCAGAGATTTCACAACAAGCTCAATTTACTTTCCAGTGATGTCCAGACAAATTCCATCTTTTCAGAGTTTTGGCTGTTTAAATATAACCAACTTATCTGTCCCATTACCTCAGTCAAGCTTCAGAGGATTTAGACAACAAGCATCTTGGCAAATGCCTTCCAGCCACTTCCAGCATGCACACATCCCTTAATGCTCAACTAATGCAACTCTAAGTAGCTTCTTTGGGAAGTAGCTTCTTTGGGAATGTAATAAAAGCTCATTTTGTAAATCTGGTTAGGCGTGAGGGGGGCATGGAATAAAACTGGAATTTGCAAAGTTCTTCCTTCATGCCAGGTCCCCTCTGCATTTTCTCCTTGGGTAGCTGGTCCAGAGGATGTCTATTTCAAAGTCTAGCTGGTTTGCCAGGAGCCACAGGGCAATGGAAAAGAAGAGCCCTAGTGTTGCTTCTCAGGGAAGATTGTTGCTTCATCCTACACAGGATTCTGGGAGGAGGGGAAGAAGCCCCACCAGGGAGTCTTTGGAGGCTCACAGGCTGTTGCCCCCTTCAGAGTAGGGACAAATGGCTCAGGAGCATCCATCTGTCTCCCTGTCTCCCTGCTCCCATCTCCTCTTTAAGCTTGTTTGGCTTCCTTCTTGGCACATCCCTTCCTGCCATCACACCTACTGCTCCTGCACTGTGGCTTCATTTTCTCTCCTCTCCTCCTTTACCTCATTTTCTCCTTATTCTCCTTCCTTTCTTTCTTGTATCTATCTAAAACTTCCCAATCCTTTCACTCTTTCATTCCTTTGTGCCAATCATAACTACATTATTTCCCTTCTCACTACCTCCACAAAATGTCCCTTTCCACTCCAGGTGAGGCTTTTTATGTCTTTTCTTCTTTGGTAATGCACAGTTATTATTCAACTACTTATGGTTTTTACTAGAGCTCTCCATTAAGGCATCCACCACCCACTGCCAGCATTCCTCATTGGAGTTTATACCAAGACTCCATGAGGGTACCACAATTAAAGCCTCCTAAGTTTGGTTCACCTCAACCTAAGTCCAGAGGGCCCATGCTTCTGTTCCCATCAGGGTTGGGCAAATCAATAACCGATCTGTCTCTCCTCTCTATTCTCTTGTGTGAGTTTACAAAGAAAAGGTGAGCATTTCATTTAGCTATTTCAGTAACTGAGCAAGACTCCATTTCCAAAAGTGATACACTTTTATTTCTGAAATTGTGTACCACCTATAACTAGATTCCTCAGGAGCATGCCATTGCTTCAACCCTGAGCAGGCTGCTTAGGAAGCAGTGATTTAAATTCCACTGGCCAAGACACAAGCTGAAAAAGACTGAGGTGCTTGCCATTTCCTTTCATCTGGAGATGCAGGATGCAAATGGCATTTAATTAAAGTCATAAATCTAGTTTTTGTTTAGTTGGTTTTGCTGTTGCTAAATCTAATCTGATTTTGCTTGCTTACTGAATGCTTTGACCACTAAGCAAAAATTGTAAAATAAATGAAGATAGTTTCCAGCCCCTCTCCCACCATCCCCTCTCCCTTCTTATAGCTGTCTGCACCCCAGCACTGCCCCATTACACCCCTGAGAAGCCTGTGTGCAGACCTGAGTGAGCCCAGGAATCACCTAAGGTGTTATTCAAAATACAGATTCTGTTATGGGGGTGGGGCTGAGAGCCTGCATTTCTAACAAGCTCCCAGGTGAAGCTGATGCTGAACCCTCATTCACCTGGAGTAGCAAGGGCATAAAATGTGTGCAGAAAGAGCATAGACAGAAAGATCTAGGTCAGGGTTTCTCAATCCTGGCTGAACATTACCATTACCTAGGGAGCTTTTAAAAATTCCAGTGCCCGGGTTACACCAATTAAGTCAGAATCTCTGGGGAAGGGACCCGGTCATCAGCATTTTTTAAAGTCCCTAGATAAAGATGACTGTGTGCTGTCAAGATTGAGGATCTCAGTTCTCAGGGCTTCAAGGAAGGAGTGTTCACATCCACTGAACACTGAAGCTGAAAGGGAAGGGGAAGGCATTCTAGAAACAAGGCTGTAACTGAACTAAAAGGAACCCCTGTCTCCTGGTAGGTTTCAGCTCTTGTCAATAGACCAGCAGGAGGCATATGTTGGGAATGGTAGGCTTTGCAAAACTCTGTAATTCCAACACCCCATGGAATTCCAGACTGGTCTAGTGTGGCCACACACATCCATTGATGGTCTTCTTTCACCTAGAGGTTTGTTTTGCTCTAACCCTGGTCTTCCCCAACACCCACAGATCACCAATGAGGTGGCAGCATCACCACCTACTACCTGTCAGTCTTCCACCAAGTCAGGATAAAAGCATGACTTAGGGTCTTCTTGTACAGAAAATGTGTGCTGAAAGCCAGTTTTAAAGGAGTGTAGGTTTACTGCCTGCGATGACCCTAAAACACATTTTGCCAGGATGAGAAACACCACGTAAGGCACAGAGGATCGGCACACCCAGGTGCTCCACTAGGAGAACTAGGGCCCATCAGCTGGTGCTTAAGAAGACCTGAGATTCAACACCAGCCCATTAAGCATTTTCCCTACCCTCACCAAACACCAGCCTCCTCCCATTCCAAACACCCCCATTCTGACTGCAAGTTATCCTTTTCCCCACCAGGAATACCTTTAATAGTCATCTGACTCCGAGCTTTACCTGAATAAGAAGCTCTTAGGACAGCATCTGATGGTATCTGTCCCGATTTCTACCCCCTCCCAGGGACAGCCCTTCCTCTTGACTCCAAAGCCATGTTGTTCTTAGAAAATAAACATCTGTGCAGGAAAAGGGGATCAAGGTTCTGTTGAAAAGGAAGAAGGTAGCTCAAGGGCCTAAAGGACATGCCACACTGAGCCCTTACAGAGGTCAAGTGCAGGAGAAGTGCATCCTCACCAAAAGGAAGGAGAAGGTCTACATACCAGCCCAGCTTGCACAAAGGAAGACCCAGCTTCACACCATGGCACAGCACCTGAAAGGAGACGTGTGTTTATACACATTGAATCCAAAGACAAAAAGCTTAAGCTACATAAGGCCCAGCTCTAGGGAGAAGAATTAAGGACTCACATGCCCACAGTCATTGGATGAGGGAGAGAACCTTAGGGAAGAGTCCAGGGCCCAACACAAAGAGGTTGGGAATGCTGTTGAGCAAAGAAGGCTGAGACAGTCTTAGCTCCTGTGTCAACTCACTGTGTGGCCCATGAAGCAGGTACCCTCACATCACTGACCCTGCAAAACAAGAAGAAGAGCACCATCTATAGCTTACACCCCATCATGAGATTGATTGAGGAAATAAATTCAGTTTGAGGAAGGAAAGTGCTTTGTAACATATAAAATACCATGTGCATGGTGACTTCAAACAGTACAGAATTTGTAAAGTTCATAGTCTGCAATCTTCAGTGAATACTTCACTCATTCATCAAATATTTATTGAGCACCTATTGTGTACAAGATGCTATACTTCAAGAAAACAAGGAAATTGCCGATAAGGGGCTCCTGGCTGTCTCCTAGAGATGAGACATATACATAAACAGCAATGACAGATAGCTGAGGCCTGGAAAAGGAAAGATAAAGAGCTCTCAAGCAGTTGCTGCTGCTCCCAGCCTCCATTTAAGGTGTTTACTCAGAGATCTTCCAGCCCAAGGTCAACAGAGAGAACTGCCCAGAGCTCAGTGGGAAAGAGCAAGGATGGCTCAGACTCTGCGGGCTGGCAAGATAAGCAAATCAGCTGGTCAGAATATTATGTGCCCATGACATTCCAACATGGCAAGGTTAACTTCTTAGAACATGCAGAATAGCATTTAAACTCCTTACCCATCTCTCTACTGCCTGAATTCACTTTTGATTGGGGTTCTTGGACAATGGCCCTGAAGATGCTCAGACACACCCACATGAATACATCACTCACAGCATAAGCATGAACAATTAAAATCGCTAATGTTTATTAGCTACTTAATATGTGCTAGGCACTGCACTAAGCAACTTGCATGCATTATTTCTTCTGAAACAATCTTATGAGGTAGGCACTATTATTGTCCTCACCTCACAGATGGGATGAGAAAACCAAGACACAGAGAGGTTGTGGGGCTTCCCCAAGGATGCACAGCTAAGTAGGTGGGTGGTAGGGTTTGGCTCTGTGTCCCCACCCAAATATCGTTTGGAATTTTAATCCTCATATTCCCCATGTGTCAAAGTCGGACCCAGTAGGAGGTGACTGGATCATGGGGGCAGCTTCCCTATGCTGTTCTCATGATAGTGAGTTTTCACAAGGTCTGATAGTTTTATAAGTGTTTGGCAAGTTCCTCCTTCTCACACACTCTCTCTCTCCTGCTGCTATGTGACAAGGTCCAAGTTTGCTTCCCCTTCTTCTGCCATGACTGTAAGTTTCCTCAGGTCTCCCCAGCATTGTGGAAATGTGAGTCAATTAAACCTCTTTCCTTTATAAATTACCCAGTCTTTGGCAGTTTTTTTTTGTTGTTGTTTTTTGAGACAGTCTCACTCTGTCGCCCAGGCTGGAGTGCAGTAGCGCAATCTCGGCTCACTGCAAGCTCCGCCTCCCAGGTCCACACAATTCTCCTGCCTCAGCCTCCCGAGTAGCTGGGACTACAGGCGCCCGCCACCATGCCCAGCTAATTTTTTGTATTTTTAGTAGAGATGGGGTTTCACCGTGGTCTTGATCTCCTGACCTCGTGATCCGCCCGCCTCAGCCTCCCAAAGTGCTGGGATTACAGGTGTGAGCCACTGCGCCTGGCCAGCAGTTTTTATAACAGTATGAAAACAGACTAATACAGTAAATTGGTACCAAGATAGTGGGACAGTGCTATAAAGATACTTGAAAATGTGGAAGCAAGTAGGGAACTGGGTAACAGGCAGAGGTTGGAACAGTTTGGAGAGCTCGGAGGAAGATAGATAGAAAGATGTGGGAAAGTTTGGAACTTCCTAAAGACTTGCTGAATGATTTTGACCAAAATGCTGATAGTGATATGAACAGTGAAGTCCAGGCAGAGGTGGTCTCAAATGGAGATGAGGAACTTGTTGGGAACTGGAGTAAAGGTCACTCTTGCTATGCTTTAGCAAAGAGACTGGTGGCATTTTGCCACCTCCCTAGAGATCTGTGGAACTTTGAACTTGAGAGAGACGATTTAGGATATCTGGCAGAAGAAATTTCTAAGCAGCAAAGCATTCAAGAGGTGACCTCGGTGCTCTTAAAAGGATTCAATTTTATGCATTTACAGAGAGATTGTTTGAAATTGGAACTTATGTTTAAAAGAGAAGTAGAGCATAAAAGTTGGGAAAATTTGCAGCCTGACGATGTGATGGAAAGAAAAACTCATTTTCTGGGGAGAAATTCAAGCTGGCTGCAGAAATTTGTCTAACCAGAAGCCAAATGTTAATCGCCAAGACAATGGGGAAGATTACTCCAGGGCATGTCAGAGAACTTTGCAGCAACCCTACCATCCTGGGCCCAGAGGCCTAGGAGGAAAAACAATGGGCTGGTCCAGGGCCCCACTACTGCCCTATGCAGCCTCGGGACTTGGTACCCTGCATCCCAGCCATGGCTAAAAGGGGCCAGTGTACAGTTCAGGCCATTGCTTCAGAGGGTGCAAGCCTCAACCCATGGCGGCTTCCATGTGGTGTTGAGCCTGCAGGTGCACAGAAGTCAAGAATTGAGGTTTGGGAACCTCCACTTAGATTTCAGAGGATGTATGAAACGCCAGGATGTCCAGGCAAAAGTTTGCTGCAGGGGTAGAGACCTCATAGAGAACCTCTGCTAGGGCAGTGCAGAAGGGAAATGTGAAGTTGGAGCCCCCACACAGAGTCCCCACTGGAGGACTGCCTAGTGGAGCTGTGAGAAGAGGACCACCGTACTCCAGACCCCAGAATGGTAAATCCACTGTCAGCTTGCACTCTGCACCTGGAAGAGCCACAGACACTCAACACCAGCCTGCGAAAGCAGCAGGAGGAGAGCTATACCCTGCAAAGCCACAGAAGCAGAGCTGCCTGAGTCTGTGGGAGCCCACCTCTTGCATCAGCATGACCTGGATATGAGACATGGAGTCAAAGGAGATTATTTTTGAGATTTAAGATTTAATGACTGCACCACTGGATTTTGGACTTGCGTGGGGCCTGTAGCCCTTTGTTTTGGCCAATTTCTCCCATTTGAAATGGGAGCATTTATCCAATGCCTCCTGCACCCCCACTGTATCTTGGAAGTAACTAACTTGCTTTTTTTTTTTTTTTTTTTTTTGAGACACAGTTTGCTCTGTCACCCAGGCTGGAGTACATTGGCACTATCTTGGCTCACTGCAACCTCCACCTCCCAGGTTCAAGAGATTCTTCTGTCTCAGCCTCCCAGTAGCTAGGACTACAAGTGTGTGCCACCACACCCTGCTAATTTTTGTATTTTTAGTAGAGACAGGGTTTCACCACATTGGCCAGGCTGGTCTCGAACTTCTGACGTCAAGTGATCCACCCGACTCGGCCTCTCAAAGTGCTGGGATTACAGGCGTGGGCCGCCGCACCCGGCCATTTGCTTTTGATTTTACTGGCTCATAGGTGGAAGGGACTTGCCTTGCCTCAGATGAAACTTTGGACTTTGACTTTCAAGTTAATACTGGAATAAGTTAAGACTTTGGGGGACTGTTGCTAAGGCACAATTTTGTTTTGAAATGTATAAAGAACATAATATCTGGGAGGGGCCAGGGGCAGAATGATATGGTTTGGCTCTGTGTCCACACCTGAATATCATCTCAAATTGTAATCCCAGTAATCCCCATATGTTGAGGGCAGGACCCAGGGCAAGGTGACTGGATCATGGGAGCGGTTTCCCCCATGCTGTTCTCGTGATAGTGAGTGAATTCTCACAAGATCTGATGGTTTTATAAGTGTTTGGCAAGTTCCTGCTCCACACCATCTCTCTCTTCTGCCGCCATTTGAGAAGGTCCAAGTTTGCTTCCCCTTCGCCTTCCACCATGACTGTAAGTTTCCTGAGGCCTCCCCAGCAATGTGGAAGTGTGAGTCAATTAAATTTCTTTTTTTTTTTTTTCTAATAAATCACCCACTCTCAGGTAGTTCTTTATAGCAGTATGAGAATGGACTATTGCAGTGGGGGAGCCAGGATTTGAATCCAGGTATTCTGTCTCCACTGTGCCACCACTGTCTAATAACACTAAAATTAACTACCTAGAGCCACCTCGGGGCAGCTTGTGTATATAAGTATGTGTGCATGTGTGTATGTGTAGGGGTGTATGTGTGTGTGTGTGTGTGTGAGAGAGAGAGAGAGAGAGAGAGGGAGAGAGAGAGACTACTACATTGTGAAATAGTCCACCACACAAGCCAGAGCAGAGGTCACCATGCTCCTAAGAGGCCAGGAAGGCACCATGGCCATGTTAGGGGTGGGTGTGTGAGCAGGATGTGTGTGAGTAAAGGAGATCAATATTCGTGCATGTGGAACTGAATTGGAGGTAGCTGTGGGACCTCAGGAGGCCACCTGCCCAGAACAGTGGCACACACTGCAGAGAAGCTGAAAATTGTCTTGGGCACAAGTGGAGCACCCCTGGGTAGAACCGAGGGAGATTGAGAACAGTTGCTATCTTCAGAGCTTTTTAACTTCTCCCCCTAAGTAGCCTCAACTGATGGGAGAATTGACACATTACCCCTACGTAATAGGTGGGCACAGCCTGAAGCAGCCACCTGCAGACTCTACATTTCTTCCCTTTATATTTTATTTTAATAATATAAAGAGTTGCATTTGACTATTTTATAAACCATGTTTGCTTAAATATACAACTATTATTCTATATTAGTTCATATCAAGCTCAATCAGCATTCCAGAAAACTGTGCTTCTCAGTGCCCTGGGCATTGACTACTCTGGCTCAGAGTTTCATGCCCAGTTTCAGGAGCGAAGCACTCAGACATGGAGCACCTCAGAAGGTTTTTGAGCAGTGGCACGACCAAGTCATGTTTTAAGATAATTTACCCATCACCAGTGGCAAGGTGGAGAAAAACTGGGGAGACTGAAGTGAGGGAAATCAGCTAGAAGGTGACCTGCGTTGGGGAGGGCCTGGCTTAAAGGGAGATAATGGGCTGATCCAGACTGAGGGCTCTGAAGGAGAACTCGATGGCTGAATAATTGCAACTGATGGAATGCAAGAGGCAATAAATAAATTGCCATTTATTCATGGGATGAGAGGGCTCAATATGTGGAACATTGAAGGGTCACCCCACTTTAGAAGTGTCACATAAGGACCGGGTGCAGTGGCTCACACCTGTAATCCTAGCACTTTGAAAGACCAAGGTGGGCGGATTGCCTGAGCTCAGGAGTCTGAGACCAGTCTGGGCAACATGATGAAACCCCGTCTCTACTAAAATACAAAAAATTGGCTGGGCATGGTGGTGTGCGCCGGTAGTCCCAGCTACTAAGGAGGCTGAGGCAGGAGAATTGCTTGAACCCGGGAGGTGGAGGTTGCAGGGAGCCGAGATTGCGCCACTGCACTCTAGCCTGGGCAACAGTGGAGACTCCATCTAAAACAAAGAAAAAAGTGTCACATAAGAAGGGTGTGACGATCTCCTATGAGATTCTTCCAAACACAAGCTAAGGAGGAGCATCAAAAGAGGTCAAGTGGTCTGCTCTCTCCCCCACCTCATCTCACAGCCACTGCAGGCTCCTCAGAGCTTTTCTGCTGGAGGCCAGAATTCCCCTGCCAGGCTCTGGTTAGATTCTCAGCTGCAGAACCCCAGCCCTGGCCCTGCAGCAGAAACCAGAAAGATAAAGCCCCTGGCCCACTGGCCACCAGCCATCTCTAACCCCAGCCAGTCCTCAGAGGACCCAGAGGAGGTGGTGCTGCCTCTGACTCCTGCCCCACCCAGCCTGACCCGCTGGCCCCAGTGAGTCAGTCTCCTCTCAGCCCAGATCAGACTTACTAACTTGGAGCTGCCAAGAAAACTCTGAGCCACCCCTAATAAAAGCCGGCACTCAGCCAGGCTCTTATACAACCCAGCCCTGAGTAAGGCACCTCTCAGCCCAGCTACTGGACTGTTTACCTGCCTTGTCTTCTTAGTGCCCAGGTGTCTCCTGGATTCCTCCCCTCCCTGATCTCCCTGATGTGTGATCCACCAGTCCAGGGGCCTCATCTGTCCCCATTCTGGCAGCCTGACCAAACATCCACCTAGCCCCACACACCTGATTTTTCACCTTCAGAGTCTACCAACTCAGGGATGAGTGAAGCCAGTGCTCCCAGGGACCCAGCCTGACTCACTCAGCAAGGTCCTTTCAGAATGATGCTGTCACTGAGATCCTGGTGGCAAGATGGCAGAGAGTCTGGGGTTGTGTTTGGTGAGCCAGAGTGAAGGACAATCAAGCAGACTGCCCTAGAAAAATGAAGGCTTAGGATCAACCTCTGAAGTGCTCTTAGGTGGGAAAAGGAGTCCCTGTATCCTGTGCAGGTATAATGGACAGAACTGGAAACAGCAAAGAGAAAAAGTCCCAGGGACTTGATGTCAGCTCCACAGATACAAGGGTTTCTAGTAAGCAGGGCTGTTCTCAACAAGACCAACCTGCCTCATGGGAAAGGGACCCCAGCCAGGAGAAGCTAGGTATCCAGAGGTGTTAAAGAATGGATTCCTTCATCATTTCAGAGAGGACATCCCTCTTGGTTCTAAGGTTGTAGAAATTTATGGAAACTCTCCTTGCATCAATTGCAAGGTCTTAGGCAAAATATATCAATCCAACTAATATTCTGGAGAACCTGCTAATCACTTTTACTTCTCCAGAGCTGCTGTGGTCTCAATAACTGAGTTGGTTAGAAGATGAAGTAAGGCCAGGCACAATGGCTCACGTCTGTAATCCCAGCACTTTGGGAGGCCCAGGCCAGTGGATTACCTGAGGTTAGGAGTTCAGGACCAGCCTGGCCAACATGGTGAAACCCCGTATCTACAAAAAATACAAAAATTAGCCAGGCGTGGTGGCAGGCGCCTGTAATCCCAGCTACTCGGGAGGCTGAGACAGGAGAATTGCTTGAACCTGGGAGGAGGAGGTTGTAGTGAGCCGAGATTGCACCATTGCACTCCAAGCTGGGTGACAAGAGCGAAACTCTGTCTCAAAAAAAAAAAAAAAAAAAAAAAAAAAAAGAAGTAGTAAATGGGGCCATTTGAGATTCATCCCCAGATGACCAGGGGACTGGTATACTTAAGCCCAAGAGACTAGGGATAGGGAGAGAGCTTTGACTCTGCACTAATTCACACCAACAACTCAAGAAATCCCTTTGAACATGGGCCCCTTACATCCCAGGGCAGCAGGAGCATACGAAATAGGCACAGCCCCTCTTCACTGGGCATGGGCGTGTTTCTGCAATTCTACTGGAGATGGATGATCTTTAGGAGAAAATAATCAGGAAAAGAATTTCAAAATTAGTACAATAGAGCAGGAGCCACAGTTTTTCTAACCATTGGAAGAATTTGGGTCCAAACCTAGACACTAAGGACTCCTGACAGTCTGGTTCTCACACCCTAGTTTTGTCTTTGATTGCCTGCTGACATCTCTCCCATGCTGTAGCAGAGTCCATGCTGGGACTTGCTTGCCCAAACCATGTATTTTCTCAGGCATTTCTCTGGAGTGTGCTCCTCTTTCTCACCTGCTTAGCCAAGTCCTGACATGGAAGCTGAGCCCAGTCTCCCCAGGGCTGGGAGGGCAGGGCAGCCGCTCTGTGCTCTCTGCACCGCCCTCTTGCCCTCTGCCCTTGTGCCTCCTGCTCAGGACACAGTGCCTGCTCACTGCTTCTCCTGGGCACTCGAATGTGAGCCCTTTGCAGGCAAGGACTGGGCCTTCCAGCAATGATCCCTCCAGGGTAGCCCACAGGCGAACGGTAGATATTCAACAAGGAGGGTTCTTACAAAGAGGATGGAGGAGCTGGTCTGTTTTGGGAGCCCCTTGCCAGACATTTGAGGCCTGGTTTTTGGAGAGACGTGGGACTGATCCAAACAGCCTCTCTGTCCATATTTCTGAAGGAGAAGAGGAGGTGTGGGCAGCCAAGGAGAGTCTGAGTGCGCCAAGCAGATCATTATGTGTTCTTGGAAGCAGGTTTAATGGACTGGCGCTGAGCTGAGCTGGGAACGGGCTGAGGCCCTCAGCCCGGACGTGGCTCGGGCAGGGATTTCACATCCAGTTCTAACAAGTGGCGACGCCTTATGGAAACTTTTGAAAGCTGTTCCGTTTCACACCAGCCAGCTTGTACTTCATCTGGCTGCTCCCACCCTCTCTCCCTTCAATTTGGGAGCACGAGAAGAGGGAAAAGTAAGATCACTAAGCGCCTACTATGTGCCAGGAACCAAGTCAGCAATTTCACTGTCCTGAGAAGCCTACGTTGCCCTTCGGAGACATGGAGGCCCACGCGGCCCCGAGTGGCAGAGCAGGGAGGCAGGAGCAGCCCCACCTCACAGCCTGTGCTCCTTCCGGATGCGGAGACTTGCTCTCCACAGGGCCATTGGTGCTGCATGTCTCGCCCCCTACCCCAAAGCCAAAATTCCCCGTTGTAACAGAGTAAACATTCCCGTGGCAAAGGAACGCTGTATTCCCTAGAGGAGGTGCAAGGCCCTGTTCCTGCAGAGGATACATAGGATTGAGAAACACAACAGCGGGCTGAGGCCCTGGACCCAGGCGCTCAAGGGCCAGCCACTCGGCTGTGCATGGCCCAGCCAGGCAGTCAGAGTAATGGAGAGCGCAGTGGGGAACTGGGTCTAACCTTGACTCTGCAGCAAACTGCTCATTTTCTGGGTCCTGCAAATGTCACAATGAGGTGAGCTTGCTCTGGAAAATGCTGAGAGCAACATACACATGAGAAACAATTCCTATTTTGCTTTTCAAGGACATGATTTATCTGTAAATGGAAATATTGTCTGCATACAGAAGGGACTCAAAGGTGGAGTACCTTTTTGGAGAGTACCCTAGAAAGAACTTCCCTTGTGCAATAATAATAATAAAGGGATTTTTAGGTGTAAGGCTTTCTGTTGGGTGGTATAAATGCAGAAATTAACAAGGTAATGGCCCCTGTTCTTACAGGGATTATAAAGTAGACACATTTTTTTTTCATCAAAAGAAATATAAAAATCTTTAAATTCTTACGGTTAGGAAATAATTTCTGAGTATACCCATTCTCAACTCCTACCTGTATACTTCAGCCCCACCACTTAAAAGAACACTATATTTCCTTGATTATATGATGTATATTATTTTCATATTTTAACATTTCTAAAATCAGGATGCATCTTGAAATTATGAATGGAAGCATTTTCTTCTTTCTTTATGATACATAAAATAGTGATCAATCTTACAGCTGATAACATCTTAGATTCCATGAAATATGTTTAGGAAAAACCTTTATCATTACCACTTTTCAGCTAGACTTTTAATAGATTTCATAGCCACTGAATTTAACACAAGGCCTTTCCGGAACATATCTAGTTCATCCAGTTGTATAGTGTCATGCAGATTGTGTGTCTAGATATCTGATTGCCCCTGCTTACTTTTCATATGGTTGGCTTGGAGGGAAATTTTTACCAAGGGCCAGGGATGCTGTATCACCTCTTGGCCACCAGAGGGAGAGAGCGCATTGGAGAGGAACAGGTTCTGGGGCTTGTCGGATTTCACTGTCTCCTAAACCTTTCCAGCATGCCCCCTCTATGGCAGTGTGCCCACCCCTTACTGAAACCCTACCTACAGGGTCAGAATACAAGGAAAGGCCTCCATTCCGGAGTTATGGCAGCATCAGGGTTAGTTAGATCTGAATGACATTTGCAGACCTACACAAAAATTCACAGTGGTCTAATGAGCTCCTCCTGGGAATGAGAACGGTGCTAGACATGACAGGGGGTTCTGCCTGCAGAAAATGCATGGCTGGTGGGTGGCCCCACGCTGTTCTGAAACCACTGGAGATCCCTGAGATCCACAGAGATTTGTAAAGTTATGCAGAGAAGTGTTCCCTATCTATCAGTCACCTGTAACCTTGCTCACAGTCGCTTCCTCCCCCCCACCTCTTCCTTCCATATTTATTTATTGAACCCTTACTACATGCCACACACTGTGCTAGGAGCTGGGGTCAAAGCAATAGACAGAACAGAGGAGGCCACCGTCCTCATGAAACCTAAGTTCTGGTGGGAAGATAGAAACCATACAAATAAATATACAAATCTGCTATAAGGAAAAATACCTGGTCCCATGAGAGTATGTGACAGGAGAACATGGTGGGTGGATCTGCGAGGGTTTATTTAGCAAGTGATCATTGAGACAAAGCCTGGCAGAAGTGTAGGGGTTGACCAGGAAGAGTGAGGGAAAGGTCTTCATGCCAATGAACCAGCACTTGCAGAGGCCCTGAGGTGGAAAGTGTTCAACACCTTACAAGTACTAAAAGGAGGCCAGCATGGGGCCTGGAGTCATGGAGCCAGAAAGCAAGGGACTCACTAAAGCACAGTGGCAGCTCAGAGCCTTGCACACCCTGTCAAAGAGGTAGTTTTCCATCTGAAAGCATTGATGGGCTTTAAGCAGGGATCCAACATGAGATTAATATGGCAACTCTTCCCTGCGGGGCATGGCTTTGAGGAGAAACCTGGGAAAAAGTAGGGATATCCAAATGAAAGTCATTGAAGATGTGGTAAGAGGTGATGGTGGCTAACTGGTGACCATGAACGTGAAGGCATATTTTTTAGAGACAGAATTGTTAAATTTAGAGAGTAAGAAGAAGGGAGCATTAAGTGTGACTCCTGAGTTTTCTGAAGGAATGGCTTGGAAGGGGAAGATGACTTTTCCTAGGTGGTCACCTGTGAGGGAGGATAGGATTTGGGAAGGCAACATGATGAGTTGTTTTGGCAAATTAAGGCACTTGGAACGTCTATATGTGAGTGTAAAGTAGACAACTAAATCTGTTAATCCACTGCTCAAAACTGGGCTGGAAATGTGAGTTTTGAGGGTCATCGGCAGGGAGATGGAATACGAAGCCATGCTGAGGGCTGACGTCACCTGGGTAGGAGCACCAGGGCTGAGAAGAGGGCCCGGAACAGGGGTCTGCAAAATGCTCCTGTTACACGAAGAAGAGCCGCCAAAAGAGAGTGTGAAGGAGCAACCAGAGAGGGGAGCAGATATAACGGCCAAAGAGTGTGTCAAAGAGGGTGATCAACTCTCAGAACACCACTGAGCAGCCTGGTGGGATGGGGACTGAAAGTGGACTTGCCATGGAGGCCTTAGAGACCACAGCAAAGGCAGCCATAGCAGAAAGCAGACTGAGCTGGACTAAAGAGAGAAAAGGGAAGCACCTAGTGTTCACCTGAGGACAGCAATCCAACTTACAGTGAAAGCAATCTACTCGGTTATTACCCTTGTTCTCTAGCCATGTTCAGTTGTTTGGTGAAAGCATGGAAAAGTTAGGCATTTGGGTTTATCCCGGCTGGAATTTCACCATACAAGCATGAGGGAGGGAGACAGGTGCAAGAGAGTTGGAGGAAGTAACATAAGGGGCCATGAAGTTAAGTTGGTCAAGGAGGGAAGGGAAGACAGGTGGTTGTGGGAGCTGAAGGGCTGTCAGAGGGGTCACCTGAGCAGGTGAGCCAAATGTGCAAGAGGAAGTGGCCAGAGGAGAGATCTGACTTTTGAGATTTCCAGTGTGTGTGATATTAAGCCCATGCTGGGACTGTGGAAATCAGTTGCTGAAAAGGGGAGATGAAAAGGTTCACTGGAGATGAGAAGGACAAGGATCTGAGAAGCCAGAGAACAGGATGATGAGTTATCTGCCTGGACATCGAAGCTGCTTAAAGTTACTGGAGGGGGATGAAGATGATTAGTAGGAGCACTTCAAGTCTTCTCTGAATGACAGAGTGACCAGAGAGTCAGTAACGCAGCAGTGGGCAGTTGGAGAGGATGGTATGGCCATTTGAGATAAGCCTCAAAGAAGAAGGGTTTCTGCCCAAGCAAGGTGAGTGGTGCTCAGAAGAAATTGTGGAGAGTAAGAATTCCTCTCATTAGGAGGAGGAGAGGTAATAGCCTAGCGAAATGGAACTAATGCAAAATTAGATAGGGGACTTTATCCCCTTTTGAAGGGAATCCTGCAATCCTTGAGCGGTGTCTGGAATGATGAGTATACGGAATGGTAGTACCCATGTTAGGGATCTGTGATCCCTGTCCTAAGAGAGACGGTCCTACACTGAAGGGATGCAGCATGGAGCACGGAGCAATGGGGAAAGCTCTAGGTCATACTGAGAGGAGACCGCATGCAGGTCCAAAACCACCTCTCAAATAAATAAATAAAAAGATATAACTGAGCTGGAGGAGGCTAGAGAAGAAATGCACAAATGGCTGTATGGGAAGGAGAGAGTACAGCACTACCAAGGGGAAGCCAGACAAAACCAGGAAACTGAGGACCTCAGGCAAAGGATGTTCCAAAAGCAAGTCATGGCATAAGCCCTGACCCTGGTGGTACGGGGACAGGAGCCCCATGTGGAAGGGAAGCTCCTTCAGCTGGGATGCACACAGCTCATGGAAGAATAGACCAGTGCTTCCTACTGTTCCTAGGGAAGGGAAAGAGGGAAGGAGCTGGAAATGGTAGAGGGAAGAGAAGGAAGACTGGAGATCAGTTGTAAGCAATGTAGCCTCCATAGAAATTCAGGAAGAGTTTCTCTTAGACACCCCCCACCTCCAATCAGTACTGGATCTGTGTGTACGTATCAAGGGGAACATACGTGTACCACTAACTACCACAATAGGACGGCACAGCAGGCAATATGAAAGGCAGAGAAAAAACACTCAGTGATCAAGAGAAAAAGAGAGACTTCCATTCTGACTCAGTGGTCAGGGATATCTTCATCGGCCAAATGGACATTCTTCTGGACGCGGAAGAATGGGAGGATTTTGAAAGGTAATGAGGTAGAGAAATGTCCTCAACTCTACAGCACAAGCTGTAGATCCCACGTGTGTCACTGTCCAACCCCCAGGACAGACCTGAGGTCTGAGTCCAGCCTCAGCCAAGTCCCTCTGGGCCCCGTCCTGACTCACTAGCTCTTTCCCTTTCCTTCCGTCTAGTCCATCGATAGAAGAGTGGCTGTGACCCGAAGGAATGTCTGACCCCCACAGCAGTCCTCTCCTGCCAGAGCCACTTTCCAGCAGATACAAACTCTACGAGGCAGAGTTTACCAGCCCGAGCTGGCCCTCGACATCCCCGGATACTCACCCAGCTCTGCCCCTCCTGGAAATGCCTGAAGAAAAGGTGAGAAGTGTCCCTCCTAGGATGTTTCCTGGGAGGGAGGGGATGGGAAAAGTGGGGGCAAAAGATGCCGCTTTCCCACCTTCCCAGTGAACTTAGCACACTGAGGAAGTGCCACTGTCAGTACATGGTGACACCCATGGTGGGTCCTACCTGGCCTTAGATAATGTGGCTCTTCATGAGACATGATTTTAAGGACAAGTACAGAATACAGACACTCACTCACCAGTCTTTCAATCAGTCTCTAAAATCTTTCCCCTTAAACCTGCTCCCTTGAACTACCCTACTGTCTCCAAAGGGAAGGCCTTTGTTGAAATGCAGGCCATTAGCATCCTCGGTGGTAGCACAGAGGTAGACTGGCTGGCCACTGCTGCAGTAGAGAGGGACTCAAGACTGCTGGGATGGCCTTCCAGAGCTGTCCTGACTTGCGATGAGGAGGTCCCATATCTTTACTCATCACTACTTTGAAATTACAGAAGGTATTGGATCTGCTGTGCATACATGTGTATCTTAATTTTTAGTAAGATTATAACTGCATTTCAGTATAATTGGCTTGGTTTGCCGTCCTATTTATCTGATCTTTGCATTTACAAACATTATTCTGAAAAGAAGCTCATGGGCTTCATTAAACTGCCAAAAGAGATCCATGGCACAAAGGTGAAGAAATCCTGCTGTGAAGAAGGTGCATGGTCCTGGGAAGAACAGGCTTGTACGGGGCACTCTATGCAGCCGCAGACAATGGGCATGTGTTCCACCCTTTGTCTCATGATCCTTTATTTTTATCAAAAAACCTGCCACCCTCCTCTATCCCCAAATGTCCCTGCTCTCAGAAAGCTGTATCATTTGATGTCTGGTTGGTTTCTCCTAAAAGGATCTCCGGTCTTCCAATGAAGACAGTCACATTGTGAAGATCGAAAAGCTCAATGAAAGGAGTAAAAGGAAAGACGACGGGGTGGCCCATCGGGACTCAGCAGGCCAAAGGTGCATCTGCCTCTCCAAAGCAGTGGGCTACCTCACGGGCGACATGAAGGAGTACAGGATCTGGCTGAAAGGTAGGAAAATACCCTGGGGAGAGGCAGCCAGACCAGGCCAGGCCAGAGAGACAACCCTCTCTCCGGTTTGGTCCAAAGCTTCTCCCTCACTCATTCACCCTCACCCTGGGTGGATCTGCCCAGGACTGGACCTCACCCAGGGCTGGAGTCCACAGCTGGGGGAACTTCAGCCCTAAGCTGACTCCAAGGGGATATGATATACCCTACTGGCCTGGAATTCTCATGGTTTCAGAATTAAATGCATTGATCTTAGTTCTTTGCAAATTGCTCGTTCCTATGTGAAATAGATATAGGACAACCATATTAGCAACATATAAGCCATTTCCCAAGCTAGCTGAATGATCATTCCTTCACTCGATTCACTTGTTGCACAGCCATTTATTATGTGCCTGCTATGTGCCAAGAAAATATTGGTATCATCCTTCCCAAAGCTTCAGGATTCTTTCCTTTTAACTTCTCGAACTAAACACTGAAAGGAATGCCACACCCTTCACTCCCACTAGCCCCGACACCTGCACCAGTTGTCATGGAAACCAAACCAGCAAATGAGGCAGAATGTACGCCCCTCTCCTATACCTGGCCTCCTCCAGGCCCTGACTCAGTACTGATTTTCACAGCTGGGCTACAACAATTTCTTCCCTAGTGTCTTTTCTTCAGGCTACTTTCTTTGCTGCTCAGATACCAGCCCTTAACTGAGTCATCCAGCACTACAGAAAAAAGAATTTCCTGCCCCCACCCCCCCACCTTCCCCACCCTTTCTTTTGGACCAATAAATTTCCCTTGGAATGCTCCCGGGGCTTCTTTTCCAACCAAGCCAGTGGCTGGAACAGCGTTAAATTGTTCTCAGCATGGTGCCTCTGTCTATATGGCAAAAACTACCACCCACTGCAGAATGATTGCTGGGCTACTGAGAGATTTGGGCTGGGCACCAGCCTCCCCTCTACCCCCACCCCTCCACCCCGACCCCTGGCCTGGCTGAATGGGAAGGGTCCTGGCTTGCACATTCCTGTTTGCCTTGGTTGCCATGCCAACCAGCAGTTCAGCAGAGCAGCCCAAGCTGGACCTGCTGATGGCTCGCTCTCTGTCTCTTTCAGACAAGCACCTTGCCCTCCAGTTCATAGACTGGGTCCTGAGAGGGACCGCTCAGGTGATGTTCATCAACAATCCTCTCAGCGGCCTCATCATCTTCATAGGGCTGCTGATCCAGAATCCCTGGTGGACAATCACTGGGGGCCTGGGGACAGTGGTCTCGACCTTAACAGCTCTCGCCTTGGGCCAAGACAGGTGGGTCCCTCTCTATAGGGATTTTAGCAAGATGTGTGGAACAGAAAGTAGAGAGGTGTTTACTTGAGTAATCAGTCAACCTTACCCTCCCAGCCAGCCAAAGTCTCCTGAGTATCAACTTTAAGCAGGTCACTGACAGTCCTTGCAGAATTACACTGCTCCTGCTCACAGCATGTGACAGTGTCAACATTCATTTGACTGTGGAGACTTCTGCAAACACTGCCTCAGAGGGAGGTGCAGAGGAACAGCTAAGCTGTTCTTCCCTCACAGAGCCTACCATCTAGTTGAAGGAGACAAGATTAATAGGCAATGAATGTCTCAGAATAATACAGGACAGTATATAATTGAGTTCAGAGAAGACAGACATTACCAAGTGTTGGGAAGATTAGAGAGGCTACCTCTGAGTTATAAAGGTTGCATATGGGGGATCTGAGAGAAGGCGAGGAGAGAGAGGAGGACAGTGTGGGAAGGGGCACTGAGGAAGGGGAGCAAACAGGGCTGGCAGGAGGCATAGATACAGATGTGGAAAGAGAAGTTGGCCTCGCACTGGCTGGTGCAAAGTCAAGTAACAATAACAAGGGCCAGGCACGGTGGCTCACGCCTACAATCTCAGCACTTTGGGAGGCTTAAGACAGGCAGATCACTTGAGGCCAGGAGTTTGAAGCCAGTCTGGCCAACATGGTGAAACCCCGTCTCTACTACAAATACAAAAATCAGCTGTGCATGGTCGTGCATGCCTGTAATCCCAGCTACTCGGAAGGCTGAGGATCTCTTAAACCTGGGAGGTGGAGGTTGCAGTGAGCCAAGATCGTGCCACTGCACTCCAGCCAGGGTGACAGAGCAAGACTTTCTCAAAAAAAAAAAAAAAAAAAAGAAAAGAAAAAGAAAAAAGAATAAAAACTTGCATTTTGTAGAACTTGACCACTTCCTGAGACTTTGCCGTATATTTTTCCAGTGGCTCCCAAACTTTCCTGATGGTCAGAATCACTTAAGGTGGTTGTTAAGAAATAGTTTCAGGCTGGGCATGGTGGTTCACACCTGTAATCTCAGTACTTCAGGAGGCCAAGGCGAGTGGATCACAAAGTCAAGAGATTGAGACCATTCTGGCCAATATGGTGAAACCCCATCTCTACTAAAAGTACAAAAGTTAGCTGGGCGTGGTGGCGCTTGCCTGTTGTCCCAGCTACTTGGGAGGCTGAGGCAGGAGAATTGCTTGAACCCGGGAGGCGGAGGTTGCAGTTAGCCGAGATCGCACCACTACACTCCAGCCTGGTGACAGAGCGAGACTCTGCCTCAAAAAAAAAAAAAAAAAGAAAGAAAGAAAGAAATCGTTTTGGCCCACTCCTCCCCCTTCCTCTCATAGCTATGAAAATTCAGTGGATCTGAGAGTGGGTACTTTTAACAAGGTCCTCCTAGATGCTTCTGATGGTCAGAGAAGTTTGGAAAGCACTGGATTATCCCCTATCTTAGTGTTTTTCAATTTGGGGATCACCAAGCCATTTCCAGATCATGAATTAATTGTCAGCAGCATTTTTTAAAGTTAATAGCGTAAAATAAAACTGATGAGAGTTATCTATATATGGTAATGGTAAGTATTATTTGGTGGAATTTTTGTTTCATTTATGTTGGGGATGTGTGCGTGGGAGAGAAAGAAAGAAAGAAAGTGAAAGCTAAGTCATAATATAAAATGCATTTCTTACAGTGGGTTTCTCTCAAAAAAAGAAAACTGAGAAGCACTGTCATATCTTATTAACTGTGACTCTTACCACCACTGCACAAGGCACAGTGAAGGGAACAGAGTCCACATCTTGCAAGTGAGGGAAAGGAGACTGGAAGGGGAGAGCTACCTACCAAAGGTGCCACAGCCAGTGGGTGGCAGGACTTAGGCTTGGAGGCATGACCTGCATCTTAGAATCAAGGTCATGCTGTCCCCATCATGGCACCTGTGAGGACAACATGGTCAGAGGCCCATTGGTGAACCCAAAGTAATCAGAGCTGGAAGTGTTGTAACCAACGTCAGGCCCAGCCGACGTTCCTCATTCCACCGAGGGAAATGCATGAGTCAGCCTGGCCCTGGTGAGAAGTTGCTCATGCACCTCTAGGGTGGCGTTGGAGGACCACTCAGATTCTAGCATGCTAGGAGGCCATTCAAAGTCAGATGGATGAGAGGCTGAATTCTTCTGAATGCAGATCTGGTGGGTGAGATTAAAAATGGGCTCCAGCCAGGTTCCTGTGTCTCCTTCAGTTAGTGGGCCTCCTATTCCTTGTTCCCATGTACCTATCAACCATGGGCAGCTGGCACAGAACTGAGCCCCTGGCAGATCAGCCCATGCCTCACTGCTTCATCATTGTGTGCTGAAATTTACCTGGGGTGAACTCTGTCCAGCCCACTGCCTTCTTAGCTGTGTGACTCAGGCAAGTACTTCCCCCTCCAGCCCCATTATCCTCATCTGTATAATCTACTGTCCAGCTGAGATGAGCCCAAGACCCTCCCTGCGCTGACACTCTGATTCTTTGATTATCCTCCCCACCATTAATCTACTGGTAAACATGCCAAGCCATTCAGAGGGTCACTTCACAGACTGCAGTTTTACAAGGGGGGATGCACACCAGGCATGCCTAATCCTCACAAACACCCTGATTAAGAATTTAAGATAAATATGCATCAGATAAAAACCCAGTCCCTCAGCTTGGCTCCCCAAGTGTCATTTGATGGGTCCTACAGTACCTAGTGCTCAATCAACATCACATTTGTCCCTAGTTAAGTACTTTTGCTTCTGTGATCCCTGACACCAGCTGTACCTCTGTCTATCTAATTCTACAGTTCCCTGGAATCCTTCCTCCCCCAGGGAGCCACTCCTGATTCCCTCTATGCTCTCTGAACTTTTCTTTCTCTCTGAACAACCACAGAACACATCCCAGTACTAGATTGAATTGTTCTGTAATTAATTTTTTTGATTCTTCTTTCTCTGGATATATTCTAAGCATGTTCAGGAGAAGTTGGTTTCCAATGGGCCATATACACCCACAGTGCCTAGAAAAGATCTAGGCTTTGTTGCTGACAGGTCAGTGTCTTGTTCTGCATCATAGGCTCAAAGCTCTAGCCACTGGACACAACATCCATACACATATCTTCTAAGGAGCCACGAGCTCACTGCTGTACACAATGAACCACTGACACAGTTGCATATTCTAAGCATGACCTCCATCACCCCCACTACCCTTTAATCACCCCCGCTGTCCCCACCCCCAATTCCCTACTAGCCTAAGACTATACTTTACAGATGGTAACTGAAGGTCAACAACACCAATGCTGCAGTGTCCTGATGGAATGTGGTCTTAATGGAGACCTTTTTGGCACTGGAGTTGAACCCAATTTTGCATATTTTATAGTCAGGGAGGGAAATCCAGAAACCACCAAAGTTTTAGTAAAAACAAGAGTTCTGGAGGGACACTCTCCACAGGGTGGGACAGCTATTGGTATTAAAACAAAAAAAGCACTAATTTATATCACCAAACACAAATGGGAAAATGTAGAGAAAATACAAACACACTAAAAATAATGATTTTCCCAAAACATGGATTTCTGCTCCTGAAGTGCTCCCCAGTGGTCTTCTCTGCCACCTCCCTCCATCCCACCCACTGCCTGTCTCCAGCTGCCCCCATATCTTCCTGGCCTCAAGAGCAGCTGACCACACAGCTTGTCCTGTGTCCAGTACAAGTGTCCACACATGTGCCTTGTGCTACAGCTTTCTTGCAGGAAGCTGTCTAGATATGCTCTCTCCTGCCCCTTTCCCATCCTCCTGCTCTCCTCTTATCTAGGTCACTAGACCTCCTGGTCACTACAGAGGTGAAAGGTCCTCCCCCTTCCAAACCTAAGCCACAGCCCCTGCTGGGTTGGAGCCCTCCTCTAGCCAGAATTCCCTTCCTGCATCTCAGGGAGCCCTAAGCTTCCAGAAGCTTCTGCCATGCAAGAACAGCCAACACATGGTAAGGTTTAGCACGCCCACATTATTCATTCAACAAATACTAGCTGAGCACCCTCCATGCACAGATACTCTTGACATTGCTGGGTTACTGGGCCACAGCAACGGACACACAGACACACTTCAGCCCTCATAGAACTAAGGCAGGTGCAGAGGGACTGACCACAAGCACACACAGGTCACTCCTTGGCAGGGGCCTTGCATCACAAGCTGCCTATGCCCCTCCCTCACCCACAGCCTATGCCCCTCACCCGGCAGAGCAATTAGAAAGGTCAAGGACAGTGTTTATTACGATCAGGAGGAGAATTGTAGGTGCATACACCAGCTTCTCCTCTGAAAAAGAAGGAGTGGCTAGACTCATGCTTGGATACTACCACACTTCTGGGCTGCTCCTCACCAAGGGGCACCTGGGAACCCAAAGCTAAACCAGCTTATTCACTCTGTTGCAGACATGCAGAGAGAAAGTACACAGATTCCAGCTACAGAGAATTTTTTGTTTTTGAGACAGGGTCTTGCTTTGTCACCCAGGCTGGACTGGAGGGCAATGGTGAGATCTTGGCTCACTGCAGCCTCAACTTCCTGGGCTCAAGTGATCCTCCCACCTTAGCCTTCCAAGTAGCTGGGACTACAGGCATGCACTATCACGCCTGGCTAATTTTTGTATTTTAGCAGAGATGGGGTTTCACCATGTTGCCCAGGCTGGTTGAACTCCTGGGTGCAAGTCATCTTCCCACCTTGGACTCCCAAAGTGCAGGGATTACAGGCATGAGCCACTGAGCCTGGCCAACTACAGAGAACTTTACACAATGTAATCATAACACTCTTTCTCCTTCCCTCTCTTCTCTCTCCCTCACTCCCACACACAACTTCCTTGTGTCACACCTCAGGTTTCTATTATATTCCCTCTATATTTAGCAGTCTAAGTCTCCCCTGATAAAGAAGAGCTTAACCACAGACAAAGTGCATAATTTTAATTGTCGATCAGCAAGACAAGGGTGTGTGTGTGTGTGTTTGTGTGTGTGTGTGTGTGTGTGTGTTATCAGGAAAGGTGCTGGCAGCTATGTGACTGCCCAATATTCATTGAGCGAACTGACTTTTTTCTAAGCATTATTATTAAAGGAATCATCTAAATTAAGCATATCCTCAGAGCACCAGGAGGGAGGGGCCCAGTAACACCACCAACTTCAAATGCAAAATCAGTCTGTTTCACCGCCAGGTCTGCCATTGCCTCAGGACTCCATGGGTACAACGGGATGCTGGTGGGACTGCTGATGGCCGTGTTCTCGGAGAAGTTAGACTACTACTGGTGGCTTCTGTTTCCTGTGACCTTCACAGCCATGTCCTGGTGAGGCACCTCATTTTTTCTGCTCACAGCTCCATGGGGCCCCCAAGACACTTGTGTCTTATACTGGCCAGAGACAGGACATACACATGTGGGACCCAGCCCCTTCATAGCCAAGTTAGCTTGTCTGACACCATGAAAGCCCATGAGTTCTCTTGTAACACAAGGGGGTCATTTGGAGATATGGAATAAGGAGGATTCTTTTGTTTTTTGTTTGTTTGACACAGAGTCTTGCTCTGTCGTCCAGGCTGGAGTGCAGTGGCGCAATCTCGGCTCACTGCAAGCTCCACCTCCTGGGTTCACACCATTCTCCTGCCTCAGCCACACAAGTAGCTGGGACTACAGGCACCCGCCACCACGCCCAGCTAATTTTTTGTATTTTTAGTAGAGACAGGGTTTCACTGTGTTAGCCAGGATGGTCTCGATCTCCTGACCTCGTGATCCACCTGCCTCGGCCTCCCAAAGTGCTGGGATTACAGGCGTGAGCCACCATGCCCAGCCAGGAGGATTCTTTAAACCAACAAAAGACAACATTTTTTTTATTGCAATGGTAATCTTCCTGAACGACATTCTTAGTAATAAAAGTCAGCATTTCCTAAGTTATTCCTACATGCTTGACACAGTGCTAAGCAGGGCTTATGCAGTGCTAAGTATGGCTACATTTGCCATCAGTTTATGGAAGGGAAGACCAAGGCATGCAGAGATTAAGTCACTTGCCCCAAGTTGTACTTTGTGGTAGTTTTTGATGCTGGCATTCCAAATCCAATCTGCACTATTAAACCCCAGGTTGCATGGGAATTGTCTATTATGTGACGTAACCAAGACCTAAAAGCTGAAAACCTGCTTGTGATAGAAGCAGAGAGCTTTCTTGGAACAGAATATTTATATGTAAAGCATAGAACCTTTGAACTGGAAGTATCGGTTGAGATCTTGCTGGGCAATCACCTCATATTCTAGATGAAATAAGAAGGTCACCATGAAAGGGAGTTAGGAACAAATATTCACCTAGCGAAGGGTGTGCTGGGCCATTCACACAATGATTCTTAGTTCACGTAAATTTACAGCAGGTCTATCAAGCATCTTGGGGTCTCTGCAGTGTGCTCACTGTCATGGTGAACCTTTGTCCCCCAGACCCTGACTTCACATGTGTATACCACCCTGTTCTCAACTTCCCTCAAACAGTGTGATTTATTCTTATTGTCAGCAATAAATCAGACAGGATGATTTACTTTTAACATCTCTAAGAAGTAAATGTCTTTCCTTGGTTTCAAAGTCTGCAGTTACTAAAACCAGCTAGTTTAATTTAGCTTAACTACTCTTTTATTACTTTTTAGTAGTGCTTGCAAATAAATTACTACATTAAGGATTCTGGGCAATTTAGTTTTCCTCTTAGGGTTTCGTTCTTAATCCATTGGGACAAAAAGCCAAGACAGTCATTTCTATGTGGATTTTCTTAATGCCCCCCACGTTCCTGCCTGTGAAAAGGAGAACTTGCCCTCATTTGCAATACATTTGGTTTAAAACTACATAGATTAAGCCCCTCAACACAGCTCCTCAACCACATTGCACTGGCTGGCAATTAGACTTCAGTGCCCCCCATCCCACTTCCCAATTTAAAGGACAAAAAAACACTGAGCACCCCACCCTGGGCTCTGTGCTACTACTCCAGTGCATTCATCAATCCATTTATGGGGACCCTGAAATTCAAGTCATAGGGTAGGTATTTGTAGTGCCATTTTCCAGATTCATTCAATAAACAAATATCTGTTGAGTGCCTGAACTATTTGTTGAGTGAAAGGTTGACCCTAGATGCTGGGAATATTTGTAAACAAGGAAAAGTCTCTATTCCCTTGGAACTGACATTCTTCTTGGCTAAGACAGAAATAAACTCATAAACTAGTTAATAAAAGGGATCATTTCAAGATGTGATAAGTGCTTTGAGGAAAGCAAGAGAGGCTAAATGGGACAGCAAATGATTCCAGACATGTGTGCTCAGGGAAGACAACTTTGCAGAGGGGACATTTGAGCTGTCGCCTAAATGATAAGAAGGCATCTGTCATCTGAAGATGTGGGTGAAGGATGTTGCAGGCAGAAGCAGCCCCCAACTGGGGAAGTGTGATGTATTCTAAGAAGAGAGACAAGACTGGTGTGGCAGAAGCCCAGTGAAGGATGGAGGAGTGGCAGGAGGGGAGGGCAGGTACTCGATGAGAGTCAGACCAGGTACACCCTGTAGACCCAGTAAGCCTTTGGATTTCTATATCAGCTGTGATAGAAAGCAGTTAGAGAGTTTTAGGCAGAGATGTGATGGGATATGGTTTAAATCTAAACAAATCACTCTGTTTGCAGGATGGAGACGGATTTTAACTGGAGTAAGAGTGGATGCTGGAAGCATCTGCTACAATAATCCACAATTGTCTGCTACAAAACCCCACAGAGATGACAGTGTTTAGATTAGAGTGATATCCATGAACATGGTAAGAAGTGAGTGGGTCTGGGGTATATTTTAAAGAAGATAGAGGCAATATAACTTGTTGGGAGGTTGTGGAAAACCAAGGAGAGGAAAAAAAAAAAGAAAATTGAATACACTCCTTTAATTTGCCTAAGTACCTAGGTTGATACAAAAGACCAAGAGAAGAACTGGTCGGTGGCAGGAGACAGGATACAAATCAAGAATTCTGTTTGGACACATTATACTATAGACTTCCAAGTAGAGATGTTGTAAAGGCAATTGGATGTACAAATCTGAAACAGTGATATGATCAAGATTTGGGAGGTGGAAACACACAGAAGCTTTCATCTATGGTACTAAAGGCTATCACCCAACAGAGAAGATTTTTTAGAAGAGAGAGAAAATATTCAAGACAGAGTCCCATAGGCTCTTCCAACATTTAGAAGTCTGGCAAGAGAGGGGAAAAACCATCAAAAGAGACTAAGAAGGAACAGGCAAAAAGAAAACTAAGAAAATCCAGTGTCATGGTAGCCCAGACAAAGTATTTCAAGATGGTGGGCAGGTCCAACTGTCAAAGCAATAGGGAATGACCATGGACTTAGCAAGATAGATGCCATTGGTGAAATGGACAAGAGCCATTTCCATGGTGTAATGAGGGCACACACCTGACTGAAGTGGGTTTGGGAAAGACTAGGAAGAGAAAGATTGGGGATAGCACAGAAAGCCAACCATTTCGAGGGCTACTGCCCGAAGGGGAGCAGAGAAACGGAGCCACAGCTGGAGTGGCCATCAGGTTAAAGGGGGAAGATGTTTAAAGGTAGAAGATACTAGAGCATGTTATATCCTGATGAGAATGATCCAAAGAAAAAGAAGAGATTGAAGCTGCAGGAGAGAAATGAGAAAATTACAGGAATGAAGTCCCTGAGGCAGATTAGATCCAAAGAACAGGGAAAAGAACTGGCCTGATGAAGGAGCAGGGATGCTTCCATTATGTGAAAAAGACAGAGAGGCAGATTTTGTGGGAAGAAAGCAGACAGGGTGTGGATTTTATGGCTGGGAAAACAAGCCTTTCTCATCTTGTCACTTCTATTTTCTTAATGAAGTAAAGCCAGGTGGTTGGCGGAGGCTAAAGGGAAGCAGACAGTAAAGATTTGAGAAGAAAGGTGAAAATGTGAAATACTTGTCTCAGCAAGTCGGAGAGTTAACTGGTGAGGGATGTGTAGGAGGGTTTTCAGGAAGTCTTAAACGCCTTTTTGAAATTCATGGTCATTCATTAAAAGCAGACAATTTAAACACATCATGCAACTTCAGGTTTTGCCCAGCAGGTCACTGAGTGTGGATGATGTGGGGTATTTGGTGTCTAGGGTGGCTGGTGCCTTCCAGAGGAAACTGAAGCTAAGGGAGATTAATTACCTAACATTGTTCCTTCAGCCTGTATGCATAGGAGTGAGTCAGGATTTGCACTAAGCTTCATCTGTCTCCAACACCCATTCTCCTTCCAAGGAAAAGATGAAGAAGACAGAGGGTACAAACAACTGAAGGTTCTATTTTCCCCTGGCAGTTTCCAGAGTAGCTCTAAGTATTTTTGCTGAAACTAGACCTGCAAATTACCCATATGCCATTGCAGCCTCCTCCTAGAAGGTCAGTCTTCTAAAATGTTATCAGAGCCTTGAACAATAGTCATTGTACACCTTGGTGATTCAAAGGCAATACATTACATTTTGTTTAGTTTTCTTGGTTTAAAAAACAAGGAAATATTTCCACTATTTTATAAAGTGTTTTACTCAAAATAAGTTACGATATTTTTAAAATTTGTTTCTCAGAGGTGTAAGCTTATGAAGCAGATGACAATAAATTGGCAAAAAAAAAAGAAAAAGGTAAGAGCTGAAATTGAATACCTTATTCTATTCCCTATCCCAGATCATTGGAACACTGGAGTCTCAAGGGGGCCAGGAATGCTGTGCCTAGGAGAGGAGGCAGTGGATGATACAGTGGCCAGAGCTGCTGAGACAATGTAGACCTCAGGATGTCACAGGGATTAACCCTCTGTCTCTTGCATCTTCAGCCCAGTTCTTTCTAGTGCCTTGAATTCCATCTTCAGCAAGTGGGACCTCCCGGTCTTCACTCTGCCCTTCAACATTGCAGTCACCTTGTACCTTGCAGCCACAGGCCACTACAACCTCTTCTTCCCCACAACACTGGTAGAGCCTGTGTCTTCAGTGCCCAATATCACCTGGACAGAGATGGAAATGCCCCTGGTAAGTTACCCAGCGGTGATGAGTTGAGACCCCCATATTCCACTGCAGACCTTCTCGCCAACCAATTTGTGGACTATCCATGCTCTCAACTTCTCTAGAAACATCTATACCAGATGATGGGCCTCAGCAGGGTATCAGAAAGGGTTGCTGCCACATCCATAGATCCTTTCAACAGTACTTATTGAGCATGTAACATGGCCTGGACACTTTTTCAGATACTGATAATACAAGACAATGACATCCTGCTCTTAGGAAGCCTACATTCTATACGGGGAAACAGATAACATGCAAGTGAACAGATAAGCGTTGACAGTACAGAACTGTGGTGGTTGAGTGAAAGATATTAGATAAAATGTATAGTCAGATAAAGGGGCAAGATACTAAAATAAACATTTAAAATTGGGATTTTAAAGGCATTAGCATAGAAGACAGAGGGTTAATTTTTATATACTCTCTCTCTTAGTGGTTCTCAGGCAGGGATAATTTTGCCCCTTGGAGACATTAGGCAATGTCTGGAGACATTTTTATTGTCAAGACTAGAGAGGTCCCCAGCACGCTGCTCCCAGGCCACTTCCCTCTTTCTCTTTGAAACAACAGAGAAAGGCCTTCCTTTTCCTTTTTGTTTAATCAGCTTATTGTTGCTATATAAGAATTATGAGGAGTGTGAAGAAGGCCTGGTGCTTAGTAAATTTCCATGGCACACCTGACTGCCCTTCACACCAGGGTGTCAGCTGCGGCCTGGGAGCAGCGTGCTGGGAGGGAAGGCCGCCCTGGGGCACAGCTCACCAGGCTGAAATATAGATCCCAGCGGAGGAAGCTTCATTCTAAACCCAGGCTCCATTCCAAGGCCACTCATTCCCTCATTCCTCTCATTCTTGACCGCTTGGGCTTAAAATCTGCGTTCCCGGATGGAAAGGTGGACGTGAACTCCCCTCAGCATCCCGCATTCCTCAGATGTTGGCAATCATGGGATATTTATTAAATAGACTTCCAGCCTGTTCCCAACATTTAAGCTGAGTTCCCTGGTCTGGTACAAAGTGTTTTCTGGGTTTCTATAAATAAATATGATTGAGTACCCCTCCCTTGCCATTCCTTTCGCAAGATTATAAACTCTGGTCCAAACAGCATTTGGTTATTAAAAGACCATTCATTCAGAGACAAGAGTGAGCAAAGTTTAAGAGCCCTCTAGGCTCTTCAAATACTACTCCCTGAAGAAATCATACTTATTCCAGAATTAAATCAAATTGTCAAAAAGTACAAAATTTGGTCCAAAGGGAGAAACTAAATTATTCCCAACATCTACAGCAACGTCTACAGTAGATCATCTATAACTAATCTCCCATCGCACACTAGACTCACCTGAGGACCTGCCATGCCCCATATCAATTAAATCAGAATGTCTAGGGAAGAGCTGGGCATCAGTATTTGTTTAAAGATTCCCAGGGGATTCCACTGTACAGCAAAGTTTGGGAACCACTGACCTAATCAATTCCTATTTGTTAAGCACCTATGGTGTACCTGGGCATAAAGGGCCCTGTCCTCACAGAGGTCATGTGACCTGGCAATGGTGAAAAGAACTACAGAGTCTTAAAGCTGGAAGATCATCTGCCAAGCCAGCCTCTTGTTACAGACGAGGATGTGACATGCTCACAGTCACACAGTGAACTGTGCAGAGCCCTGATGGAAGCTAGAGCCCTCTACTCCCAGGCCAGTGCTCTGCCTGCCCTGCCATTCTCCCTCCTTTCTTTTTCTGCCCTCAAAGGACTCCAAAAATATCGACAATTCAGCCTGGCCACAGAAAAGCCATCTGTCAGCACTGCCAAACAAATTCTCCCCAATTCCAGCACCAAGTTACTCTCAGGCTCAGGGATGTCTGGGCTTCAGGCCATTCTCCAGATGTGCCACATACTACCTTTCTACAATGCTATGCGGTCTTCGAGAGCAGGGGGCATGCCTACTGCTCCTTTCCAAAGGCTCACAACCCCCCAGGGTAGCAGTGAATGGGCAGGGGCCGCCAAAGAGGACGTGTCAGCAGTGGCTTGACAAAGAGACAGCAAGGGTGACAAAGACCTCAGACCTGAGCTAGGGGTCAAGCTCAGAGCCTCTAGCCTGCACTTGACCAACAACAGGCTGGGTGACTTTTAGTCAAATCATACATCAAAATGGCCTACTGTATTTTCAATATTCCTAGAATATTTGTATGGATTTCAGAAGGTCTAGAGGAAATCCCCGAGAGCCCTGAAACTCCCAGCGGCATTCTAGGGAGGAGGTGCATTCTGGTCCCCTCAAAGCAGAAGCCGTATGTTCCTCAGAAGCATCCATGCCCAGCCCATGTTGGGGGCCCTGGCTTTGCATGAGGGATGCTCACATGCCTGCTGGGTGGTAGAGTGAGGAGCTGTTTGTTCCAGCTCATGCCTCCCATGTTCTCTCACATGCTGGAGGGTACAGTCATCCTCCCGTTCCACTCCATTACTCCCCCGAGGAATGGCTCAAATCTGGCCCTGAGTCTGGTTTTTGCATTATTGTCCATGCTCCAGTGACCTGTATTCTGTTAACTTTGCAGCTGTTACAAGCCATCCCTGTTGGGGTCGGCCAGGTGTATGGCTGTGACAATCCCTGGACAGGCGGCGTGTTCCTGGTGGCTCTGTTCATCTCCTCGCCACTCATCTGCTTGCATGCAGCCATTGGCTCAATCGTGGGGCTGCTAGCAGGTAGGACAGAGCTCCCTCTCTTCAGGTCCTCAGGATAATTCACTCAAGGTCACTTTTCCCCTACATACAGCAAATCTTCCAGACATTCTCTTCCCTGCAGTTTTAAATACTTTCAGGGAGACAGGCACGGTGACTTATGCCTGTAATCCCAGCACTTTGGGAGGCCGAGGCACATAGATGACCTGAACTCAGGGTGAAAACCCATCTCTACTAAAGAAAAAAAAGTACAAAAATTAGCTGGGTGTGGTGGTGGGCACCCATAATCCCAGCTACTTGGGGAGCTGAGGCAGGAGAATCACTTGAACCCAGGAGGTGGAGGTTGCAATGAGCCAAGATCGTACCACCTCACTCCAGCCTGGGAAATAGAGTGAGACTCCGTCTTAAAAAAAAAAAAAATACATGTGGAGAGATGCAAGGGGGTAAGAACCAAGTTGGCCTGCAAACTGAGCCCCTGGAGCTGAGGATGCTGGAGAGACACAGGGGTAGGGGCGGGAGCAGTAACCAAGACCAACTGTGATAAAATAAATGGCCCAGCACTCTGAAATTTTTGGTAAGATACAAAGAAAATTGTTCTCAAACATTGGATTGCCACTTAACAAATGTGCTTTAATATTGCTACCTGTGTATATGTATGTATACACATTTAAATAGGTATTTGCTCTTTCTGACAACAGAGTCAGAGATTGGGGTAGGAGCATTGGGAGTAGGAACCTGTTTTAGACTTCTTCTAATATTTTTCAAAGATTTTTTTGGAAGCAAAACTTTAAAAAGTATTTTTTATTTGGAAATAGTTTTAAACTCATCAAAAAATGGTAAAAATAAAAATATGAGGCATCTGTAAATTCTTTCCCCAGATGTACCCACTGTTCACATCTTACTCCTTCTGCTGTATCATTCCTCTATCTACATATATCCATAAGTGTATAGGGATATTTTTCCAGAGCACTTGAAACAACTTTTAAAAATATTTGTTTAACTCTTCAAACCTTTTTGGAAACTTTCTTGCTAAGACTGCAGTTGCTGTAGTCAAAGCAGTAAGAAGGGGCCTAGAATCCCACCTCCTTGCCTCTTCTCACCCAGGAGGACCTCCAAGTGAAGCCTGTGGCTTTGACAACTGGTTTGGAAACCACTGTTCTCTTTTCATTGAAGGTCTCCTAAGACCGGATGCCATTTGTAGAGGCTCTTTTGATGGGCAGGTTTGGAGATGTGGGGTGAACAACAGCATGGAGGCCACTCTGAGACCTGGCACCAGTCCCAGGGTGGTCTTTGTTCTGTGGCCCAGAATCAGACAGAAATACCACACCTTGTCCCATAGCCCTGTCAGTGGCCACACCCTTCGAGACCATCTACACAGGCCTCTGGAGCTACAACTGCGTCCTCTCCTGCATCGCCATCGGAGGCATGTTCTATGCCCTCACCTGGCAGACTCACCTGCTGGCCCTCATCTGTGGTAGGTGTTCAGAAAAGCTGACAACCAGGTTATTCTGGCTATTCCTTCCCCCCTTGTTTATGTGAAACCCATGGGGACCACTAATCAATACTGTTCAGCAGTGACAGAAAGGCCAATGGCTTGCGTCCTAATGCCAGTGCTGCCCTTAACAGCTGGGGATTTCAGGTCCCTTTTCTGTCAAATGGGATCACAACCACCGAATGGTATTATACTTACACAGTGTTGTAAAGTTTATAAGGAAATCACATATGCATTTCCTTGTGTGCTAATGACAGCATTCCTGCTCTCTATAACTCTTCATTCAACAACTGTTTATACAACACCATCAAGTGCCAGGACCTAGTCTAGGTATAGAAGATACCATGGTGACTACATCCTCATGAAGCCACAGCCTAGCAGGAGAGAAGTAATTGCACAAATAATTACTAAGGCTGCAGCGTCCACAAAGGTTGTTGGAATGATCCAGTGAGGTGATGTACCAGGAGCACTAAAAATCATAACCACATTATGGAAGCTCGATTTCCATAAACAGAGAATATGCTGCCAGAAGGGAAATCAGCCATAGTCCTTCTCATACACCTGTATCCCAGCACCATACCCTGTTATATAAATATACAAACTCACTTAATCCCCCCAAGAATACCACCAGGCATAGCCTGCCTGGCCCATTTTACAGATGAGGAAATGAGGCTCAGAGGGGCTAATTAACTTGCCCTAGAAGATAGCTATTAATGGCAAAAGGGAGAGTCAATCCCAGCCCCAGCTTGCCACCAGCTCTCCTCTCCTGGTATTGTTCTCTGGAAGCAGGACAGGACATTAATAAATAAAACTAGAGTCAAGGAAACAGAAGACTAGCGTCTGGAACAGCTTCTCTTTTGTTTTTTCCCACTTATGCTTGGAGACTGAGAATGACTTCCATATCCCTTGTATCCCCTCAGCAGCCAACATGAGGCTGGGCATGGAGACAGTGGACCTAGTAAATATTTGTCAAGTTAAAAGTGCCTGTTATTTTGAGGTTCAGACCGTAACTGCTTTTGGCCTTCAGAGAAGTGGCAGATTCCTGTGGCTGGAATCATCTGGGAAGCCTACAGGGGGAGGCTAGGGTTTATCTCAACACTTCTAGTAGGATCTGAGTTGACAAAGAGAGAGGGAAGAGGTGTTCCGGACAGAGAAGGAGAAAGAGCAAAGCTGCAGGCAGAAGGAGTTTGTCCAGAGGCACCAGCTACATGGACGAGCTTTCCTGACTGTCCTCAGGACCCAGCTCCCATGGGGGAACCCAGCTGCCTGGCTCCTGGGGACTGGTTCAGGGGTCTAGTAAGGTTCAGCCCTGGTGAGACTTGGTGAACATCAAGCAGCATCACAGCTGCTCACAGTCTTGAATAGGAGGGACCTTGGCAGGAGCTCGTATAGTCTGACCACTCTTCCCCTACAACAATCATCCAGCCTGTACTAGCTCTTCGCTACCATCAGCGTAGACTAGCATATGATGTGTATTGACCCCTGACTCCATGCAAGGCCACTATGGAAGCAGGGAGGGGACAAAAGGAAATATATGTTTTAATCTCTGCCCGAAGAATGAACAGTCTGGTGGGAGACTGGCCTCACCTGTCTACAGAGATAACAAATGCCAGGCAAGCATGCCAGCTGTCAGGGCATGGTGCAGAATCTGAGGCTGCAGGAGAGAGGGTGGGGCTCCTGTTCTTGGTCTGGGCTCCCTGGTCTGCAATGGCAGTGGCTTAGGGGGAAGGCCCTGGGAAGCTCACTCTGGTGATCCTTGTTCCTCCACAGCCCTGTTCTGTGCATACATGGAAGCAGCCATCTCCAACATCATGTCAGTGGTAAGTGTGGATTCTCCTGAACACTACCCCAAAGTGCTCTTCCCAGAGCTTCTGGACATATGGGGTTGTGGGGTCTGGGAAAGGAACATTGAGCGGGTAATGGTAGCTGGTGCTCACACGACATCTCTGTTAAGGTTTATCTAAGGTTGTCCGGAGGAGGATTGACAATTGCATACATGTACCTCTAGGAGAGGGAGGGGTGTGTGTGTGTGTTGAAAGATTGCAATGTAACTAGCAGTGGAAAACACGACGGACAGATGGAGCTGTGTGACTGGACATGGGGGAACATCCTCAGGCCAATTTTCAGCTCCATCATTGAAAGATTCTGATTGTGGCTCAAATTATCTGTTTTGTTTTTGTTTTCTTTGCAAGACAGGGTCTCGCACTGTTGCCCAGGCTGGAATGCAGTAGTGCAATCTTGGCTCACTGCAGCTCCAACCTCCCAGGACTCAAGCCATCCTCCCAGTTCAGCCTCCCAAGTAGCTGGGACTAGAGGCATGCACCATCATGCCCAGCTGTCTTTTGTATTTTTTTGGGTCTCACTTTGTTGCCAAGGCTGGTCTGGGCTCAAGTGATCCTCCCACCTTGGCCTCCCAAAGTGCTGGTATTACAGGCATGAGCCACTGCATCCAGCCCTAAATTCTTTGACCAACTACTGTGACATTGCAAATCCAGGAATATCAATGCCTTCACTGGAGGGAGGATCTCCATCCTCAACGCCTGTCACATCCTTCTCCCCCAGAGTCCCCAGCCCAACACAGGAAACTAGGAAACTTCTTCAGTCCCCAATGCTTTTGTTTCCAGGTGGGCGTGCCACCAGGCACCTGGGCCTTCTGCCTTGCCACCATCATCTTCCTGCTCCTGACGACAAACAACCCAGCCATCTTCAGACTCCCACTCAGCAAAGTCACCTACCCCGAGGCCAACCGCATCTACTACCTGACAGTGAAAAGCGGTGAAGAAGAGAAGGCCCCCAGCGGTGAATAGCCATGTTCGGGGAAGAAACGCTCTTTGCCTGACCTGATGTCCTCTCCCTGTGTTCTCTGCTCTGGTTCAATCAGTTGCAGCACTCACCTTCTTTGCCTCTCCTTGCACCTGTGTAGAACCAAGCACACCTGTAACTTTCTTTCCCTGAAGCTGATTTTCATTCTCTGCCAGAATCTCCATAACTATCTATTGTGCGACATTAAGGGATGTTGGTATTACAGTAAAATTTCCGGAGTTAGCAATAAGGTGTGTGTCTTAAATGTTGTTGACTTAAAACAAAAACAGTAGTCTTTTGGAAAGGTAATTAACAGGTGATCTTCTTGGCATCTTAAACTAAATAATAGATGCTATAAAATTAAACTTGTTGAGTGGTTCCTAGGCAGACACAGAGTAGGGGGGTAAGTCAGGGGACACAGGCTAGGAAGGGAAGGCTCTCTAGTGGCTGAGCTAGAGACTAATGACCACAAAGAGAGGAATTTCACACTGATGGGATTTTAAAGTCAAAACAGGGACGATTGGGGCAGGGAATTATCTAAATAAGGAGTCTTAACCATTCAGTGGTCTTTGTAAGGGGCAAGGCGATATTCCATAGCAGGGAGGAATTAATAAATTAGAATCCTATATATGACTTTATTATGGAGGATAAGCATTTCTTAGTTTAGGTCAAACCAGCATCTCTTTAAAATTTAATTTTTTTAATTTTAAGTTCTGGGATACATGTGCAGAACATGCAGGTTTGTTATATAGGTATATATGTGCCATGGTGGTTTGCTGCACCTATCAACCCGTCATCTAGGTTTTAAGCCCCACGTGCATTAGGTAGTTATCCTAGTGCTCTCCCTCCTCTTGCCTCCCATCCCCCAACAGGGCCCAGTGTGTGATGTTCCCCTCCCTGTGTCCACGTGTTCTCACTGTTCAACTCCCACTTATAAGTGAGAACATGTGGTGTTTGATTTTCTGTTCCTGTGTTAGTTTGCTGAGAATGATGGCTTCCAGCTTCATCCATGTCCCTGCAAAGGATATGAACTCATTCTTTTTATGGCTGCATAGTATTCCATGGTGTATATGTGCCACATTTTCTTCATCCAGTCTATCAAGACTTTGCTATTGTATACAGTGCTGTGATAAACATATGTGTGCTTGTGTCTTTACAATAGAATGATTTATAATCCTTTCAGTATATACCTAGTAATGGGATTGCTGGGACAAATCAAACCAGCATCTCTAAGCAGAGATTTCAGTTAAGGAAAGTACCTGAGTTCCATGTGTAAAAAGCTTGGGAAATTTACTTCATTCTTCTATTTGCTTGTGAGCATGGGAGGCTTTATGAAGTGTATGATATTTAAAACAAATAGGTAGCCCTGACTATAGAAAGACAATTATCTATGAATTTCATAATTTTGTTTCTCAACTATAGTCAATAGCTTTCATTTGGTCTTTTTAAATATATATATACATATACAAAGATATATATAGATCGGGGTCAGCAAACTTTTTCTGTAAAGAGCCAGATAGTAAATATTTTCTGCTGGGAGGCCATATATTCTCTTTGGCAAAGTCTTAACCCTGTCATTATAGCATAAAAGTAGCCATAGACAACGTGTAAATGAATGAGTATGGCTATGTGTCAATAAAACTTTATTAAACAAGCAGTGAGCTAGATTTGGTCCACAAGCTGTATTTTGCAGATCCCTGATAGAGACAGTCTACATACTAATGCTTACAAACTGGTGGGCGGTGCACAGGCCCAAACAGACACCACCAAGTCCCTTGCGACATAGCAAAGGGGTTTTACATGCTGGTGACAGCATGAAGACCCTCAGGAAATGGAGGATACCCAGAAAAGTGACAGTAGCATGACTGGAATCAGGAGGACCTGCTCTGGGGCTGCTGGAGAACTAGGATACCCAGTGATGTGCACTAAGGGGTGCAGTTTTAAACCAAGACCCGCCTTCTACATTGTCTGGGAACTATTTCTAAGGTTCACTCTTCTCCAACCTCTCACTCTGTTGTTCTCTCATCTGCCAGAAAGCACACCACTCTTGGACAAAGAAAAACTGATGACCCTTCAGTGCTGGAGTTTTCCAGGCAGGAAGGACAGGGAGGTTCAGAGAATCCCAACGTTTGAAGGGAGTGTGAAGATCAGGTGGTCCGATCCCATGATGCATGAAAACCTCTATAATATTAGGATAAGGGCTTCAGTTCTCTGCCGGGTTTCCAGAACAGATTCAATTACCCAAAATGGAGGCAAGGCTCCCAAAGTATTTTAACAACAGATAACCAGAACCAGAGACCCCACTCATTGCCCTAGAAAATCCCCTCCTGTCTTCATTAAGCTCTTTGAGGCTGTCCACCCAAAGCATTGGGTCTGATTGGGGACTGTCTTTTAGCCATGCTTACTGGATCCCCAGGAGAGGAAAACTATTTGGATATAAAAAATTATTTCAGCTGATTTGGACAAGATTATCGCTTTCTTTTCCCACCAACTCCCCCCATCTCCCCCACCCCTGCCAACTCTTCACCTCATCTCACGAGACTGGAGAGCTCCTGGAGTGATCTTGTCCCACCTTCCCCAGGGCTTCCCCACCTCATCTACCTGCTGAATGGGTAGGTAAAAGATCTCTAAACTTACAGATTCACAGCACCAACATGAGGTTGCATGGGGGCAGGCCATGATGAGAGAAGAAGAAGGGTTTGGGGACCCATATTCTGGCAGTTTTTCTACCATCACCCCAAACTACAAGCAACAGCTCTTGGCTGTACAAATGAGAGTGTCTATGTTGAACATAAATATGCAATCATTAAAGATGTGTCAGTTTGGAGAGAAAGGGACTTTAGAGGAGGCTGTGTCTCAAACTCTTTTCCTATCTCACCCATCTTCCACTCTCCCTCTCCCAGTCTCTGCCCTCCCCAACACTTTCTCCCATCTTTATCTCCTCTCATACAACACTGATGAATTCTATCAGCCATGACAGTCTTGTCCTGCTGCACTTTAAAATGGCAGATCTTAAATCATCTTTCCAGTTTCTTCCATAATTGACATAGTCAAGTTTTCTGCTTCATCTTGAGTCAAGCTTGAGCATTTGCTAAGATATAATCAATTTTCTTTAGCTTTAAATGTTTGTGGCCATAGAGTTACTTATAATGTTCTCATAAAACAATTTCAGTCTCTCCTGTATGCATGGTTTTATCCCCTTCTCATTTCTACTCTTACATAATTTTGTTATCTCTTTTCTTTAATCAGGTTTGCAAGGAGTTCGTTAATTTTATTGACTTTTTCAAAGAAGCGATTTTGGATTTATTTGTCCTTTCTACTTGTTTTGGTTTGTTTTCTATTGATTTATTTTTCCTGTTTTCTTAAGGTTTAAATGTTATTTTCTAATGTTTTAAAATTGATGTAGAATTCCTTCATTTTAGGTCTTTCTAACAACAAAGCCATTTACAGCTATTAATTTTCTCCTGAGTACAGCTTTAGCTGGATACTATAGGTTTTAGAATAAAGGAGTCTACATTTATCATTTTTAAAATAGTTTGTAATTTTAATTTTTATTCCTCTTTGGTTGTTTGAGGATTATTTAATAATGGGTTTCTTAATTTCTAGCATTTAGGAATCTTGATTTTTTTAACTTTGTATATCTAGTTTTATTGGATTATGAGCAGAAAACATGGCCTGTAAAAATCTTTATTTTAAAATTGTGTGAATTTTTCTTCATTGTCAAGTACCTGATTGATTTTGGACATATAAAATTAAATTTTACTTTGAAAGAAATACATATTAAATTGATTTGTTAATTGTATTATTCAATTTCTCTATGTTCTTATTTTTTTGTATATGGGGTCTTAATTCTGAAAAGGGTTTGTTAAAAATCAACTATAATTGTACTGTTTCATTAATCTTTGCATTTCTAAAACATTTACCTCATATAATTAGTTACCACATTGTTTGATGCCTATTAATTTATGACAATCTTTTTCTTCAAAAATTTTGCCTATTATTATAAGTTACCCTCTTTATTCTAGTTAATGCTTTTTTTTTTTTTTTTTTTTTTTTTTTTGAGATGGAGTCTCACTCTATCGCCCAGGCTGGAGTGCAGTGGCACCATCTGGGCTCACTGCAAGCTCCGCCTCCCGGGTTCACGCCATTCTCCTGCCTCAGCCTCCAGATTAGCTGGGACTACAGGCACCCGCCACCACGACCAGCTAATTTTTTGTATTTTTAGTAGAGATGGGGTTTCACCGTGTTAGCCAGGATGGTCTCGATCTCCTGACCTCGTGATTCGCCCACCTCGGCCTCCCAAGGTGCTGGGATTACAGGCATGAGCCACCACGCCCGGCCTAGTTAATGCTTTTAACCATCACTCCAACTTAACCAGTATTAATATTGTTGTACCTTCTTTCTTTCTGATATTTTCTTATCCCTTTGTTTTAACCTTCATCATTTCTTTTAATTTTTAACTTTATTACTTTTAACTATATTTTTTAAAAATAACATATAGCAATGTTTCATATTTTTACCTAATCTCAGTGTTTCTGTAATTTAATAAGTTAACCTTTTCACATCTTATGTAATAACTAATATACTAGTTTTTTTCTTTCACTTTTTTACTATTCATTTTTCTTTGCTTTTTTGTTTTTTCATTGTTCTCGTTTTAGAAGTTTGATCATGATACTCCCTCTTTCTTTCTTCCCTTTGTTAATTTGGAAGGTCCACTGTTGTTTTACATTCTGCTAGCAGTTACTGCTCCTTTCCCAACACTCATAATCAAAAGCATATTCGTCTCTCACGAGGTCAGGAGATAGAGACCATCCTGGCTAACATGGTGAAACCCTGTCTCTACTAAAAATACAAAAAAATTGCTGGGCATGGTGGCGGGTGCCTGTAGTCCCAGCTACTCGGGAGGCTGAGGCAGGAGAATGGTGTGAACCCAGGAGGTGGAGCTTGCAGTGAGCGAGCCGAGATCGTGCACTGCACTCCAGCCTATGAGAGCGAGTGAGACTCTGTCTCAAAAACAAAAAACAAAAACAAAAAGGCATATTTGTCTCTTATTATATAAAAACAAGATGAAAAATACTTTTCCCTGACAAGATACCCCATTTCTCCAATGATCTTTCCCTACCCTGAGGAACTAAGGCCTTTGAAATAATTTCACTATTCTCCTCCCCAGCGCCCCAGTACCTAAAATGCTTTTACTTCTCCAGCTATCTCCCACTCCTAAATTGTGCTAAGACCATTTATCATTTTTAATTCTTTCCCCTTGCAATATGCCTCTTCTTTTCACAAGAATTCTTACTGAGCCCCTACATCATACATTCCCAGCCATTCTATCATCCATTTGGAGTTTACCATTTGTATTGAACATGTTACATTTTATTACACTTTCCTCTCTTCTTCTTCCCCTGTCTTGCTATCTCTGTTCCAATTCATTTATTACTTGTTTACAACTCTTTGTATTTTCTTCAAGTAATATATGAGAGAATATGGTGACATATTCTTTGACCCTTTGCATGTCCACAGAGTTTCTTGCCCTGGCAGACGGCGACATTTTGGAGGCGAGGGGCTCCTGCCCTGCAGTCTCTCCCCTCAGTGGTCTCTAGATATTGTTCCTTCATTTTCTGGCTTTTGAGTGTTACACATGAGAAATCTGGTGTCAATCTCATTCTTTTTCCTTTGTGAATAACCTGTTCTTTCTTTCTAGATGACAGTTAGTTGTCCTTTCTGTCTTCGGAGTTCGGGAATTTTATGAAGCTAAGCCCAGGGGCGTGTCTTTTCTCATCAATCCTGCCTCTTAATCTGCAAACTCAAGTCTTTCTTCAGCTTAGCAACTTTTCTTCTAAGATTTGATTATTGGTTTCCCTCCATCTCTTCCTTTTTCTGTTTCTGGAACTCCTATATCCATGTGATGGGCCTCTTTGATCTCTATTTCGAGTTGCTTATGTTATTCTTCACAATTTTTATCATTTGTATTTTGGCTCTGCTTTGAGATATTCCTTCCATTTGACCTTCCATTTGACCAGGCCAGTGATTTAGGTCCCAACAATAACCTTTCTTTTCTTCAATTCAATGGATAAGTTGAATTTTTTTAGTTTAAAAATCATGTTTTTAGTTTCAGAAAATCTTTGAGAGCTAAAATAGAAGATCCATGTGTGTTTATGATTTTTTTTTTAATTTTCTATCTCCTCTTGCTCCAGAAATCAGATGCAGCTTCTCACAACTCCTGGCCCCAAGCTTCTGCCCATTCCCCTTAATCCATCACAGATGGGCCCCTGTGTAGCCTGCCCAGGGCCATTTGCCAACTTTCATAAGCTGAGAAACTCTGTCTGCCTCATGGTCTAACCTCATTCACTCATTCATCCAGAAGACATCGCATGAGAAACTATTAATGTGTTACTCAGGCCCCAGGATTGACAACAAACCAGGAAAGAATCAGACCAGCTCCTGCCTTCAAGGAATTCATTTTATGGGAATTTACCTGGCCAGGTGAATAGTCTCACCTGAGGTGAAGATGAGGATGCGGACTGCCTGAGCCCACTGAAATTCACAGCACCACAGGTGTTTTGGGTTTTTTTGTCTTGTTTTGTTTTGTTTTTGAGACGGAGTTTTGTTCTTGTTGCCCAGGCTGGAGTGCAATGGCACGATCTCGGCTCACTGAAACCTCCACCTCCCAGGTTCAAGCGATTCTCCTGCCTCAGCCTCTTGAGTAGCTGGCATTACAGGCACCCACCACCATGCCCAGCTTTTTTTTTATTTTTAGCAAAGATGGGGTTTCACCATGTTGGCCGGGCTGGTCTTGAGCTCCTGACCTTGTCAGGCTGATCTTCTGTTTAAAAAGTGTTTTAGGCATGATTTTAAGGGTTCCAGGAAGATTTCAGTGCCTTGTCCCCTTGTATCCCCTATCTTTCCATTACCTGCAGCCCAAGCATTCCCAGCCATTCCTTCAACTTAAGGCTTTGAATCTGTTCAACTGTAAACAGTCCTGAGAAGGTACCACAGTAAACATGATCAATCATTTGTATCTTAGGCCAAAGGAGCCATTTCTGAGAACAGTTCTGATGAAAGGGGAAGAAAGAGTACAAAGAAAAATGGGTGGCACATTTCGAGAGGGTCTTTGGCAAAGGAGGGCATGCCAAGATGAGGCCAAGCTGGATGGATGAGGGTCTGGAGCACCATCATCTCACAGGGGATGATGAAGCTGGTTGTGTTTGGCTTGGAGAAGAGATGAAAGAGCTGCAGCCGTGTGTGTCTGCAGTATTAGGTAATGCATGTGGGAGAAGTCAACTTGTTCAGTGTTTCTCCAGAGCACAGAGGGAGTGCACTAGGTACGAGTGATAAGCAAATGGACTTTGAATCAGTGGAGAAAGGCACTTTTTAACAATGGAAGTTGCTTGAGAGATAATGTCCTATAAGGTCCTAAGATTTCTGCCCTGATAGTGCAGGAGCAGGGTGTGGAGGCCGGTTGGAGATGCTTGTTTGGGGTGGGTAACCAGACCGGATTACCACTGCGGCCTCTCTTTTCCAATTCCCAACGTTCTGTGATTCTATGGCCCTGAGTTCCCATGGAGGAATAAAGAGGAGTTATCGCCGAGGTGGTAAAAAGGTAAGAACATGAAGACCATGTGTACCAAAAATATGCCACAAGTGCCTTTGCTACTTTTCTAGAGCTTAACCAGTTAGCCATTTGGCCACTTTACCAAAATGCTCAACATGGTTGCTTACATGGACAAAAGCTGGGGACCAACATTATTCAACTCTCCTTGGCATTGACTTTCTCCTTCCCATCACTCTCCTCTCTGAAGGGACTCTCTTTCTGGTCAACCCTCTAAGATCTGCCTGTCAGGAAACTGTCTTCGCAGCCTGAGTTTGTGGTTATATCAGACCAGTGTGCAAACATCGTGGAACATTTGTTTATGCTTTCCTGTATGAGCCTAAACTTTGTTTTCTTGGGTCATAAAGGTTTTGATGGCCTGAGGACAGCTCTAATCTAAAACCAGGTGGGGGCTGGCAGTTTCAGTATGGGCATGATTTCTACTCAATAAACCATGGTCTCATCTGGTAACTTTAAAGGCATTCACATTTTATGTGAGACTTTTTTTACTTGCCTGGTTTTTCCTGTCTCTAGCCATTCAGAGAAGATGAAAGAATACACAGGGAGCCCTTCTACCCCAAGTGGAACTAGAAATTCCAAGACCCCAAGAAGGGGGCAAGGGGGAAAATGACAAGTCCTTTTTAACCCTCTGCAAATTGATAACAAGGACCTCCCAACCCCCTTCTACCGCTGCACAGGCTGCTAGAGCAGAATGAAGCAAAGTAAGCAGCCCTTTGGAGAACTTCCAGCTCCAGCTTGCATTTATTCCACATGGACTTGGGCCCTTTCCCTTGGAGGATCTGACCTTCCCAAGTTTAGCTCCTGGTGGTCAATGCAGGCCTCCTCCCTCTGTAAAGTTGAAAACGTAGAATTGAAGGAAGCCACGAGCATTGTGAAGAAAACCTTGTTCTGAAGCGAATTTCAATTGAGCCTTCAAATAAAGAGTGTAGGCACAAATTGATCTCTTGAAGAGCCCTTGGTATCTGAGCTCTAGCCTTTATCTAGCTCTAGTCAAGGGGACAAGATTATATCTTGGCCTTCTGCTTTCCAAGGCAGCACTTTATTGCCCCACCCTGAGTCTAGTGTTTGTGACAGATACTCACTACATCTTGAAGAACCACAGTTCCATTTGGCTAATGGAATGTGTATGAACTTCCTGAAAGCCTTCTTAAGCAGTCATTTCCTGTCTTTTCAAATTAATGACATATTGCTCACAGGTGGCTCCCTGTTATGTCTGGAATAGGTGGATGCTTAGGTAGCTGGAGTGAGCGCATCTCAAGAAGTTCAGGAGCCCTTGGGAGAAGCCAGGGCAAGAGAACAAGGGACAGCAGCAAGGACTGAGCCAACAGACCAGCCAGCAGGGACAAGAAAAACGTGAAGGCTCCGTGTTAACCAGCAGATAGCCATGGATCCTGAACTAGCAACACAAGGACAGGCCTCCATGCAGGCGACCGACCTCCCCTCCACACCATTCCCCACCACTCCTTGGAATGTGGGGGCCTGCTGGGCTCCTCCCACCCCCTTTGTTTGCTTTCCTTCCTCACAAGGCCCTCGTGATTAGGACCCCTCTTCAACAGTTCCAAAACACCTGGCACAGTGGGAAGGGGGCCTTTGACGTCAGTGGGGGAGTTTGTCTACTCAGGTGTAGCTAATTTCCTCAGAGTGAGGTTTTGCTTCTGAACCTGGGTAGGCTGCCTCACACCCCACCACTGAGTGTGTGTATGTGAAAGTGGCAGGGCAAAAGCTTGGGGGTTGATGCATGACCCATCATACTCACAAAGCCAAACAAAACATGTTTGGATTGGGCCCCCTCCCCAAACTCCAGGCCCCCAGACCCTATGGCCTCATGGGACTTGCAATGGCCAGCTCCCTAATATATAGATCTCAGAATTCTTCCTGCTGGTGGGGGTTCGTCACACCCTTCTTGCTCTGAGAGGGTCCTGCAGTGAGCCTCCAGGTCCCCAGGACCCCAGTCAGCAGGAATCAGAAGGAAGAAAGGTCTGAAAATTTCCATAGAACTAGAAAGGCAGCATCTAGTATTGGGCTGTGCAGAAATTTCCATTCAGATGCTGATGGCAATACTGTTCCCCAGCCTGTGCCCTGCCCCTATGGGGAATTAAGGGAGTTTATTGAGGTGGGAAGGCAAATTGGCCCCCTGAGGGGATAACACTTAAATAATAGCTTTAAAGGCAAATGCTGGAGCGAGAATTCTAATGAGAGGTGCAACTGGGAGGTAACCTGTGGGACAACAGGGAAGCTACCAGACAGTCCCCAGCTCTGCCTCTTTAAAGGAAACCTACCTGATCCAACCAGGTCGGGGGAACCATGGTAGCTGAAGCTAGTCCTCCCCAGGGAGTTTAGGAAATAGTCTTTTGGCAGGAATGCTGGGGGGGACGTGGGTGAGCTGCAGAAGGGGCATTTGTCTTTCTTCTCCCTGATCCTCCATGGTACCCTTCCTCAACTGGCAGACGTGCGCCAGGCAACAGGTTCAGGGAACGCAAGCTAGTGAATTTATAGCAAGTCAGACAGAGGATGAGCTGGAGGGCTCAGGGAGGTGAAGGGGTTGGTGTTTAGGAGAAGTCACAGCACCTGAAGTTGAGGACCAGAGACGCCGCCCAATCAGAAGGAAGCTGCTTCTTTCTAGTCCCGATGATCTAGATTCCTCCTACTGCGTGCAGGAAATCAAAAGGAGCCCAGGTAAGAAGTCCTGGGGGAGAGAGCTGAACCAGGTACACGTCCTAGCCAACAAAACCACTTAATTCTTCAAAGGAAGAGAAGAAAGAAAGGCTAGTCTTGCTCTGTTTCTTCCTTCTGTTGAACTGCATCTGGGGAAGACAGTCCTGGGGTGGGAACCTTACTAAGAATTCCAGAGACAACATAGATTTTGGAAGCTTCGAGCTGGGTAGGCTTTAATAGATGAGGAAACCACGGCTTGTACAGAGACTTGTCCAGGTGGTAAATGAGGCTGGACAAAAGTCCAAGTGTCCTAACTCATAACCCTGAGTACTTCCTGCTCACCTGCTGATGAAACAGGCTCATCCATCAGCCCTCAAATCCCTCACCACCACACACACCCACTGGATGAGCCTTCTCGTTATTTGTCATCCTTTCCATGACTCTATGACCCACAGCTGTGACATCAGTTTGGTTTCCAGGGCAGCACTGTGCTGAGTTGGGCCTCTGGGATGTCACCTCTGGCTAATGAGATAGAGCTGAATACCTTCTGCCCACGATTCATTACCTGCAGCTTCCACGGAAGATGCTTCTGCTCCAGGCTCCTTGGCCTCTCTCCTCAGTTCCTGTACCCCTTCCTCAGAAACACCAATAGAACTGGGTTCTCCAGTGTCCACAAATGTCTTAACATCCCAGCTCCTAACAACCTGTCTCCTCAGGGTCCCCCTTTTACATACTCAGATTACTGTAGACCTAGTCTGTGCAGCCACTGACAGTGGATGTGTCTGGAAGACAAATAGCCATGCCATAAGGAACAACATCCCAGGATATTGAAGTTCTCTGATCAGAGAATGGACAGCCTTGTAAAGTATGTGATATCCTCCAAAACCAGCACCAAACGATATAAGCCTTGGTGAACTTGGTGAGGGAAAGCCATCCTGTGAGGCATGAATGTGCCCAGATGTGATAGGTAGTGTCCGGCCTCTACCTACTATCACCACCCTGGCCTCGTTGGACCCCTTCTCTCAAATGTATACAATGTCCACACCCTTCTGTGTGGCTACATTTACTCTAAAGTGCCTGATTGGTATTGGCTTTCAGGATCATTGTGTTGACAAGGATTCTGAGGCTGTATCTAGACTTACAGGGAAAGAGTGCTGGGATCAATTAGCTACGTCTGCCATAGGTTGCCATAGCTTCTGCATAGCTATGTCTGCCATAGGTAGCGCAGAAGAAGGCATAGAAGAGCATGTGGAGAAAGAGAGTATGAAAGAGAAGCCAGTATACAATTGCTCAGAACTTTCTATGGCCTTTCAGGGGGTATTGCGATTGGGATGACACACAGGTGTTCATTATTTTTTGGTAATTTTTGTAACTCCTTTTGAGATACAAAATAATTCTTAATTTTTTTAATTTAAAAAGTTGCAAATCCATTGATATCATTTGAGAAGGCTCCAACTGTCTGTAAAACACCTACCATTGCAGGAGTAAATAATCCAAAACCAGGAGGTCAAAAACTTGCTTCCTAACTGATCAGCTGTGTGGCCTCAGGTAAGCCACTTATCTCTGGGCCTCAGTTTCCTTCTGCCAATGCTCAAACTCAAAGGATCACTTGGTTACACGGAATTGCTAATTCCAAATAGTTTCATTAGATTGGAATGTATGTATTGAATACTTTTTATGTGCATTGTAACTAACAATAGGAAACTCCACTGCGGCCTCAACTTCAAAAGGTGTAGTCTAGAGTAACCTCTGCAAATACAATGGGAATTCAAGGGCTGGAATCATCCATATGGCCAAATAAGCCAAGGATGTCTTCATGGAGGAAGTAGAACACAAACCAGACCTTGAAAGATGGATAGAACTTAGGCAAGAAGAGGGATGGAGGGAGAACAGAGGGCCAGTGATAAGGCCAGAACACCTTGGCAGGGTGTGCGTTGGGAAAGAAAAGGGTGAAGCTTGATGAAGTTGTTGTAAACACATCAGGAAAGCCAGGCAGAGGAATTTGAGCACAATATTCTTGGCAATAGGGAGCATGTAGGTTATTGAGTAAGAGAGTGACATAATAACATGGTCTAGCCGCTGAAGCTAAGAATGGATTGAAAGAGGAAAGATCAAAATTAGGAAGACTGATGATACAGACATGCAATTCTGAGGGTGTGGGCCAGGGTAGGAACAGTGAGAAGAGAGTGCAAAGTCATTCTGGAGAAAAATCAGTCTGGTGTCCCGCAGTTAGAGATGGGGTGCTCTGACCTTTGTACTCTCTTTAACCTCATTTATGAGGCTTTATCATCAGGCATCATGAGGTTCAATAAGGCATCAACTTATTTATGCTAATTAACGTCTTCCCCATGGAATAAGCCAAAGACACCGAAAGAAATGAGATTTAGGCTAGTCCTTTGGCCAACAAGTGAGCTGCGTGGGAAGGAGAAGAGAAAGTTTAAAGCATTTGCTGTGAGGATGAGTCTCGCTTCTTTCAAGGTAACAGTGACTCATACCCCCACCTTCTTAAAAATAAAAAATTGGCTAATGGATTAAGAAGTTGAGCCTTCCAAGTAATTTTATCTCCAAGTGTTCCCATGGACCTGGTCTTCCTCTTCATTCCATGCATCTCTCATCCACCTCCCAGTCCAGATAGGAAGTCTCAGGAAGACTGGGGTTTTTCTTGAGGAAAGGGAGCCATGGTTTAAAGAGAAATAGATTCGAGAATACCTACCTTAGGCCATTATATTCCAAAGCAGAGTTGAATTGAAAGATTTTGACTAGGCCGGGCACAGTGGCTCACGCCTGTAATCCCAACACTTTGGGAGGCAGAAGCGGGTGGATCACCTGAGGTCAGGAGATTGAGACTATCCTAGCTAACACCGTGAAACCCCATCTCTACTAAAAATACAAAAATACAAAAAAAAAAAATTAGCTAGGAGTGGTGGCATGCGCCTGTAGTCCCAGCTACTCAGGAGGCTGAGACAGGAGAATTGCTTGAACTCTGGAGGCGGAGGTTGCAGTGAGCCGAGATCACGCCACTGCACTCCAGTCTGGGTGACAGAGCGAGACTGTGTCAAGGAAAAAAAAAAAAAAAGAAAGGAAAGAAAGAAAAGGAAGGAAGGAAGGAAGGAAAGAAAAGAGAGAGAGAAAGAAAGGAAAGAAAAGAAAGAAAAGAAAAAAGAAAGAAACTGAACTTCCAATGGGGAGTAAGGTTTAGGGAAATAAATCTTAGACTACAAGATAAGAGAGAAGAGACACCTATGTCTTATCTACACTCAGCTCTGCCAATAGCTGTGTGGCCTAGGGCAAGTCATTCCATTTCTTGTGGCCTCAGTTTCCAAATCTGTAAAATGGGAGAGCTGGACAAGATCATCTCAAAGCCTTTTTCAATTCTAACATCCAATGCCTTAGAGAGTTTAGAGAATGATCTTTGAAAATTTCAACTAAATATAACTTCACAGAAAAAGGTACCATCCCACTTACCACCCACAAGTATCCATATCGCACACACAGAGAATAGCCTAGGAAATTACAAGTCTTAGTACAAAGCTCAACTTCCATGTGGAGAAACATTGTCCAAACTGTGGCCAAAGCATAGTCAGTCAAAGCATAGAACTGGTTGTAGAAAAAAAAAAGATCAAATTATACGTGATGTGTCACTTCAAAGACAGTGGTTCTGGTATTGCAGCAAGGAAATTGCCTTGTGGTGTGTGGGTGTGTCCACAAACAACAGATCAGAGGAGTAAGAGGCCCAGGAAGCTGGGGAGGGATGGCAAATAGGTCTTGATGGTAGCCTCTCATGCTCCTTATGTTGGACATTGCAACTGAAAGATGGACAACATCAATCCCCCCCTAGGAGAGAGTAAATCTTGTTCAAAACCTGAGAAAGGGCCAGGTGTGGTAGCTCACGCCTGTAATCCTAGCACTTTGGGAGGCAGAGGTATGCAGATCACCTGAGGTCAGGAGTTCGAGACCAGCCTAACCAATATAGTGAAACCTTGTCTCTACTAAAAATACAAAAATTAGCCGGGTGTAGTGTCTCACACCTGTAGTCCCAGCTACTCGGGAGGCTGAGACAGGAGAATTGCTTGAACCTGGAAGGCGGAGGTTGCAGTGAGCCGAGATCATGCCACTGCACTCCAGCTTGGGTGATACAGCGAAACTCCAACTCAAAAAAAAAAAACCTGAGAAAGACAACTCACAGAAAGTGTAGAGGCATGGACCTGTTTGGGTAAAGGTTGATATTCAGAAAGAGGGTAGATTATTATTTCCCCTCTGAAAGAAGTCACATATGATTTAGGTTTATTTTGTTCCTCTCAAAGAAATTGTAATAAGTGTTATAACTTTATTTCACCAGTGGGCACTTCTATGAAATCTTTTTTTTTTAACCTCTGATATTTGAACAGTTGGCATGAGTTAGAGGCATGAGTCCTTCAGGATCACTACTCCCAAGGAAAGTGTTCCTGAACAAATCATCATGGCTCATAACTGTTCTTTCCTTCTCTGAGTCAATCAAAAGAAAGCACCATTGGCCTCCTGCCTATTAAAACACAGGATGATGGCAATCCTCGAGGGCAGGGACCGTGCCCCTGAAATGGTCCTGAAAGGCCCCCAGGGTGAAGCTACATGCACCGGGACACTTAATAAGGCTTGTTAGAGGAGGGGAGAGCAGCAGCTCCTACACCAAGCAGGTATGCCGAGGAGTTACTCAGCTGCTGAGGCTCACCCACAGGTTTTCCAGGACATGCGTGTAACTGCCCAAGAGAGCCACCCCTGACCTCCAAGCAGCCAGGTGCTGTAGCAGAGTCCCTGGGCTCAGGCCCTCTGGCCATAAACATCATCTGTTTACTGCACCATGCTGTACAAATACTATTTTTAATGTGTGCCATGATATTGGAGGTGAGGGGGTGGCAAAAAGTGATTAAGGCAATTATTGAGTGCTTATTGTAAACAAAATTTACTCTTGAGCTATAGAATGCCCAGCCTCACCTCAAAAGAGCTTAGGGTTTCACAACCAGACGGAATGGACTTATGTAATATCTTAGGAACCAAAATAAACCACAGGGAGCCAGCTCTCCATCTTCCATGGCCTATTTTCTTCTCTTTCATTAATTGAGTTCTTCCAGCTACTCTTTCAGAGCTCCTGTGTTTCTTGTTAGTTGATCATAAATGACCAACCTTTATATCACCGTCTATAAACTTCCACTCTTTTATCCAAGTAACACTAGAAATAATCAATCCTTGCCCTGCAATTTCCAAAGCCTCACACAATTCAGATATAACTTTTATCAGTCTATGAAGGACTCTCACCTATATTTCAGTGTCTATCAAACATTTAACATTTATACTAAGATACATTATTTTACAAAAACTGTTTGTACCCTGAAATATCTAATGACTTTGTCCATTATACTAGTCAGAAATTAAAATACAGGCTGGACGTGGTGGCTCATGCTTGTAATCCTGGCATTTTGGGAGGCCGAGGCAGGAGGACCACTTGAGCCCAGGAGTTTGGGACCAGCCTGGTCAACATAATGAGACACTGGCTCTACAAAAAAAAAAAAAAAAGAAAGAAAAGCCATGCATGGTGAGGCATGCTTGTAGTCCCAACAATTCCGAATGCTAAGGCAGAAGGATCACTTGAGTTCAGGAGTTTTAGGCTGCAGTGAGCTATGATTGTACCATTGCACTCCAGCCTGGACAATGAAGCAAGATCGTGTCTCAAAAAAATATTAAAATGCATAGGATAATTATCCCTCAGTAATGTGTTCAACAAACTACAGTATACCACATTCATGATAGTTAGTGGGGAGCCAAGCAAGGTAAAATGGCATAATCCTGGCTGTCAAAGATCTCACCATCCTACAAAGGTGACAAGTCAAGAACATATGATTAACTCTTAGCAAGGTAAGAGTCAATGCAGGTAGGTGTAAAATGCCAGGTGTGCCCTAACGATAAGGAGCTATCTTGCCTGGAGCAGAGGGGCCTAGTTCCATCAGAGGAATGTGTCCTCCCTCAGGAGATACCAAATGTTCACACATTTGAACACTGCAAATTTATTTTCCAGCGCATTTCGTAAGCATTATCTCATCTCCATAACAATATCAGAAAGAAATGGCAGGTACCCCTCTGAGATATCTGTCATCATTTACAGTTTGGGTTTGCAAGGTCAACCCTACAGGGTCTGTATATTTCTTTCTGGGAGAATTTCATGCCTGCCATTGAGGAAACTGTCAGTGGGATTATGTGACTTGCAAAACACCATGCAGAAATTAGTGACTTCTGGTTCCCACCAGTGTTACTGTTTTCTTTTCTCCCCACCTCACCAATGGCACACCTCATTTCTAAACATTTGATAGACATGTTCATAATCTTCTTGAAAGTGTCTTTATCCACGATGAAAGTCCTAAGAATTTGTCCCAGAGGCCAGTGGTAAATTGCTTTATCACCTTCACTGTAAGTGTCTGCACAGACTTGAGAAGTTTGCTATTTTATCTCTAATCTTCTTTGTGGCATCTGTTCCCCTCTTCCATTCTCAACTCTTGGCTGCCACATCGTGAGGAGCTGCTGCCCTCCCTGGGTGGTCTATAGCCCAGCACTCCAGTCTTGGCCATGTGAGAAAGGTACTTTCTGTTTTTGATTTTTGCAGCTGGGCCATCAACTCTAGGAACACATAGCACAGAATCTGGGCTGCTAACTGTGAAGAATCAGGGAGTGGAGGCTGAGCCACTGGCCTTCTGTAGCCATGTCAGCTCTGCCAGGGCAATCACCTACCCACCCATCCAAAGACCTTCCATCAGCAAGCCCAGCACTCTCCACCTGTGTTACTATGGCTGACTCCTCAGTGAACAAATCTGGAGTATCTTAACAACCGGTAACTTTCCAGGTAGATGTTGCCTTGTTTTGTTAAACTGGAGTGCCTCTTTGGATATATGAAGAATAACATTGGTTAGTAAATGGTGTTTGTCATGCCCTCCGATATCCAGGTACAGGCCCTAGACTAAAAGGAAAACTCCTTTCTTGCACCAAACAGGTCTGTGCCTTTCGATATAATGCAGCATCAGGGTGGAAAGAGCAGTGAATTGGGAACTGAGAGACCCAAATGCAATTCCTAGCTTTGCCAGGATTAATGAACTGTATGATTTGGGTGAGTTAATTTCTCTGAATGGGGAAGGTGAACTGTGATCTTGAAACTCCCATTCAGTTCTGAGTTTATGATTCTAAGGTCAAACTAGGATTACCAAGGGGATGACTAGGGTAGCAGACACTTGGCATATGAGGAACAAGAAGCAGTGGACTGGCAGAGGTGCCTTCCCAGTCTGGCAGACATGCTCTGGGGAATGGCACTATGGGAGAACGCCCCACTTGGTCAGGTGATGCAATGATACCCCTCATCATCCTGCATGAACCCTGCCTGCACAGACGTCCCAGGACAAGTTGACACTCCAGGTATCTCTGAAATGCAGAGTTGAGGGGCACTTCTCAGTCTTGGGAGTTACAGCTCAACACTGACCCCTGGACAGGATGCTGAAACAGTAGCTGCTTCTCCATCCTGAGCCAGAGGGAAGGGACACGATCAGGTGTGTAAACTTTCAGCATAAAAATATAGACAAGGCTGGGCGCTGTAGCTCACGCCTGTACTCCCAGCACTTTGGGAATCCCAGATGGGTGGATCACGAGGTCAGGAATTCAAGACCAGCCTGGCCAAGATGGTGAAACCCTGTCTCTACCAAAAATAGAAAAATTAGCCGGGTGTGATGGTGGGCACCTGTAATCCCAGCTACTCAGGAGGCTGAGGCAGGGAATTGCTTGAATCCGGGAGGTGGAGGTTGTAATGAGCTGAGATTGTGCCACTGCACTCCAGCCTGGGTGACAGAGCAAGACTCCGTCTTAGAAAAAAAAAAGTGTAGACAAGACCTGCTTTCCTTAATCATGCATGCCCCACAGACCCTCTTGTTGTTGGCCCTGCTATGTTCTGAGCTTTGCCATAGTTGTTTCTACATAAGCAGTGTGATCTACCCCAGTGCTTTCCAGCTTTCGTATGCACACGAATCAGCTGGAGATCTTGTTAAAAGCCAATTCAAATTCAGTAGTTCTGGGGTAGGGCCTGAGATTCTGAATTCCAAGCAAGCTCCCTGGTCCACAAACCAGACTGAGTAGCAAAAATGCAGAGAAAAGGATTGGGAGCTGAGTCATGTGACTCACCATTTGTAGGATGCTAAAGAAATCACTCTGAGCCTCAATTTTCCACCTTTTAGTGATAATATATAGTGCCCATTCTATTCAAGGCACTGCTGAAAAGGCCAAATGAGTCAACCCAGAAAATATGCAGATGTAATAGTGTGAATGTTTTCTACTGTTCCAAGCAGCTGCTGGACCATCTAACTCTAGTGTGTACTGGAGCTCCAAGCAGAGCAAGGTAAAACTGCATACCCCCCAGGATCACCAGATTTTCCAATTACGAGACCTGGGTGTGGGTGAGGCAATAGGGCTAGGAGCATGCACTTTAACAAGACACCAAGATAATTCAATGCTGTCAGTTCTTGATCCACACATTGAGAGACCCTATCCCAAGTGATAAGAGTGCTCTGCTCTCCCAATAGTGTGAAAACTGAACATAATAAGGTACAGCAGAGTGCTTCTTGTAGCTGATTACAGACTCAGCACTCCTAGCTCCCCATAAATTGGTATTGGTCAGGCTTTAATAAGCACAGAATTCACCCAGTGGCTCTTGTTAAAATACAGATTCTGATTCCATCAGTCTTGGTTAAGGCCTGAGATTCTGCATTTCTAACAAGCTCCCAGGCAGATGATGCTGATGCTACTGGTCCAGGGACCACAGGGACCACACGTTGAGTAGCAAGAGCTGATGTCAGTTCTCAGCCCAAGCTGCATATTGGAGCCATCTTTTAAATACCATGGGCATTCAAAACTTTAATTTTTTTAAACTGGTCTGAGGTGGAGCTCAGGCATTTTTTTAAAGCACCTGGGTGATTCTAACATGCAGGCAGTTTTGGAACTCCCTGCCACAGATGAAGTCCAAGACGCTGGCTGCCACCTGCTCATGCCAGTGCAAGTTGCAGCTAAATGGGTCTTAGAGTGCTTCCTTGCACACTAAGAAATAAGGCAAACTGCTCATCCATTTCTTGACAGACTATAACTTGGGTTACTGTGGGGAGAGGAAGTAGAAGTTTTAATGGGAGAAATAGAGAAGCTAAGTGTTTTATGCAGAGACTGATGCAATGACTACTCCAGCTTCAGGCTTCACTGCTCTCTCCTTTCCAGCATCTGTGTGATTTTTCCCAGCTCTCTGCTTGGCTCTCTCAGGTGCGGACTAGGTGGGACACTGACCTGTCTTGTTTTGCCCCTGGCTAGGAGGCGGTGGGGAGCATCCACCCACAGCAGGCCCAAAGGTGGAGGAGGGCTCGGAGGCTGTGCTCTCCAAGCACAGGAGTGTATTTCACATCGAGTGGTCATCCATTCGGAGGAGGAGCAAAGGTGTGCATGTCCTCCCCCTCACGCTTGGATCCCTGCCTTCCTAGTCTCTAATAAAACAGGGACAATGGCAATACCTACTTCACAGGGTGGTGGGGAGACCCGCTGGAGTCAGACTTGACCTCTCACACCTGACGTCTGACCAAGGCCACAGTTCCCCGAATGCGTCTGGATGCCCCCTGGGTCTCGGAGAGGCTGAAGCTGGGACAGGCAGTGAGATTCTGGGGTCTCAACCTGGCTGCACATTGGAATCACCTGCATCCCATCCCAGTGACTAGTTTAATTCATCTGCAGAGCAGCCTGGGTGGGCATCAGGAGCTTCTAAAGCTCTCCAGGAGATTCTAATTTGCCAGCAAATCAAAAACCACTGGTCTAGGAGGCTAGAGATGAACAGTTCCCATCTATGGCAATGGTGGGGAGGCCAAGGGCACAGGTAGAGACCCATGGTGGGGAAAGTGCTGCCAAAGGCCAGGAAGAGGGTATCCAAGGGCCGCTAAAGCTGAACAAGTGGAGGCCAGAAATTTGGACGTGGAAGCTGAGAACATGTGGCAGCAAACAGGGAGGAGTCTGGGGAGGTTTCCTCAACCAGCTGCAAGGTTGGAGCAGCCTCATGAAGATCCAGGACACAGGGACCATCTAATCCTGCCTCCAATCCCCAGAGAGGGGGCAGCATTGCCCAGAGTCACACAGCTGACTAGGGCCACTGTTGGGAATAAAAGTGACTCCCAAGTTAGTGCAACATCACATGCTCCCCAGAAGATGCCTGAATGACCTTCTTCCTCCAGCTCCCCCAAGTCTCATCATTTCATACCACAAGTCAGTTAGCCCAGAGAAATGGACTTTGAGTGAATATGGGAAAATACACGAGGTGGAGAGGGGATTGCCGAGGACATTGCACATCTCAAGGGCCCCTGTAGCTCAGGAGTTTGTCTTTGATAGAGGTTCCCCAGCAGAGTGTGGAAGAGACCACGGTTTGCCTCAAAGGCTTAATAAATTCCTCCTAACATCGTCTCAGGATAGGGGCTGTGGTTGGGGAGAGCATAGTAGAGAGCCCTGCAGCACTGGCAGGCAGAGAGGAGCTTCAGACAGAAACAGCGGGTCAGTGGGGATATCACACACAGGCCTCCAATTTCAAGGGATCCCTTCTGCTTCCTACTCTTCCTTTCAAAGCTTTCAAAATGAATTTGTTTGTCCTGAATGGTGTCACCTCCCAAACACACTGGTATCTGCAGTCCCTGTCCCTTCAGAAGTGGGAACACAGTGCCTTCGATGCATCCCTTCTAGTGTTTTGACACCCTGACGACTCATGAGTGCAGAACGGGGGAACAGGCAATTCAGTCTGAAAACACAGGGTAGTCAGAGCCCAGCCTGCTATTCTCACACTTGACCACAGGAGGGAACCAAAGCATCAAGAAGGAAACTTCCAGGGGCCTGAACATCTTTCAGGATGCATAAAACCCTACTGAAATTGGTGGTCTCTAAAAGTAAATTACCTGTAATAATAAAAATGTTTAGATCCACATTGCAAGAGTTTTCTACAATTACAAAGGCTTGCCAAAATCTGCTTCAAGAGATTACATGGATGTCTCTTGTCCTAATCCCACCAGCCATTGCTACTACAATACCTTAAAAAAACAAAAACAAAAACAAACAGAACAGCCTGAGGTCATCCAGGTGAGGAGAGTCATGGCCAAATTCAAACACAGATTATGCATGGCTCATGGCTCAGGCAGCTTAATACTTTATGAACAGGAAGTGAAGGGCTTCAACAACAACCAAGTTTCTTTTTTTTTTTTTTTTTTTTTTTTTTTTGTTCACCTTCAAGTTCTCCATGTGGAACAGGAGAAAGAACCCTGGATTCCGGGATCAAGCACAAGTCACTGTCTCTCCAGGCTGCTGTTTCCTCATCTAAAAAATTATCAAGGTTGAGCTAAATGAGGGCTTCTTAATTAAAAGTTAGTGGAATCTCTGAGCTCCCTAAATTCCTTGTAAAATGCCCTGTTTATATGAAGATGTACACTTTTTCCCCAAAGCGAGGGCCCAGATGGATCCATGACCAGTAAAAGAACAAAAGAGCCTTCGAGCTGCAAGGCCCCATGATTCTGTGCTTCCTCAGTAGGAACAGGAAATACTGCATAATCTTAACACCTCTTGAGCCTTGCAGGACATTAGCTTCTGAGGTGCCAGAGTAGAGGTGTCCTAACTGATGGTGCTCTTTCCTTCTAACTCCAGTGTTTGGAAAAGGCGAACACCAGGAAAGACAAAACAAAGACCCATTTCCCTATCGATACCGGAAGCCCACAGTCGAGCTGCTTGTGAGTACTGAGTGTCCTGAATCAGGGACAGCGCCCTACAGTCACAGAGCCCACAGCAGATGAGGGAGCTGAGAGCTGTAAACAAGGTTCTCCGATTTAGGCAAACTTTTCTTGCATTCGTATTTTCTGAAATGTAATTACCTGGGACAAAAATGTCTCTTTCACAGTTTACTTTGTAACTTTTCATATTCCTTGTATTTGAATTATTATCAGGCTTCCTTTAAACCCAGTATTCAAGCATTTAGGAAATAAGCTGGTGCCTGTTTTCAAAAACAGAATCTTCACATGTTCAATTTCATACCCTTATGTTTATGAACAGTTATATCTTAAAGACTAGACATGCCAGGGAGAAAGCCATTTCTTCTGGAAAGAGTATTAATGTTAAAAAAAAAAAAAGACTAAAAATCTGTGGTTAATCTCAGTTCTACTGTTTGACCTTGACCTTTGAAAATGAGAACCTCCACTTGCCAGAGTCCTCCTCCACAGAACGAAAGTAAAGATGTTATCTTACTGTGCCTCACGGTAGTTAACCTATTAGATGAGGTCATGTGTCAAACAAAAGACAGTCTAATCTACAGAAACAGGGAGGTTAAACAGCAATTTAATGAAATACCAAATGACAATCTTATTTGGTCCCTGAGTGACCACAAACATGAATTCTCAGTGTAAGAACCACCGAATGTGGGAGACTCTTGCCTATCTCTGTCCTGGACAGGATCTGGACACCATGGAGGAGAGCTCTGAGATAAAAGTGGAAACAAACATTTCCAAGACATCCTGGATTCGGAGTTCCATGGCTGCCAGTGGGAAAAGGGTCAGCAAAGCCCTCAGCTACATCACAGGAGAGATGAAGGAGTGTGGAGAGGGACTTAAAGGTAAAATTCTATGAGAACAACACTGACCCTGACCCTAAAAACTCACCTCCACCCATCCCCAGGAAACCCATTGCCATGGGGGTTCCCTATAGACTAGACTTAGACTAGACTGCACTCTGTTACTGTGGTCTTTCCTGGAAGCTGGGAGTTTTGCTGTTAAAACAGACATACAGCCTCTTGAACTATAAATAGCAATACATGCAAGAGTGTGAGCTCATGAGCTCTCATTTCTGAACAGAACACTTCTGCTATCTCAAATATCCCATCTGAATATTGCAGACAGGTGTTTTTCGCATTGGGATTCTAGAGCCAGCATTCTAGAAAAACGCCATCTGGATGGTTCATGGGAGAACTGTGTCTACCATGCCAATAGGTTCTCTTTAGCAATCTTTCCAGAGCTCAGCCCATGGGTTTAATGCCCTCTATGCAGCAAGAACATGTTCTTGAAAATTCATGGTACCACCACAGGGGTCAGAGGCAGCTCAGGGCACCTAATCCCCCCTGCCAGAAAAACAACCTGGAGGTCACATCTGGCTGGTGATGGGTCTCAAGAGTTTTCTTGGCAGTCAGATGCTCTCTTGAGTTCCTTGTTTACCATCTTTGGTGGCAGGTGACAGCAGGTGGCTGGCTTCCTGCAAACCCACTTCGGATATCCAGATTCCCTCACACCCTCCATCTGCCCACCCAGGGCTGCCCACACTGAGCACTTGCCTACTTCCTGCCCCGGTTCCATTTCAGACAAGTCCCCAGTGTTCCAGTTCTTTGACTGGGTCCTCCGAGGCACATCTCAAGTGATGTTTGTGAACAACCCCCTCAGCGGCATCCTCATCATCCTCGGCCTCTTCATCCAGAACCCCTGGTGGGCGATCTCAGGCTGCCTGGGTACCATCATGTCCACCTTGACAGCCCTCATCCTGAGTCAGGACAAGTAAGTCCCAGAGGCTCAGGGTCCAAACATGTAGCCAAGAAGTCACTCCCCATGGGGACCATTCTTCCTCTTCCCAGCTGAGAAATCCTCAAAATAAGGACACTGACAACTAAAAATGACTGTTCCCTGGTTATTTTGTCATAGCAACATATTTCTAGAGAAATATGAAGGATTCATAGGGTTGTCTTCCTTCCCCACTCCCAGAAGGGTGGTCTATTTGAAGGCGTGTGTAGTCAGGCCCCAGATAAAAAGAATCTGACTCAATAGGAAAATGTAAAGGGCCCTGGGGAAGCCCCTGCTCCACCTGACCCTCCCTCTCCTGCCAGGTCGGCCATCGCTGCAGGATTTCACGGCTACAATGGGGTGCTGGTGGGGCTGCTGATGGCCGTGTTCTCAGACAAAGGTGACTACTACTGGTGGCTGTTGCTACCCGTCATCATCATGTCCATGTCTTGGTAAGTTTGCTTTTGAAGGGTTGTGGGTTCATATCAATGGCCACCAACCTTTTCATCCCAATCCCATGACCGTCTGTCTAAACGTGATATTAAAGTGGCATGTATTTAGCTTGCACATCAGAAATGTCCACTGGACTAATAACTAAGTTTATACCATGGTAGCCCCATGCTAGGTCTATACACAGTATCCCATTAGCGACCACCCTTTATTATTCTTTTAAGATCTAAATGGTTTTTGGTCTCACCCTGCCAGAGTGCAGAGAAAGAAACTGAGGCCCACATTGGTTAAGAGCTGCACTATAGGGTCCTGTCAGTTTCTGGAAATCTTTTCAACCCTCCCCTACCCCGGCTTTTCTAAATCCTTGGGACCCCTGAGCAGACCAAGACCACCTCCCAGGGTAGGCTGAAGGCCCAGCCATGGGGAAGCCCTCAGTGCCTGCTCTACCCCATGTTGAGAAAACACAGGGCACCCTGGCCACAAAGCCCATGCACACAGCCACTCAAAAAAACATTTGTTGAATGAATGTGATTCCCTCCCCTCGGCCTCCCCAACCTGATGCCTGGGGATGGAGCTATAGGATTCCTGAAGGAAGTTCTGAGACTGCCTGCCTTATATCTTCTTCTGAAGTTGAGTCTGGGTGCCCCACCCTGTCACTGTGCAGGGAGGAAGAGGCCCAGGGAAAGACCTGCTCAGGGCCAGTCAGGCTCCAGAGAATACCCAGCAGGCTGCTTTTCTCTAGGAAGGCACAGGGAGCCCCCACTGCAGCACAGTCTAGTGTTATGACCAGGCGGCTTCCTGACCAGCATCTCTCATGCTTCTGCCATCAGCCCCATCCTCTCCAGTGCCCTGGGTACCATCTTCAGCAAGTGGGACCTCCCAGTCTTCACACTGCCCTTCAATATCACTGTGACTTTGTACCTGGCAGCCACGGGCCACTACAACCTTTTCTTCCCCACAACGCTGCTGCAGCCTGCATCCGCCATGCCCAACATCACCTGGTCAGAGGTCCAAGTGCCCTTGGTACGTATCATGGAAGGAGGAAGGGCAGGTCTGTCCACACTGGATGTTACTGGCATTTGCATATTTTGCACATCAGAAACATCCACAAGTAATAATTTTTAACAATTACACAGTACCAAGCATTCTACATATATATCTCATGAGCTGCCATCCTTTTCTACTTCTGAGAGCAAAAAGGGCTAGTTTTGGTCTCACTCTATGATAGCACAGAGAAGGAAACTGCGGCCACGTTAAGAGACCTGCCTTAGGTCTTACAGCCAATTAGGGAGGAGCAAAGTCAAGACTAGAACTTCAGCCTCCTGACTTCCAGCCTGGGCTCTTTGTGGATGTTTAAAAAGTCTTTTTGAGGCTTACAGCTTGCGTTGTGCATTTTCTTTCATTCAATCACACGGAATCATTCAAGTCGTACACATCATGCTACCATCTATTGGCTTAAGAAGTCGTTGTTCCAACCTCCAGAGTTTATTCCCTTCACTCACCAAAGCTGGGCCTGGTGGCACATGCCTATAGTCCCAGCTACTCAGAAGGCTGAGGTGGGAGGATCGCTTGAGCCCAGGAGTTTGAGGCTGCAGTGCGCTGTGATTGTGTCACTGCACTCCATGAGACTCTATCTCCAAAACAAAAACAAAAACCCCAAAATCAAATCGTTTTCTTGCTAAATACTGGTGCTTCTCAGTGTAAACTCAGGGCTTTTTCTACTACACCATGCTGTTGGTTTTAAAGCACAGGTGTTCTTTCATTAAGAAACATATAACAGAGCTTTTAAAGTTTTTTTTAATAAGTATTCTGTATATAATCCTGACCTCTGGAAGTCAGCCAAGGTGATTAATAAGAAGCTGCACTCACAGTATTAAGTCAGCCTAGAGAAATGTGCCTATTAGCCAGCCACCTTATCTAACAAGGCACGTTTTCTCCAAGGCCCTCCTACTTTCCGTTACACGAAACGGCTCCACAGTCTGGCGCTCACTCTGAGACTTCGTTATTGGCAACTCATCATCTGACCACAAAATCACTTGGGCTTGTTGAAGGAACTTTCTCTAAAATAATGATGCCTCGTTTCTCTTAGCTTTCCACAGTAAGCAACAGCGTGGTGTAGTAGAAAGAGCCCTGAATTTACACTGAGAAGCACCAGTATTTAGCAAGAAAACTATTCGATTTTGGGGTTTCTGTTTTTGTTTCAGAGATAGAGTCTCATTCTGTCACCCCGGCTGGAGTGCAGTGACGCAATCACAGCTCACTGCAGCCTCAAACTCCTGTGTTCAAGGGATCCTCCCACCTCAGCCTTCTGAGTAGCTGGGACTACAGTCATGTGCCACCAGGCCCAGCTAATTCTTTATATTTTTTTGTAGAGATCGCTCTTGTCATTGTTGCCCAGGCTGGTCTCAAACCTCTGGCCTCAAGCGATCATGCCACCTCAGCCTCCCAAAGTGCTGGGATTACAGGCGTGGACCATTACACCTGGCTGAGAACTATTTGTGTTAGTCGGATCCTTGATCATTTTGTGTGTGTGAGGACCTTCTTGGACCAGAAACAAGAAAAGGTGCTGTGCTGGCAGTTCAGCTTCTTAAGCTGCCCGTTCTTAGTCTACCCAATTAATATCTTTTGGAGACAAACTTGCTCTAAGTGGCATGCTATGGGGAAATGATGTCAGAAAATGCAGATTTTAGATATTGCATTCTATATGTCACAGTTTCAGTTGAGAAGAAATTTTGAAATTTTATAGAAATGGAAAAAAATGAATAATCCTGTACAAACACTTGAGACCCACCACCACCACCACCACCACTCCACCAGTGTTCCAGGAAAGAAAAATTCAATTTTGTGGCATTATTCTTTAAGAAGTAACTTTCTGGCCAACTGAATGGATTATGACAATGACTCATATGTTTTGTCTTTTTGACCTTTAAAATTAGAGCCTTGAGTTTCTGATAAATAAGTGGTGAATTTCAGAGGGATTGTCTAAACTTCCCAGCAATGTTGAGTCCCCACGGCTTCCTCTGCTCTTGTGACCACTGAGAGCCCTCTGAAGGGTGCAACTGGCTGAGGACAAAACTGCCCATGCTGCTGCTTCTGTATGTGCAACTCTCTCTCGCCTGTCCCCTTTGCCCTGCATGGTGAGGCCAGAGCCCTCATTCTGTTCTCTGCCCTGGGTAACAGGAGACTAAGCCCAAAGCCTAACCCACTCAGCCTGTCTCCTGTACACACTCACTGTGGCGTGAGGGCCCCCGAGCTGCAGGATCTCCCTCCCCGGCCACGCGCAGAGGGAAGAGTTCTCTAGAGAAGAGCGTCCTTGCCTTAATCTATATACAGGGACTCGCCCCAGGACACTGCCTCTCCTCAGCTTCCTGCCCATGGGCCTTGGCTAGACCCTCCAAAACACAGTCCCTGTGGCTGGGGAAGCCCGCATTTCCAGGATCCTCTTCCCAAACTCTCGGACCTTTGTGCAGGTGCCCACAAGGCACCAGACTTTTTCAAGTGTTTTTCCATTCACAGACAGGCCCCACCAGCCCCAGAGATAGATGGAGCACGGAATCAAGCAGGGTGCCCTGGGGGTTTATTAATCAAAATAGCAGATGCTGGGCGATACTACCTTCTCCTGGCCGCTCCTGTAGATACTAGTCGAGTTCCTCCTCCAGACCTTACTAACAAAATCACACCCCAAACATGTTGTACTTGAAAACACACAGGGCCATTTTTTTGTCTAATATTTCACCTTCTCATCATCTTTTTAGCTTTAAAAAAAAATCATGGCCAGGCGTGGTGGCTCACGCCTGTAATCCCAGCACTTTGGGAGACCAAGGCAGGCGGATCACCTGAGGTCAGGAGTTCAAGACCAGCCTGATCAACATGGAAAAACCTCATCTCTACTAAAAATACAACATTAGCCAGGCATGGCGGCATATGCCTGTAATCCCAGCTACTCGGGAGGCTGAGGCAAGAGAATCTCTTGAACCCGGGAGGCGGAGGTTGCAGTGAGCCAAGATCACGCCATTGCACTCCAGCCTGGGCAACAAGAGCGAAACTCCATCTCAAAAAAAAAAAAAAAATTCACAAAGGGTTTTTAAACCCCAACTTTGATCAGACATATATTACTTTTCTAATCAATAGTACCCTACCTTGAAAGGTTTTCAGTTTCTCTTCCCTGAGGGATAAATGCCTCACGCTCATATTTCTAAATAAAGGAAACTCAACATCCTAATCCATCAGTGTTCTAAGAACTCAAGATTAAGATAATAAAGCTTTTGTTCCTGTTAAAGTTAACCTATTTGAATAGAAACAAAAATCCTGGACATCCATTGCAAAATGTTAGTGGGAAGGGTTCAGTGCCAAGTCTCTTGCAGCCAAGGTCAAGTTGTCTCTTTTGCCTCCATAATGAGCATGTAATCCTGTTATGCCTACAGCTTTTGAGAGCCATCCCCGTTGGAATTGGCCAAGTGTACGGCTGTGATAACCCCTGGACTGGAGGCATCTTCCTCATAGCTCTGTTCATATCCTCACCTCTCATTTGCTTGCATGCAGCAATTGGATCCACCATGGGGATGCTAGCAGGTCTGTGTCCTCACTTCCCTGGGCTGTGAGGGGGTTAGAGCCTGGGGCCAGCTCCAAATAAAATGGTGACTCTCATCTTCAACACTCCACCTGCTGATTCCTGTGAACTTTCCCTCCTTCTGTTGTACCCTGTTTCTCCGTTTTTGATCTAGCCCCTTTATCCTCCCCTGAGCCACAGCTGCCCTCAAGAAAGGCTTTGGTGTTAGTCATTCACACCTTAGTATAAATTTAAAGTTTGGGGGAAGTTTCTTCCAGGTATATTTACATGTTAAGTGATCTGCAATGACAGCAAGAAAGATTCGTTCTCCATTAGAGAATTAAGGTATCGATGAAGGAGGAGAGGTTCTCTTTCTTGGCAGGGGAAGGATATTCTCTGGACTGTTTAAATCAGACTTCTGTCCTTACTCAAAGAATCTCTTCAACCCATGCCAGCTTAACTGCTAGTATTCATGGGACTCTATGGCCATTTGTTTCCTTTAGATGTTTTTTCACAGAATAAAGCCAGAAGTCCTTTTTGTATAACTACCTAAGAAGATAACTGGCTCCGGGCTTTGAGGACTGTGGTAGGTTTCAGGGCCAGCAGATGGGCCCCATAAGACCCTAGACCCAACCCTGATGCCTGCCTTCTGTCACAGCACTCACTATTGCGACGCCCTTTGACTCCATCTACTTCGGCCTGTGTGGCTTCAACAGCACCCTCGCATGCATAGCGATAGGAGGCATGTTCTACGTCATCACCTGGCAGACGCACCTCCTCGCCATCGCCTGCGGTAGGTACTCCCCACAGAGGATTTGTTTCCTTTATAAAAGGCTTTTTACATAAAACTGTTTTTTTATGTTTTTTAATGGTTATTTAGTAATTAATAGATTAAACACTATTTTCACTGAATACTCAACGTTCAGTCACATGAAGACGGTGGTGGAGGTTTGATTGTTGTTCCTGGGCTGTCTCCTGTGATTGCTACTCTCCTGGCGGGGGTTGGAGCAAACTGGCTGAGCAACTCTTATGCAGGTTACTCGTTACATATGGAATTGGGTGATTTACGTCTTCTACAGCGATTCACCTTAAGCATTCAAACATTAACCACAGACCCTTCAAATGACTCCTCTTTGTTATATATTTGTTCAGAGTCCCAGGAAATTAGATCGACTGTAACAAGTTGGTAGATTTGTATGTCCTCATCCTTGAACATCCTTTATTTCTTGATGTTATATGACTGGAAACCAAACAAAACTCCTTTTGAGCAGAACATTTAAAACAGAAGTTCTATTTCAATACATCTGTAGACTCTGTGAACATTATCTATATAAACTTATTTTTAAAAATAAATTTATAATAAAAATTTTCCAAATATTCTTGCTCGGGAAGATGTTCTGGATCAGCTATGGCCACATATTTGTTTCCTTAAGATAATTTGTAGATATATTTTCTTTTGCATTTTATGACAGTGACTACGAACTCTAAACAAGATACGAAGGGTAAAGCTGCTGTCTTTTTCATTTGCTCTTCTTAAAATTACTTTTTGCTACACCAACCTAAGGCCAGCACACTGTAGTTACTTAAAAAAAAAAAAAGTAGCTGTCATATTGCCCAAATAAAAGGTAGCCATTCACCTAACACCCACCACAAAGTAGGCACTTTAAATACGTCATCTCTACCTTAACACTAATTCTCAAGGTTGGTATTACTATTCGTATTTTGCAAACGAGGAAAAGTTGTGTCAAAGAGCAAGACTAAGGTGAGACAAGGGAGACACGTGGGATGCAAAATTTAAGGAGGTGCTTACTCTCAGGGCCAAGCAGGTGATGACCCTGACATATCCCCATGACCCTGAGAGTGAAGGCCACTTGAAATTTTGCACCCCAGGTGCTTCACTCACCTCCCCAAGTCCCAGCCTTGACAAAGAGGTGAAGTGGCTCAACTGCGTGTAAAAGACAAGGCTGAGACATGAAGCTAGGTCTTCCTCCATCCGAACTCATTAAACTCCCCACCCCCTTTCCCAGCATGGCACCTCTCTCTATTCCAGAAGCCTCTGATAAATCAAGGTGCACTCACTGGTTTCAAGGAAACTGAGTCACATCATCTCCCAAAAGTGCCAATGAGCCTGACGATCTCAGGAAACATGAGAATACACTAAAGTGAATTTTAAGCCCCTGTAGGTGGATCCTTGAACTTTTAGACAGACTACACAGTAATAATATCTAACATTTATTGGTTTTCACCAAAATACTTTTCCAAATATTACTCCATTTTATCATTTTTAGAAGCTGAAAACTCCAGCTTTATTTTGTAGCCGTGGTGCCTGAGGCTAAGGGAGGTAAAAGGACTTGCCTGTGGGCAGAGGTAGAGTCAACCCTCCTTCTACAAGTTAAAGAAAGACCTGGAAGCATCCAGTGATGTACGTATAGACCAAAAATGGGAAAGCAGTCTATAACACATACAAGTGGAGTTTGGGGGGCGTTTTACTGTTGTTGTTGTTGTTTTGAGACAGGGTCTTACTCTGTTGCCCAGGCTGGAGTGCAGTGGCATGATCACGGCTCACTGCAGCCTCAACTTCCCAGGCTCAAGTGATCCTCCCACCTCAGCCTCCTGAGTAGGTGGGGCTGTAGGCATGCACCACCATGCCCAGCTAATTTCTATATATATATATATATATATATATTTTTTTTTTTTTTTTTTTTGGAGAGACAGGGCTGCACTATGTTTCCCAGGCTGGTCGTGGGCTCAAGTGATCTGCCCACTCAGCCTCACAAACAAATGTTTGTACAGGTTCAATGAAAAGAAGAAGTTGAGGCCATCTAGAAAACCTGGAACACGTAGTCAAGCTTACTTGTGCGTAGGGCCCATTGATAGGCAACCAGGAGGCAGTGAGAGCAGGAGGGAATGATAGCTCCTTCAGCAGACAGAACAGCCCCACTGGAATTAAATGTCACTGTGAATATTTTAATTTAAATTAACTTTAACTTCTTAATAGGCCAGCATTTTTACATGACCTGAAACTAGACCTATGCCTAAGTTCCTTCCTTCCATAAAAATGTCCCAATGGCAAAAATTCTAAATGCTCAGAGATCTTTAAAATCAGTCGTCATTTATATTATTAAATTGGTTTGGGCCTCATCCCATTAAAAATTAAAAGTCTGAATGCTAGAAATGAGAAGTCAAGGAGTCCTGAAGTTTTTAAAGATTCAGAGTCAAGACTGTGCCACTCTAGGCTCTCTTAGTGGCCCATGACTTCCACATAGGATCGGAGCAGGTGGCCCGGTGGGGAGGTGGCTGCGTCCAGACCGTGGAGCTATAACTTCTGTCCAGAGTCTCAGAGGACAAGGACATCTAGGATACCAGCTGGGAAAGGACATTACAGGATATCCCTGGCTACCAACTCCAAGTTCTACTTATTCACTAAGGGATATTCATGTTTAACAAACAAATCTTAAATGCCCAATTTATGTCAGATGTTACACGGGTGGTTTTCAACCAGGGGTAATTTTCCCCTTCCCCAGGAACATTTGGCAATGTCTGATGACATTTTTCTGTGTCATACCTGAGGCTGGGGGAAGTGCTACTGGCATCTAATGGGTAAAATCCAGAGACGCTGTTAAACACCCTACAATACACAGGACGGCACCCCCAGAATAAGGAATTGCCCCATCCAAAGTGTCCATGGAGCTGGAGCTGTGAAACCTTGGTACAGGTCATCTCATTTAATCTTCCCTCCAGCCCCATAAAGTGTGTGGATGATATTAATATCCCCATTTCACAGATGGAGAAATGAGGCTAAAGGAAGCTAAATACATTACTTGAAGTCAGGTCTGCCTGACTGTAAAAGGCTGTGCTCTTTGCAGGACACCACACTGTTTCCTGAAGCCAGTGCTTTTTCTACCAGTAAAAAAATCCAAGCCCAGAACAGTTAGGCCCTTTTCCAACATCATACAGTCAGTGATGGATAAGACAGGCCAGGTGGCCAGGCATCCTGTTGCAAAGGTTCCTTCCACCACTGCCTGCTCGGCACATCACCTGAGACAGACAGTTTTCCCTCCAGCCCAGGCAGGCCGCATGTCTCATTTCGTCTTCTTTCTTCTATCCTTCCTCCTCTCTCCCGACTCTGCAAGCCCTATAGCCACACAGGAGCCCACACGGGGTTTTCGGAGGGTTTTCCTGCTAGTAATAACACCAGATTTGATAAAATAGCAAATATCAGTGGGGGAAGAGGGAGACAGAATGAATCCTTTGGCTCTGGGTCCCAGGGAAGATGGATGGAGTTGGAGTCTTCCATTCTTCACAGACCAAGCCCAGAGTCCCACTCAGGCCATCTGGCTCCCCTCTATTCGGGGGCCTTGGTAGTGCTTGGTTTGCCTCTCTCTTTCCAACCTCAGATCTGAGAGGCTGATTAAGAGCCCACTCCCAGAGCCAGATGGCTGGAGCTCCGCCACTTGTTAGCCATGTAATCCTGGGCAAGTTGCTTGAACTCTCCATGCCTGATACTAACAGTGCCCAACTCCTACAGCTGTTGTCAGGATCAAATTAGATCATTTGTGAAAATGATGAGAATAATGCTGACACATAGGGAATGTCCAGTAAGTGCTGACCTCTATTATCTCTAGTTAAATGATGTATGTTAATTAATGAGGATTCAGCAAACACAAAGGACGGCATGGGCTCCTATTCGCTCTCAGAGAATAAGCTGCCTGGTGTGACCCATGAAACCCATTGACAGCCCCACATTCTACTTCATGTAACTCATTTAACTCATTCTCTTTTGTTTGTTTGTTTGTTGTTTGTTTTTTGAGATGAGGTCTTGCTCTGTCACCCAGGCTAGATCACAGTAAGTAGCATGATCATAGTTCATTGCAGCCTCAAACTTCCGGGCTCAAGCCATCCTCCTGCCTCAGCCTCCCAAGTAGCTGAGATTACAGGCACATGCCACCACACCCAGCTAATGTTTTTGGTTTCTGTAGAGATGGTATCTTGCTTTGTTGCCCAGACTGGTCTCAAACTCCTGGGCTCAAGTGATCCTCCCATCTCAGCCTCCCAAAGTGCTGGGATTACAGACGTGAGCCGCCACTCCCAGTCGTGTAACTCATTCTTTAATCTCATCTACTCTTCCACCTTGAATCTCCCCTCCAAAACAAAAGGGGCTTCTCCAACTGAAATATAGGCTGAACAGTCATATTATTTCACCTCTCTGAGCCTCAGTTTTCTCATGTGTGAAATGAAGACGATAATAGTGCTTACACTGTAGGAATGCTGAAAGCTATGGTAGTATTGCTACTAGCTGGGCACACAATAACACACTAATAAAGGTTAACTCTTGTTAATATAATCCTAAGGACAATTGGGATGCTCTCAGCGAGAAATGAAGGGTTTGGAAGCAAAGGCCAATTACACTAGTACATTTTAATAGCTTCTCCCCTGTTGCCAGCACTGGGCTCATTCCCAGTGGCCAGCCTCGTCATGCCTTCTGCAGAGCCTACACGACAAGGCACTGGGCATGTCTAGTCTTCCTCAAGCTTTCAGAACGCTGCTCTTCCCTAGAAACCCATATTATGTTAATAACTTGTGATGAAATATTCCAGTAGGGAGTTCTGGGATTCACTTGCCTTTGCCGTATAGTAAAATTTTCATTTATGGTTTATGCTGTTAAATGTTCCTTTACTGGAATGCAAGGTGGTGGGACCCAAGAGAACCATAACAGCTCAATTCTGGCCCTTTTTAACAAGTTCATCTGCTGTCTTTGCTGCACCAGCATTTGCATGGAATTTAACAATTTTAAAGCTGCCAAGCAATGGAAACATAACTCAAATTTTTAAAAAATCTTAGAGATAGCATTTGTGGCATAAAATTGATGGGAAGAGAATATGTAGAGCAATCTTGAGGTGCTATTAAATAGTTACTGGTCTATTTCTTTCTTTTTTTTTTTTTTTTCTAGCACTGTTTGCTGCCTACCTGGGTGCTGCCCTGGCTAACATGTTATCTGTGGTGAGTCAACACAGGCTCAGAACGTGCCTACAACATCCTTCCTGGTGTCCTCTTGGCTTCCCCAAACCTGCTGAAAACCTCTCTCCTCTAAGAACTCTTCCCCAGTTCATCTCCCTTATTTCAAGTCACACTACTCACTTCAGCACCTGCTAGGCAGAGGGAGCCAGGCCCCAAAAGTTTACATTTCAACTGTGGGCCAATCCATTCCTATCATCAGTAGGCCAGGAACTCCTTAGAGGAAATTTGAGGAGCATTATCTTGTAAATCAAATTCCTTTCTATCTTCCTCTATAACTATTTTTAAATCTTTATTATTTAATTTGTGTGTGCCTGCCTAGCTAGCTTGTGAGCCAGCATATATCTTTGCCCCACGGCAACTAACTAGCTCCCCTCCATAGAATAAGGGGAGTCAAACCCCAACCAGGCGAGACAGAAGCCAGAGCTGAGGCTTAAAGTCACGGGCCACAGTCTGGGAACCCCTTCCTCATCTGGGCTCCAGTGTAGGGTGATGTGTGAGGTCAGGAGGAGCCCATGCTGGCCCCCAACCCCAGTGCAGAGGGCTCAGGGCTCCACTTGCAGCTGGTGCCTCCCCTTGTCAGATAAGGGTAAAAGGGCACACTTTGCATGGACAACAAGAAGTCCAGGTGATCCTGCAGATAAGGAGGGAGTGGGCATTCTAGTAACACCTGCCTAGATCTCTCCCTCACCTTTAGTAAAAATGGGTGGCTTGGACTTAGCATAAGAAGGAATTTTTCTAAGCAGTAGAATTTGCCTTCCCTGATACTATCCCGTCTTCCCCAGTGAACTGAATCTCTTTTCTGGGCTTCATTGTATTTGTGCACACCTCGGCTAAATACTTGATGTCGTACAGTTTTGTGATGAGTCTAGTACTCATTGGTCTTCTTCTACCCTCAGCCAGTCCTCTCCCTTGGAACAGGGACCTCATCATATTATCTTTATCTCCAGTATCTGTTATAGTCTTCAACACATAGTAGGTGCTCAAGCAATACTGGATGAATGAAGCCCTAAGATAGTGAGCCTCTATGACAGGGTGTTTTAGAACCGGGGTTGAATAGCGAAGCATCAGAAACTCTGAGGGGGAATAAGGGCATGAAGTATTGGCTCTGAGGCTCCCTTCAGGCTTTATCAGCCTCTAACTATACCCATCCATTCACCCAGTCATTCATCCACTAAATCCGTGCCATGTGCCTTCCTTGAACAAGTCACTGAAAGAAATGCAAAACAGGAAGCTGCGATTCCTGATCATGGATGTTTACAGTGATGACTGGCCTTTCTCTCTGTTTTCAGAGAAGTTACAGATTAGACTATTCAGTTTAGACATCTTTCAAAACAAAATCAAGTTTACCTAGTTTGCCTACTGTGTTTAAGACATTGTGTTGGCCACTCTCCGGAATATAAAAAAGTACAGGCTATTAACTCACTTTAAAGGAATTTCCCACAATGTCATCGAGGAACAGGAAATAAAAATGTTGAATGACATTTATGGGACCATCCAAGCTCTCCTCAGAAGAGCACATAGGAGCTGTACTCTTTTGTTTTCTAAGTGGCACATGTATATACAACCTCATGTCTTCAACAATGCTGCCATCTGTTTGATGATAATAACCACATATTTAGGATCATTTGTATTGAGTACTTGGTATACACTAGAGGCACCAACTCTCTAAGTAGGCTTTATTATTCCTATTTCGCTATTGAGGTCTCAGAAAGATTAAATGGCCATAGCAAGGTGATCAGAACTGAGATTCGGTTCTTGGACTGTGGAAATCCAAACCAACATCCTTTCCAATGTAGGACTCCAAGGGTGCTTCCCAAACACTTTGTGCAGTCTTAGTGGGGCTTTGGAAGACTCGCTGAATGGAACTCATCACTCATGGGTGCCCCTTACAGACCCAGCTCTGGTAGCAGGCTGTCTTTGTTGTTCCCCAAGACGCACCCAACGGTGCCATCTCTGGACACACACATGACTGGCATTGTTACTCCCATGGTAGTATCTGAGGTTTTTTTTTTTTTTTTTTTTTTTTTTTTTTTTTTTTTGAGACGGAGTCTCGCTCTGTCGCCCAGGCTGGAGTGCAGTGGCGGGATCTCGGCTCATTGCAAGCTCCACCTCCCGGGTTCACGCCATTCTCCTGCCTCAGCCTCCCAAGTAGCTGGGACTACAGGCGCCCGCCACTACGCCCGGCTAATTTTTTGTATTTTTAGTAGAGACGGGGTTTCACCGTTTTTAGCCGGGATGGTCTCGATCTCCTGACCTCGTGATCCGCCCGCCTCGGCCTCCCAAAGTGCTGGGATTACAGGCGTGAGCCACCGCGCCCGGCCCTGAGGTTTTTACTGCTTATAATAAGATGATGTTTTGGCAAGAGGGGGCATATTTGATGTGCCTCGTAACTGAAGTTGCAGGCTCATTGTTAGCAAACTATCCATTCAAGCTATCTCAAATGAAGAGTGGAGAAGAGTACTAAAAAGCCTTAGAGCATCTCAAGAAATAAAAACAGGTCAACATCAAGAGAAAAAGAGCTGGAGATTGGAGAGCCCTTGAGAAGAAAGGCAGCTGTGCTCTGTCTCCAGCTCCATAGGACAATGATGACACATCTTTGCCTCTCTCCATCTCTCTGCTCACTTTCCCTGTGTCTCTCTGACGGGTTACTTCTACTGCACACATCCCCCAATGGCCACCCATCCCTGGTTTGTTCCCCAGTTTTTTCAGTTCCAGAACCCTGTAGACACAGTCTCTGTGCCTCTTAGTTCAACTATTCAAGAGAGGGATTCTGTTGGCAGCGGGCACTTTCACCTGCCTATAGGAAGCAGTGTTTGAGTTGGGTGCCTATCTCTAGTCCAATCAGCTATGACCAAACAGAAAACATCTTGAGCTACCAAATGGCTGCCAAAGACACTTCTCCAACAGGGGCTGATGGGAGAAGACACAGGATGACCATAGTTCCTAGAGTTAGAAGTCTAACCTGGCCAGAAACATAGCTTCTGACAAAACACAGCCTCTACAAAAGGCATATTATGTTCTGATGACTTCTACATAAGGGCATATTAGCCCAACTATTAGGGTTCCCAGTGGCTGCATTTTGAAAACTGTGCATTCACCTGTTGCAATGCAGATGAATAGCACTGGCATGATTTTATTTATATTGGTCATCAATGAAGTATCAATGCCCTCAAAGCAGTCCCTCATGTCCCCAGGGCTGTAGGTGATTGATAAGGGCTGATTAAAATGCACAGGCACCTGATGTGACCAAGGCTTATCTGTGTTCTTTCTCTCCAGTTTGGATTGCCGCCCTGCACTTGGCCCTTCTGTCTCTCAGCTCTCACCTTCCTGCTCCTGACGACCAATAACCCCGCCATCTACAAGCTCCCGCTCAGCAAAGTCACCTACCCAGAGGCCAACCGCATCTACTACCTGTCCCAGGAGAGAAACAGAAGGGCATCAATCATAACAAAGTATCAGGCCTACGATGTCTCCTAAGTTTCCCTGTCTAAAACACATCAGTGTAAATTCAGGCTTCAGCACGCCGTCCAGATCCCCAGGATAAGAGACCACTTAGCCTTCCCTTTGGTCTGTTCTGTGACTCTCTCCCCAAACACAAAGAAGCGTGTATGTAGTCACCATTCCAGAACCTCTCTTTTCTAAGATGCACAACACTTATCAAAGATATGTTTAGTTTAGACTTTATACCCTTAGCTTTCCCATAAGAGCTCCCTTTGTGGGGAACTTGCCCTCTTCTGCGAAATAAGCCTCATCCTTAAAGAGAAGTCACCGGCCGGGCACGGTGGCTCACGCCTGTAATCCCAGCACTTTGGGAGGCCGAGGCGGGTGGATCACGAGGTCAGGAGATCGAGACCATCCTGGCGAACATGGTGAGACCCCATCTCTACTAAAAATACAAAAAATTAGCCAGGCATGGTGGCGGGCACCTGTAGTCCCAGCTACTTGGGAGGCTGAGGCAGGAGAATGGCGTGAACCCGGGAGGTGGAGCTTGCAGTGAGCCAAGATCACGCCACTGCACTCCAGCCTGGGCAACGGAGTGAGACTCTGTCTCAAAAAAAAAAAAAAGGGGAAGTCACCAAGAAAGGGATAGAGGTCAGTGACATGGTCATCACACAACTCGGTCATTTAATATGGCAAAACACAATACCAAGAACTGTGCATTAGCCCGGAAGGCAAGAGGGTTGGTTCTGCCCCAGCTCTGCTGCTAATGAGCCCCTACCAGGTTGAGCAAGTCTTTCCCCACTCTCCACCTCCATTTCTTAATCAGTTTCATGACAGGGAAGGATTTGAAAGTCCTTTCCACCTCAGAAGTGTTGATTATTCTCTCTCTCCTATAATCTGATGAAATCAGCATGACAACAAGTAATTTAAGTAAAGGACAGAAGGGTTACCCAAGAAGAGGCAGGAAAATGTTAACGTTCTATAAAGTTTTATTCTTGAGTCATAGGAAAATGCTCTCCAGACGTGGGGTTAGGAACCTAAATTCACTGAAAATGCCAATGTGCTTTCCTTTACATTACAGAAATATTTCTGGAAGTGTCAGATGAAAACTGATCTTTATCAACACTCAAATCATATTATAAACAAATGTGTTTCCCTTTGTAATATTCATAATCATACTGTCATTAAACTGTTTAAGTTTGCAAGTCGGCATCAGGGTTTTCTTAAAACGGGGCTCACCTAGAGGTTCATACATTGCTCACTTGAGGGGTTTTCCATGGTCAAGCATGTGCCTGAAAAGAGACAAGGATGGGCTCAAAATCATCAGAACAGGGGTTGATTTGCTTATGGAGCGAATTACACAGAAATGACCTTGGACTTGGTTTTCTGTTTGAGTTGAAGCACAGATTGTTAATAACACATCTCACTATTTAGGGTAGAGTCTTTTAGCTTTGTGCCCCCAAATTACAAATCAAGCCAGTCTTGAGTGGCCAGTAACCCTTGTTCAGTCACTCTGGTTATAGTTTCAAGCTCCTAAGCCACAAACCTTCTTTGTGGAACTCCATGTGGCCTGACCTTCCCACGCCTTCTCCAGAGGGGAATGAACCTCTCATAGCACCATAGCAGTGCCTCCCACCACCCTCCAAGCACACATGCACTCCCAGTTTAGTGTCATGGGGATGAGGACATAAGAGGGAATGTGGGGAAGGAGAGGCGGGGACAGACCCTCTATAACCACAGCTTTAAGAATTACATTTAACCAAATCCATCATTTGGAAAAAGTTAATTTCTATGTTTGCCTTTTCTTGGTCTGCCCCCAAGATTCTGGCCATCTTTTAGCAGCCCAAGAGCACTGGGTGGCATATTTCTCTTCCACATCATATCTAGCCCATATGACTTCTCCAGAAAAATGCAGCACTTAAGGGTGGAAACAAATCCTCCACCTAGAAAAAGCAAACGAGTCACACTCCAGAGGCTACCTCTGAGTTTGCAATCACACCTTGAGGCCAAGAAGGTCTCAGGCTGTATTTTAATGACCGTGGAATTAGTGGTCTCTGAGGATTAAGCATCCAGGAATTTCACCAGAAGGCTGTTTATGCTCACAGCTCACTCAGTTGCCCCAGAACCTCCAAATGATGACATACAACTATTAAAGCACCAGTTTTCATGCATTTTCCACCAAAGTGTTATAATCTGGTTTTATTAAGAGCAGGAAACCCTTCACATGCATGCTGTTCTTGTTATTGACCACGAATAAAACCCTTCAGCTGTTCTAAGTATTTCAATATCCTCACCTATAAAGCAAGTTAAGTTGGCCCATGATACTAAGCAAAGTAGAAATAGATGGGGTAGAAGAATTTGACCTATGAAAATATACAAGGTCTACAGAATACCAAAGTAGCTAGTCTAGTCCAGCACTTCAATTAAGCACCAACAGTGGAGAGCTGCAGCCGGCTCCATCAGTTCCTGAGAGTCCACTGCACAAGTGAGCACATTTCTCCCCATGCCATTCAGTGACATCACATTGATAGCTTGAAACCGGCCATGGTGGGAGTATTTACATCACAGACATCAGCAAACTACAAATCTGGGCATGCACACAATACACCAACACATGTTTTACAAGCACACATACAAACAAACAAACAAAAAAGTATACAGGAATGTGAGAGGGAAAAGGGAGTGAGGTATAAAAATAAAAGGACAGGACCGGGCACGGTGACTCACACCTGTAATCCCAGCACTTTAGGAGGCCGAGGCGGGCAAATCACCAGAGGTCAGGAGTTCGAGACCAGCCTGACCAACATGGAGAAACCCCATCTCTAGTAAAAATACAAGATTAGCTGGGCATGGTGGTGCATGCCTGTAATCCCAGCTACTCGGGAGGCTGAGGCAGGAGAATCGCTTGAACTCAGGAGGGAGAGTTGTGGTGAGCCGAGATCGCACCATTGCACTCCAGCCTGGGCAACAACAGTGAAACTCTGTCTCAAAAAAATAAATAAATAAAAGGACATACACACCTATATATTCCAGACAGGGGCCTCGTATGGGCCCATGAAGATATGCTGGGCACCAAGGCACATGATTAACTCAATTGTTGGGAAAATTTTTTAAATGGGTGGAGCAGAATGTGTGCTACATATATGTACACAAACATGCACACACACATGCACAGTTGTTTTTTTTTTTCCTTCATCGAACTAGCCCATTGATGGCACATAATAGCCCTGAGAAATAGTAACTGAGTAATTGACTGAAACACCCTCCTACCCCTCTGTCTCAGTGGAGATGCTTTTCTATTCTCTCTACAGAATAAGTTCCGTAGAGAGAATAGACTCTATTGGCTGGAATTTGAAAACTGTTTCACGCACACAACGTCCTTATAACAGATACACACGCTCTCAACTAGGCCAACTGACTTGCCTCCAGAACTTATTGCCTGTAGCCTCCTTCCAAAACACATGTGTAGGGTTCAGGGAAAGAAATTTTCAGAGTAGTGCACGGCATCTAGTCCTCAGCATTCCATCATTTTATGAGCAATAGCTTCAAGCCTCTTTTGCAAACGGTCTTCTGCAACCATCCTTTCCTTACAGAGCCTTTGTTATTCAGACATTTAAACTATGTAATGGTCTCAGGTGAGGGGCAGGTAGATAGATGGGAGATTGGTAGTTCTCAAACTCAAGCATGTATCAGAATCACCTAGAGACCTTATTTAATGCAGGTTAGTGGGCCCTATTCCAAGACTGTCAATCAGTAGACCTGAGGCACGGCCTGAGAATTTCCTTTTCTAACAAGTTCCCCACAGATGTTGATGCTGTGGGTATAGGGGTCCCATACTTTGAGACCCACGAGATAGACTTAGAAATAGGATGCTGCCTCCACTGATTTATTTCCCTTTCATTGTATACTGTAATGCACTGGTTGTGCATCTAAGAATCATCCGCAAGGCTTATTAAAACACAAATCCCTGGGCCTCAACCTCAAAGATTTGGATTCACTAGAGCCGGGTGGAACCAAAAATCTGAGCTTCTAACAAACTCCCAGATGATACAGATGCGGCTGGATCCAGGTCCAGAGATCGTTGCACAGGTTCTTACTCTTGGTTAGATCAGGATCCTCTGATTCTGATGCCAGGCCCTACCTCAGGCCAATTAAGCCAGCAATGGGCCTGGGCACAGGTAATTTTTTTAAAGCTCCTGGGGTGATTCTAACATGCAGCTGGGGCAGGAAAACAACGGTGCTGCCTATTTCTTGGACCCCAACTGTTTCTAATTTGAGTCACTCTTCAGCACTCCGTTAAACCCCAGTCCCCATCCTCAGTTCCCAGGTGGGTTTGCATAAGGGGTAGTAGACCTGCCAGGAGATGCAGTGAGAAGCACTGAGCACTGAGGCAGGAGGAGCACAGACAGCACAGAGAATCCTCTAAAGTGAAGTTTCTCTCTTTCTCACTGTTGTTGGGGACTCACCCTGCACCACAAAGAAGACTAGATAAAGAAAACCACTAACCAGTAACATCCGGCTCAGTAGGCTGAGCACAAAAGCAAGGTTTTGCTTTGGCCCTAGACCTAGAAGCCTGCTGAGTGAGCGCCTTGGCCCTAGAAAAGAGGAGCAGGGGGTTGTCCGGAGCCCCTCCGACCACGCTGCTCTCAGTCAGGCACCACAGACACAGGCAGAGCTGGCTAGAGGTCAGAGGCATGGCCCCAGTGAGAAGCAGCAGCTGTGCCCTGTGAGCAGGTAGGATGGGGTTAAGGGCTGGCCTGGAATGGGGGCAGAAGGTGGAAGTTGGGAAATGGTGATGACAGCAGTTATTGCAAGGGGGCAAGCCAATGGGCAGGCAGTGGGCGTAGAAAAGCAGCTCCACTGAGACAGCCATGCAGGGAGCCCTGTGCAGGCAGACAGCTGTGGTCAGGGGTTAAAGAGGTGGAGAAAAGCAGAACATGGAGCCATGTAGAGAGCAGGTGCTGGCGGCCAGCTGGTACTGTAACAGGAAGAGTGCAAAAAAAAAAAAAAAATAGCAGTTTTTGCCATGGGGTGAGGCTCCACCCCTCTTTGAACTGTCTGGTGGGGCCAGGGCTGGGGCTGGGAGAGGGATGGGGTGGCTTTCACTCCTCTCCCCAGTGCTTGCTTCTTGATGGGTCAGTCTGGGTCACTAGGGTCCACCTGTCTCTTACGGCATGGCCTGAGCAGTAGTTTCAAGGGGTGTCATGGGGCGGGGAGGTGGGCAAGTCGGGCAGCAGAGCATTACAAACCCTGGGGCCCAGGCAACAGCCCAGACTAGCTCTATCAGAACCTTAGGGGCGGCCCAGGCCGGGGTGGTTGCCAAAGCTCCCCAGGGGGCCCCATCAGTAGAAGGTGTGGGGGCTGCTCGGTGCTGTGCTGTGCTGCTCTGTGCAGGGCTGCAGGGAGAAGATTCTCTAGAGAGCTCTCAAGTGGGAGGAGCCCCAGGCAGCATGATTTTGTCAAATGGAGATTGTCTCTGTCCCTGAGGTCAGAGGAGGGCTGTAACCATACAGTTCTTAACCTCTGGATTTGGACAAATGTAAGCTGTGTTCCTGGCCCCTCTAAAGACCTGTGAATCCTATTCTGCTCATCTGTGTGTAGTTCTTGTTTTTAAGCTTCCAGAGAGACACTGATTCCTAGCTAGTTTCTAACCCTAGCATACAGCAAGATGGAAAGCTCAGGACACAAGATTAAAGTGACAGCCTGGAGGGCAGGACAGGGAGTCTGGGCTGTGGCTGGAGCACCCATCACCATTCCTGGGCCACAAGCCGCCTTCAGGGACTGGCTTCCTGTTCTCCCAGGCCCCGCTGTGGCTCCTTGGCCTTAGCCCCAGGTTCTCAACATGAACAGACTGTGAACTCCTTGTGAACAGCGATGAGTTTTGTACATTCCCCTAACTGGGGCCTCTCTCCCGCAGTGAATGAGTAAGTGACAGACACAGTTATACTAAAGTTATAAGTTATGTCCAGCAAAAGAGAGGCATTGCCTTCTCTGTTGTCATCTGTCCTCCCATCAGTGTCTTGCAAGTCTTAATAGCTTTTGAACAAATGAATCATATTTACATTTTGTACTGGGCCCCATGAATTACGTAGCTGGTCCTGTGCTGAGCTCTTGGTGGCAACTGGAGCTTGCTCTCCCATGGCTGCAGCATCAAAGATCCCCCTGGGCTAGTTCTCTGCTTTCAAACTCCTTCCTCACCCATGACAGCATGAGACAGCAACACAACACCCCAATATACACAGAGCCTCACTTGTGGGGTACTCACTTGACAAGCACCCCAGGGAGCAAAGGAAGTGCAGAGAGAGGTGGCACCTTCTATCCTGAAGACCCAGCACACCCAGGCTCCATGGTGCAGGGACTGGAACAAACCAGGAAGGCACCCCACAACCAAAATATTTGTAGATTTTCCAGCTGGAGCAAAGGAAAGACCCAGACAGATCCCTACTCATAATCAGCTCATGAAACGCCCTACTGGAGAAAGGCAGAAAGAGTAGCTGGCTTTTTCCCCATCCCTGCATACTCCCCTGGGTGCTCTTTGAATCAATGTTTAGCCGGATTTCACCCAATCATGAGCGTGTGAGTGGGGAGCACCCCCATGACTTGGCTTCCTGCCCAACACATCACACCACAACCTGTGAATAACTCATCTTCCCCAACACATTATAACCTCTGAGGGGCCAGATTATGTATTTTCATGGCCCCCATTCCAGGCCTGGCACGTGGATACATATTTACTGACAGATGGACCCCTACTTCAGCATCCCTGTAAGCCTGGAATTAATTCCAGGAGGTGGGTACTAAGCAAGATAATGTTTAACCAAAATGCAGATTCTAGCACCTCCCCTGAACCCTAAGATATTGGGATTCAGTAAGTGATGGGGTATCTGCATTTTTACCTGCATCGCAAATGACTTAAGAAGGCCAATTCTCCTGGCTATCTGAAGAACTGAAGGAGGTGGGTAGACAGAGGGGGTCTCAGCACAGGAATTTGAGTAGAATTCACGTAGAAGCCCAGGACATGATTGCATGAGTGGCCATGGGTCAGTGTGCAGCTTGCAAATCCAGTCACTGTAAGGCCTTATCCTAGAAAGGCCCTGACGGGGACTGGGGTTGCGGGGGTGGGGATTGAGGCAGGTGGCTACCATCTGTCAAGAGCAGCAGCAGACCTGCAGCTGGCTCCATGGCTTCTGTGGCCCATGCCCACCCTCCCTCCTTACCATCACAGCAGTCGCCCAAATGGCTCAGAGAGGAGCTCATGGGAACCCCACTTACTGTTGACACTGGGGGAAAAGAATGGAAATATGATTTGGCATAACTTGAGGGACGTATAAATGGTTTGTGCCTTTCACACCCCAAAAACTTCAATTTACCTCCCTCATGAATGTCTTAGAAGCTTCTGCATTCTTTAAGAAAACTCTAGTTTTTACATAAATTTAATATTGACCATATAATTCAACATTCAATTTTATGTTATCTGGTATCACCTGCCACCTGGGTGGAGGGTCTTATTTGCTCAGCAAGATGGGAAACTCTAAAGTCAAAGACCTCATCTTATAATTACTTGAACACAACATACTTTGGAGACCAAACATATTACTGAGCACAGGATATCCGTGCTGCTTGATTCACTTACTATTTGAACTCCTGGTTCTGAGACTGTTATCCGAGGAGAATAAAAGGGTGCTGGATGGGCTTCCATGGAGAGATGGAAACTGTCTGAGTGTTAAGGGCTCAGGCTAGGGAGGAGACAAAACTCTTCTTCTGAAAGTTTCATAGCTTTAGCTCTTATATTTAGGTCTTTGATCCACTTTGAGTTATTTTTTGTATATGGTAGTAGAGTCCCCAATCTTCTGCAAGTGGATATTCAGTTGCCCCAGCACTATTTATTGAAAAGACTATTCTTTTTTGCATATGGGATTGTTTTTCAGAATCCAGAAAAATCTTTAGTTCACATTCCTCTTGCTTTAAGGTAGTATTTCCATAACTCATCAGTCATGGATCTTAAATACATATCCAAAAGAAAAAATTTTAAATAAGAAAAAGTCACATGATCCAATGAGATCCAGGTACATTAAGCCAAATAAAGTTTAACATCTTTCATTAGCATTGGCTTCTCAAAGACTTTAATGCCAGTGTGCTTTTAATGAATCACTTATCCTTCTTTTATCAGAGAAGGGCGTGTGTGTGTGTGTGTGTGTGTGTGTGTGTGTCCACATATTAACATCTCTACGAGTACACTTCCAAACACCTCGAGTTTTGGAATCATTCTTTTGCAAGAGTAGACTTACTGACTTGAATGCTATTGGATTGTTTTAATTTCATCTTGGAGAGTTCGGCTAACAGGATGGTTGGGGTGTGTGTGTTTTGTAGACTTGTAGCTTTTATCTTCAACCAGGTCAGAGCAGAAATAACACAGTAACCTATGAATTCCTCTGGGGTGTTTTTTAGCAACTGAATGTAGAAGCCACAATTTTAGTTTGTTTCTGAACTGTCCATTTTTTTAAACTTAAATATTAAGGTGTGTGTTGTTGTTTTGTTTTGCTTTTTGAAAGTGTGGTCCAAGAACCACCTGAATCAGACTCACTTGGATGTAGTTAAAAAGCGCAGATCCCTAAGGCCCCTTCAGACCTAATAGTCAGAAACACTGGGGCTGGAGCCCAGACTGCACCCCTCCCCCCGCCCCGCCCCGCCCAGGATCCCTGGTGATTCCTGTGCATATCGAAGTTTGAAAAGCATGCTTTTCCTTGAAATTAAGAGACAGTGAACCCAGTTGTCTGCAAAGAGATAGGGGACAGAAACTTACATGTACCTAGGACGAAGATGGCTCTTTCTGTACCTTTGTCCCTTCCCTTCATCTGCACTGCCCACCTTCTGTGCCCTTTTGCATGCTCACACATCCTTCTGTATGATCAACGGACTTGGGCACGCTGCACACTCCTTGGCTTATGAAACTTTCACACTGTCAGCAGAGGGCGCCAGAGACCCTCCAAAAGCCACGGAATGCTCCATTTGCTCGTTGCCCTCCTTTTGCATTCCAGGCTTTTGCATTCTATTCTAGGCATCTAGTTTTCCAGGCTTAGGCCTGTCCCCCACCTCACTGATTCTCAAAGGGACATTGGATCTCAGGAGAGTGCACAGCTTCTAAGAAACGCACTTATTGTGGGGCCTGGAAATTTATTTAATGCCTCTGAGCCCAAATTTCACATCCTAACAAGGAACTAATTTATTAGCCTGTTACTGTAGTTCTTTTAATGGTTAAATGAGGTAACAGGTGAATGTGCCCATGAAGGTCAGCAGCCCAGTGACTGCCAGCACCCTGCCACTGCCACCACTGGTGCAAGTGTAAGCATGGACACTGGCAACCCTGCTCCCACCTGCACCCTGCCACAGGTACAAGTGCACACAGGAATGCAGCAGCTCGACTTCTGCTGGTACCCCAACCCCACCAAGGCATAAGCACCCTGCGGCGCTGCCACAGGTGCCAGAACACGTGAGTGAGCACAGATCCTGCTGCCACCGCCCCAAAGAAGCACTTTGTCTGGCACCACCCATCAGAGGGTTGTGGCTAATGGACCAGGAACACCTTGGACCCTCTGATGCAGCAGGTTCCCAATCTCACGGGGCCAGATAACAAAGCTGGGGTCCTGGTACCAACTCCCCAGACTTAGAGTCCACCAGGAGTGCTGAGCTGAGCCGTGGCCCCTAAAATCTTCCAGAAATGAACCCAGTCAACTGAACCTACCTTATACTGCAATGAAACCCCCAAGGGCAGCAAAGAAGAGAAAAGCAAAGAAAAAAACATGCATCGAAAGGACAGCAACTTCAGAGGTTGAGGGAACATCATCCCACACAGATAAGAAGGAATCAGCACAAGAACTCTGGCAACTCAAAATGCCAGAATGTTTTCTTACCTCCAAATGACCACACAAGTTCCCCAGCAATGGTCCCTACCTGGGGCTGAAATGACAGAAAAAGAATTCAGATTACCGACAGGAACAGAGAACATTATCATTGACATCCAGGAGAAAGTTGAAACCCAATCCAAGGAATCTAAGGAATATAATAAAACAATACAGGAGATAACATATGAAATGGCATTTTGAGGAAGAACCAAACTGATCTGATAGACCTGAAAAACTCACTTCAAGAATTTCATAATACAATCACGAATATTAACAGCAGAATCAACCAAGCTGAGGAAAGAATCTGAGAGTTTGAAGCCCAGTTCTACAAAATAGACAAAAATAAAGAAAAAACAATAAAGAAGAATAAACAAAACCTCCGAGAAATATGGGATTATGTAAAGAGACCAAATCTACAACTCCCTGGCATCCCTGAAAGAGAGAAAGAAAGAGAGAGAGCACGCACATGAGAGCGAGCAAGCACAGATCACAAGCAACTTGGAAAACATTTAAGGATATCATCCATGAAAATTTCCCCAACCTCACTAGACAGGCCAATGTTCAAATTCAGGAAATGCAGAGAACCCTTGCAAGATACTATACAAGATGACCACCCCCAAGATACATAGTCATCAGATTCTTCAAGGCCAAAATGAAAAACAAAATGTTAAAGGCAGCTAGAAAGAAGGAGCAGGTCACCTACAAACGGAATCCCACTAGGCTAATAGTGGATCTTTCAGCAGAAGCTCTACAAGCCAGAAGCAATTGGGGAGCCTGTATTCAGCATTCTTAAAGAAAATAAATTCCAATCAAGAATTTTACAGGCAGTCTAACTAAACTTCATAAGCAAAGGAAAAATAAGACCCTTTTTAGACAGGCAAATGCTCTTGGAATTCATTACCACCAGACCTGCCTTACAAGAGATCCTTAAGGGAATGCTGAATGTGGAAAGGCCATCACTGGCAACTGCAAAAACACATTTAGGTACTGAGACCATTGACACCATAAAGCAACCACACAATCAAGTCTGCATAATAACCAGCTAACAACAGAATGCCAGGATCAAATCCACACATATAAATATCAATCTTGAATGTAAATAGGCTAAATGCCCCAATTAAAAGGCATAGAGTAGCAAGCTAGATAAAGAAGTAAGACCAAAGTATATGCTGTCTTCAAGAGACCCATCTCACATGCAATGGCATTCATAGGCTCAAAGTAAAGGGATGGAGAAAAATCTACCAAGCAAACAGAAAATAGAAAAAAGCAGAGGTTGCTATTCTAATTTCAGATAAAATAGTCTTAAAACCAAAAATAATTTTAAAAAGACAAAGAACATTACATGATAGTAAAGGGGTTCAATTAACCAAGAAGACCTAACTATCCTAAATAGACATGCCCCCAACACAAGGGCACCTAGATTCATAAAGCAAGTTTTTAGAGACCTATGAAGAGATTTAGATAACTGCACAATAATAGTGGGAGACTTCAACATCCCACTGAAAGTATTAGACATACCATCAAGGCAGAAAACGAACAAAGACATTCAGGACTCAATCTCGACACCTGACCAAATGGGCCTAACAGACATCTACAGAACTCTCCACCCAAAAACAGCAGAATATACATTCTTCTCAGCTGCACATGGCACATACTCTAAAATCAATCACACAACCAACCATGAAACAACCCTCATCAAATTCAAAAAATCCGAAATCATACCAAACACATTATCAGATCACAGAGCAATAAAATAAAAATCAATAGGGGCCAGGTGCAGTAGCTCACACCTGTAATCCCAGCACTTTGGGAGGCTGAGGCAGGTGGATCACCTGAGGTCAGGAGTTCAATACCATCCTGGCCAACATGGTGAAACCCTGTCTCTACTACAAATACAAAAATTAGCTGCATGTGGTGGCACACGCCTGTAGTCCCAGCTACTCAGGAGGCTGAGGCAGAAGAATTACCTGAACCCGCGAGGCAGAGATTGCAGTGAGCTGAGACTGCACCACTGCACTCCAGCCTGGGTGACAGAGCAAGACTCTGTCTCAAAAAAAAAAAAAAAAAAAAAAAAAAACTACTGACATGAAGAGCCAAGATGGCCGAATAAGAACAACTTCAGTCTACAGCTCCCAGTGTGAGCGACGCAGAAGACGGGTGATTTCTGCATTTCCAACTGAGGTAGCAGGTTCATCTCACTGGGGAGTGTCGGAAAGTGGATGTGGGACAGTGAGTGCAGCGCACCGAGCATGAGCCAAAGCGGGGCAAGGCATTGCCTCACCTGGGAAGTGCAAGGGGTCAGGGAATTCCCTTTCCTAGTCAAAGAAAGGGGTGACAGACAGAACCTGGAAAATCGGGTCACTCCCACCCTAATACTGTGCTTTTCCAAAGGTCTTAGCAAACGGCACACCAGGAGATTATATCCCGTGCCTGGCTCCGAGGGTCCTATGTCCATGGAGCCTCACTCATTGCTAGCACAGCAGTCTGAGATCAAACTGCAAGGCGGCAGCGAGGCTGGGGGAGGGGCGCCCGCCATTGCTGAGGCTTGAGTAGGTAAACAAAGCAGCCGGGAAGCTGGAACTGGGTGGAACCCACTGCAGCTCAAGGAGGCCTGCCTGCCTCTGTAGACTCCACCTCTGGGGGCAGGGCATTGCCAAACAAAAGGCAGCAGAATCCTCTGCAGACTTAAATGTTCCTGTCTAACAGCTTTGAAGAGAGTAGTGGTTCTCCCAGCATGCAGCTGGAGATGTGAGAATGGACAGACTGCCTCCTCAAGTGGGTACCTAACCCCCGAGTAGCCTAACTGGGAAGCACCCCCCAGTAGGAGCAGACTGACACTTCACACGGCTGGGTACTCCTCTGAGACAAAACTTCCGGAGGAACGATCAGGCAGCAACATTTGCTGTTCACCAATATCCACTGTACTGCAGCCTCCACTGCTGATACTCAGGAACAGGGTCTGGTATGGACCTCTAGCAAACTCCAACAGACCTGCAGCTGAGGGTCCTGACTGTTAGAAGGAAAACTAACAAACAGAAAGAACATCCCCACCAAAACCCCATCTGTATGTCACCATCATCAAAGACCAAAGGTAGATAAAAGCACAAAGATGGGGAAAAAACAGAACAGAAAAACTGGAAACTCTAAAAAGAGTGCCTCTCCTCCTCCAAAGGAATGCAACTCCTCATCAGCAATGGAATAAAGCTGGATGGAGAATGACTTTGACAAGTTGAGAGAAGAAGGCTTCAGACGATCCAACTACTCCAAGCTAAAGGAGGAAGTTCGAACCCATGGCAAAGAAGTTAAAAACCTTGAAAAAAAATTAGATGAATGGATAACTAGAACAACCAATGCAGAGAAGTCCTTAAAGGACCTGATGGAGCTGAAAACCAAGGCATGAGAACTATGTGACGAATGCACAAGCCTCAGTAGCTGATGTGATCAACTGGAAGAAAGGGTATCAGTGATGGAAGATCAAATGAATGAAATGAAGTTAGAGAGAAGTTTAGAGAAAAAAGAATAAAACTAAACGAACAAAGCCTCCAAGAAATATGGGACTGTGTGAAAAGACCAAATCTACATCTGGTTGGTGTACCTGAAAGTGACGGGGAGAATGGAACAAAGTTGGAAAACACTCTGCAGGATATTATCCAGGAGAACTTCCCCAATCTAGCAAGGCAGCCCAACATTCAAATTCAGGAAATACAGAGAACGCCACAAAGATACTCCTCGAGAAGAGCAATTCCAAGACACATAATTGTCAGATTCACCAAAGTTGAAATGAAGGAAAAAATGTTAAGGGCAGCCAGAGAGAAAGGTCGGGTTACCCACAAAGGGAAGCCCATCAGACTAAAAACTGATTTCTCAGCAGAAACTCTACAAGCCAGAAGAGAGTGGGGGCCAATATTCAACATTCTTAAAGAAAAGAATTTTCAACCCAGAATTTCATATCCAGCCAAACTAAGCTTCATAAGTGAAGGAGAAATAAAATACTTTACAGACAAGCAAATGCTGAGAGATTTTGTCACCACCAGGCCTGCTCTAAAAGAGCTCCTGAAGGAAGCACTAAACATGGAAAGGAACAAACAGTACCAGCCACTGCAAAAACATGCGAAATTGTAAAGACCATTGAGGCTAGGAAGAAACTGCATCAATTAACGAGCAAAATAACCAGCTAACATCATAATGACAGGATCGAATTCACACATAACAATATTAACCTTAAATGTAAATGGGCTAAATGCTCCAATTAAAAGACACAGACTGGCAAATTGGATAAAGAGTCAAGACCCATCAGTGTGCTGTATTCAGGAAACCCATCTCACATGAAGAGACACACATAGGCTCAAAATAAAGGGATGGAGGAAGATCTACCAAGCAAATGGAAAACAAAAAAAAGGCAGGGGTTTCAACCCTAGTCTCTGATAAAACAGACTTTAAATCAACTAAAATCAAAAGAGACAAAGAAGGCCATTACATAATGGTAAAGGGATCAATTCAACAAGAAGAGCTAACTATCCTAAATATGTATGCACCCAATACAGGAGCACCCAGATTCATAAAACAAGTCCTTAGAGACCTACAAAGAGAGTTAGACTCCCACACAATAATAATGGGAGACTTAACACCCCACTGTCAACATTAGACAGATCAACGAGACAGAAAGTTAAGAAGGATATCCAGGAATTGAACTCAGCTCTGCACCAAGTGGACCTAATAGACATCTACAGAACTCTCCACCCCAAAACAACAGAATATACATTCTTCTCAGCACCAAACCACACTTATTCCAAAATTGACCACATAGTTGGAAGTAAAGCACTCCTCAGCTAATGTAAAAGAAAAGAAATTATGACAAACTGTCTCTCAGACCACAGTGCAATCAAACTAGAACTCAGGATTAAGAAACTCACTCAAAACCACTCAACTACATGGAAACCGAACAACCTGCTCCTGAATGACTACTGCATACATAACGAAATGAAGGCAGAAATAAAGATGTTCTTTGAAACCAGCGAGAACAAACACACAACATACCAGAATCTCTGGGACACATTCAAAGCAGTGTGTAGAGGGAAATTTATAGCAGTAAATGCCCACAAGAGAAAGCAGGAAAGATCCAAAATTGACACCCTAACATCACAATTAAAAGAACTAGAGAAGCAAGAGCAAACACATTCAAAAGCTAGCAGAAGGCAAGAAATAACTAAGATCAGAGCAGAACTGAAGAAAATAGAGACACAAAAAACGCTTCAAAAAATCAATGAATCCAGGAGCTGGTTTTTTGAAAAGATCAACAAAATTGATAGACCACTGGCAAGACTAATAAAGAAGAAAAGAGAGAAGAATCAAATAGACGCAATAAAAAATGACAAAGGGGATATCACCACCAATCCCACAGAAATACAAACTACCATCAGAGAATACTATAAACACCTCTACGCAAATAAACTAGAAAATCTACAAGAAATGGATAAATTCCTCGACACATACACCCTCCCAAGACTAAACCAGGAAGAAGTTGAATCTCTGAATAGACCAATAACAGGCTTTGAAATTGAGGCAATAATTAACAGCTTAGCAACCAAAAAAAGTCCAGGACCAGATGGACTCACAGCCGAATTCTACCAGAGGTACAAGGAGGAGGTGGTACCATTCCTTCTGAAACTATTCCAATCAATAGAAAAAGAGGGAATCCTCCCTAACTCACTTTGTGAGGCCAGCATCATCCTGATACCAAAGCCTGGCAGAGACACAACAAAAAAGAGAATTTTAGACCAATATCCCCGATGAACATTGATGCAAAAATCCTCAAAAAATACTGGCAAACCGAATCCAGCAGCACATCAAAAAGCTTATCCACCATGATCAAGTGGACTTCATCCCTGGGATGCAAGGTTGGTTCAACATACACAAATCAATAAACATAATCCAGCATATAAGCAGAACCAACAACAAAAACCATATGATTATCTCAATAGATGCAGAAAAGGCCTTTGACAAAATTCAACAACTCTTCATGCTAAAAACTCTCAATAAATTAGGTATTGATGGGATGTATCTCAAAATAATAAGAGCTATCTATGACAAACCCACAGCCAATATCATACTCAATGGACAAAAACTGGAAGCATTCCCTTTGAAAACTGGCACAAGACAGGCATGCCCTCTCTCACCACTCCTATTCAACATAGTGTTGGAAGTTCTGGCCAGGGCAATCAGGCAGGAGAAGGAAATAAACGCTATTCAATTAGGAAAAGAGAAAGTCAAATTGTCCCTGTTTGCAGATGACATGATTGTATATCTAGAAAACCCCATCATCTCAGCCCAAAATCTCAAGCTGATAGGCAACTTCAGCAAAGTCTCAGGATACAAAATCAATGTGCAAAAATCACAAGCATTCTTATACACCAATAACAGACAAACAGAGAGCCAAATCATGAGTGAACTCCCATTCACAATTGCTTCAAAGAGAATAAAACACCTAGGAATCCAACTTACAAGGGATGTGAAGGACCTCTTCAAGGAGAACTGCAAACCACTGCTCAATGAAATCAAAGAGGATACTAACAAATGGAAGAACATTCCATGCTCATGGATAGGAAGAATCAATATTGTGAAAATGGTCATACTGCCCAAGGTAATTTACAGATTCAATGCCATCCCCATCAAGCTACCAATGACTTTCTTCACAGAATTGGAAAAACTACCTTAAAGTTCATATGGAACCAACAAAGAGCCCGCATTGCCAAGACAATCCTAAGCCAAAAGAACAAAGCTGGAGGCATCACGCTACCTGACTTCAAACTATACTACAAGGCTACAGTAACCAAAACAGCATGGTACTGGTACCAAAACAGAGATATAGACCAATGGAACAGAGCAGAGCCCTCAGAAATAATGCCACATATCTACAACCATCTGATCTTTGACAAAACTGACAAAAAAGAAATGGGGAAAGGATTCCCTATTTAATATATGGTGCTGGGAAAACTGGCTAGCCATATGTAGAAAGCTGAAACTGGATCCCTTCCTTACACCTTATACAAAAATTAATTCAAAGTGGATTAAAGACTTACATGTTAGACCTAAAGCCATAAAAACCCTAGAAGAAAACCTAAGCAATACCATTCAGGACATAGTCATGGGCAAGGACTTCATGTCTAAAACACCAAAAGCAATGGCAACAAAAGCCAAAATTGACAAATGGGATCTAATTAAACTAAAGAACTTCTGCACAGCAAAAGAAACTACCATCAGAGTGAACAGGTAACCTACAGAATGGGAGAAAACGTTTGCAATCTACTCATCTGACAAAAGGCTAATATCCAGAATCTACAATGAACTCCAACACATTTACAAGAAAAAAACAAACAACCCCATCAAAAAGTGGGCAAAGGATATGAACAGACACTTCTCAAAAGAAGACATTTATGCAGCCAAAAACTGCATGAAAAAATGCTCAACATCATTGTCCATCAGAGAAATGCAAATCGAAACCACAATGAGATACCATCTCACACCAGTTAGAATGGCGATCATTAAAAAGTCAGGTGCTGGAGAGGATGTGGAGAAATAGGAACACTTTTACACTGTTGGTGGGACTGTAAACTAGTTCAACCATTGTGGAAGTCAGTGTGGCAATTCCTCAGGGATCTAGAACTAGAAATACCATTTGACCCAGCCATTCCATTACTGAGTATATACCCAAAGGATTATAAATCATGCTGCTATAAAGACACATGCACACATATGTTTATTGCAGCACTATTCACAATAGCAAAGACTTGGAACCAACCAAATGTCCAACAATGATAGACTGGATTAAGAAAATGTGGCACATATACACCATGGAATACTATGCAGCCATAAAACATGATGAGTTCACGTCCTTTGTAGGGACATGGATGAAGCTGGAAACCATCATTCTCAGCAAACTATCGCAAGGACAAAAAAAACAAACACCACATGTTCTCACTCGTAGGTGGGAATTGAACAATGAGAACACATGGACACAGGAAGGGGAACATCATACACCGGGGCCTGTTGTGGGGTGGGGGGAGGGGGGAGGGATAGCATTTGGAGATATACCTAATGTTAAATGACTAGTTACTGGGTGCAGCACACCAACATGACACACGTATACATGTGTAACTAACCTGCACGTTGTGCACATGTACCCTAAAACTTAAAGTATAATAAAAAAAACTACTAAGAAAATTGCTCAAAACCATACAATTACATGAAAATTAAACAACTAAACAACCTGCTCCTAAATGACTTTGGAGTACACAATGAAATTGAGGCAGAAATCAAGAAATTATTTCAAACTAATGAGAGCAAAGATACAACATACCAGAATTTCTGGGACACACCTAAAACAGTGTTAAGAGGAAATTTTATAGCATTATCTTATGTCAAAAAGTTAGAAAGATCTCAAATTAACAACTTAATTCACATCAAGAAGAACTAGAGAAACAAGAGCAAACCAACCCCAAAGTTACAGAAGACAAGAAATAACTAAAATTAGAGCTGAACTGAAGTAAACTGAGATGTGAAAAACCACACAAAAGGTCAACAAATCCAGGAGTTAGTTATTTGAAAGAATAAATAAGATTAATAGACTGTTAGCTAGATGAATTAAAAAAGAGAAGATCTAAATAAACACAATCAGAAATAACAAAGGGAGATTACCGTCAACCCCACAGAAATGCAAAAATTAAACCCTCCAACACTGCTATGAACATTTCTAGGCACACAACCTACAAAACATGAAACAATGGATAAATCCCTGGAAACATACAATCTCCCAAGATTCAACCAGGAAGAAACTGAATCTCTGAAGAGACCAATAGCAAGTTCCGAAATTGAATCAGTAATAAGAAGCCTGCCAACCAGAAAAAGCCCAGAACCAGATGGATTCACTAGTGAATTCTACCAGATGTATATAAAGAAAGAGGGGGTACCATTCCTACTTAAACTATTCCAACAAATAAGGAGGAGGGACTCCTCCACAACTCATTCAATGAGCCCAGCATTATCCTGATAGCAAAACCTGGCAGAGACACAACAAAAAGAGGAAACTTCAAGCCAATATCTTTGATGAACATAAATGCAAAAATACTCAACAAAATACTAGCAAACTGAATCCACTAGCACATCAAAAGGCTAATCCACCATGATCAAGTAGGCTTTATCCCTGAGATGCAAGTTTGGTTCAACACATGTAAATCAATAAATGTGATTCTTCACATAAACAGAACTAAAAACAAAAACCACATGATCATCTCAATAGATGCAGAAGTCTTTCAATAAAATCCATTATATCTTCATGTTTAAACCCCTTGACGAACTAAGCATTAATGAAACATACCTCAAAATAACAAGAGCCATCTATGACAAACCCATAGCCAACATCATACTAAATAAGCAAAAGCTGGAATGATTCCCTTTGAGAAACAGAGCAAAAAAGGGATGCTTCTCACTGCTCCTATTCAACATAGTACTGGAAGTCCTAGCCAGAGCAAATAGGCAAGAAAAAGAAATAAAAGGCATTAATAGAAAAAGAGAAGAATTCAAACTATCTCTGTTTGAAGATGGTATGATTTTATACCTCGAAAACCCCATGGTTGCTGCCCAAAATCTCCTATTTCTGATTTTAAAAACTTCAGCAAAGTTTCAGCATACAAAAATTATGTACAAAAGTAGCATTTCTGTACACCAACAATGTCTAAGCTGAGAGTCAAATCAAGAATGCGATCCCATTCACAATAACGACAAAAAGAATAAAATATCCAGGAATACACTTAACAAGGGAGGTGAAAGATCCTACAATGAGAATCACAAAACACTGCTCAAAGAAATCAGAGATGACACAAACAAATGGAAAAACTTTCCATGCTCATGGATAGGAAGAATCAATAGTTAGAATAACCATACTGCTCAAAGCAGTGTATAGACTCAATGCTTGTATTAGTCTATTCTCACATTGCTATAAAGAAATACCTAAGACTGGGTAATTTCTAAAGAAAAATGGGTTTAATTGGCTCACAGTTCTGCAGGCTGTACAGGAAGCATGGCAGCATCAGCTTCTGTGTAGGCCTCAGGGAGATTTTACTCATGGCAGAAGGCAAAGCAGGAGCAGACATCTTACATGGCAGGAGAAGGACCGAGACAGAGTGAGGAGGTGCCACGCACTTTTAAACAACCAGATCTCATGAGAACTCACTATTGTGATGACAGCTCCAAGGAGGATGGTGTTAGACCATGAGAAACCACCCTCATGATCCAATCACCTTCCACCAGGCCCCACCTCCAACACTGGGGATTACATGTTGAATCATGAGATTTGGACAGGGACTCAGATCCAAATCATATCATTCCATCCCTGGCCCCTCTCAAACCTCATATCCTTCTCACATTGAAAAATCCCATCATGCCTTCCCAACATTCCTGCAAAGTCTTAACTCATTCCAGCATTAACTCAAAAGTCCAAAGTCCAAAGTCTCATCTGAGACAAGGCTAGTCGCTTCTGCCTATTAGCCTGTAAAATGAAACACAAATTAGTTATTTCCAAGATACAATGGATATATAGGCATTGGGTAAATACTCTCATTCCAAAAGGGAGAGATCAGCCAAAAGAAAGGGTGAATAGGCCTCCTGCAATTCTAAAACCCAGCAGGGGAGTCATGGGAAGATCCATCCCTGTGGGCTCACAGGGCAGGTTTATCCCTGTGGCTTTGCAGTGTTCAGCCTGCATGGCTGCTCTTAAGGGCTGGTGTTGAGTGTTTGCAGCTTTTCCAGGTACATAGTGCAAGACTTTGGTGGGTCTACAATTCTGGGGTCTGGAGGATGGTGACCCTTTTCTCACAGCTTGACTAGGCAGTGCCCCAGGGGGTCTATGTTGGGGGGGGTCCAACCCCACATTTCCATTCCACACTGCCTTAGCAGAGGTTTTCCATGAGGGCTCTTCCTCTGCAGCAGGCTTTTCCATACATCCTATGAAATCTAGGTGGAGGCTCTCAAGCCTTAACTCTTGCTCTCTGTGCACCTGCAGGCTTAACACCACATGGAAGCCACCAAGGCTTCTAGCTTGCACCCTCTGAAGCAGTGGCCCAAGGTGTACCTGGGTCCTTTTTAGCCACAGCTGAAGCTGGAGTAACTGGGATACACGGTCCAGTGTCTCAAGACTGTGCAGGGCTGCAGTGCCCTGGGCCTGGCTCATGAAACCATTCTTTCCTTCTAGGCCTCTGGGCCTGTGATGGGAGGGGCTGCTGCAAAGGTCTCTGAAATGCCTGAGGCCTTTTCCCCCATTGTCTCGGCTGTTGTGATTTGGCTCCATTCCACTTATGCAAATTTCTGTAGCCTGCTTGAATTCCTCCCCATGAAAATGGGCTTTTCTTTCCTACCACATTGCCAGGCTGCAAATTTTCTGAACTTTTACACTCTGCTTCCCTTTTAAATATAAGTTCCAGTTTCAGGTTGTTTCTTTGCTCACACATTGAGCATAGGTTATTAGAAACAGCCAGGCTACTTCTTGAATGCTTTACTATTTGGAAATGTCTTCCCCCAGATAACCTAAATCATCACTCTCAAGTTCAAAGTTCCATAGATCCCTAGAGAAGGATCACAATACACCCAGGCTCTTTGCTAAAGCACAACAAAAGTGACCTTTACTCCAGTTCCCAATAAGTTCCTAATTTTCATCTGAGACCTCCTCAGCCTGGACTTCATTGTCCATATCACTCTTAGCATTTCAGTCACAACAATTTAACATGTCTCTAGAAAATTTCAAATTTTCCCTCACCTTTCTGTCTCCTTCTGAGCCCTCCACACTCTTCCAATCTCTGCCCATTACCCAGTTCCAAAGTTGTTTCCACATTTTGAGATATCTTTATAGCAATGCCCCAGTCCTTGGTACCAATTTTCTGGATTTGTTTATTTTCACATTGCAATAAAGAAATATCTGAGACTGGTTAATTTATAAGAAAAGAAGTTTAATTGGCTCATGATTCTACAGGCTGTATAGGAAGCATGGTGGCATCTGCTTCTGAGGAGGCCTCAGAGAGCTTTTACTCATGGCAGAAGGCAAAGCAGGAGTAGGTGTTTTACACGGCAGTAGCAGGAGTGAGAGGGAGAGGGGGAGGTGCCACATACTTTTAAACATACTTTTAAACAACCAGATCTCATGAGAACTCACTATCATGATGACAGCACCAGGAGTGGATGGTGTTAAACCATAAGAAACTGCTCCCATGATGCAATCATCTCCCACTAGGCCCCATCTCCAACATTGGGGATTGCATTTTAACATGTAAAATGTTTGGATGGGGACACAGATCCAAACCATATGAATATTATTCCTATCAAACCACCAATGACATTGTTCATAGCATTAGAAAAAAAACTATTTTAAAATTCATAGGGAACAAAGAAAGAGCCTGAATAGCCAAGACAAGCCTAAGCAAAAAGAACAAAGCTGGAGACATCACATTACCCTACTTCAAATACTTTGGCAAACTAGACTTTGGTTACAAGCCTACAGTAACCAAAACAGCATGGTACTGGTATAAAAACAGACACATAGATTGATGGAACAGAATAAAGAGCCCAGAAATAATGCTTCACACATACACCATCTGGTCTTTGACAAAACCAAAAGTCAACAGAAACAAGAAATGGAGAAAGGACTCCCTATTCAATAAATGGTACTAGGATAACTAGCTAAGTGCAGAAGATTGAAACTGGACCCCTTCCTTTATCATGTACAAAAATCAATTCAAGATGGATTAAAGGCTTAAATGTAAAGCCTAAAACTATAAAAACCCTGGAAGATAACCTAGGAAATATCCTTCTGGACATAGGCCCTGGCAAAGATTTTATGAAAAAGGTGTCAAAAGCAGTTGCAACAAAAACAAAAATTGACTAGCAGGACCTAATTAAACTAAAGATCTTCTTCACAGCAAAAGAAATTACCAGAATAATAAACAGACAACCCATGGAATGGAAGAAAATATTTGCAAACTATACATCAGACAAAGGTCTAATATCCAGAATACATAAGAAACTTAAACAATTAATAGGCAAAAAACTCCATTAAAAAGTGGGCAAAGGACATGAAGAGACAATTTTCAAAAGACCTACACATGACCAACAAGCATATGAAAAAATGCTCAACATCACTAATCATTGGAGAAATGCACATCAAAACCACAAGAAAATGCTATCTCCCACCCCACAATAACTATTATTAAGTCAAAAAATAACAGATGCTGGAAAGGTTGCAGGAAAAAGGGAACACCTATACACTGCCAATGGGAATGTAAATTAGTTCAGCCACTGTGGAAAGCAGCACGACAATTTCTCAAAAAACTTAAAAAAGAATTATCACTGGACCCAGAAATTCTACTATTAGATATATACTGAAAGGAATATAAATTATTCTACCATAAAGACACATGCACAGATATGTTCATCGCAGTACTATACACAATAGCAAAGACATGGAATCAATCTAAATGCCCATCAATAGTTGACTGGATAAAGATAATGTGATACATATATACAATGGAATACTATGCAGCCATAAAAAGAAATAAGATCATGTCCTTTGCAGCAAGATGTATGAAGCTGGAGGCCATTATCTATTTTTTTTTTTTTTTTTTGAGATGGAGTTTCGCTCTTGTTGCCCAGGCTGGAGTGCAATGGTGCAATCTCGGCTCACAGCAACCTCCACCTCCCGGGTTCAAGCGATTCTACTGCCTCAGCCTCCTGAGTAGCTGGGATTACAGGTAAGCACCACCACCATGCCTGGCTAATTTTTGTATTTTTAGTAGAGACAGGGTTTCTCCATGTTGGTCAGGCTGGTCTCAAACTCCCGACCTCAGGTGGTCCGCTCGCCTCAGCCTCCCAAAGTGCTGGGATTACAGGCGTGAGCCACCACGCCCGGCCGCTAGAGGCCATTATGTTAAGCAAACTAACACAGGAACAGAAAACCAAATGCTGCATGTTCCCAGTTATAATTGGGAGCTAACCATTGAGTATACATAGACATAAAGAAGGGAAGAGACAATGGGGCCTTCCTGAAGGTGGAGAGTGGGAGAAGGGAGAAGATCAAAAAACTACCTACCAAGTACTATGCTTATTACCTGGTTGACAAAATAATCTGTACACCAAACCCCTGTGGCACACAATTTACCTATGCAACAAACCTCTACATGTATCCTGAACCTAAAATAAGTTAGAATTTTTTTAAAAATGAGATAACAGAGGTGAAGCTCTTTGATCAGCTCCTGTTACTTTACCATAAGGCAATGATTTGCATTTCTAGAAAACCAGAAACCTTGAATTACAAAAATAATGTTGTAATTTTGTAATTTAAAATAAATTTTAAATTTTATCATTAACAAATTATTAACAAATCTAAGTTCAGTCATGGCTGTCTTTCATCCGTATACTCAGAATCCTTCCATTTCCTCCATAATTTTTGGCCTTAACCTTGTAATTTTGCTGGCAGCACCAATGGTGAGCAGAAGAGCACAGGTTACAAAAGAGAGTCTCCCTCCAACAGATCAGCTCCATTCTCATGCTTTACACTCCACTCACTCAGCTTTCTTTCTCTACATTATGCTCATCAATTTTTAAAAATATGTAGTTAAAATTTTGTTCCCTGGCCAGGCACAGAGGCTCATGCCTGTAATCCCAGCACTTTGGGAGTCCGAGGCAGGTGATCACCTGAGGTCAGGAGTTCAAGACCAGCCTGGCCAACAGGGTAAACCCCGTCTCTACTAAAAACGCAAAAAAGCAGGTGGGTGGGGGCCAGGCACAGTGGCTCATGCCTGTAATCCCAGCACTTTGGAAGGCTGAGGTGGGCAGATCACGAGGTCATGAGATCGAGACCATCCTGGCTAACATGGTGAAACCCTGTCTCTACTAAAAATACAAAAAATTAGCTGGGCATGGTAGTGGGTGCCTGTAGTCCCAGCTACTCAGGAGGCTGAGGCAGGAGAATGGTGTGAACCAGGGAGGCAGAGCTTGCAGCAAGCCAAGATTGCACCACTGCACTCCAGCCTGGGTGACAGAGTGAGACTCTGTCTCAAAAAAAAAAAGGAGCTGGGTGTGGTGGCGGGTGCCTGTAATCTCAGCTACTCGGGGGGCTGAGGCACAAGAATGGCTTGAACCCGGAAGGAGGGGGTTGCAGTGAGCTGAGATCGCACCACTGTACTCCAGCCTAGGCAAGAGAGTGAGACTCTGTCTCAATAAATAAATAAATAAATAAATAAATAAATAAATAATTTTGTTCCCTAATTAATTGTGCTATAATTAGCACTATGAAAATTTATTCTGTGAAGACAATTATTGTAATAGGTACTCTGGTGGTGATGGTGGAGGTGGAGCTGGTGGTGGAATTGATGGTGATGGTGGAGCTGGTGGTGGCATTGGTGGTGGTGAAGCTGGTGGTGGCATTGGTAGTGGTGGTGGTGGTGGTGGTGGTAGTGGTAGTGGTGGAGGTGATAGATTTTCCTACTTAGCATCCCTCAGAGGTTCTACCTGTCTGAAGGATAAAGCCCAAACTCCTGAGCTTGACAGACACGGCACTTCATGCCCCAGCTGTTGCTTATCTCTTTAAACTCACTTCTCCCCATATACACACACTCACTCTCACTTACACTTACTCACTAAGCTCTTCCACATTAAATTACTTTCTGAGCCTCACACCCAATGCATCTTAATTTTATTGTCTTTGTTCATGCTATTCTTGTCATCCCTTTCTTCCGTTTTCCACCAGAAACACACCTATTCAGTCCTTAATACCCAGTTCAAATGTCACTGGCATCTTTTGTGAGGACTTCTCTGAACTTCAAGGCAAAGTTAAGTTTTCTTCCTCAATACTTTTGTACACTTCGTCTCTAATATTTCTGATCTGGCTTTTAAGAGGCTGGTGGGGTCTCCCTTATCACCAGAGGTGGCCTTTTGATTGATCTCTCCACTGGCCCCTCTAGATTGATATGAGAACTCTGGCCTGCTGCCCTCAGGGTAAGCCAGCAGTCACTCCATTACAGGATCACACACAAGCTATGAGGTCAAGCATCAGGGCAGGATGTGCTCTGGGCTCAGAAAGCCTATAACAAGTTTTTTGGTTTTTCATGTTTTTCTTAAAATATAACATCTATCCAGAAAAGTGAGCAAATCATAAATGTACCACTTAATCAATGAATTTCCCATAAATGAACACACCAATGTAACCAGTATGCAGGTCAAGAAACAGAATATTACCAGCATCCAGAAGATTCTCAACAATTGGACATAAAAATGCATTTTAACTGTTTAAACTTATTATTAAAAGTTATCAATTTTCAATATGCAAGCAGTTACTAGCTTTTTGAAGACATTTTAGAAGTGACAAAAGCCAAAATGCCACTGAGGAAGTCACTCAAAGGGTCTGGAGACACTGTGTTCCATTCCAAAGAAAAACTCAAGCCCTCAAGTAACCTGGGCCCCACCGTGAGTACACCTGAGCCTTGGAGCTGAGCCAGGTGCAGGAGAGACAGGTACATTATCTAACTGAGTGAAGCTGTTACTGAAACACCAGGGGTTCAGTCTAGATCCTACTGCTCACCCCACAGAAAGCCAATGACTGAGGTGATGTTGCCAAGGAAGAAGGCTTTAATCGGGTGCTGCAGCCAAGGCAATGGGAGCTCCGTCTCAAATCCATCTCCCCCACTGACTAAAAGTAGGGATTTACATAGCAGAAAAGAAATGTAACAAGGTGTAAGAAAACAGAAACTAGGGAGGGGCAAGGAAGCAACGATGATAAATAAGGGATTTGGCATCTCATTGTCTGGATGCAGCAATTTGTTCCAGAGTTTCAGGTTTTTTATACTTTTTTGAGAGGCCTGAAGGTCATTTCCTTAAAAAGGAACTCAGATAAAACAAATGTAAGTTTCAATGTTTAAGACAAGGGTCCATTTTTATGTTTATCCAAAAAATAAAAATAAAAAAATAACATCTATGTGACAACTGGGTCAGTTTCAAAACAACCAGAGCTCTCTGGAGAACAAGATGACTTCAACTCTGAGGACATTCCAAGCAAGGGAAAAGGGAAGTGAGGTGGAGAACAGCTGTGACTGCTTGCCCGCCAACTCTATACTGGTGTCTCTACTAAGGACTTCACATATACCTTCTCACTGATACCACTGAGACGGCTGTCCCCCTTTTAAAGAAAAGAGAAAGGTAACAGGACTTGTCCCAAATCTACATATTATGATGCTCAGAAGCCCCTAAACCACGATCTCAACCTATTTGGCTCCCAGTGCATCTTCCTAGAAGAAACAGCACAGGCAACGGCCTGGGATGGGAATAAGGACAATTTGTCCCAGGGCACTTCCCCTGTGAAGGAACTGACACCTTCACGCAACATCCCATTGAGGAGTAATGAGAGTTAAGGATGGAGGTGTGGAGTCATGCCCCATTACAGAGGGAGGGTCCTGAAAACATGTAGAGGAGCTTTGATGGAGGGCATCTCTCATTGGCCCCAACCTGCTACTTCACCCTTCCTGCCCCTCCATGTGTGATGGTTGAGAAGACTGTGCTTGTGTGTGAAATCTTGAGTGTAATTTTTCTTCTGCAGATGTATTGATGTTTCATGTGGGTGTGTTTGGTAGTCCCTACTGCCCTGGGATTTTCTATGACAGAAAATGTGCTGGCTCTGTTATTGACACATCATCCCGGCCCCCAGGAGTACACAGGGGTTTGGAATGGCACCCTGACCTCCTGGCCTGATGTGCTTTCAGGAAAAGCACAATCCCAGCAGCTCACATGAGGCAGTGGGAAAACAAGCCTGTGTCACTGCTGTGTGTGCACGTGGGTTACAACACATTCCTTCTTTATCCTGAGAGGTCCTGTATTCCAGGGAAGAGTGCAGAGCAGCATGTTGCTTACCACCCCCTCCACTGACTTTCAGGGCCCTTCTGTGAGGCCAGCTGACCTGCCCAGGAACCTTGCTGCCCTCTGTTGTTGAGAGCTGCAGGGTTAGAGGCACCGCATACCCTGAAGTGTGCGGGAGGCTGAACAGGTGCCAACACTCCACCCCTCACCAGCCCTGGACAGCTCACCTCGCCAACCCTCTGTTTCCTCAGCTTGTAAAAGGAAGATAATGCCACATGAAATGATGAGGAAGCATCTGCCCCACCCAATTAAAACGTAAGTCCTAAAGGACAGAAATCACGGATGGCAGAGCCAAGCGCAGGGACCTACTGGGGGAAAGTGCTGAATAGGACTCTGATGAATGGCTCTGCGTGCTCCTCATCCTCCTGGCTTTAACAGCCAACTGGTTCTAATTGCTTCTAGCTGGCTCCAACTGCTTCTAGGTGATGCTAACTGCTCCCCTATGCCCATGCTCTCATCTTCCCTGTCACTTCTGTGCAAACAATCCCCAAATTCGGTGTCTCCAGCCCTGGATTCTTACCCAGTCCAAAATCCCACATCTCCAACTGCATCCTGGCCATGTCCACCTGCCTGCCCAGACATCTCAGACTCTGTCACAGAATGGACTCCTAGTTCACTTTGCTCCACTTCCTATTTTCATTTTAACATTGTTATTAAAGCATGATAGATTTACATTGAAGTGCACACATCACAAGTAGACAGCTTGATGAACCTTCATGAATGGACACACCCAGGTAACAAGCACCAGATCAAGCAGCAGAACATTATCAGCATCCCAGAAGTCCCCCAGGGCCCTCTTCCAGGGATGACCAATGGCCTGACTTCTGTCTGCTTAGCCTGTTTTTGAACTTTGTATAAATGAAATTATACAGTCTGTTCTCTTCCATGTCTGGCTTCTTTTGGTCAACATTGTGAGATTCATTCATACCATTGCATGGAAGGGTAGACCACCCATTCTCTTGCTGTGCAAGTACAGTATGACTTACCCAATATATTGCTGATGGCAATCAGATTGTTTCCCTTTGGGGGCTTTGATGAGTCCTGCTGTACTGAACTTGATGGTGCATGTCTTTTCTTGTGACTATATGTACACATTTCTTTTGTGTATAGTCCCAAGAAGGAATTGCTGGGCCATGGATTATGCATTTCTGCTCTCAGAGATGCTGCCAGCAGTTTTTTTGGGTTTTTTTGGTTTTTTTGGTTTTTTTTGAGATGGAGTCTCACTCTGTCACCCAGGCTGTAGTGCAGTGGCGCGATATTGGCTCACTGCAACCTCCACCTCCCTGGTTCAAGTCTCCCAGGTAGCTGGGATTACAGGCGCCCACCACCATACCCAGCTACTTTTTCTTTTATTTTTAGTAGAGACGGAGTTCTACCACGTTGGCCAGGCTGGTCTGAAACACCTGACCTCAGGTGATCCACCTGCCTCAGCCTCCCAAAGTGCTGGGATTACAGGAGTGAGCTGCCGCACCTAGCCGGTGCCAGCAGTTTCTAAAGTGATCGTATCAATGCACATTTCTACCAGCAGTGTGGGTAAGTTTTGGCAACTCCACTTCCCTGCCAACAATTGATGCCATTTTTGATTCACCCTTCCATGCCTAAGGTATTTCTTTTTTCCTCCAGAATGATCTCATATTTTCAGCCCTTTCCTCTCAGTACTGTCCTGCTTCAGGAGAGCTCACAGTGAGGCTCCCTGGCACTGGCCCTCAGGCCTCCCCGTGGACTGCTCCCAGATAAGCTCCCTAAATGCTGCTTTCATCCTCACACTGTTCTGTCCACAGAACTTCAATTACTCCTGATTTCCAATTACTTTAGAGTTATATCTGTTCATCTGGTTTTTGACACTCTGCAAACCTGGTCAATAATCCAGAAGACCTCATCTTTCCTTTGGGCTTCATAATTCCTACATATCATTTTCCAATGTCATAATCTCTCTTCCAGTAAGTCTCCAGCATCAGCTTGTTTGGCAGGAAAACTGTCTTCTTTGTTAGCAGTTCTGTAAGGAACCCTCCCTCCCTACTAGCTGGAGAGGGTAGTGGCAGCAAAGCCTCAGAGAATTTGTTCCAACACCCTTGTTTTCAGAGAAGCCCCAAAGTTGTAAAGAACTTTTTAAAAAATCCTAATGACTTGGCAGGTTTTCATAACTTTCTTAAAGTGGCAACCACCACTTCTTATTTGTTACTATTCTTTATTTAATACGAAAACAGGCAGAACTTTGGAGCTACAGGCATCAAGCATCTGCTGCATTTAGGGAGGTTTTATTTTTATTTATTTATTTTGAGATGGAGTCTCGCTCTGTCACCCAGGGTGGAGTGCAATGGCACAACCTCGGCTCACTGCAACCTCCGCTTCGAGCAATTCTCCTGCCTCAGCCCCCCAAGTAGCTGGGATTACAGGTGCCCACCACCACGCCTGGCTAATTTTTGTATTTTTAGTAGAGATGGGGTTTTCACCATGTTGGCCAGGCTGGTCTCGAACTCCGGACCTCAAGTGATCTACCCGTCTCGGCCTCCCAAAGTGCTGAGATTACAGATGTTAGCCACCATGCCTGGCCAAAGGAGGTTTTAGACCAGTAGAAAGTGTTTGAAACCTTCCATCATTACAGAGAATCATAGAAATGCATGGAAAATAGAGAGCAGGCAAATGATGCTTATTTCTCCCACGTTAAGAAGAAAAATCAGACTGCTCTGTGTTTAATATTTGCTTACAGTTTATATAGTTATTACTTGAATGTTGTATAGTTATTAGAATGTTATGTAGTTATATATATAACATGTTATATAGTTATATAGACTGTTATTATAGTTATTACTTGAATCCTACTTTATATAGGAAATCCCAATGCATTCTAGTTCATATTGCCCATATTATTGAACGTAGAGCATAATTTTGCTATTTTAAATGGCATAGGATTCATAGTTGCATCTTGTCTTTGATAATATAGTATTTTTCTTACTTGTACTTTATTTGATGGTGAGTCCTTTGGTAGGGGCAGTAGGGGCTCCATGTCTGGTCATTGTATCATACAACATGAGGAAGGGAATGTCAGAAGATGCTATCAGTTCTGATGCCTTATGCAAACATAAAGAAACAGTGCTTTCCTTGTGGACATAAGTGGGGGCTAGATTCACAGGCCATGACTCACAGCACACACCTTCTAGTCTGATCACAGGCTGTTTGCAGCCCCTAAAACAAGCCATGCTTCTCTTAGCTTATCCTTAAGTCTCTCCCCTGAAGGCCACTCTCTCTTTTCCTGCCTTCGCTAAATGCTACTCAAATATTAAGGGCCTTATTAGGCCAACATCTTTAGTAAAGTTCCTTCTGCTTACTCTAGACTCTACTGATATTACCCAAACTCTCTTAATCCTAAATTGTGTCTGCCCACAATTTAGCACTTAATTGCATATCACATAGTATCATTTAAGGGAGACTTAAAATCTGGCAGTTCTTGATTGAACTTGATGGGCATCCCGTCCCTCCCTGGAAGACCACATAATGGGTTCCCTTTTAGCTAATGATATTACAAACCCCTTGTGTGCTAAGGAAGAAGCATTATTTTGCCCCAATGTCACCATTGATCTTATGCAGCCTTGACTTTCACTGATGCTCCCTGTGTCTTATTGCCTCCCCAGGTGCAAGAATTATCTCACACCTCACACCATTCCCTGGAGTCCTGAGGACTTACCCAGATACTCAGTAGGATGGGAAATTGGGGGTGAAAAATGACAGTTAATTGGAAGGGCATGGCCTGCAGCCTGAGAGAAGTTGCTGAGTTTGGAAAGTAGGAAGGCGGTGAACTGGCCAAGGGATCATGAGTTTACAGCTTGTGACCACGATGTAAAGGAAGGACCGGTCCCATTCCACACCTGATCCTTAGGGGCCTCAGGCCTCTGGGTTTGGCAGCTGGGATTGGTATTGTTCTGTGTCATCCACAATGATCTCTGCCAAAGAGGGCCTGAAGATACAGGCTTCCTTCCTGCTTGCCAGCTTCAGAATGGCTCGGGTGTTCCCAGAACTGGCCAATCTATGCACCTAGAACTGAGGCTTGACACTCCCCAGGTTCAGGGCAGTCCTAGAAGCAAGCTAAAGCCTCTCCCCTTGGGGTAGATCTCCAAGGCTGGCATCCTGGGAGCTTGGTGCATAAGGCTGATTCACCTGCCACAGGACCTATGAGCTCTGTGTGTGTCCCCAGTGGCAAGGGCATTGACCCTGGGCTACCTGTCCCAGTCACAATTCTGGACCCCTGCTCTGAGGGCTATATTTAGAGGAATTGTACCCCGACTTCCCTGCCAACCTAGAGACACACACACCCTATCTCAGGACCTCACAGGAACTCATCCTAGTCTTCAAGTATCAGAGTCGTTCACCCATTTATTCATCCATATACTCAACAAATAACTATTATGAATCTCCATGAGCCAGACACTGAACCTGGGGCTACATCAGTAAACAAGACCATCCCAGACTCTGCCCTCAGGAAGCTAGCCAGTGAGTGGGGAAGCTCTATAAAGCAGACAGTTGCAAGATCCTGTAATTACGGTGAGAGGAAAGAGAAATATTTTGGGAGATGCATGCCAATGACTGTGGCCTGAAGTTTGACCTTTTCTCCATCAGGCAGTCATAATGGAAGATGCTTACCCACCCCTGTCCTGGGGTAGGAGGGATAGCAGATGGGATGGCAGTGTCATTTAGAAAATTGCCTTCAAAATGTCTATTTTTATAATGTAGGCTACAGAAAGTACAGTTCCACACAGTGTTTTGTTATTTTGGCCTTTTGGACAAAGAAGTCATATGTATACTGGTGTGGTATAGGAGAGAATTACTGCAGGGTCCCTGAATTTACAAAGATCAGGGAATCCAAGGTGGAAAAACCAGGGCATGGAACCCACCAAGAAAATGTTTCAAGAAGTCCCCTGAGACCCTGGGGTGGGGATTGCTCCTGCAATGCAGCGGGTGTCAGTCCTGTGAGTGGGCAGGATGCAGAGGCCTCTGGCTAAACCACACAAGGTGCTGCCAGACTCCCTGGGCTGGAGGAAGCCCTGCCCCTGTGTGTGCAAGCATCACCCTCCCGTGACATGTGATGATGTCTCATGGTAACTGATGGCCTCAAGGCACCCACCAAACCTATATGAAGCAACCAGCACCACGCAGAGGGTGGGACCTGATGGAGTGACTTGATGAAGTTTAATGGGAGGACAAGGCTTGGCCTAGAGTGTTGCCTTCCATTGGTGTGGCCCAGCATGCAACGGCACACTCCCTGCTGCCAGCTGGAATGCCACCATGACTCACTTGGGCTCACCATGGCATCTCCAAACAAGACATCGGAATTTGTAAACTGTCCCCACTCCAGGGGCTGAATTCATGCCTTTTCACCTAGTCTCAAGGACAGGGATGCTTTACAGCAGTGCTTTCCAAACAAATCCCCTGGGGACCTACTTAATGCAAATTCTGATTCTGAAGGTCTGGGTGGGACTGAGATGTTTCATTTCTAAACAAGTTCCAGGGGATGTCAATGTTGCTGATCTGGGGACCACACTGTGAGTAGCAAGACCTGAAAACATTCACCAAAGTGAGTGAAATTTAACCTTCACTTCTCCTTCACAAGGAAGGATGATCGGCTCCACCATCTGGTGCTCACTCAGCAAGCATTTGTTGAGCCTAGGAACTGAGATAATGGTAACACCATTGGCGGAAATAATGAAGTCAGAGACAGGAACTGTTGTTTTAGGAGAAATAATAATAATTACCTTTGCTTGAATGCCTGTCCTGTTCTATGATCTTGTTTGATCCTTATATTTGGAAGGTAGATATTATTAATCTTCATTAATTTCATAGTGGAATTAGGCTCAAAAAGGTGAAGTGATTTTCCCTGAGGTGTCATTGCTGGCTGGAAATTGAACCTGGTCTATTAAACTCCAAAATCTACCTGATCCCACTGTGAAGCAGTTCCTTGTTCTAGAGAGTGGGGAATTAGCGTTAAGTAGATTCAGCATAGTGGTTCGCAACCCTGCCTGCACGTTAGAATCACCAAGAAAACTTTAAACCCCCCCACACCCCAAACTAATTACAATAGACTCTCTAGGGGAGGGATGCTCTATCCACATTTTTTAAAGCTCTCCAGGTAATTCCAATGTGCAGACAAGCCTGGGAATCGCTGAGTTAGCCCAACTCTTCTCCTAAGAAGTGAGCAATTGAGAAGCCAATAAATGAAATGGCAACCTTGTCAGAACTAGTATCTCTCCATTCCTTCTCCAGGACTGTTTCCAATAAACTGGCTAAACATAACATGCTGTAGTGGGATGAAGCAGAATGGGAAAGAAAGTAGGATACAGGAATTTGCCAAGGGAAAATACATAAGGAGCTGAGAATCCAAGCCAACACTGGAGGCAACACACATTTAGGAGCTGAGGAGAAGATTCTGAAAGATAGAGAATTTCACCAAACTAAAATCCTTAACATCAAGAACAACATTTCTTCATTTAGGAATCCTCCTGTGTTTGGCATCTCTTACACGATGGATGAGTGAACGGAGGAAATGAGAAAGGTGGTGTGGCTCTAATGGACAAGAAAGTTCAGAAGCCAAGTTGAGTAGGAAATGGGTGTCACATTGGGATTGAGGAAAGGCATAATAACAGGTGAGATGGCTTTACCCAGTGTGAATCTACTGAAGGAAGGACTATAAAAGTGAATGGCCTCCATGAGGAAGTCATATTGTAAGGTTTTCTGATTAGGATTAGGATGATTTTTAAATAATAGAATGGAATACACCAAGTAGAGAAATAAATGGAACAATCTGCTTGAAGCAAAAAAAAAAAAAAAAAAGGCTTGAGGCTACTCTAGGGACCATAATGCCATCTCTTGCCATAATCAAGAGAAAAGGCCAGAGCCCCCCACCATCTCCTCAAAGAGAAATCTTAGATAACAGAACAAAGTTCTGGGTACTCCACCAACCACCTGGGATGCCCCTGGGTAACTTCATCCTTCAAGGCTGTCATGGATGTTAAAATGAATTTCTCCTTATTAAACATTGAGGATAAAAAGCTATTGAGGACCAAGTGTGGTCTTCCCCTATAATCCCAGCATTTTTGGAGGCTGAGGTGAGAGGGTTGCTTGAGGCCAGGAGTTCAAGATCAGCCTGGGCAACCTAGCAAGACCCCTTGGTTACAAAAAATAAAAATAAAGCTATTGAGCAATTGGTTGTGAGACTTACATGGCAGTCAAGTCTCTTGGGGGTTCTGTAGACCCCAGGTTTTACAAAAGTGTGAGTCAGAAGGAGCCAAAATGCTAAGTGATGTTGGGCATTAAAAGTCCACATGGGGATATTGTTTTACTCATCATATCACAAGGGTGTTTAAGTTTCTGCCTAGGATTTTCCATCTCACTCAACAATGTTTAATTCATTGTCCATGTTGATGTGGGTTTAATTGTGAGATCACAGACACTTGTCTTCAAAGATGACATCTCCTGAACCATGCCTTAGACACTCTTCTGTATGAAGGAAGGACATTTCCTCACCCATCCTCACTCCCCTGGCCCACTTTCAGACCTCCACTGACACTTTGGGACTGGCTGGCCGGCGTGCCATTGTGTCATGCTGCTGGGGACTAGAAAGCTAAGTGACCTACCCAGGAATAAACTCTTTGACTTCCCTCACATCAGCACATCCTAGCCACCTCAGGCCCAGGACAAAACTAAACATTAGCCCCCAGTTTAAATATGTCCCTTGGTCCAGGTGTTGGGAGAAAATAATCAGCAACCTCAGCTGAGTGAGAAAAAGACTGCAGGTAGGGAAAATGGATAAACAATGGGAAACCTGTGTCTCCTTGTGTATGCCCTATTTCTTCCCACATTGCTATTTCTCCAGGACCCACAGTTGACACCCCAGTTGGGAGAAGGTTCCACTGGTCCCAAGAAGCTGAATTAAAAGCTGGCTTCTTCCGGTACCAGAAACAAAGTCAATGCGAACACTTCTCCAAATAAGAGTTACAATAGTGTTGAGAGTCGCCATCTTTTGTTTAAAAGCAGGGGTTTGTGATTAATTAGGAACCCTCCTTTTAGTTCTATCACCATTTATTCATCTGAATCTTGAATGAGAAATGGAAAATTTTGTATTTTTCCAATGCTATACAGAAAGGATAATGGTGCTGTAATGCCTAGCTGATTTTTAAGTACTAATAAGAGATGTAGCATCCAAAATAAATAAATAAAGCCTTCTCTACTGGGTGTTAATCTTGCTTTTGAAGAAAACTTGGACTCGGGTTTATTCTTTAACAACAGGATACCATGTTAGAGGTACAGGGGATTCTCCTCTGTGTCTATAGTATCCCTGCAATCTGCATTTCTTAGGCCAACGCTGTTATAGTGAGAGTTGCTAAGGCTGTGGTCAGTTAAATCATAATACTCCAGTTTCCCAACTCAAGAAGTTGAGGATGCAGTGTTGTCCAGTTTCATGTCAACTAATGGAACAGGTCATTGAATAGTTTGTCCAGTTTGCCCTTAAGTTCCTTCTGCCTTTGCCCCACAACCCAGCCTCGGTGATACCAAGAGAAAAGAAAGTAGAGGCCAGGGGAATGGGAGGAGGGGTCAGGGTTAAAGGACTTTGAATCACTGTCCAGCTCTTGGCTGTCAATTGGTGTAAGGCAGGAGAATAGTAACAGGGAGGATTCCTAATAACCACAAAGGTCATTAAATCAGGCTGAGCAACAAAACTGTGCAGCTGGCAGATACTCAGTCTCCAGTTGAGACAAATGATGAGGAAGGGGCCTGAGCCAGCTGCCACCTCCCCAGCTCCAGAGAATAGTCGCACTTTAATACACCTGCCCCATCCCAGCCAGGCCCCTGGTGAGTAACTCAGATCCTGATCTATGCATGGGCAGTTTAATGTTACACATAATTTTCACCTCAAGAGTATGTAATTGGGCAGCACCCACACTCAGGAATTCTATAAGACATTCTCATGCTTCTCTGTCCCCTCACCCTCAACAAAGAGCATGGCAAGGACTGCAAGTCTGGAATACAACATTCCTTTGCAGTGTGTTCTGAGCCCACGGATGTTTTGGTTTGGCAAACCTTCAGACAAAAAGACAGCAGATCGATCTGGGTGCCCAGCGAGCCCCATTCGCAATGGTGATGCCAGGCCGTCCCACCTCCTCTTCCCGGCCCAATTATCAAATCGAGCTCAACTTCCTAACCTTGGGGCCAGCATCCCCTCATCTTTTACAGTAAGAGAACAATCCGATGCATGTGGTTTATCCTTAGCAGGGGCCTAGGGAAACGCGGCCATGCCAGTCCCCACCCCTCATTTTTCCAACACTTTACTCTCCTTTTCATCTGAGCCTAAAGAGATTGAGATGATTCTCCTCCTACCTCTTTCCCTATTGTTCCTCACTGGGAAATGATTTTTTCTTTTAATCTTGAAGAAACAAAAGGCGCAAGCCTGGGAGGGAGGATGATGCCCCGGGTGGTGTAGTGGATGGGATTTGGCGCTCTCACCACCATGGCCCGGATTTGATTCCCGGTCAGGGAAGCCTTTCTTCTTGCCAGGCGTGGTGGCTCATGCCTGTAATCCCAGCACTTTGGGAGGCTGAGGCAGATGGATCACTTGAGGTCAGGAGTCTGAGACCAGCCTGGCCAACATGGTGAAACCCTGTCTCTGCTAAAAATACAAAATTAGCTGGGCATGGTGGTGCATGCCTGTAATCTTAGCTACTCAGGAGGCTGAAGCAGGAGAATCGCTTGAACCCAGGAGGTGGAGGTTGCGGTGAGCTGAGATCACACCACTGCACTCCAGCCTGGGCAAAAGAGCAAGACTCTGTCTAAAAAAAAAAGAAGAAGAAGAAGAAAAAGAAACAAAAGCTGGCTTCTCGGTGTTCAAAAAAAATAAAAATGAAAATTTTTAAAAGCTCAAGGTATTGCTAGACAATATGGCTCCTTGCACAGACACACTAGCACCCCTTTTCTCAAGACATTTTAGTACCATCTTCAAGAACTTTGTTGCAATAAACACACAAATTTCTAGGACATTAATAGTGACCCCCTTAGACGTGGTGCATTTGTGCAGTGCACAACCTGCACACCCTTACGCATTGGCCCATGACACCAGAGACTACATTATGAGCCTTACACTGGTCTGATTTTAATTTAAAAGCTGGAAAGGTGACAGATGGGCATCTGATGAAAGTTGTAGGTAGGGATGGAGATTACATGAACCCTCTGCTTTGTGCAGGAGGAACATCATCTCTGGATGCTCCCAGCTATTGATCCCCGTTTACTCCTAAAATGGATGGAATAATTTCAGGACTGCATTTAAGGGGAGCTAAAAACTTAGGGACCTCAGTGCCTCCTTTCATCACCCGTCATTGTGTTCCCCCAGCAAGGGCAGGCAGTGGAGGTTTGAGTGAGACTTTTGCACTCTCTGCGCTGCCTTGATCCTTGGCTTCACTCTAGGGAATGCCTACATCAAAGGGTCCCCTCCAAGTGTCGTTCTGGGAGTTTTGGCTCTCGTCTGGTACCTTTTTATCTGACTGTTTACCAAACCAAAGAACTCAGTAGGCTCAGAACTCACTGCAAAGGAACATTCTGTTCCAGACTTGCAGTCCTTGCCACTCTCTTCGTGGGGGGGTGAGGGGACAGAAAAGCATGAGAATGTCTTGTAGAAGTCCTCAGTGAGGGCACTGCCCAATTACATAATCTTGAGGTGCCAATTATTTATAACATTAAACTGCCTATGCGTAGATCAATATCAAGCAGCAATCAAATGAAACAGTGTTATAATTTCTGATTAAAACAACACAAATTTAGAAATACCAACAAATGCAAGGTATTGTAGAAAAAATATGAAAATTGTGTTTTATCCATAGTTGCATTCTCCTTTCTCCATTTTGTCACCTAGTTCTTATGTCCTCTTACGTATATTTGATGAACTGCCTCAAAATCTTTCTGGAAAGAGAGGTCCATTAGGAATGGAGAGAGCTATTGGATCCTGACTTCATCATCCGGTACCTTCCGGCCCAGATGGGACTGTGCATCGTAAGATATATTCTAAAAAATAAGACAGTACCAGAACTGTTGCAGAGCTAGGCGGCATGATTTCATGGCCAGTGAGGAATAGAGATGTAAACTGCTTTAAGTGCACAGAAGCCCACTGCGAAATCCAAATAGATTTGGGCAGAGTATGAGGAGGGGGAGGAGAGAGAAAACATTCTAGGGGCAGAAACTCCAAGAAGAAAGTCGAAGAGGAGAGCAGCTTTATGTAGGTTCATTTGTGATTGTTCCAGGCAGAGAGATGGAAGGTGCATTCACTTGGTATGGGAACAGAGAGGGGCACCCAAAGAGGAGATGCAAGGGAAAGACCAAGGAAAGGCAATGTTAGGGCATACTCAGCAAATGACTCTCTGGAAATAATAAAGGAGCTACTGTAGAAAGAACAGAGAAAAGTTCATTGTATTGTGCAATTAGGCTGTTAAAAGCACCGAGAACACATGTATGCACGCAATGAGTGCCCAGTTGTCTACAGCAACAGGGTGGCAGCGGACCCTGGCATCTCAGAATCCTGCAGTATGAGAATTTGGCAAGCCCTGCATCAGAAAGCTACCTAGTTCACAGTTCTTGAATGAAGCAAATGGTTTCCTCTGTACTCATAACTGCACCCCTTCTGATGTCAAAGCAGGGAGAAGTTTGTCCCCTTATTCAAGCCAGGAGGAAGGTTCCATTTGGAAACCCCCAAGGTAAACCAGTGCTGATTGAGAGGGGCTGACATCAGAATGGGGGCACCTCTACATGTTCGGCACGGTGCTTTGAAGATGTCATCCCTCATCACAACTTTATAAAGGAAGAAAAGTTACCCCACTTTACACTGAGGAATCTGAGGCTCAGAAACTGTGAGTAACATGCCTAAGGTCATACAGCTTGTCAGAGAAAAGCTAGTATTCAAACTCAGGTTTATCTGACTTGGAATTCCATGTGCCTTGTGCTGCCTTGTGCATACAATATGGCAAGGCTGTAATTTGTGGCCCCCCACTTAAGGTGTGGCTTTACAGGGACCAGGAGAAAGGCCAGGGAGGGAGGGTGGGTACAGAAAGAGGTGGTTTTTCCAAGGAGGTCTGAGATTCACTACACACCTTCAGCCCTGACCAGTGCGACTGAGGCAGAAGGCTCCATGGGTGTCATGTGGAGGCAGCTTCAGGATGAGGTCCATAAATATGCATCATGGCCAAGTTGAGTGAAGGAATTAATGAAAAGCAAACATACAGGCAGAAGTTGGAAATATTGGACAGCACTGGAGTGGCTAAAAGTACAAACTTTGAGTCAGACTTTGAGCAAGTTATTTAAACTCTGAGCCTCAGATTGCTCATCTACAAAATGGGGACAATAGTATAATATAGGAATTTTGCAAATGCTCTACCATTTGTGGCAGTTATTATTCTCATTACCATCATTAGCATGATTATTTCTATCAGGGACAGTGGTCCATTTGCATAAGGAAGTCATGGAGACACTAGTATGATTCCTTTCATTCCCAAAGCAGGCCACTCACACTGTCTCCTGAAGATTCATTTTTCTCCTTCAGGGAAACCCGAGGAGCTTATTTTCTCCTTATTTTACCAGGGAAAAAATGTTGGAAGGAGATTTGCCTGAACCTGGAAACTCTTATTATGAACCTAGACCTATACACACCCTACCTCAGCTGCTCGGGAGGCACTTGGAGGAAGGATGTCCCAAGCCGGCAAGAACCCTGTGGTCTGGCGGGTGTCCAGCGGGTGGAGCCAGAGAGCTCCCAGCCATGGGCCACCTAGCTGAAGGCTGATAAGTACTATCTGCACATCCAAGCAGGCAGGAGACCCAGATAAAAGACCTATGACATCTGCATGGCTGGCTGTGGGATTACATATATATATTATATATATATTTAAAAGTATATGTATATATGTATATATATTACATATATACACACATATATATCTACACATATGTAATATATGTATATATGTATATTTATTATATGTATATATCTACATATATACATGTATGTATGTAATATAGATGTATATATGTTACATATATACACACATATACATATATACACATATATTTTTTTAAAATTCTGCACTCATAAAAGTAGATTTGAGTTAGATTTTTGCCATAACAGAACAAGCCACAAAATTGAAATTTAAAAAGAAGGGGGAAGGAGGAGATATTTTAATTCAGTTTTAGATTTCCCTGCTATAGAATGTTTGCTTCCTGACTTTTAAAGAGGCAGCAGAGTATGTCCAAGAATTCTCACCTGGGAAGACAGACATTCCAGGGAAACACTGATATTTTTGTTTTCTCCTCACTGGGAAAAAGGCAGCTGGCCTTCAGAAAACAACTTGCATGTACCTTATCTTCCCCACCCTCCCAACAGCCCCTCAGGCCCTTGCTGGAGTCTTACATCTGTGTAGAAGTTGTGCCAAGTCTAAGAAAATTTCACCCCAGGAGCAGTCGCTTAGCTTCCGAGTCCACACAGCAGCAACCTGCCCCATGGTTTTTAGTTTGACACCGTGTTGATCCTTTTCAGTTGTAAATCTTTCCAAAAATATGAGTAGGGGCCAGAGGAAACAGGAGAAGAAAAAGATGCATTTTGGTAGGATTATTGCTGGTCAAAGACCTTGGAATGCTGTGGAAACTGTGGCAAAGCAGTTGGTACTCTGTCAAGAACAGAGAGAGAGACATCGGGTACTGAAGCCAGGGGACCAGTTCCTTGGTGTTGCTTTGGCATTGATGCCTGAAGTGGGAGGAGAAAGCCGAGCCCACAAACACACAGAGCAGAGTGGGGCTCTGAGTATATAACTGTTAGGTGCCTCCCTCCAGCACCATCTCCTGAGAAGCACTCTCCCTTGTCGTGGAGGTGGGCAAATCTTTATCAGCCACTGCCTTCTGCTGCCAGGAAGCCAGCTAGAGTGGTGTAAGTACTCATCCTTATTTCTATTCATTTCCAACTATTCATCATTTGGGGCTTGTCTTCACAGTTCTAAGTTTTGCTCTTTTTCTTAATGAAGAAAATGTTTTATATCACCGGAATTGATCAGAAGTAGCAAAATCAGAGTTCTGGTAGACTAGAAAGCAATTTACCAAAGCCACAGGCTTCTTCCTGGAAGCTCAAAGGCATGCCTTTATTCGTGATTTCTGAAGCAAGGTGCATGCAGCACCTGAGCTGATGTGGAAGAGGGTTTGCAGGGAGGTGTCCACCCAATGTGCTCAATGATTCTGGGTTAATCAACACTATTAGGAGTTTCAGGTTGTGTTCTTGAAATAATAATTTGGGCTGTGTTCTTGAAATAAGTTCGAGGCGAGTGTCTACAAGACTCAAAAGAAAAAAGTGGGCCACTGGGAATGGCCCTTTCCAGTGATGGATTTATGGACTCCTCTGTGTGTGCTGTCATGCTGAAGGGAATGTTCTTGTGCACCCATCGGGAGAACAAGTCAGTCACAACTGAAGCCACGAATTTGGCAGCTTCCTTGCAGCTGCACTCTCTGGAGTCTGGAATCAAGACTTCTGGGAGTAGTGTTTTCCAAGGAGGGAAGTGTTTTAACCAGGACACAGGAATATCTGACAGCATTTTCTTTGTTTCCAATTACAGCTTTAAAGAAAACTGGGCATCTCCTGCTACTTAAAATCAAAAACTACCTAAAATAAAGATTATAGTAAGTACCAAATAAGTGTCAATGCTGAAAGTCTCTTTATTATGCTAGACCATGAGTGTTTAAATGCTTTCTTCTATATCCATATCCAACACTTCATATTATTTTTAAAAGTAATAGCTGAAGCATGGAAAATTGAAGACTTCAGGTCTCTCCAATTGCACAAATTTCTAATACATGCTGGCAATAGAATATATTTTATTTCGTGTAATAAAATAGAGGATATTAGTTGACCTGAAATCTTGATATTGCCTTGTATTAAAATGCTAAGCACTGCTTCATTTTACTAGTGATCTGGGGTATGAAAAGTGCTTTTTGACTTCTGCTGGAAAGCTCTTCAGGTGCAGCTTCCAGGATATTCTTGGGATGTTAACTTCAGCACACATAAGCCTTGCTGTAGATGTGTCAGCTTTGAGGCACAGGGAGACATTTGTTTGTCAGAGAGTAACTGCTTCTGGCAAGGGCATAGGGTGAAACTGGGGATAGCAGAGCTCTTTCTTTGTGGTTGTTCAACCCCCACCCCAAGATTAGTTCAAAGTGACCGTGAAGATAGTCTGTGCCCACCGCATCGCTAAGTCCTAGCCCTCTCTGCATACTCCAGCACACAGAAACTGCTGCTTCACTTGTTTGTTGACTTGAACCGAACCTTGGGTGGCATTAATGTGCCTGGCCCAAGACTGAAAAATTAAGAACCACCAGAGCTGACCTATTCCATAAGACCCAGTCTGCCTGCCACGTACTGAGTGAATCTGGATGATGCCCACTCTGATCCTTGGTTTTCTCTTCTATAAAATGAAGGCTTGAACTACGTGGTCTCTAAAATCCTACCTAGCTCTCAAATTTCTCTTGGTTCTAGGAAAATATTGATGTTGAGCTCAAGGAAGGGGTTCTCCAAGGTGTGTGATTTTGGTGGTAGAGGAAAGGCCGGTGCCAGGCAGGGGCAGAAGGAGACGCTGTCTACACTGAGAAAATGTGACAACCCCTGCTTGTCTCTTTTTTCATTCTTCATTGTTTCTTATTTCTTTGTTTTTAGCTTTATATAACATGAGAGCCCTACCACTGGGTTTCTTAACCATTTGTTCTTTATCAAATAAAAATATTCATAATGCAACATGCAGGCACATCAGTGTGGTACAGAACTAGCCAGCTAGTTTACTATAGGTAAATATACACACATGCATGCACACACACAATTTTTACCTGAGACATGTCAGAAGTGTTTCCTAAAATTGTGGATTTTTCTGAGTCATTCTGGTAAAGGGTAGGTTTTCAGGTTTTAGGCCAAGCCAGAAGAAGAAAGTAAAAACAGAATAAACAACAGGGGGAGAAAAAGAGAAATACCACACACACAACTGGAACTTCTGGTAAAAGAGTGATATTCTTGGATGCAATGGAAGTTTTAAAAAGGAAAAAGAAAATTTATAAAAAGCTGCCACATTTGTGGAATTCAACTAAAAACTGTTTATTATTAACAAAGTGATGTTCAAAATTTAAGAGTTCTTGGCCTGGCATGATGACTTATGCCTGTAATCCCAGTGTTTTGGGAGGCTAAGGTGGGAGGATCACTTGAGGCCAGGAATTCAAAACCAGCCTGGACAATACAATGAGACTTTGTCTCTAAAAAAAAATAAAATAAATTAAAATAAACACAGCTGGATGTGGTGGCACAGGAAAAAAAAATACCATTTAGGAGTCTCTTAAAGGCAGCTTGTGAATGCTTACAAAGCGTGGCTAGTATCTTATTACAGAAAACAGAGCCCACATCATGCATCCTTCTTCTCACATTTCATAAACAAGGCCAAGGGAAACTGCTGTGGGGCAACCTGTTGCTTTGGTGTTGGTCCCCAAGATGCAGCCCTCACAATCTGCCCCCAAACGTGTCAGAACATGAACCCCCTCCTCCCCCTCTGGAAGAAGCAACCTCAGATCCAACAGCAGAGACACGCAGCAGAACAAAATCTGGGCATTGGTCCCTGTGTAGGATGGCTTCCCGTTATTTTTTTTTTAAGCAAAGTAAATGAACATCAAATTTCCATAGTCAGCTGCTGTCTTTCTGCCCACTGAGAGCTCTTTGGTGAAGGCAAAGTCCTCCTTCTTCATTAGCGGTCTCCCATGTGGGGCCACATCTTCCCTCACCAGGAACCCAGTGGGCGCGCTCCAGCCCCCCTCAGCTTGCCTTTTGCGTGGTCATTAGAGCTAGGGCACACGTCATGCTGATTCACATATTTTTGCCCTTTGTCATGTATTGAGAAAAAGTAAGGATGAATGGACGGTCTTTGATTGGCGGCGCTGGTGACGCCCGTCATGGTCCTGTTTGGAAGGACCCTTTTGGAACTAAAGCTGGTGACGCAGCGCGCAGAGGCATCGCCCGGCTAAGCTTGGCCCTGGCAGATGGGTCGCAGGAACAGGTATGCTTCCTTCGTGCAGCCTCTGGCTCGGGGAACCTGGGAGCCTGCTCCAAACTCTGGTGTATCTTTTCCGGGCAGAGCCTGGGAAGTGGGGGTTGGCTGTGAGCTAAGCCAAAGGCACAGGGATCTTGGTCCAAAAAGCCCCATGGCGCTCACCTTGGTTTAGAGGCTAGACCATTGAGCTGAGAAGTTTTGACAGCCATGGAAAAGCTGGGGATAAGTCACCTGGGGTTTTACGTTTACCCTGTGTCTATTTTATTAGAGTGCCTTTTACTTATTGTCCCTTCTTCTTAGTTGAAATTAATGGCCTGCTTCACTGGGGCTAAGATGTTTGAACATTAGCAGAAGGTCCTGGCTGCATAGCCTTGCCTTGTCTTCCCAGTTAGGATGTAAGGACTCTTAAAGTTCCCTAAGAAATGCAAATATTTTAGCATGGCAAAATTCTAGGCCAACTACAACTGTAAGTTTCGTATTTCTCCTAAGTGGTTCTCATGCCTGACTTCTGGAGCAAGGAGTCAGGTCTCCCAGGGGCTCTAGAAGGGTTCAGCTGTTCAGAATAAATGGTTCCTGGGGACTCTAAAATAGCAGCAACTGTCTGCCCAGGTCATGAGAAGACCCCTCTCTGCAGGACATCCTAGCCCTACAACCCATCCCAATTATGTTGAAATTAGATTCACAAATGGCAATAAGTCTTCTATATGTTGGGCTGTCGATTTGGAGAAAACTAGTTTAATCTTTACTTAACTTTGGGTGGCTCAACAGGAGACTCGGGCCGCTCAGGCTCTCAATCACGTCTGGCCAGTTCTATTATCAGGTTTCGAATCTGTATCTCCAAAATCTCTGAGGTGATGGGATATTTCAAGCCCTCTAAAATAAATAAATATATGCTGGGAATTTTGAGAACATGAATTTGTTTATTCTGAAATGGTCCATGTTCCTGCTTTGGGAGTTGATGGAAAATGCCACTTGAGTGTTTTCATTTGATGCTGCCACCTTAGGGTTTTATAGATTCAGTTCCAGAAACTCAAGGCATTTATCTCTTTGGGCTGCTTGTCCTTGCCTGAGCTGAAGCCTGATGCCTCCCATAAGTTGGTATGGCTTTGAAAATGGGTCACTACAGCAGAGGCATGGGCTTATCAAGCAATATGTTCAGCTATGAAATTTGAAGAGGGAGATAATCTGAAAATAAATGACAGCCACCACTTAGATTATGAAATAGAAGTACTTTTTCATAAGTGCTTAATTATTCATACGGTTTTTTATCTTTAACTATGGAGCCAACTCAGCTCCATATGGACTTAATTTTGGTTCCTGACCTCCAAGATTCATTGCAAGTCACACAGATGTTGGTATCTAACATTGTTTTACCGAGATAAAATGACCTTGGTCTGGAATGCATTGTATAAAAAGCTGCTTTTTTGTGTAAAGATTAATAGTTTGGCATTGTTTAAAAAGCAGAATGGTTAGTTGGGCAGTGAGGTAATACAATTGAAATGTAATTGCTACCAATAAATCAGTTACCCATATTGATTTCTTTACTGGGATTAATAGAAGCCAAAGCTAGAGTTCAACTTTTTTTAATAGGTATAACTTAGTATCTGTTCATTGCTATTTGTTAGCTATGGTAAATGGAACAATGATGGGGCCAGAAATATCCATGAGGACCATTTGATCACAGCCTGGCAACACAGAGAAGACAGGCTGGTTTCTCTATGTGGGCTTTCAGTGTTTCTTTGGTAGTGTCTTATGTGGCTGTGGCTTCAACATTCCACAATTATGCCTTCCAGGGTCTGATGATTTTGGCGTTTCCCTGCTTCCCAATTGACCTGGCTGTGCTGTTGGCTGTTCTTGCACACTCAAGGTGGTTTTGCCATTGGCTTCCTCCCTCAGCCTGCCTCTGGGATTATGCCACTGCTATTCTTTTTTATCTACCATCAGCACAATGAAATCATCATTTTTGTCTTCAAGGTACCAAATTCTGGTGATATTGGTGCTTTCTTGCAGCTACTTATCATGAGAAGTGAATGGTCTCATAGTGAACACAGTCATGGTTATAGTGTTCATACGTTCCAGAGACATGTTTCCTATAATTATGCCCTGCACATTTTTCTATCATACAATCCTTAGATTACAGCTCTTTGGTTTTCAACAGCTTTGTCCAATTCCATCTTTCCCAGTTTCTCTACCTTGATGAAATATCCTTCTTGCCTGGTTTTACATATTTAAATAACAAATTCCAAAAGTAAAGAGTATCTGAGGCAGTCACATGACATAAGGACAAATTCAAGCCATCTTGGACTTGCAGAGGGTGGGGAGACCGTGTCAACACACACAATTTTAAAAATTTCTTCCCTTTCAATCTTTTAAAAACAAAACTTTTTATAAAATAAAAATGTAATTTAAAAAGGCTACCTGTCTTGGCAAGTAGCTGATCAGCCTGCATTGGTGAGCAGGCCATTCCATAACCTGGTTTCTTGCTCCTTAATTGACAGCATGGAGCTAACGTACTTAATTTCAGCTCTTTCTACGTGATTTGACTCATTCTGTTAACATTAACTGTTTTTCAGTCTTCTCAACTAGACTGAACTCCTTAAGTGCAAGAAATACACGCTTAGTAAATGTTTGTTGGACCAGACACTGCACCTTATGAAATTAAAGACCAGAACATTCTCATGGTAGCATTACAGACACTGATGGCAAAGGTACTGTGGGATTTGGGTTTGGCTAATAAGCTCTGTGGTGGTGTTTCAGAAGGAAAATGGTGCTCTCTTAGTTCTATGGAACATAGTGGTCCAGATCTTCTACTGTAACCAGGCCCAAAGCTGGCTAATCTGGAGGGCTCTGCCTTAGGGATACTTATAAGCTCTGTCCTTCCCTCAAGGAGCCAGAGGAAGAGATAGCCATGGAGGACAGCCCCACTATGGTTAGAGTGGACAGCCCCACTATGGTTAGGGGTGAAAACCAGGTTTCGCCATGTCAAGGGAGAAGGTGCTTCCCCAAAGCTCTTGGCTATGTCACCGGTGACATGAAAGAACTTGCCAACCAGCTTAAAGGTATTTATCCTTTCACATTTTGGAGAGACAGGAGAAGTAGCTTTGGGGGAAATGGTTTCCTGGTACTTCTACTTATACCTTTAGTTATATTCTCCAACTTTTTATAGATCTCTTTACTCACCATTTTTCTACTTTTATCTTTTAACCTGCAAACCTCTCCATTTTTTTTTCTTATGGAGACAGTAGCCAGGGCCCAGCTCATATTAGAAGGCACCTGGCTTCATCCTGTAGTTTCAGTACTTAAAACTTAAATTTATTCCTTTGGCTTCAGAATTTGTACCTATAAGCATGAAAATAAGTGCATTAGATGCTTTCAGGAGCTTAGATTCTAGGAGGGGCAGTGTGGGTTGAGCATACAGTAGATAGAGGCTTTCAGGGATCTGGGTGCCACTAATGCAACAATGGGTTGAGAGAGAAATATTAAAGAAATATCAAAAATGTTTCACTTCCAGGAGGTTTTGCTGATTTTGCTCAGGGTGGGCCTGTGGTTGAAGAGTATCACTTGGCAGCTTCCTTAGCTCTGCTTTACCTCATCCCTTCCAGACAAACCCGTGGTGCTCCAGTTCATTGACTGGATTCTCCGGGGCATATCCCAAGTGGTGTTCGTCAACAACCCCGTCAGTGGAATCCTGATTCTGGTAGGACTTCTTGTTCAGAACCCCTGGTGGGCTCTCACTGGCTGGCTGGGAACAGTGGTCTCCACTCTGATGGCCCTCTTGCTCAGCCAGGACAGGTAGGTGTACCCTTTCAAGCCTTCTCAGCTCCCTTCTGAGACACAGGGGCTGACCAGTTACTGTGGGCAACAGTGATAAAACCACATCCTTCCCAGGATAAACAACATTTAGTCCACAGAACTGTTTATATTTGTTTTTAGTCAGAGGTCAGGGAATCAGTTACAGTCTCTTGCTCTTGATATCTGAATAAATGGCTGGTCTAAATGATGCCAGATTCTTGTGGCATTACGTGCTAACCAGAACTAAGCTACAAGTATTTCCCTGGAGAGGTTCTGAAGGGATCTTCTTTAATGATTGATAAAATTATTTGTCGTCAGCATTCTATTTGGGAAAAAGTGCATATGAATTCAGAAAAAGTTTTAGTGGCTTAATAACCCCCGTTATATCTTGTTGCTATGATGAGTTTAGGAAACTCATTCTTCATAGACAGTGCAAAGGTCAGCTCAGCTCCTGGAGAAAAGAATAACCATGAATTCCAATTGAGTGGATTCTGACTTAAGAAGCCTTAGTGAGTCTTCTGATATATTGATTAGATTAAAAATAGCACACACTTTATAAATTGATCTGTCATTGAAGAAGTGATGAGCTGACTCTCACCAGGGCAGTAGATAGCTCCCCACTAGCCAGTTCCTTTAGGGAGGGAACCAGTATTCCAGGTGTCTGAGATCAACGCATAATCCCAATCCCCAGTGTGGTCATTACACAACTAAGCTCTTGTAACACTGGCTGCAAATTGCCTAAAGAGGTCCGTGGGGAGAGAGTTAGCAAATGCTCCACTTTTCTATCAATTTCAAGGAGTCTGATTTGCTCCCTGTAGAAGGGGATTTTATAGCTTAGGTTAAACTCTATTCCAATGCATGCCAAGAAAAGGTCTCCTCAGTTTGGGGATGGAGTCTATAATTGTGCCATACTGAATATTCCTTTATGATTTTGCTCTGATGAAACATGATCAACTCATTTTTTGTCAGATATTATTTAGAAGACAAGTCATTTATATGTGTTAGTTTCAAATGTTTTACTTTCCTTGGTCTGAAAAGACTGCATTAAAATGGAAATTCTCTGTTTTAAGTAAATATATGTCTTCCTGTGGCTTTAACTATGGCATTCCACAATTTGTAGATGTTGCCATTAATTTTCCACTGATCAAACTCAAGCATTAACATCTCCAAGTCAGTTGTTGAGAGGACAAGTCTGCATGGCTCTCTACTGTCATGTGTAGTCCCAGTCTCTGAGTTGTACCTTTGCAAATTGTATCACCTCCCATTTGCCCTCAAGGATTATTTAAGGGAAACAAAGAACTTTTGAATAGGGAACCCCACATTTAATGTTCATCTGGATTAATGTACGTGACATCATCTTGCCTGTTGCAATGGTGCCTCCTGGCCCAGTTAGAAACAAGCCAAGAAGCAGCTGTCACACTATCCCTTACCAGCCCCTGCAGTGTGGCTCACTGGCTATAGCACCTCCTGCTCGAGCCCAGCATTAGGCCTCACCTACTCACTTCACCATCTTTACTCCCCCATCCCCCTACAGACATCATCCTTGAGTGACAGGCCCTTGGGAAGTGGATCCTGTGCCTTTCACGGTGCCAGACGTTGCCAACTCTCAGAGCTGTGGGAATCCTGCCTTGTCAGGTCAATCAATCTAGGTGCCCATCAATGGTGGATTATATAAAGAATATGTGGTGCATATACAACACGAACTACTACATAGCCATAAAAAGGATTGAAATCAAGTCCTTTGCAGCAGCATGGATGTATCTGGAGACCAATATCCTAAGTGAATTAATGTAGTAACAGAAAATCAAATACCACACGTTTTCACTTACAATTAGGAGCTAAACACTGGGTAAACACGGACATGGAAATAGTAGACAACTGGGACTCCAAAAGAGGAGAGGAAGGGAAACAAGTGTTGAAAACCTACCTATCAGGTACTTTGTTCACTATTTGGGTGACGAGTTCAATAGAAGCCCAAACCTCAGTCAGCATCATGCAATACATCTATGTAACAAACCTGCACATGTACCCCCTCAATCTAAAGAAGGAGAAGAAGACGGGGAAGAAATGAGATTGAATACTAAGCAAAAAGTAACCTCAGAAAGAACTGGGTGCTCAACATGCACATAATTAAATGGGATACTTCTCCAAGTAAGAGAAAAGCAATTGTTCTTCTTTGCAATAACTTTGAAATGTGCGTTTGGAGACAACAAAATAGAAGCATCAGGACACAAAAATGTATACTAACCTGGAAGATTAATGTTGATAAGATCAAAGACACTGTGAAAGTGAATTTACATTTCAGGAATCTTATATCTCTCACCAAGAAATCAAACTTAAGCAACAGTTTCATATGCTAAAAGCGCTCTTCAAGTCAGAGGCTCTTGATTTAAAAGAATAACTTTCCAAAGGAAAGGCTAAAAGAAAACAGAGCAGATTGCCTTACTAAACTCCCCTTTCCTCTCAGCCACTGTAGACCTGTCTTTAGCCGTGACACCTGTAGAGGGAGTCATTCTCTATCAGGGGTCCCCAACCCCTGCACTGGAGACAGGTACCTGTCTGTGGCCTGTTGGGAACTGGGCCGCACAGCAGGAGGTGAGCGGTGGGCGAGTGAGCATTTCCACCTGAGCTCCGCCTCCTGTCAGATCAGCAGAAGCATTAGCTTCTCATAAGAGTGCGAACCCCATTATGAACTGGGCATGTGAGGGATCTAGGTTGCTTGCTCCTTATGAGAATCTAATGCCTGATAATCTGAGGTGGAACAGTTTCATCCCGAAATCATCCCCCATTCCCCATCCATGGAAAATTGTCTTCCATGAAACCTGTCCCTGGGGCCAAAAAGGCTGGGGACCACTGATCTAAATGCACATTTATATTTTTATCTATGTATATTTCACTTCATGTCTTTATTAGTTTTTGTACGATGCTTACGTAGACTTTGAAATACATTTCCAAATATAATCTCATTTTTTAATATGAATATGATCTGGAAGTTACTAGTGTTATTTATGTGCAAGTGCAACCAAAGCTCACCCAGGAAATGTCCGTGCTGTGTCTCTTGCCCCACAGGTCATTAATAGCATCTGGGCTCTATGGCTACAATGCCACCCTGGTGGGAGTACTCATGGCTGTCTTTTCGGACAAGGGAGACTATTTCTGGTGGCTGTTACTCCCTGTATGTGCTATGTCCATGACTTGGTAAGTTACAATTGGTTTTCAAAATGCCTTTTTGAAAAAAAAAACATGGCAGAAGGAGGGAATGGGAGTTGTTATATGGCAGAGTTTCAGTTTTGCAAGATGAAATATGTTCTCTGAATGTATAGTGGTGATGGTTGTACAACAATGTGATTGTCCTTAATGTCATTGAGCTGCACACTTAAAAATGGTTAGCCGGGTGCGGTGGTTCTTGTTTGTAGTCCAAACTATTCAGAAGGCTGAGGGGGAAGGATCACTTGAGCCCAGGAGTTAGGGGCTGCAGTGAGCTATGATTGCGTCACCGCACTCCAGTTCTCCGAACCTCCTTGCTTGGGCTAAGTGAGGAGGAGGAGGAGGAGGAGAAGGATGGAAAGGAGGAGGAGTAGCAGGAGGAGCAGGAGGGCAAGGAGAAGGAGGAAGAGGAGCAGGAGGAGGACAAACAGTTAAAATGGTAAATTTAAAATTGGATTCCAGTAGATTCTGTCTATTGGAAACAGAAACAACCATTTTAAAAGATGTATATTTCCTTACAACCAGTTATTTGGCCTTTTGTCTGATCTGGCTACACATCCACTAATACCTCTCAACCAGAGGTGGCTGCACATTGACACTTCCATGGGGAAGGGAAACAGTGCTGCAATGAAGATACGAGTGCAGGTGTCTTTTTGGTAGAAACACACTGATGCACGTGGCCCCCACATACACTTGACTCCTCCCTCCCAAGACTCTACTGTCATTGGTCTGCGGTAGCGCCTGGGCTTTGGGAGTTTCTAAAGCTTCCCAGATGACTCTAAAGTATAGCCAAAGTTGAGACCCACTTCCTCCATCATTGCCTCTCAAACTTGAGCAATATGAGAATCACCTGCAGGGTTTGTTACACCACAGGCATCTGCTCCCCGGCCCCAGGGTTTCTGATGCAGTCTATCTGGGGTGGGGCCCGAGAATTTGCGTTTCTAACGCATTCCCACATGATGCTGGGAGAACCACTGTGCCTACGTGAATTCCCCCTTACCCACCTGCCCCCCAGGTCTCCCTTAGAAAAAATTTTTTTGCTGAATTCCTTTTTTTTCAAACCCAAATCCTTCAAACTAGTTTTTATGTTGACAATGTCTTACATCCTTTTTCTGGAAACAAAGATTTCCTTCTTTCTATATTGTAGTTAAATATAAAATACTAATATGCACATAAATAAGCACAGCCTGCTGTGGGCAGTGTCTGCAGAAGGGATGCCCACCCTTACTGTACCCACGGGTGTGTGGACGAGGACCTACCTGTAGAGCTAAACTCTTCAGGAAGTAATTTGGGCCCTGCTCTGAAGAATAGGTTCGTGGGAAGGAGGCCTAGCCTGTAAGTGCTCACCACGCTCCCTTCCACAATCCAGGAAAATGGGAGTTCTGGTCTTTAAGTGATGGCTCTTTGATTGGGCCAACAAGTGAGAGCCTATGAGGGACCTCGGGACCATGCAGCCCAGCCCCACAGTTTATGGGCTCTGAGGCTAAGGAGATGCGCCTTGCCTAGGTCATGCAATTTATCAACAGCTCAAGGACACACACTCTGCCCCACCAACTGTGATATCATTTTCCTCCAGCTCACACTACCTGCATCCTTGAACGATTGTTTCTCTTTTCCAAAAATAGGTATATTAAAGAAATAATATCTGCCAAATCAGAATCAGGGTTGCCTCTAGTGGGGAGGGAGGGACATAAGAGCAAGTGGAGGGACAAAGGGGACTTTAACTATGTAGATAATATTTTATTTTGTATGTCATAAGTACTTCAAAAATATTTTTAAAATCTCAATATATAGCTCACTCTGAGCAACCCCAGAGTAGAATTTTTCAAAAGCCAAATAAGCTGAGAGTTGATTTTTTACTTTATGTAATATTTACTGCCTCTATAATAGGATTTATCCCAAGTTTTCTTTCTGTGGCAAATGTGCCAACACAACACGTAAGGGGCCTGTTGGCAGGTGAAACAAAGCCCCTCCAGAGTATAGCGATTCCGTGTGTCAGCCTGCTTTGTCACATGCACATTCTTTTGCTCTGTTCTTTTTTTAGCCCAATTTTCTCAAGTGCATTGAATTCCATGCTCAGCAAATGGGACCTCCCCGTCTTCACCCTCCCTTTCAACATGGCGTTGTCAATGTACCTTTCAGCCACAGGACATTACAATCCATTCTTTCCAGCCAAACTGGTCATACCTATAACTACAGCTCCAAATATCTCCTGGTCTGACCTCAGTGCCCTGGAGGTAAGAGACACTGGCTTCTCACATTCGCCCTGGCTCTGCAAGATACGCAATGGCCTCCTGGTCAACTGTCCACGGGTGTCAGAGTCTCCTAGATGCTCAGGACTATGGTGGCCTTTCTGCCTTCATCTTGCCATTTAAAGCATTTGTTCTACTCCAGAGCATTAGGGTCTAAGGGATTTTTTAAAATTACTATTTAGTCAAGCTGATTTTTCTGCCTTTTCCCCTAAACATCTACAGTGCTAACCCCAGAGTACAGTTCCACTGGGAGTCACTCTATCGTAAGCTTGGGGGTGGGGGTGATGGGAGCCAGCCCTTAAGGCATGTGGCCTCCAGCCTGGTTTTAAATCTTCCATAGTCTACTCCCTCCAATCAAAAAACTGGATGCTTACTCTTAGAGCTTCTGACAGAACCTCTCTATTCTGCTTTTCCTTATGGCATAGCTCATAGAACATCTACAATAATTTAGGGTTCCCAAGCTTTGGTAGGCATCAGAATCACCTGGGGAGCTTTAAATACCCAAACAGGCTTCATCTCAGACCCTCTAAATCACAATCTCTAAGGGTGGGGCCTGGAACCTGTTTTAACAAACTCCCCAAATTGTGATGCGGGCCAGAGTTTGAGAACCACTGTATCAAGGGGTGAATCCTATGTATCTCTTTAAAGATGGCTATAAAGAGATTCTGTATTTTTTAAAACCTGGTTAACCCAAATCAAATTCCAGCTCTTCCTGTTGGTGTGTAATAAATATGTTTAAGGTTTCTGGATTATCAAGAACAAGAGAACACCTGAAATTAGAAGAAAACCAAAGAAACCTTACCTTTTTAATGTGCTCTCCCACTGTCAGGTTATGAAACGCCCTTTTGTCTTCTTTGTTGAGTGATCAAAACACACGAGGAGCTCAAGTCACCTTCTCCCTAGCTTCTTGCCAGAAAACTAAAGGGAGCACCTGGAAATAATTCAGAAGGAAAAAATCAAAGATTCATTAGAACTACCCATGAAAAATAACAGTATAAAATAGCATTAATCGATCTAGAACTGCACTAACACAGGAGCCTCTAGCCCCATGTGGCTATATAAATTTAGATGTAGATTAGTTAAAAATTGAGTTCCTCAACCTCTCTAGCCACATCTCAGGTGCTTGATAGCCACACGTGGCTAGGACCCACTGTATTAGACAGCACAGATACAGACTATTCCATCATCTCGGAAAGTTATCCTGCACAGTGCTGATCTGGGGCAGGGGAAGCCTTGTCCTTCTCACTCTGAATGAACAGCCCATCCTCAGCACCAACCCCAACCCTATGGCTACCTGAGAGAGAGTTCTGCAGCCAAGTCCAAAAACAAACAAACAAACAAAAAAAGCATATGCCATCTTTGCCAAGTTCCCTGGTCTAGAAATAGCAAAATGTCTAGACATGAAGACTCAGCATGGGCTGGAAGAATTTAGAGTCCATCTTAGGGTAGAGTCAAACTCACACTATGGTCTGGTGCCCTTAGCCAATGTTAGACTCAGCCTAATATAAGAGGGGAGAAGACACTTCCCCTTGTGCCAAAGCTGGGGCTCCCTCTGGTAGAGTCACTGCCTCCAGAAGGTCTTTGGTACATACACGACCTAGCAATGGTGGAGAGGGCAAGATGGGAACTGAGGAAAACATCTTTCAGTAAATGGCCTTGCTCAAAAGGGACATGCTATGGCTAATTATGCCTATCCTAGCCCTACCAGAAGTTCAGCTGTAAAGAATGATCACTTGTTAGGTTCAGTTAAACCTTGTTCACTCCTGAGAACTGCAATTCTGTGAACAGAATAACTAAATTCAGGCCTCAGCCAGAAAGTAGAATTATGACATTTCCATGTATTTTTGTGTTTTGAGACCTGCTTGACAGTTGTTCATAACTAGAATAAGCTAAAAATATCTTTGTTTAAATGAATACATGTTCCACTTAATGACAGAAAAGTAAATTCACAAACTTGCTAAAAATTACTTCTAAATTGTGGACAAGATAACCTGGCTTTGGGTCTCTGGCTTTAGTGTAAGCATCCAAATTGCATAGTGATAATAATCTCTATTGAACATAGGGATGCATGGATAGATTAAATCACCCTCAACACTGATGGACATTTGAAAGCAAAAGAAGTGTCAGCTGTGGTCCTTGCCATCCCCAGTAGGAGGCAAGGCAGATCCTCATAGCCAGGAGCAGTGAGTGGCACCAAGCTGGGAGCTTAACAGTGACCAAGGCCAAGTGTCAGTGCAAGCAGGAGAGCACAGGGGGAGCTTTGAGAAGGCATGTGTTGCATGCACCAGGGAAGGGCTGGTGTATCTCTGGGGATAAAGCTGAAGGATGACTGGGATTTTTCTGTAATCAAAGAGAGAGAATTTTAAATGGTATTAACACTGTTCTTGAAAGAGGTAAGGTATGTCCAATCTAAAATTACATTGTAGGAGTTTGTGGGTGTCCTGTGGGTTTCTGTTCAGTTGTTTTGGTAGCCTCATTTTTCTTAAATTTCTTTTGCAGTTGTTGAAATCTATACCAGTGGGAGTTGGTCAGATCTATGGCTGTGATAATCCATGGACAGGGGGCATTTTCCTGGGAGCCATCCTACTCTCCTCCCCACTCATGTGCCTGCATGCTGCCATAGGATCATTGCTGGGCATAGCAGCGGGTGAGCACAAGAGCCCTTACCAAATATTGAGCACCTCCTCCATCCCATGCATTGCCTCAGGCATCTTCTGTGCTCCAGATCTTCCTTGAGATCTTGGCTTCCTAGGGACCAATGGGAGTTCCCGGGATGCTTCCTGCTAACTTTCAATCCCACCCTCAGTTTCCTTCCAGAACATCCTGCCTTTAGTCCTGAGTTCTGACCCCTCCTGTCTTAACAGGACTCAGTCTTTCAGCCCCATTTGAGGACATCTACTTTGGACTCTGGGGTTTCAACAGCTCTCTGGCCTGCATTGCAATGGGAGGAATGTTCATGGCGCTCACCTGGCAAACCCACCTCCTGGCTCTTGGCTGTGGTGAGTCTCCCACGCCCCTGGGGGAGGGCTGCTCATGACTACAGGATCTCAATCAAGGATAAGCAGTAAAAACGGACTGCATGAAAAATCAGGGCCAGGGTTCTGGCTTGAGCCCACTTGCTGTCTAAGTGTGTGAACAGGACAAGTGACGTCCCCTCTCTGAGAGCATTAAAATCACCTCTGCCTACCTCTCTGATGATTGTGAAGGCAGGAGCCTATTGAGTCATATTAATATCCTAAAACATGGATGTTTGGGAGGATAGAAAAAGAAAAATCCCAGTTATTCTTCAGCTTTATCCCCAGAGATACACCAGCCCTTCCCTGGTGCATGCCACACATGCCTTCTCAAAGCTCCCCCTGTGCTCACGGGCTCTCCAGCTTGCACTGACACTTGGCCTTGGCCACCAATAAGCTCCTAGAATGGTGGCACTCACTGCTCCTGGCTGTGAGGATCTGCCATGCCTCCCACTGGGGATGGCAAGGACCTCAGCTGACACTCCTTTTGCTTTCAACTGACTTGTCTTGCGTTCTTCAAACTAGTTGTTTGACCCAACAAACTAAACGGGAATAACTCCAGCTAAATACAGAGCAATGTCCCCTGGTAAATCAGGGTTGATTACATTTACCCCTTTGAGTGAGCATCACAGTAACCCAGCCATTCTAAAACTTCAGAATGCATCAGAATCACCTGAAAGACTTGTTAAAACACAAATCGCTGGGCCCCCTCCTCAGTCTGATTCAGCGTCAGAGATAAGGGGAAGAATATTTCTTTTTTTATTTTTCTAAAAAACAGTCTCATTCTGAGCCAAGATCGCGCCACTGCACTTCAGCCTGGGCAACAGAGCAAGACTTCATCTCAAAAAAAAAAAAAAAAGAGAAAAGAAAAAAAAAGAAAAAGGGTCTCATTCTGTTGCCCAGGCTGGAGTGCGGTGGTGTGAACACAGCTCACTGCAGCCTCAACCTCCTGGGCTCAAGCAATCCTGCAGCCTCAGCCTCCCAAGTAAAGTAGCTAGGACCACAGGCGTGCCACCATGCCTGGTTAATTTTTTATTTTTTATAGAGATGGGGTCTCCCTATGTTACCCAGGCTGATCTTGAATTCCCGGGCTCAAGCAATCCTCCCGCCTCCACCTCCCAAAGTGCTGGGATTACAGGCATAAGCCACCATGCCGGCAGAATTTCCACTTCTAACAAGTTCTCAGGGGGTGCTGATGCTGTTGCTCTCAGGATCACATTTCAAGAACTGCTGTATTAATCCTTTCTGACTCCCAGTGTTCTAGCCAGACTCAGCCTGTCAGAGCGAGAAGGCATCCTGAGACCTCTACTCCATCCTTCTTACTTTACTGTTGGGGTCCTGAGGCCAGAGAGGCTAAGGGATGTGCCGCAGGGAATCTGGACAGCAATGGGTAAATCCACCCCCGGAACCCACACTTACCATCCACCTCCAGAGTTATCCCACCGCACTCCTCTGCTTCCCTTTTATAGCATTCAGGCCCTCACGGCAACCTCTTAGGTGAAAACAGACTGCATGTGATTTGGATCTGAAAAGCTAATAGATCCCAGGTGGATTTTGAGTGGAGGCTCATTCACCCATAGCCTCTGGCATGCCTAATTCAATCAAAGTATAAGCATTTAAGATAATATTCTAGAGTGGAGAGAATGAGATTTGCTTGGGAACAAAAAGGAGGAGGGATAGTGTAATGTGGAGAAATTATGTCTAATCTAGTGGAAATATATGTCTAGAATCAGTTTATCACCAGATTAATCAAGCCAAGGTATCTAAACAGTTATGAAAACAGTGGGCCATGTATCAGGCGGGTTTAGAATAGATTTCTGCACTGGCAGAAAATGGGATGGTACCAACGGTTTCTAAAGACCCATTCCATTTTGATTCGATGCTATAGCAAGGGTAACATAACTCAGGTTGCTGTGATGTAGCCATGTAGATGTCATTTTGTCAAATTCTTTACTATTACTCAGCTATTTCACCTAGCTGTTCTGTTGAAATGTTGAACTCCTTCTCCATATTCGTTCACAAGGATAAAGGAGAGGATTACAGACAGGTGCTGTAGCCACCTGAGTTCAGCTGGGTTGGAATGTTTATCCTACAACCTTTCAGCTTTATTCTGAGATTGGTTAGGGGTTTCCACCTGAGTTCAGCTGGGTTAGAATGTTTATCCTACAACCTTTCAGCTTTATTCTGAGATTGGTTAGGGGTTTCAAACCTTTATTTGGGATGCATACCTTTATTTTTCTGGAGGAAGTAGCCACAAATATGTATTAAACACACATGATACAAAAGACAGTACCAGGAAGAGCAAGGGGTTTAGAAGCTTTAGGTCCCATGCAGTTCCTGCACAGAGTGTTACAATAGAGGGCAGAAGCCAGGCAAGGGAGTGAGCCCAAGAGGACCATGCAATCTTTGTGGGAGAAGAAGAAGTCCATAGTACAGGATTCTCCAGGGGGCCATTTCCACTCAGAATTATCACAAAGTACCTCCAGGAAGAAGGGGGCTTTTCCATAAATGCTAGAAAATAAGAGGAGGAATTCTGTTTGGTGGAAAGTGTGGTGCAGGCCAGCATGGGGACAGCCTGAGCATGTCCTTCAAGATCAAGGAGAAGGCATTTTGAGCACAGGAGATGGCGACGAGGTTTTTGTTTTTCTGGGTTTTTTGTTGTTTTTTGTTTTTTGGTTTTTTTTTTTTTTTTTTTGACAGAGTCTTGCTCTGTTGCCAGGCTGGAATGCAGTGGCACAGTGGCACGATCTTGGCTCACTGCAACCTCCGACTCCCTGGTTCAAGCGGTTCTCCTGCCTCAGCCTCCCAAGTAGCTGGGCTTACAGGCACGCACCATCACGCCTAGCTAATTTTTGTATTTTTAGTAGAGACGGGGTTTCACCATGTTGGCCAGGATGGTCTCAATCTTCTGACCTCATGATCTGTCCACCCCGGCCTCCCAAAGTGCTGGGATTACAAGTATGAGCCACCGCACCTGGCGGGTGCTGAGTTTTTTGTTTTATGTTGTTGTTGTTGTTTGAGATGGACTCTTGCTCTGTAGCTCAGGCTGGCATGCAGTGGCACGATCTCAGCTCACTGCAACCTCTGCCTCCCGGGTCCCGGTTCAAGCAATTCTTCTGCCTCAGCCTCCCCAGTAGCTGGGATTACAGGCATGTGCCACCATGCCCAGCTAATTTTTTTTTGTATTTTTAGTAGAGATGGGGTTTCACCATGTTGGCCAGGCTGGTCTTGAACTCCTGACCTCGTGATCCACCTGCCTTGGCCTCCCAAAGTGCTGGGATTACAGGCGTGAGCCACAGTGCCCAGCTAGTGATGAGGTTTTGACAGACCATGGAGAAGAATGAAGTCGAAGCTCTTGACATGTTGTTTCCCCAAAGTGGGAATCTTTGATATTTTCTCAATTATAGAAGCAGCACAGATTTATTGTATAAAACAAAACAAAAATGTAATCTGTATAGAAATGTATGAAACAGAAAGTGGAAATACTCCATCTTACTCCCTAGAGAGGGCTTTTTTGCCCCCTTCTTATAAGGATCCTTGTGATTACATTGGGTCCATTCAATAGTCTAGGAAATTCTCTCCATCTCAAGGTCTTTAACTTAATCACAGCTGCTGCTAATTCCCTTTTGCCATGTGAGGTCACATATTCTCAAGTTCTGAGGTTTAAGATGTAGACGTCTTTGGAGACCATTATTCTTCCTACCACACTCACCTTCCTTTGGATAGATTTTTTTTTTTTTTAACTGGTGTAGCATAATGGTTGAGGCAGTCAACTGAGCTAAAGAGCTCAGACTCTGGTGCCAGACAGCCTGGATTCAATTCCAGCAGGTCTGCTACTTACTAGCGTATTTGCTTATGAATGTAAGCAAATTACTTAACCTTTCTATGCCTCAGTTTCCCCATCTTAGAAAATGGAAGTTACCATATTTAATTCATACAGTTGTTCTGATGATTAAGTTAGTTAATGCATGTCTGAAACTCATAGAACAAATAGTGTCTAGCACTCGCTCAGCACTATTTAAAAGTCTGGAAAAACAGTTTTTCTGGTGGATTTGCATAACTTATTAAGAATCAAGCTTGTTTATTTTCTCCTCTCAATTGCTTAAGTTTATCAACATCTGTATCTTCTCCCCAAATATGACTGATACCCAAGCCTGCCTTTACTTCCTCTGAGAAGGCCCACCCCTGATGACTACTAAAACCATTGATACTGTATAGAATTTTTATTTTGGATTTGTCGTAAGTATAAGTTTTTGTTTTGGGTACTTGCTTATTTAGGCAACTGTAAACTTTATTAACTTGCTTATTCACTCTGACTTAGTTCATATTAACCTTCTGTACTTTTTTTTTTTTGAGACAGAGTCTCACTCTGTTCCCCAGGCTGGAGTGCAGTGGCACAATCTCAGCTCACTGCAGCCTCCACCTCCTGGGTTCAAGCGATTCCTATGCCTCAGACTCCCAAGTAGCTGGGATTACAGACATGCACCACCATGCCCAGCTAATTTTTTGTACTTTTTGTAGAGACAGGGTTTTGCCATGTTGGCCAGGCTGGTCTCAAACTCCTGACCTCAAGTGATCCACCTGCCTCGGCCTCCCAAAGTGCTAGGATTACTGGTGGATTACTTTTTCAAAGAGGGTTTGCAAAGAGAGTTTTGTTTTCTTCAAAGAGGGTTTGCAAAGAGACCTTGTATGCTGGAGAATATCTTCATTTTACCTTCATTTAAATTTTAGTTTAGCTAGCTACCAAACTCAAGATTTAACATTTTTTTCTCAATATTTTGAAAGTTGTCCTCAAAGACTACTCCATTGTCTTCTTATACCCAAAATTGCTATTAAGATGTCTGAAAAGAAACTAATTCTTGTTAAAATTGATTTTATTTTTCTCTCTGGACTCTCTGAATTTTCTCTTTGCATATGAGATATATATATGGTTTTATTTCACTATTATCTGTCTAGATGTAACTTTTTTTTCTATGCTAGTAGGTACTCAAGTCCTCTCAACATGAGCCCTCATATCTTCCTTTAATTCTGGAAACATCATCAGTTTTTACTTTGTCAAATCTTTTCAATTTTTCCCCTCTCCTTCTGTGATTTCTAGTATTTGAGTACAATACTTTATGCTAAGTTTTTCATAACTCTTGACTTTTTCTTAATATTTTCCATCTATCTTTTCCTGAGGCCCTTCAGTTCAGCTGATTGGCCCGATCATTCTTTGGCTCTGTCCATTGCACCGATCACATTATCTGTTGAGTTCTCCATTTCTGGTTCATTAATTAAATTTTACTGGCTGGGTGCAGTGACTCACACCTGTAAACCCAGCACTTTGGGAGGCCAAGGCGGGTGGATCACAAGGTCAAGAGATTGAGACCATCCTGGCTAACACGGTGAAACCCCATCTCTACTAAAAATACAAAAATTAGCTGGGCGTGGTAGCACGCGCCTATAGTCCCAGCTACTCAGGAGGCTGAGGCAGGAGAACCACTTGAACTCGGAAGGCAGAGCTGCAGTGAGCTGAGATCATGCCACTGCACTCCAGCCTGGGTGACAGAGAGAGACTCTGTCTCAAAGAAAAAATTATCGACTGTAGGTTGTTCAGTTTGTTGTCCTTCTTTTATGGTATTTGCTCTCCTGGGATGTCCCCTTTCCTTGTCCTGGGAGCTCACGTTTCCCTCGGGATACCAGCTGTTTGGGTGAGTCTCTGGGCAGAGATGGAAGCCCAGGTTGGAGCTGCATTTTTCCTGGTGCATCTAAGGAAAAAGGGGTCCCCTGCCACAGGGTGTAGAACCTCCATTGCTCAAGGCTGTGGAGATGGTGACTGTGTAGACATTTTATATGATAAGTGCCCTTTTGCTGGGGGAAGTTCAGATTGCTTCTAGTTTGAAATCATTACAAAGAGTCCTGAAATGAATATTTTTGGTACAAATGTCCTTGTGTACTTTGTACAAGCATTTCTGTAAGAAAGAAGATTCACCTTCTTTTCAAGAAGCTAAATTGATGGGTTAAAGGGAATGCCAATTTTGATTTCAGTGGATGCCAACTTCATCTCCAAAAGAGCCATACCAGTTTCCACTGCTGCCAGCAGTGTGTGAGAGTGCCCACTGGGCCCCCACAAGGTACAATCAGACTTTTAAATCTCTGTGCATGGATTTTTGAGACAGATCTCCAGCCCCCCTTGGAAAGCAAATCTCACATGTAAAATGCCACAGCAAGTTTCAGCTTGTCCACATCACCCTGATACTGCCAAACAAAAGACCAACCCTCTTAGCCAACATAAATAAGTGACAGACATTTATTACAGAGCTGTTTTTTTATCAGTCCCCAGTGGCTTTATCAGGAAGTGGACTCAGGAAACTCTGACAGAACCTGGCACTGCTGTCTTTCTGGCCTCTAAGCCAGAGCAACTGCGTGGCCAGAGAACATCTCAATGTTGTTGTTTTACCAGTGGAGAGTGTAAACATATTGTGTATCTCTTCCCAATGGTTGGGTTATCGCAGTGGGACTCACCTGTGGCAGTCCATTGGAAGGGACACTATCCAGGAGGAGCTGAAATCCAGTTTCCCCTTCAGTACTCAAGGGCCTTTTCTTCCCTCAGCTACCAAGAATGCTGTCAGGGTCATTGCCTACAAACTGATGATGCTGTGCAGAATTGCGCCTCTACTGTAAGGCTTTCCCGGTCCTACTTGGCGAGTCTTAATTGACATACCTACCATTAAATAATCTATCACTTGTACTATGGAGAGAAAAGCAACTTTGAATTGGAGATCACTTCACAGCAGCATAACAGTATGAGACGTAAACGTGCCAAAAGTGAGCCTTAGAAGTGTAATGGATATTTTAAAAAGAGAGAAAGCAACAAGGCCTCATGTGCTCAGGGGTGGTGTTGTGGTAGAGGGGGCACTCAAGAGATCAGGGACAGAGGGCCCCAGTGCTTGGCAGAGGGCCAATGAATAGTTGTTAAATTAATTGATTAAATTTCAACAATGAATGAAATTGGTGTAACCAAGGAGAGAAACCCTTCTAAGCCAAGCCATGAGCACCCTTCTGCTCAGAGCAGTAGCTCAGTCCCATGGTGAAAGAGATGCATTTACAGCTGTGTTTATGGAAATACAAGCTCTCATTTGAGATTCTTCACCTCCCAGTAAGGCAGATCTTCAAGGTGCCTTTTTACAGATGATGAAACTAGATTCCAAGACAGTGATTTGTTATACAACAAATAAAATGGCAGAGCTGGGATTTGAAACCAGTACTGTTTCCAAAGACCAGCCTTTCCCACTAGTGTGAGACAATTCATACGTGAAAGAATTTGATATACTATTGAATAAGAAACACCAGGATAAAAAGACAAAATATTGGTAAAAGGACAGAAGTCTATGGTAAAGTAAATGAGGATCACAGAGCCTCTCCCACCATGTCTGCCACATCCCCACACACCAAGATAGCTGACGTACCAGACATGAAGACGAGATGGTGAGTGTGTCTCACGGTGAGCTCCGGTGGCCCAAGTGGCTGTGTGGCCATTATATGAAGGTCATTCTTCAGGCTGTCCCCATGAAACCTGAGGGCTTCCCTGAGCCTCTGTGAGCCTTCTCTTCAACCAAAACTGAGGAATAGATAATTAGCTGGTTGAGATCTTTGCTTTTGTTGTTTTACACTGAAAGTCACCCATATACTCGAATTACTGATTCTACAATTTTTTGGCCACTCAAAGCAAATAAAAACATAAGACGTTGGCTGGGCGCGGTGGCTCATGCCTGTAATCCCAGCACTTTGGGAGGCCGAGACGGGCAGATGACAAGGTCAGGAGATTGAGACCATCCTGGTTAACATGGTGAAACCCCGTCTCTACTAACAATACAAAAAAAAAAAAATTAGCTGGGCGTAGTGGTGGGCACCTGTAGTCCCAGCTACTCGGGAGGCTGAGGCAGGAGAATGGCGTGAACCCAGGAGGCGGAGCTTGCAGTGAGCAGAGATCACGCCAGTGCCCTCCAGCCTGGGCGACTGAGTGAGACTCCATCTCCAAAAAAAATAAAAAATAAAAAAAAAGACGTTTATTCATTGATTTTAATGGTATTGGAGAAGATGTTATCAAGGGGAGGAATCTCAAGTTTGTGTTCAGTTCCTGCTGTTCTCTGAGTTCTTTCCTTCTTATTTTGTAAACATGGTTTTGTTTTGGTTTTTAGTACACAGGCTGCCAAAGCAAGCACTATGATTTTTTGTAGCTGTGAATTCAATTCATTAATATGAGAATCCTAGATGCTATCTCAAGAAACATTCATAGGTTTCATTTTAATTCAGCTATGCTTGGATAAAACATCAGAGAAATTTATTTGCCATGGAAGGCCTTTCCCTTAAGTATTAGCAATAACAACAAAATAGTAACCATAAAAAAACTACCTTTATTGAGCACTTACTGTGTGCTAAACACATGCATTATTTCCTTTCATCCTCACACCAACACCATGAAAAATATATTCCTCTTACTTCCATTGTACAGGTGAGGAAATGGAGGCTTAAAACAGAGCCCATGGAGCTCCTAAGTGATGGAGCCAGGATTTGAACCCAGGACTGCTGACTTTAGGCTCATGCTTGTAATCAGGGCACTGTGCATTCCAGGTGATTTATATTGGAAGGCAGCCTTTCCTGTGATTAAAAGTGCATCTACGAAGCATTGTTCTTTCCCTCCTTTTTTTTTCTGTAGCCCTGTTCACGGCCTATCTTGGAGTCGGCATGGCAAACTTTATGGCTGAGGTGAGTTTGCTTTAGTCTCACTTTTCATTAGCGTAATTGACCAGCTTACAACTATATGGGAAATGCTCCTGAAGTCCACTGGGCTGGCATCCAGTGGCAGGATCCATGACCATGAGAAGCACTGCTCTCCCTTCTCCTGGAGCTCCCTGGCCTTTCTTTCAGCATCACAGCAAACTTTAGTCCAAACCACAATCACCCAGTTGTTACAAGTATCAGATTGCTTGGTTTAAAAAAAAATGAAACGTAGGTTGTATAACATATTATCAAGTTCAGAGTCTAACTCTAAGTGATAAGAAGTAGACTTTAGGATATCTTTTACTTAAACAGAAAGCCAGATATTCCATTGCAGGTGATGCAGGGCCGGTTTCTGATAGCTTAGTCCATGTTGATGTGGTCATGGCTGCTAAGGAGTCAAGGCAGTATCTAGCCCTTTTGGCAGCAGCATGGAGATTTTATCTGGGAGGGTCCTTAAGGAGACACAGTGTCTTTCTGGTGGAAAGCCAAAGTCCCATTACACACATGCATGATGGAGAGTACATCAGAGCACATGGGGCCCTTCACATGTCAACAAAGAAGATTCACAGGCATCAGTCCCAGGACCCAAATGGGCAAGCTGCACACCAGAGTCAGCTAGGAAGACAGAAAAATATGGAGCCTTAGGCCCTGTCCTTTGGTATTTCTGATAGAGTAGGTCTTGTATGATGCTTGAACATCTGTGTTTTTTTTTAACTCCCCCAGATGATTCTGATGTGCAGTCAGATTAGGGTACCCCTACACTCCATCACACCCCAGGGAGGTCCATGCATCAGGTCAGAGCTAACCAATGGTGTATGCTCAGAATTGTGTGAGTTTCCATGAGCAGCACAAAGAGGACCTACCCTCAAGGAACTTAGAGTCTATTTGGGAGACAGAATGGAAAGAAACAAAGCAAGTCAAGTCTAAGATCTAGACCAGGCAGAAGTCAAGGTCAGAGAGGTCACTGTGGGCTGGACTAATCAGAGAAGGCCTTGTGGACATGAAGACTGGTCAGGGGCCATTTGCAGTTTGCAAGTGTCATCTCTGTCAAATGTTCTCTTGGCACATCTGGTGCAGGAAGTCTGAATATATGAGAGGGAGAGAAAGACATACAAGATAGAGACATAAGTGGCTGCCCTAAAGAATGGATGTCAACATTCCAACAACTCAATGCCCTGAGATTGTAAATTCAGTCTCCACGAGCATGCACAGAATCCAGAGCAATGCCCCCAGTGGTTCATCCCCCTGGGCTGAATGCAAGTAGAGGGGGATGCCTTGTGCAGCTCAGCTGTCAGATGGGATCTGAAAGGAGCGTGTGGCTTTCTCTTCTTCCCCAGGTTGGATTGCCAGCTTGTACCTGGCCCTTCTGTTTGGCCACGCTATTGTTCCTCATCATGACCACAAAAAATTCCAACATCTACAAGATGCCCCTCAGTAAAGTTACTTATCCTGAAGAAAACCGCATCTTCTACCTGCAAGCCAAGAAAAGAATGGTGGAAAGCCCTTTGTGAGAACAAGCCCCATTTGCAGCCATGGTCACGAGTCATTTCTGCCTGACTGCTCCAGCTAACTTCCAGGGTCTCAGCAAACTGCTGTTTTTCACGAGTATCAACTTTCATACTGACGCGTCTGTAATCTGTTCTTATGCTCATTTTGTATTTTCCTTTCAACTCCAGGAATATCCTTGAGCATATGAGAGTCACATCCAGGTGATGTGCTCTGGTATGGAATTTGAAACCCCAATGGGGCCTTGGCACTAAGACTGGAATGTATATAAAGTCAAAGTGCTCCAACAGAAGGAGGAAGTGAAAACAAACTATTAGTATTTATTGATATTCTTGGTGTTTAGCTGGCTCGATGATGTTAACAGTATTAAAAATTAAACCCCATAAACCAACTAAGCCTTATGGAATTCACAGTCACAAAATCGAAGTTAATCCAGAATTCTGTGATAAGCAGCTTGGCTTTTTTTTTAAATCAATGCAAGTTACACATTATAGCCAGAATCTGTATCACAGAGGTGCAAGCTGACAGCAGAGCTCAGTCCCCACTTCCTGCAAACAATGGCCTGCACCCTATCCCTTGTGTGTGTGACATTCTCTCATGGGACAATGTTGGGGTTTTTCAGACTGACAGGACTGCAAGAGGGAGAAAGGAATTTTGTCAATCAAAATTATTCTGTATTGCAACTTTTCTCAGAGATTGCAAAGGATTTTTTAGGTAGAGATTATTTTTCCTTATGAAAAATGATCTGTTTTAAATGAGATAAAATAGGAGAAGTTCCTGGCTTAACCTGTTCTTACATATTAAAGAAAAGTTACTTACTGTATTTATGAAATACTCAGCTTAGGCATTTTTACTTTAACCCCTAAATTGATTTTGTAAATGCCACAAATGCATAGAATTGTTACCAACCTCCAAAGGGCTCTTTAAAATCATATTTTTTATTCATTTGAGGATGTCTTATAAAGACTGAAGGCAAAGGTCAGATTGCTTACGGGTGTTATTTTTATAAGTTGTTGAATTCCTTAATTTAAAAAAGCTCATTATTTTTTGCACACTCACAATATTCTCTCTCAGAAATCAATGGCATTTGAACCACCAAAAAGAAATAAAGGGCTGAGTGCGGTGGCTCACGCCTGTAATCCCAGCACTTTGGGGAGCCCAGGCGGGCAGATTGCTTGAACCCAGGAGTTCAAGACCAGCCTGGGCAGCATGGTGAAACCCTGTATCTACAAAAAATACAAAAATTAGCCAGGCATGGTGGTGGGTGCCTGTAGTTCCAGCTACTTGGGAGGCTGAGGTGGGAAAATGACTTGAGCCCAGGAGGAGGAGGCTGCAGTGAGCTAAGATTGCACCACTGCACTCCAACCTGGGCGACAAGAGTGAAACTGTGTCTCTCAAAAAAAAAAAAAAACAAACAAAAACAAAAACAAAACAAAACAAAACAAAACAAAACAGGTAAGGATTCCCCTGTTTTCCTCTCTTTAATTTTAAAGTTATCAGTTCCGTAAAGTCTCTGTAACCAAACATACTGAAGACAGCAACAGAAGTCACGTTCAGGGACTGGCTCACACCTGTAATCCCAGCACTTTGGGAGATGGAGGTAAAAGGATCTCTTGAGCCCAGGAGTTCAAGACCAGCTTGGGCAACATAGCAAGACTCCATCTCTTAAAAAATAAAAATAGTAACATTAGCCAGGTGTAGCAGCACACATCTGCAGCAGCTACTCAGGAGGCTGAGGTGGAAAGATCGCTTGTGCACAGAAGTTCGAGGCTGCAGTGAGCTATATGATCATGTCACTGCACTCCAGCCTGTGTGACCGAGCAAGACCCTATCTCAAAAAAATTAATTAATTAATTAATTAATTAATTTAAAAAGGAAGTCATGTTCATTTACTTTCCACTTCAGTGTGTATCGTGTAGTATTTTGGAGGTTGGAAAGTGAAACGTAGGAATCCTGAAGATTTTTTCCACTTCTAGTTTGCAGTGCTCAGTGCACAATATACATTTTGCTGAATGAATAAACAGAAATAGGGAAGTAAACCTACAAATATTTTAGGGAGAAGCTCACTTCTTCCTTTTCTCAGGAAACCAAGCAAGCAAACATATCGTTCCAATTTTAAAACCCAGTGACCAAAGCCTTTGGAACTATGAATTTGCAACTGTCATAGGTTTATGGATATTGCTGTGGAGAAGCTCAATTTTCAGTGTTTGAACTGAACCCTTTCTTGTTAGGGAACGTGTGAAAGAAGAATTGTGGGGAAAAAAAAGCAAGCATAACCAAAGATCATCAGCAGTGAAGAATCTAGGCTGTGGCTGAGAGAACCAGAGGCCTCTAAAATGGACCCGAGTCGATCTTCAGAACAGGGATCTACCATGCAGGAGCTTCTTGTGCTCACACAAATCTGTAAATGGGAACATTGTACATTGTCGAATTTAAATGATATTAATTTTCTCAAGCTATTTTTGTTACTATTTTCCTAAAATTGAATATTTGCAGGGAGCACTTATACTTTTTCCTAATGTCTGTATAACAAATTTCTATGCAAGTACATGAATAAATTATGCTCACAGCTCAGTTTTGTATAATGTGCCATTTATAGCCATCATGTATATGAACAATCACAGGCATAAGTAGGTATCGCTTATGTTGCACGTGCTAGAATCCTTATTCCTTTCTTACACTTGGTAATAGCACCAGATGTATAGTTGAGTAAACCCTTTTCAATTTCAGATTGGCAGGCCCATCCCCTTGGGTATCCTCTCAACTATCCATTATTCTTTCAACTCCTGGATGAGAATGAATAACTGAGGACAGTTGTTCAGGACATGCTCCTAACACTTTGAGATCAATATCCCAAGAGCCACTTCTATGCATTCCCAGACAGGCCCTGGGCACCACCATCAGGGCTGACCCTGGGCCACAGCATGCCTCAGGGGTCAGCTCTCTAGGACCAGCCACTTGTCAGAATGTTATCCCCTGAGGCTGAAGCCACAGCCATGCTTGTCTCTTCCACAGAAGCACTTCTCTTCCACACCCTTTCACCACAGTTGGCAGATTTGAAAGAAAATATGGTAAGATGAGAAATTTACTTCAACAAGTTTGAATGATAAGTTTCAAAGCAGCCCTAAAAGGAAACTAAAGAAGCCATAGTGGGGTCTCCCTATTGAAGTGCCCTCTGTCATAACAAAACTTCTCCTACCTATGGTTTCAAGGTAAATTCAAATAAATTCTCCAGAGGGATCTGGGCATTCTATGTCTTCTTTTATCTGGGGTAGAAACGACAGGTTGTGAGGCTCTTATGCTAAGGACACTCTATACCTTTAGGAGCTAAAGGGGCCAACTTGCCTGTTACCCATGATACAGGATTAGCACGGAATATGTCAAGATCAAAGCTAAGTTTTACAAGAAACCAGGAATTTCTAAGGAGGCTTCTTATTAACAATTTTGCAAGAATATTTTTGTGGTTAGTAAACATAAGATAAGATTTCAGGCACAGGACTGTTTTCAGCCTTTCTCCTTATGTAACTAGTTCCTTCCAAAAGGCTTCACTCTTTAGTTTCATCTTCTTCTTTAATCTGCATTGACAACTCCCAGACCATTAGGAGGGCTTATAGCTTCAAGGCTGTAGAGTGCCACTGGCTAAAGCAATCAGCAATGCAGATCCTGAAGGAATTTAAGGCTTAATAAATGAATATAGTAAATAATAGACTTTTAAAGAATGAAATATAAGTATAGCTGCTTTCACAGCTCTTAAACTATAAAGTAGATGCAGTAAATCAGATCAGACATGTGCAAAGTCACCTAAAAGAGAAAATTGCTCCCAGGACTGACCTAATCTTATTTAATATTAACCTGGTAGGTGTGAACATATCTAAAGCAAGCTTAGGTCCACCTGATGGGGTAGCAAGTCAACCACTGAGGCTCAGGAAGAGGAAAACCTAGGAAGGGGGTCTTCAATATTGGAACTTGGGGTGGGACAGGTGTCAAGGGTGAGCTCTGTGGCGGAAATGGCACTGGGGTATTATGGTTTAGTAAACTGAACTATATAGACCAAGCAACTAATGCTCCTTGTCCAATCCTGTACTCACAAGCTATTTGGCTTCCTATGTAGACTTGTCTTACAGGGTAAAAACACATGTGTCCACACTGAGGAAGGGAGGTTTAGGCAGAGATCTAAGGAATAGGCAGGAGGTGGAGGAAGGTGGAGTGTGGAGGGAACAGTACCCTTGGCAAAGGGAAACTTGTGGATAAAGGCCTTGAAACAAGGAGATTGGTGCTTTCAAGGAGTGAGAAGATTGCTGTGGCTGGATTATGGTGAATGAAAGGGTGCTGGAGTGAATTCAGCAAGCCAACTGGGAGGCCATTGCAGTAGTGCAGGAGAGAAGTGATGGTGGCTTGGACTTCAGTGGTGATGGAGAGACGTTCATGGATATGAGAGACAGGAGGCAGAATCACCAGAACTCTGTGATGAGTTGATTTGCAGGGTGAGGGAGGGGGAGGTGTCAAGGATGGCTTCCTGATTTGTAGCTTGGGCTACAAGGTGAATGGTGGTGCCACACCATCGATGGAGCACTGAAGGATCACTTCTCCTCTCATGCTGCACACTCTTCCTCGCCAATCCCATCCTTCTCATGCTTCAATCCAGAGCTTATCTTCAACTCCCTACAGGGACTGTTCCAAAAGCACTTCCTCAAACTCAACATATCCAGGACAAAACTCATCTTCTTCAACTATTCTTCTCTCCCTCCCATGTTGACTCATGGAGAAAGGTAGCACCTTCCACCCGAATGGGAAAGCCAGAAACAGGATGCCATCCTTGACCTCATTCTCTCACCTCCAGGAAATAGTTAGCCAAGGGCTGAGGGTTCCACCTCCTTGATAGCCCCCATTCATCCATTTATTGAATGACTGTTTACTACATAACAGGAACTGTGACTACAATAGTGAACCAGACGGCCATAGTCTCTTCCCTCACAAAAACTTTATGAGGTGAACTGACAAGTAAAGGAGTAATATAATATAGTGCAGTGATGATAATGAGTAAGAGACAACCAGTTAACAAGTTTGAGGGAAGAGTATGCCAGTGACCTCTTTCTTCTAAAAAACGAAGACAGTAATATATCATTAAGTACCAGGCATCCATAACAGTTAGGATGCCTTTGCCTGCAAGTAACAAAATACCTGACAGAAAGTGGTTAAAACAACAGGAATTTCATTCCTAAAAGTAGGAAGTTCCAGATTTTGTGCTCAATGATGTCACCAAGGGGTGCAATTTCTTTCCATCTTCCTCATCATTCTCAGCATCCTCAGAAGGCTCCACTTTCATCCTAGAGCTTGTAGCCTCATTGTTACAACATGGCTGCCCTGGTTACAAACATCACAACCACATCAAGAAGAAGGGGGGCAAATAGAGTTGCAAGAGGGCCATTCTCTCATGTTTCTCTTCTTTATCAGGGAGGGAAGTCTTTCTTAGAAGCTCCTCTAAAATAATTTCACTTGTGTCTTTTTGGCAGAACTGGGTTGTATGGCCATTCATGGCTGCCTAAAAAATCTGAGAAAGTAGGCATCTGGTATGTAGCTTCTCTTGTAACAGGTGAACTCTGCCATATTGGAGCAAAAGCAAGAGGAATGGCAATTGGACAGGCAGCCAACATGGCTGCTACAGTGGTATATAGTACCACCATATAGCATGTAGTTCCTATGTGCCCACACAAGAGAGAGACATAGTGATAGGTTAGACTGTCTATTGTGAGATTCACAAAGGGGTTTGGAACAGAAATCTAGACCAAGACCTTTTACACAAGAGATTCTTTGTGGAATACTTGCTGGAATATTCCCAGAGTATTTTGGGATACCCCAGACTCATACAAGGTTGTATAACCTCTAACTAACAAGATTCTAAGCAAAGGATGAGACGTGATCATGCTCAGGTAACGAAAACTTAGGGTCAATTCATGTTCTAATTAGTTCTCTTGATCTAACAGTTACGGCTTATAAATCATTCCATGTCGGAAGCCCCACCGGAAATAGTTGAGGTTCAATTCAGTTACAGCTCAATGAAGTCTGAAAACAAGTGTCCAACATTTTCTGGTTCATGGTTTAAAATAGGTTTCAAATAAACAATGAGGAAGCCAGTTTCCTGTTTGGGTTGGGTCCATTGGATCCTAGCCCATCAAAGCTTTGAATTATATTACAATGACAGGCAAGGACTAGAGGGGGAAGAACTGAAACGCAGAGAAAAGTTGGCACAGTGCCAGGAAACCTGGCTAAAATTAAGTCCCTCAGTCCAAAGAAAACAATGGCAGCTAGGACATGAGTCAATGGTCCAAGTGCAAGTGCATTTGGGGGCAACAAGAGCACACACAGGCAGGCCATGGAACTGGCCAACCCAACAAGAAGGTCTTTCCACATTCTGAGATCCCCCCTAATGCTGGCCTCTCAATGAGAGGGTAGATCTGTACTATTGAATACAGTAGCCACTATCCATGGTGCAGCACTTGCAGTGCAGCTGGTCCAAATTGAGATGTGTTCTACATGTAAATTGCACACTGGGTTCCCAACACTTATAACAAAAAAGGAAAAAATATCTCAATAATTGTCTATATTAAATTTTGAAATGACAATAAAATATATTGTTAAAATTAATTTCACCTTTTTAAATACATTTTTAAGATGGCCACTTTTGAAAATCCAAAATTATACAAATAACTTGCATTTGTGGCTCACATTGTATCCCTATTCAACAGCACTGGGCTAGACAGTTCCCCAGCCCAGGATTCTTAGTGGTTTACAAAGTCTCCATAGCAACTTAGATGGCACTGAGCTGTTGGAACTCAAACTTCTGGAGAATTCATTCATTCCTCCCTCAGAAATAATGCATGGAAATGAAGCCTTTCTTCTGTCACGTTGTGGAGACAGAGCTTACTGATTCTGGGGTCTCTATATCAAATTCATCAGTTCAAAGATTCCTAATGTCAATTTAAGGTAAAACTGTGTACTTTTCCAGGAGGGCTAAATGCTGTGCACCCTGAGGATGTCATTTCTTAAAATAATCATAACATGGCTACAGAGTGAGGAGACTGGTTTTCCTGCATGTGATATTAAGTTATTCTGAAGGCAGTACCTAAAGAACAGCCTCAGAAACACTTGGCCCTCAGACAGCACTACTGGGACAAACAGGCTGCCTCTCCACGTGTCCATGTGCAGGATAACTCTAACCTGAATGTACAAGTGCTCATCAGTCATAAGCTATGAAAAAAGTGAAGTACCTGGACATAAGGCAATAGGGAATAGTGGGGACTGTAGCCAATTGAAGATTGCATGCTCTCGCCTAAAAGTATTCGCATTCAGTTTTTTTAACACTATGCTAACCAAACAAAGCACATTTGGGAGATGGATTTCTTTCGTGGGCTCCTTTTTGCAAGTTCTATTTCCAGGCAGCTGTTATGAATGCGCTACAATGTTTCACAACCAGGGGAATTTATCAGAATTATGCCTAAGGGCCTTTGAAAAACTTCAGTTATTCCCATCTCTTCTCAGACCTCCTGAATCTGAATTTCTAAAGTTTCGGGGGACCTGCCCCGAAAATCACGTAGGTTCTTTTCTATTTTCCTAAGTGTCGGCTGGCTTGAGAAATAAAGGGACAGAGTACAAAAGAGAGAAATTTTAATTTCTGGGCGTCCGGGGGAGACATCACACGTTGGTAGGATCCATGATGCCCCACAAGCCACAAAACCAAGCAAGTTTTTATTAGGGATTTTCAAAAGGGGAGGGAGTGTGCGAATAGGTGTGGGTGACAGACATCAAGTACCTAACAGGGTAATAGAATATCACAAGGCAAGTGGAGGCAGGGCGAGATCAAAGGACCACAGGACCGAGGTGAAATTAAAATTGCTAATGGAGTTTCGGGCACCATTGTCATTGATAACATCTCATCAGGAGACAGGGTTTTGAGATCAACCGGTCTGACCAAAATTTATTAGGCGGGAATTTCGTCTTCCTAATAAGCCTGGGAGCGCTATGGGAGACTGGAGTCTATCTCACCTCTGCAATCTCGACCATAAGAGACAGGTACGCCCCAGGAGGGCCAGTTCAGAGACCTACCCCTAGGTGCGCATTCTCTTTCTCAGGGACGTTCCATGCTGAGAAAAAGAATTCAGCGATATTTCTCCCATTTGCTTTTGAAAGAAGAGAAATATGGCTCTGTTCTGCCTGGCTCACTGGC